>NC_000004.12:147046381-147671381 GCF_000001405.40 Homo sapiens
CTATATACTCCCACGACTTCACCTTCTATCACAACTCATCTCAGACACGTTTTCAGTCCCTCAAACACACCGCACTCTGCTCCCTTTGCTTGGAAAGCTCTTTCCCCAAATGTTAACTGGCCAGATCCTTTCAGGTCATAGTTTCAACGTCACCTGAAATGCCTGGCAGCTTGCTTGAGCAGGGTCCAACCTTGGTTGTTTTCACACATAGCACTCTATTTCCCCTTTCATTCTATCTCGCTAATTGTCACTCAGGCATTTATCTGTTGTATTTATTTCCCCTTTATAAGATGTGGCTTTGAAGAACAAGAGTCAAGCCAAGGGAAGGTAGTATGTCCCAAGCCAGATCTCCTCCCCCATCTTCTGCAGCTGAGAACCTATCCTTCCTTGTTCTCTCAAATTTACCAGGCATTTCCACACCAGCAGGGTTCTGCCTGGAATGGTTTCCTTACATGCTACAAACTTTCCAATTCTTTCTTGTTTTTTAAGACCCAGCTCAAATGCTGCCTTCTCTCAAAAGCCTTCTCTGATTCCATAGTTAGAATTAATTTCTCCTTGAATGTCAGTACTATTTTATTAATCCCATCTTGGTTTGCAGCAAGGTTAGTTGTATCCAGGTATGTCTCCTTCACAGCCACGCTTCTGATTGTTTGGGGTATTTCTCTTAGTACAATTTTTTTTCCATTTTTAAATAATATCTAATTGATGACCTCCTTTTCCCCTCCTTTCAACAAACACGTTATAACTTACTAGGCACATGATATTTCCACTTATTAAAAAAAACTGACAAATAAGTCAATGATTTTCTAAACCCAAATGTTCATAGAAATTTCTATACCATTGCTGTTTACTAGACTGTAACAATAAGCTAGATAATTGTAAAGTAATTCCAATGTCTATTTGGTACCTAGTGGCAACTCAAGGAAAGCAATTAAGTTTCCCCCATTACATTTTTACTTTTATTTAGGTGAAAATGTGGACCCAGAGTTTGTCAACAACCACAACTAATGTGAATGATACTGTAGGAATGTAAATATGATGATATTTCAGATGGGACATCATGGATTAATGAGTCTCAGAAGGGAATATGGCATTTAATAGTAACTGAAGGAAGACATAGCCAAGAAAATCCATGGATATTCAAAAAATGTTTTATAGAACTAATTTTTAATTTGGGAGGCCGAGGCAGGTGGATCATGAGGTCAGGAGATCGAGACCATCCTGGCTAACACAGTGAAACCCCATCTCTACTAAAAAAATACAAAAAATTAGCCAGGCGTGGTGGTGGGTGCCTGTAGTCCCAGCTACACAGGAGGCTGAGGCAGGAGAATGGCGTGAACCCGGGAGGCGGAGCTTGCAGTGAGCCGAGATCGTGCCATTGCACTCCAGCCTGGGCAACAGAGTAAGACTCCATCTCAAAAAAAAAAAAAAAAGAAAAGAAAAAAAGAAAAAAAAACTAATTTTTTGAATGATTTTGGAAATAGATAAATATGATTAGATGACTCACCTTAATTCCAAAAGGATAGTAGAAAAGTAATGATATTTTAAACTGGAAAGAGAGTGGGAATTTTGCATTGACAAAGTCCCTCTTGGCTTTTTGAATATTTTGAAGTTTTCATTCCTTTACTTGTATCATCTTTCAAGTTGTCTCATTTTGAATGTTAAAAAGGATGAATGAATGTGTATGTGAATCATCTCTGAAAATATTTTTCAGAGTACGAGTACTGAAAAATCCTTCTCAAAACACCCCTTTTGAAAAAAAAAACCTTAGCAATATCTCCTCTCTTAGTAAACTATATATCACTTTTTACTCTCTTTCAAAAACGAATATTTGAATCTAAAAGGTAGAATCTAAAATAATACCAGTTGTGGTGTTTTTGAAAGAATCCAAATTGAACTGTCTAGAATAAGATAGAGATTTACTTTTTTCTCATGTGAAGAAAGTTGGAGGAAAGGTACTCATAGGCTAATTTGGGGGCACACCAGTCAATGGGGACTCTGCTTTTTCTGTCTTTGTGCTCTACTCTCTTAGTTGTGGCTTCTATTCTCAAGGTTGACCTATGGGCCCAATATGGCTGCTGGAGCTCCAGCCTGACAACCACATTCCAGGGAAGAAAAAGAGGAAGGAGGGGAAAGACAAAAGGTCATGTCTTCTGGCTGAGTCAGTCCCTGTAATAATATTTCCTAGAAATCCTACCCAATGTCTTAATGTCTTCCACTTACATAGCATAACCATCCTCACCTGCAAAAATAAGCCAGGAAATATAGTCATTTTATCTCGGTGCTTTACTGTTTAGAATAAAATCAGGACTTTGTTAGTAAGGAATGAGGGAAGAATGGATACTGGGAAAGTCACATTCTGTAATGCTGAAATGTCCTATATACTTAAGACAAACATTTCCAACCTTATCTCAAGCCCTCTCCTGCTCACTCACTATGCTTCAACCATATGGCTTTCTGGTAAGTCTTCCAGTGTAGAATCTCTACAGTTGATTTTCCTCCTGCATGGAATGCTTGTCGTCTAACTTCTTCCATGGCTGGCTCCTTCTCACTTTTTAGGTCTCAGCTAAAATTTCACCTCTTTAGCAAGACTGTATTCCCAACTCAAATCTATGTAGCCCCTTCCCTTTCACACCGTTATTCTCTCCCTTGCACTCTGTTTATATCCTGTAAGGCACCTAACACAATCAGTAATTGTTGCTCTTATTATTTGTTTGTTATTTTACATATATTTGTCTATTTCATATACAATATATATAAAATATAAAAGCATATTTGTTTATTTTCTTGTTATTTTCATATCCCCAAAAAGTGTCTAAACCCCATGAGAGCAGAGGGCTTGTGGGCCTTGATCACTGTTGTATTCCCAGGACCCAGCCTCATATCTGACATGTGGAATTCAACAAGTCCACGTTAAACAAATGAGAAGGAACACCAAGAAAACTGTTTTTCAACTAGTCAATAAAAATATCACTTTGTCCACGTTGCCATTTTGTGTGACCAATTAAATCTCAAATCCCCTATTGTAGTTTGGGTCTTTATGAGTCACAAGAATCAGCTTCATAGGTGGCTCAGGGTGGTCCTGTTGGCTGAAATCATTCTGCTGAACCCAAGTGTTTATCTCTTCCTTTGTGAAATGACAGGGAAGTTGCATTCATCTGAAAGCTTGGCTATGGGAAGCTCCAAAGAAAAAGCTCCAATGAGCACATGAACTTCTTCAAATGTTTCTGGTAGAAAACTAATTGGACCAACATGCATCGTTTTGTTGTTTTTTAAATTTACTGTATCAGAAGCTTGTGGAGAATGGTGATTCTAAAGCTTTTTTCTAACTTAATATTTTACTTGGCATTCTCATGACATAAATGGCAGGGTGGAAGTAAAAAAAAGTGAAAGAGAGAATGAAGGAAGAGAGGGTAACAGGGAGGAAGAAAGAGAAAAAAAGAAAAGAAGAGACAGATAAAATAAGAACATGGACCCTTTGTTGCAAAGGAGAACCTTTCATTGTGGCAGTTTGAGTCCTAGACTTTGGAGAATTGCTGGAAGACATTTTAGCATCCAATTCATCGAGTAACTCATTAGGGTGATGAAAAGCCCATGATGAAGGGGCAGTGCCATGTTTGAAGAGCCAGGGGTTCCTGTTATCCTGAATTATTAAGTAGTCAATATTCAGTGGCCGCTGCCTGCTCGCCTGTCTTCAGCAGGTGGTGGCCCTCTGCCTTTCTCTGCAAAGCAGCTGCTTGCTCCCAGCCTCCCCAGAGCTTGCAACAGCCATTTGTTTCGATTTAAGACAGATGCGGTCATTATTTTGTGCAGAACTTCACAGAAATATTTCCTACTAAATGCTTGAACCATCTGAGTAGCACCAGGCAGGCTGCTGGCTTCATTAATAATGCATCCATGCTTATCAATAGGTTTAGACAACTGATATTTAGAAGCTTCTTTAGAAGGAGTGGGGTGGATGTTCCTTTCACACCAGTAGGCTTCATTTTGTCAGTTCCTTGATGTTGACATTACATCCAACTGTGTTCTGGAAACCAGAAGTGCTAAAGCTGTGTTGGGGCTGTTCTTTTGCTTTGGAGTGCTTCTTGATGGAGCTAAGTCATGGTGGTTTACCTTATGCCCTTTCTGCCCTTATCTAAGTTTACTCTAAAGGGAAAAAATTTACCATCCACTTCACTTTAAACCTTATTGCGGCTTTTTATTTTTCCAGGCTGTCTCACACCCAATTCATCTGGGTAGACTCAGATTTCTTGGCACTGTGCTCTGGTCTTGATATGTTTCAGCAGAACATGACAGGAATGAACTCTAAGTTCCTAAGTTGTGCACGGAAGGTTACCCAACTATTTTTAGATCACTTACAGTCATGAAGCAATGCACCTTCTAAACCTTTGGGTTTGAATAAACACCCATTAGAAGGGCTATGGCAAAGCTCAATCTACTGGTTTGTTTGCAACCTATTTGCATCTTGACAAAAAAGCAATGCCAAAAGCAATGAAGGAATTCTGGAATCCTGCAGGGCATCAGTGACAGAAAGAAAAACGATGAAAGTACAACCAAAACATTGTTTTTTCAGTGCTAAAGTTTATATCAATGTAACAATTTCTTTTAATGATAAGAGTTTTCTCAAGATTTCCTTTTTAAAGTTCACTTCTCACTGCTGCTTATCAACATGTATAACAATCCAAATGAGATTGATACAGCTGATGTCACAAGTCTCTTGTTAAAATTTTTACAGATTTAGGAGGTATTTTTAATGGAAAAGATTGCACAGAAGTAAATTTATGGTTTTTCCTAGAGCCATACACATAGAAGGACAAAACACATAAAATGACCTATATTCAATGCATATATCTACATATACAGAATGCAAATGCAGAATTCAAATTGCATGTACCAATCCATTAAACATTCTTTGCTATGTTGTATTTTCCCATACAAGAAATGAAACATGTAGTAGACAGGATAATGGCCACCTAATGATGGGCATGTGCTAATCTTCAGAACCTGGGATATATTATGTTATCTAACAATGGGAAGCTGAGGTTGCAGATGGAACTAAGGTTGCTGATTAGATGACCTTGAGATGAGCAGTTATCCTGGATTAATGAGGTGGGCCCAATATAATCACAAGGGTCAGTAAATGGGGAACAGGGAGGCAGAGGAGACAGAACCAGAGAGGTGATGTGGGAAAATCTCCACTGGCCATTCTGGGCTTTGAAGATGGAAGGGGGCCACAAGCCAAGGAATGCCGGCAGCTTCTAGAAGCTAGAAAGCAAGAAAATGGACTCTCCCCTAGAACTCTCCAAACACCTTGATTTTAGCCAAGTGAGTCCCATTTCAGACTTCTGGCTTCTAGATCTGTAAGATAATAAATTTGTGTTTTTTAAAACCACGAAATTTGTGGCCATTTGTTTTAGCAACAACAGAAAACTAATATAAAGCAGTTTCCAGAAAAAGTATGAAGATTAAAATACTGAAATAAAAAAGGTTAAAGTGAACAATAACAACAAGAATGGTCATTCTTCTACACCAAGAAATGGCAGTATAACATTTCTTGAGAGCAATTTACTTCTATTTATCAAAACGATAAAAAATTTCCCACATTTATTGATGAAGAAATTACACTACTTGGGATTTTCTTATAATGAAATAGGTGCAATATCACACAAGCACAGACATTTTTTGAAATAGCAAATAATTAGAAACAACCAAAATATGTAACAGTATGGAACTGATTTAAATAAATTATGGTATATATTTATATAATAAAGTTAATGAGAATAATGCTCTAGGATAATATCCAATGACATAGAAAGATCTCACAATGTATTGAATGAGGGTTTGCAAAATAGTATGGTTTCATTAATATAGCATATATACATTTGTACACATATGCATTTTTAAGAATAAAAGATTGAAAAGAATATCAACAATGATCATTTCTGGGTGTGATTTTTTTTTCAACACTTTCCAAAATTAAAGTGTATTATTTTTATTTCCAAAAAAATAAAAGCCTACAACAAATTTTATTTTTAAAATTGCTTTGGAGAAATGTCTTTGCCTAGTTCAAGATAGGGGAGACTGAGATCATCCAGCCATAGGTACTCATATCCTTTGCCGGAAAAAGAATGACTGCTGAGTCATGAAGGTGTATCTGTGCAGGGAAGTGAAGTGAGATGGGTCACATACCATCAACAACTGACAGCCCACATTTAACCCTGAAGAGGAAAGATGCCCAAGGGTTGTTTGTTCATGAGGTATTTCAAAGCCAGAGGGTAGGCTGAAGAATGAATGTCTGTTTTGGCACTGTCTGGTGGTCTCTCTTCAGGTTTTGTGGAGTATCGATGTGAACTAGCCACAGAAGACTCATTAGACAGAGGAGAGCTCTTTGAGCTTTTCTGGCTTAATTGAATACTTTCTCTTGCTTTAGAAGCCACTGCTGCCTTTGTTAATTGATTTGTGATCTCACAGTAGTCAATATCTCTCTGGCTCACAGATGGGCAAGGGAATAAGGTTTCTGTTTATTTTAAACCATCTACTATATTAATTATATTTGGAAGAACTTTAGAAATATATATATAACTATACATACTTATATATTATATAGTTGTATAAATATAACTATATAAAGTTATATACATATTATATATAGTTACATATAACTATATATAGATATATAGTTACATACATAGTTATATATACTATACATAAAACTAAGCATATATAGTTATACATAAAACTATATATAGTTATAAATATATATGTATGTAAATATATATGAAATAAATATATATATATAGTTATTTTCAACACTTTTGGTTGATCCAAAGCAAAATACTTGGGATTTAAACTTCCAAAGGTATTTAAATAAATTTACATTTTATGGAGCACAACTATTCTTGTAAAAGTGGTATTTCAATGTTGCTGCAGTGAAACAAATTAGGTTTGTTTCTTATAGTTTTCAACAAGTTTTTTTTAAAAGAAGAAAATTTTAGTAATCTCTTACTCCTTTTTTCAATGAGAATAGAATTTAATGCAATTTAAAAATGGAAATTTTAATTCAGTTTATATGATGTTTCATAAACTGGGAGAAATTTATTTTGCCAATTTTAGCTCCTTTTTCCTGACAGGAATAAAAGTCCTCCTCTGATAGAGGAATATCCCCAGAATACATGCTCTTTAATGTTTGTGTAGCAGAACTAATATATATTATAAGATAATCCAAGAGTTTCCCTGTTTGGTTAGGGAAGTTTCATGATGGATGATAGCCTTAGGTGAGGAAGTTAAGAACCCAACGGGATGGCCTGGAGGAGAGAGTAGTAAACCAATATGTAATTGAATTGTTTCATTCAATTCAACAAAATTAATGGGGATTGGAGACAGGAGCAACATAGAAAAAAGGAGACAAAAAACAACAACAACAACAACAACAAAAGAGAGACTAGGCTAAGCAGCGTATTGGGAAGCTGGATCTGACCAATAAATGGTTGGAGATAGATTAACAGAGGTTGGGTTCTCAGTCTCAGTCTACTAGGAGTAAGACTTCTGAAGAACCAATTGAAAGACACTTGCCTGCTTTAATGTAAGCCCTCTCTTGACTCTAACCCATCAGCAAAAATCTGTTCTACACCAAGGCTGGTGTTGGTATTGTGGTCAGTAAAGGATGCAGGGTGGAATTTACTATGGGACATAATGGCACAACTGGGATAGTTAGGTGATCCGGGAACTTGGGACCAGAGGAAAGTTAGAATCTCAAACTTCCTCCCCTACTCCAAACCCATATCACAAGGACACTCAGAAGTTCCAAAGGAGGGCAGGTCTCCCACTGGAGGTGAGATGGGGATTTAAGCCAATTTTTTTATTATTATTACAAAAGCCTGGATGACCTGTGCTAGCACCTGGCTTGCATGTGGTTTTATAGGGTCTTAGAGTTCTCAGATACATATCTGCCACTCTTATATAGATTTGGAGATTTCTTAAATCCATCAATCAAGAAACAATCTAGAACATCAGAGTCATTTACTAATCAGGTACTTGCAATCTCATGGGAGGTGATAAGCCACATAAACATGAAATCATAAACAAACCACAATTTGTCATGTTTGTGTAAATAAATACATCAGAATTGTTAAACTAAAGCAGCAGAGCCAAAATTGAGCTATGCAATAAAAATGGGCAAATAAAAAAGTCAACAGTGTAGTATAGCAAACTCCATTCCTATTGTCACTGCTTATTATCTCTCATTAGATTATGGTAAAATCCTCTTGGCTCCCTGCCTTCAGTGCTCCCGTCACTAAGATATATTCTTTTCTTTACTACTAAATTAATCATAATGAGGCAGAGTTCTGTCTTGCACAATGCTTGGCACAGAATAGGGTCTCCAGAAACGCTTGTTAAATGAACAAATCAATCAGTGATTCCTATCTATCCTACACAAAAATGTCAGTGTCTCATTATTTCCTATTTATCTTTCTAACATTAAATCTCATTGTATCTCATTATTGCTTATTATGCTCATATGCTCCAGCCCTGCTCCCATTCTTATCTCTTACTCTATTCTATTCCTTCATTTGGTATATCCTTTTCCCCATTCCAGCAAGTTTACCTTATCCATATTTCAAAGCCTTTCTCAAATACCAATAGCCCTTTCTCTCTGAACATCCAAGCAAGAAATAATAACTTTTCCTCCCATTCTTCATACAAATTTATCTTTACCTTCCTATTGCTTACTGTTTACTTGATATTCAAGCAATTTGTGCTCATATCTCCCAATTGTATAGTAAAGGTCAGGGTCCTTTGAGGCAGACAACAGAATCCACTCCAGCTAGTCTAAGCAGAATGGGATTTATCACAGGCTACTAAATAGTTTATAGAATTTCTGGAAGAGCCAGAAAATCAAGCTTAGACCAATTACATCCTGAAACAATATAGCCAAAAGAATTATTTTGCTACATTAAGGGAACTGTTTGCATAGAAATTTAATTACCGCTGCCTCCTCTCAGTTCATGATACAGCACCAAGGACAAAATGTAGACTGTAACATTTCAAATGCCTTGGGAAAACCAAGCGCTTCCACCACAACTTTCAATCTCCCCACCCATAAGCCCAATCCCATGTTTCTCACTTTCATTTTCAAAGTCTTATGTGTGGGTTCATTTGTTTGGTGAAATCTAGTGCCTATGTGGAATCCTAGTTACAAGAGAATTTGAGAAATGTCATTTTTAGACGTCCATTCAAACATAAAAGGCATGATGGAAATGGATTGGAGAGAATGTGAAGTGATCCAGTCTACAATATCCACCATATTTAGTAGGCCTACTGGGAGCATGATTTATGTTTATTCATCTTCATATCTCCCATTTGCACATAGGGAGTACCCAATAGGGAGTGCACATAGGAAGCATCCAATTTATTCAGTGGACAATGAATAACACATAAGTGAATGTATATCAAGTGCACAGTACAAAATAAGGCAAAGGAGAGTTGAGAAAGGAGAAATGAAGTCAGTGAAAACATTAATGTTTTCTTAGTGAAATCTTTGATTTAAGTTGCCAAACTACCACTCTTGAAGATGTTACTTGGTTTACCAAAAACTATGCTGAAGAAGCAAATGGCAGAGAAGGAGAGTCCTATTTCCTGATGAAAAATTGTTTGGATGGTCTTGTGCTGCAAGGACAATAGCAATTTATTTGGCCTCAATAAAAAAAAAATAAGTGTTAGTTCAGAAAGTTTATAGAACAAAAATGTAACTTTCAACAACAGATGAGATGTATGTCTCATAGATTCATAATTTTTCTTGTATCTTCTATTCAAAGTCTACCTAAGATAACTTTATCATATGCCAATTTAAGCTCACTCACTAGTTAGGAACACATATTTGGATAACATTCCTAACAGGTTACATTGCAAAAAAGAATCCAAGAATGTAAAATAACATATATTGTATATTATTACTTATACATAAATTACTGATAATTAAAAAGTGAACTAAGAAACTAACTACACTGATAAAATCATGAAGGACATCACTGAACAAGGCAAAGAATCTCCTATATTTGTAATATTGGCCATAAAATATTGTCATCCCACAATATTTTGTATTTTGTATCCATAATAGCTAAGAGGGGTTGTCTTGGGAAGGAAGGGTATAAAGACAGAAGATGGAGAGTTTCTCTGGAGCAGACCAAAGTGGGAAATAGTAAAACAAAGGAATTCAGAGCTCATCTGCCTCCTCTGTGCACAATCAAGGGAAAAAAAGAATATCCCCACTACCATGAAGGTCTTCAATTAAATGTACTTCTCCACTCAAAGTAATGTTCAGCAACTTCACACTTTCCCTTTCAGTGCATCATTTTCAGTGGTGATTGTGAACAGTTAAGGAAAAAGAATCCAATAACATGAAACTATTTTAATAATTTTTAAAGGAAGTTTAAATGATACACACTTGATCAGGGTCGATGAAAATGGCACTAGTGTCGAAGGGCAACAGGTTGCTAATAAATACAATAGTTTAGGAAAGTGCTGTTTCTGTCATGGAAAAACTATATTCTGGGAAAAATAATACTACTGTAATTAATTTTTGAAAGCTATTGAGACTTCTTGGATGAAGAATGTAGTTATTAAAGGCAAAGTACACAATATGTTGTAATGAAATGTTTGTGCTTCACACTTCATTAAATGTTTTGTGGGCCTCTGGGGAAATTCTATCTCTCACACACAGAAACAATGTTTATACATGGTGGTATCAGTAGAGGGAGTGCATAGAGCAATGTTCATGGGAAGAACTTGCTACAACTTCAGTATGTTCAATTAAAAACACCAAAACGAGGTAAGTGAGAAAATGTGTGGTAACTGACAAAAAGGCACACAAAATTCTGCTGTGACTTTGGCCACTCTTATGCTTAATCAAAATAACATTTTTAAATTTCATTTGAAAATAAAAAACTGTGGGTTTTGCTTGAAGTAGAGGGTGACAGAGTAAACTGGACGGTTTGAATTAGTGGGATTAACTGACAAACATCTGATTCCAAATTCTGCAGTTAAATAGACCCAATTACACATGTAGGACTCGGAGAATTCAAAAGTTTAGCAGTTTGGAATCTGCTGACTGTGTTAACTTACAGTATTTTGAAAGTGAAAGTGTAAAATAGTGGTAAAATTGCAAAGAAATTAACACATAAAATTCTTAGAAGGTGGGAAAGAGAAATAGGCAAAAAAAAAATGAGTAACTTTATACTGTCATTGGCAAAAGATCTTTTAAAAACAAACAAAAGTAAAGTCATGTAAAGAAAAGAAACCTATGAAAGGTCTTCAACTTGTTTTGTTTCTTACATCTCGGGCTTCTTCCCGTTAACAGCACTTCCTGAAGGGGAACGTGCCTATTTGTCTGATCTAAACGTAAGTAGCCATGCAACATTTTTAAGGAAAAAAGAACAAAGAAATGTACAAGGGAATCACATTCAACAAACAAAATCAAGCAAGAAATGTTAAAGACAATGGGCATACATAGACCACCAACCAAGATCCTTTTAAAAATACTGTAAGAGATTTTCAACGAAGCATTCCTTTGCCTCAAGAACATTTTTTTTCTCCCTCAAGAAGTGTGTTAACCTTAATGGCTTTCCCTAGAGCTAGAATTTCAATTAGCTACTTTACTAGCACGACTCTAGTCACATAAAAAAGCGGTGACTCTTTTAAGATTCTTGTACTAAGCCATATTCTTCATGGGCACTCTAAGTTGAACTTAATTTTTTTCCTATTTCCAGGTTCCTGTATATAGTAAGATGCTAGTTATAAGAAAAGTACAACTTGAACTTAGATGAATGTAGCACTTGGGCTTCCTTCTTAATAAAAATACATGTTATAAAAATTGATTCATTTATTACATAGACTCAAATGTTATTAAAAATGAAAGCTATACAGCAGGCCTGAGAAAGGATGATGCCAAGCTGTAATAAGACTCTTTATAATTTGTCTTTATAATCATTTTCCCTTTTTTCATTTTATTCTTAAAATTATCAAGCCAAGTGACATCTCTATAATCATTTTATCTGCTATATTTGATAATTTGACACATTATACTATATTAGCTATTATGACAAGTTTTTGAAACATTAAAAAAGGTAAGTCCTTCCACGAGTTCACATCCTTAGGGTTTGAATTACCAATTGTACAATAACAAATAATGTAATTCTGATTAAGATCTCCAAAACAGTTAACTACTACAATAATATTTACATAGGCCCTTTCACGGTTCTCTTGAAATACACATAAACATCGTCTCTAGATATTCAAAATAAGCCACAAATGGCAGAAAATAACTGATGAAAACTTCCAAGGTCTATAAAAGAACTAAGAAAGTCATGAAGTTCAGTTTATTCTCTTGGCTGCAACCTGTATTTCAGTTCTTTAGGTAATTTCTGCATTTGTATGCTTATTTAAAAGACATATAAGGTCTGATTTCAGATTACCTAGATGAAGGTCAAACTTATCAAAGAGGATTCTTTAAAAAATAATCCTATTGTAAAAATGTCTCTGGATTTATGAGCAGTTCAGGGTGCATTCTGGTGGCATCGCTTTAGTCTAGTGCTCATCCAATGCAAGTCCATGGTGGAGAAAAGTTGCCAGCCACTGAGCATAGGAGGTGGACATCTGTTGCTTTAGTCTGCTCAGTATCCATTCATCCTTGCAATGCTATGGTTTGCATGTGTCCCCTCCAGCATTCACGTGTTGAAACTTAATGGCCAATGTAACGGTATTAAATAGTGGGGCCTGTAAGAGGTGATTAGGTCATGAGGCCTTCTCCCTCATTCACAGGATAAAGTGCTCTTATGAAGGGCTCGATGGAGGCAATTTGTCCCTTTTTGCCCTTCCTCTTTCCACTATGTGAGGACACAGTGTTTCTTCCCACCCTCCTCCCTCCATAGGAGGCAGCATTCAAGGTGCGATTTTGGAAGTAGAGACTGAACTCTCACCAGACAATGAACTTGCTGGCACCTTGATCTTGGACTTCCCAGCCTGCAGAATTGTGAGAAAATAAATTTATGTTCCTTATAAACTACCGAGTCTGTGGTATTCTTTTATAGCAGCACAAAAGAATCTAAGATACTTCCTCTAATAGTAGCACACCACACTTTCCAAAAACTGTCAGTCAAAGATTTGCATGTCTCCACCCACCCCCTCCCATGCTGGTCATAGTGACTGGTTTTGTGGCAGACAAGTGACTTTATCAGTAATAAAGTTATTCACATGAGAGGTATTTTACTGAGAAGGTTGGGAAAATGAGGATCTCTTTTTCCTGGTATAGCCAAGCGGGTAGAAGATAAGCCTGGAGCTGCAGGTGGCCATTTATTTCCCACTAGAGAAAGTCAGTTATAGAATGGAGCCTATACAAAAAATCAGAACCAAGAGACTTTAAAGAATTAAGTCTGATGACTTATTACATTTTTGAACACCTGAATTCAGTCATATTAGGTCTGGAGAACCAATCAATTTCCATGTTCCATAAGACAACTTGAGTCCATTTTTTATTATTAATAAACAAAAGATTCCCAACTAATATAGCATCTTTCCTTATTCAAGAGGGTAGATAGTGGAGACAAATAGTCTGTGTCGTTAAGAGGTCAGAGAAACAAAGACGGACATATGATGTGAAGTGATTCAGAATTCAGAATTGTCTTTTTCAGAAGTTTTTTTATATTTTTTATAAAACTGAATAGTGTTGAGTTCTTGTTAATCGATTTACCCAATATCATTCCTCAATAACTGAAACACATATCGTAACATGTTGCATCTACCCGGACTGCCTGCCAAAATGTACTCCCTCCCAAATGTCCCCATCCAGCTCAAATTTCCTTTTCCTTTGGCAGCAGCTCATACTTTCTTTTAGTGTTGCTGGGATTTTTCTGAGCCTGCTTTTAGGCCTCAGTGTCCTGCTGAATTCTTCACTCTATTCATCTGTTTCCTTTTAAAGCTGCCTTAAGGTTCATTGCTTCTTGACCTATTCAGCCTTGCTGTTCTTCTAGGCCAGTCTAATTCCCCAACTGGGGCTTCAAGACTCTATTACTGCTGTGCTGTCAACAACCTATTATTTTCCTTTTCACCAACTTTTGGCTACTCCCTGATCACATTCAGGGTGCAAAAATGCTAGGAGTGAACAGTTAACCAATCCCTATCCTGCACCAGCACATATGACAGAACCTATTTGGAATTCTTTTACAGGATGCACTAGCTAATGCAGATAAGCTCTGTGGCATCAATTCACCCTCCAGAAGAAACCCAAATAGCAACACAGGATGAAGGTCAAGGATTAACTGATGCTAATGGAAATGTTCCCAGTGACCGTCCAGATAAAATATTGTATCCCAGCTGATGAGGCCGGCACATGATGACAACACTACAAGGTATGCTTCCCTGGGAAGAAAAACCCCCCTTTCATTTCTAATATAGCTTCATAGTTCACATCATGTCTGCTAGCTGCATTGACTGTGGTAAGAACTACATACCACAAGTAGAGTTTTTAATGGCAATATGAACCACAAAGATGATGCTTATTCCACATCTAAGACAATAAGCTCAATGCACTCTTTCATGGCTCTTCATCTTTTCCCATATTAGATTAGGCTGTTCCTTTCAGCAGGAGTTTTAATGCACTGTAGGCCTACTTGGCAGCAAGCTTTAAAAGCATTTAATAAAAGGCATGTGAAGGAAATGTTATCAATGAGCAAGGTTTGCCTTAATGATTCCTTAACCTGTTTATTATTATCTCCTGCTTCTCAGAGGTGATAGATCAGCAGTTCTACATACCAAGCTGAAGAAAACCCTGAGACATTTTGGAGCCAGAGATCCTTCATCCCTGCGGGGTAATAAGCTGGCTAGCCTTCCATAATGGGCAGGCTGTGGTTTATTCTGTTTCCTATAAGGAACCTACTAGAAGGAATTTTATGGCCATAGGTTTTGTGTGAGCATTAAGCCATTTGTGGCATGTGTGAGAAGAGAAAGCACTTGTCCCCAAAGCTACTTCAATTTCCCTTCCTACTTGCTGCCCAGGGCTCGGCAGCCTCTTCAAAGAAGGCATTCTAAAAGTTATCTCTAGACAATACTCATTCACAGAACAGGCAATCTAGGCACTCTTGGGGACAAGCCTGAACTCTCCTGTTCACTAAATTACTGGTGTGAGGGAACCTAACCCGAATGAAAGAGTTTAGGAAACACACTTCCCACTCCCTGAACAGGGACTGGCCTTGCTTTGAGGATATCTGGGGAGCTGATGCCTGTTACCTTCCTCATTTTCACTTGGCCCAATCCTCCCCTTTGATAAACACACATTTCCACAGACAGAGACATTCTGTTGACTTCTCCTAGAAAGATCTACAAGCAAAGGTGAAGGAGAACTATATGGAGCAAATGAAAATAGAACCAGTGGGATAAGCTGCCACTTTATAGAAGTAAATATGACAAACTTAGACCCACAGGAAATCGTTTTATGACAAAGATTTTTTGTCCTTTCAAAGAAAGGACAAGGCATTTTATTTTTCAAAATGAAACCTCAGGTTAGTAAACATGTGGCCAGATGCCCGGTGGAAATAATATTGTCTGTAGGGACCTTCATGGTGCTCTCCGGTGAAGAGAAAAATTAACCTTCCGTAAATAAAAAAACTTTAAATTCCATGTTGGTAAAATTATTCTTACATTCTAGTTCTCATCGAGGACTAATATATATACAACACTTGAAGTTTTTCCATTAAATTGTTTTTGAATTATGAGTGACAAAAAAAAAATTTGAACAAATTGAAGAAAAATAAATGAAAAGACAGAGCTTATGTCCCTTAGCTAGAAAGTATGTTATTTACATCTCTGACAATGCTTTCCCCACTCTCTCCCCACCCCCATGTAGCTATGGGCAATGAATGTCATTATTTACAAGTTTGGGTAGAGAAACTTTTTACTTTAGCCTTTGCTTTAAAAAATATGTCCCCCTACTAAGGGCAGAGTTGTGTATTAAATGCTCAAAACGTGATTATGACACAAAATTAGGAAATTTTTCTTTAGAGAAAAGCAAGCTTTATGTATTGAAGAATGTTGACAACTTAAATTTTGGAAATGTCAAGTTTGAAATGTCTGCAAGAAAAACAAGGGGCAATATTTATCAGGCAGCTGGAAATTTGGTCAGTAGACAGGTGAAATTGAAGACAGTGGAGTGGTAGCCTCTGTGTCATAGGATGGAATAAAAAAAAATAAGTTTCCAATGAAACGTGTTTAAATGATCACTAAGAAACTATTATTTTAATCTCTTATTTAAAATCTCTTCTAAAGTGGTAAATAAACTTTCTCTTGAATCATTTCATGATGAATATGTTCAATTCTCCCCACAACCAGCCAAGTAAGTAAATGGCTCAGGAAGTATATTAACTCTTTAAGGCACTCCTGGACCATGAGGATGACACAGGGCTCAAGAACACAGCAGTCCCTGGGACAGAGTAGGGAAAAGTGGCGAGCTAAGGTATAGACTCTTGGTAGCGAAGAATTTTCTAAAGAGTTGGTAAGTATCCGAGATTTTTCATGCGAAGAGTAAAATATTTTCGAGAAAACAAAAAGAAAGGCAGCAAAGTGGGAATTGGTTGCTAATCTATTTAGACTTTATTGCATTGTTTCCTTAATTATCTTGAAAATATTTTCCTCTCTGAAATTTAGTCAGAAGTTATTTCTCAAAGTTGGGAATTGTGCTCTAGTACAAAGAACTTCGACCAGACTTTGCTACTCTTCTGCAATGTTAATCATAAACCCTTATCAATTTTTTGGTGTCTGATTCATTCATTTGTTTATTATTTATTTAGTTTTTGTGCACAATTACTGATATCACTTTTCCTAAAGCAGTATTCTTATACAAAATACCCATTAGCGGATAAAACATTTTTCTTAAGGGAAAAAGACAAAAGCTGGTATCAGGCAAAAGCCTTCAGTAATCTTTGAATGAATGTGGTATTGTTATAAACCTTAGCAGTAATTTATTATTTATTTAAACAAATGTCTTAGTTTCTCTCTTTATAAAAACAAAATAATACTAGGCAGGAGAAATATTTGTATTTTCCTTAGGATTTTAGATAGGTGATGAATTGCTACATCAGCGGTTTTTGTTTGTTTATTTGTTTTTTCTTTTTTTGAGACAGAGTCTTGCACTGTCGCCCAGGCTGGAGTGCAGTGGCATGATCTTGGCTCACTGCAACCTCTGCCTCCTAGGTTCAAGCAATTCTCCTGCCTTAACCTCCAGAGTAGCTGGGATTACAGGTGCCCGCCACCACACCCAGCTAATTTTTTGCATTTTTAGTAGATACGGGGTTTCACCATGTTGGCCAGGCTGATCTCGAACTTCTGACCTTGTGAATTCACTGCCTCAGCCTCCCAAAGTGCTGGGATTACAGGCGTGAGCCACCGTGCCCGGCCCAGCATTATTAATGTTATTAGATAACATTAGATGTCAAGCCCCCAACAAATTATTTCATGTCAAGCCAGTCTTTAAGACACAAGATAGGAGTTGGTTGTTCCAGTAAAAAATTGATCAATTATACTGCATGTGGTAAATTTAATTAATCAATAAGAGGTTAGTCTGTACTACTGCAAATACAAAGGCAATTGATTAAAGGCATTTTTCACCTTTTATAAGTTTGGCATCCTATTGTCTGATTTCCAGTAGTTCTGCATTAATATCATGGGATACAGAGTCAGACATATTTGGGATTCCAGCCCCAGCATTAATATATCTACATCAACATGGGACAGGCTATTTCACCTCCCTGACCATCAGTATCATCATCTGTAAAATGGGAATTTACAATATCCACTACACAAGAGTTGTTGTGGGAATTAAAAGACGTAAGGCATGAAAGGCTTTCAACAGAATCTGGAGAGTAACAGATGCTCTATACATACATATGTTTACTTTTAGTAGTGTTTACCTGATTTTGATGTACATATCTCAGAGAAGTTGAAAGAAAATTAAAGACAAAAATGATAATAATTAGAATTATATTCTCTCTGAGTGTTTAGGGGGAAAAATTCCTCTCCTTTTCCCCATTTCCTTTTGTTCGTTTGTTTCTTGCTTTTTCTGTTTTTTCTTTTTTTCTTTTTTTTTGTTTTTGAGACAGAGTCTCACTCTGTCACCCAGGCTAGAGCACAGCGGCGCAATCTCAGCTCACTGCAACCTCCACCTCCCGGGTTCAAGCGATTCTCCTGCCTCAGCCTCCCGAGTAGCTGGGACTACAGGCATGCACCACCACACCCGGCTAATTTTTGTATTTTTAGTAGAGACAGGGTTTCACCATATTGGCCAGGCTGGTCTCGAACTCCTGATCTCAGGCGATCGCCCAGCTTGGCCTCCCAAAGTGCTGGGATTACAGGTATGAGCCACCGTGCCAGGCCTGTTTTTGTTTTCAATAGGCTCTTTCCTTTTCTTCCTTTTGTGTTACATCAAAGCTCACCTGCTAAGGGCCTTTTATTTTTCCATCAGAGCACATACCAAGTCAAAATCCCCAATAGTGTTTGGCTCCTTAAGGGAATCAACCGTCTAACTAAGAGAGGCAGCAAAGACTAGACATTTGGCGTGTCAATTACTGTATTTTGGCAACACGATGTCTTGGCATCCTTTTTTCATTACACTGTTGGTGATGGCCTAACAGAAGGAAGTTATATAGGAAAGGCATGAAAACCTGGAGTGCAAACGAGTTTTGTCACAAGTTCTTGGGATGGAAAGAGTTGTTTTACAAGATGCCTTGCATAGAAGGAAAATAGTTCCGCTGGATGTCTATTTGGGTAACAAGGAACATGGTCTGCTATGGTTTACTACTCTGGGGGACCAAAGCAAAATTCCTTACTGGAATTGACTTTGAAATATGCACTTGGTTTCAGCTGAAATTTGTAAGAGAAAGAGACTGAGGTTCACACAAGTAAAGAAAAAGGGAATACAGTTTATAGTGGGTCTGATTTTGGACTCTTAAATTTTTAAAGTAACATTTGTTAAGTCATAGGATTTTTAGAAACAAAAAATAGCATTTGAAGGTATAAAAATTTGACTTGAGCTATTTTAAAATAATAAGGCAGCAGGCATATATACTAGTGCTTATTCATTTTTTAGTGAGAAAATTATTATTGTCTCATGAATTGTAGCTTTTTTGTCTAGCCCTAAATAATGCAACTTTAGTGAGAAAATCTGGGCTCTGAGACACATTACAAACAGTTACAAATATAGCAGTTATATTATTCTAGTCATTACTAGCAGACATTTCCATTATAAATATGGATATTAAGAGGTTCATCATTCATATATGTACATGCTCTAATCTGATTCTTGACAGAACAGAGAAACTAACTCTGCAATATGTGGATGAAGATATTTTCTTTTCTTTCAGTTTTTCTAGAGACCAAAAAAAGTATATTTCTTGAAAGCCTCTTTCTTGAGGACCAAGACACTTTTAGAATATTTTCTCATCTTTTTAGGTAAGGATGGTGACAGTAATCAAATGCCACTACTGTGTACCATCTATACCTGGTTTTTAATTGAACAAGTACTATGTGAATATATTGCCCTTGTAGGAAACTCAAACAAAATAGATTAATTCTCAGCAGGCCTTTTCAACAGAGCTCCAGTGAAAAAAGCCTCTCATTACTTGCTTAAGCAAAGATTTCTGGTTTTGAACATTCTGTGTGTTTGAAAAGCAGATTGAACAATTAATTGTTCAATATACACAGACTGTGCAGATCAGATTATACACAGAGTTTTGATTAGCTCCCTGTTTTCTGCCCCACTTGTCATTCTTTTCCTCCACTGTACCTGATGATTCAAAATTCTGAACCTATCCAAGATTATCTAGAACAACAGCTCTCTAAATGTTGTCCCCAAACCAACAACATCCACATCAGCATTTCTAGTAAGTTCTCAGGTCCTACTCCAGCCTATTGAATCAGAAATTGTAGGGACAGAGCCCAGAAATCTATCCTTTAACAAGCACAACAGGCAATTCTGATACACCCTAGGGTTTGAGAAACCATAGACTTGGAGCAAACGGGCTCTCTTTTATGATATATCTGCTCTTGATGTGCTCTAAGCTCTAGTTTCTCTACCCTGTGACATCAATCATCACGCTTCCATCTGCTCTCAATATTTTAAATATGTGTTAAAATCTATGATCCCTTAACAACCTCATTTCTATTCTCTTTGTTTGTTAACCTTTTAATTTATTGTCTACCATTTCATTGGTGAATCAGGAAGGGACAACTGATGGACATATGCTATTAGGCCATTATCTTTAGACATTTCTATATACATTTCTATTAAAATGTATATGGACATGTTCCACAGAAATTTCTAGTCATATACATATTTGTACTTAGTGTTCACCTATCTTTCTTAAAATTAAAATCACTAATTGTGTGTGTGTGTGTGTGTGTGTGTGTTTAACAGAGTATCTTTAAAAGGAGCAAATAAGCAAAATTTTGTCTTACTGGTAAATTCTATTTTTTTTCATTACCTTTTTTTATCTTTAGAAATCACTTCTTTGGAGGGGTGGTTTACTTCTCTTTTTCTAGTTTCTTGAGTTGAAAAATCTAATTTTTTTTTTTTTTTACTGTCTAACAAATGCATTTAAGGTATAAATTTGCCACTGAGTACTACTTTGGCTAGCTCTCCTAGTTTTTGGTATGCACATCAATCGTCATGTATTTCTAATGAAATTTGAAACTAAATAGAAATTTAGTTTGATTTCCTTATTATGTAAAGTTATTTGGAAAAGTTTTCTGTTTACTTGCTTTATTTTTAACTTTTTATTATTTTTTGATTATGGAGGATCTTTAAACTATTTTTTCTTTTTTGTTTGAAAGTTATATGTTTTATTTACAATTTTCTACTTGTAACCTTGAAGTTTTAACATATTTAAAACATTTTTCTGTAAGTAGTTAGAAGCCTGGTGCATTTAGACTTCTCTATTCTCACATCATCTTCTACCCAACCCACCTTACCCACTCCAACACCCATTTTTTTTGTTCTATATTACTTTTACAACTAACAATTAGACAACTACACATCTTGCTGATTTCTTTGCCTCTCACTGTTTATTGTATCATATATACCATTCTTTTCAATTTTTTATTTTGCTGAAATGCATTCTTCTCTTTCAAGGAGTCCTTGCATACCTATTACTGATGATTTGGCTGTGTTTAGAATTGGAGCTCAAAGTTATTTCCTTCTGAACTTTGATGTGCCTAGATTGTGTTTTTCAGTTTATTCTAGTTGGCTCTGAATAGGACCATCAATATAAATATTCACATTTGAAGATTTATTAATTTTTACAATTATATATTTATTTCTTATGTTGCTAATTCCTCAAAAGAAACTTTGTTTTGTAAATGCCCTCATGAGAAGATTTTTTGTCCTGAGAAAAATATTAATAATACTTATATATTGCACTTGTGTTTGTTCTATTAATTGGATTTCCTCAGCTATTGAATACTTTCACTTGCTTGTTGAAATTAATATATTTTTATTCAAGATTTTATGTTGGTCATCTATGAATGCTATTTCTATTTAAAGCAGCCTAATAAATTATCACTTTAAATTAGGAGGAATTGGGGGATACGGCCTTCCTCTCAAGCTTGGGCAATGCCACTCTATGTCCTGTCTGGAGGGAGATTATTTCTCTCCATATTATCTTACTTACCACACTCTGAGCCAATTGTGGCATTCTATTCTGACTTTAATCGTGGGAAAAACTGAAGGCAATTCATTCTAACATACCACTGCAAAATAATGGAGGAGACAAGAACCAATCTTAAGTCTCCAGACTCCTAGATCTATAGCTGTTTCCAGATCATGCCAAGCAGACCTCTTACTTTGGTCTGATTTTATTAACTGCCTATTATAATGAACTAGAGAAAGGATTTTTAAAAAGTCAAAGCATATTATTAAGGAGAAAAAAATAAATGAATATTTTAAAAAATTTTTTAAAGACTGCACACTGGGTATAGTGTACACTGCTCAGGTAACAGTGCATCCAAATCTCAGAAATCACTACTACAGAACTTTTCCATGCAACCAAACACCACCTGTTCCCCCAAAACTAGCGAAATAAAAATAAAAAAAACGTGAGGAATTTAATGTTAACAATAAATACAGGAACAAATGGATATTTTTCTTATAAACAATAAGATTGGGCAAAAAGAATCACAGTAGAAGACAACATTTTTCAGGGCAAATGCTAATTATAAAATCCAGCTTCATCAGTTGCCACCAAGGTCAGCCTGGGTGTTCTCTCTGCTGCTGCTAGTGCTACTGCTGTCACCATCACTATTTACTTTGAGCAAATTGGGCCTCTGATCTGACCAAGGACAGGGCTAAACTGTGAAAATTCAATCGAGTCCTCATGAAGCGGAAGCACTGGTGTGGAAGGTGACCCTACACAAGCAATCACTCAATAATGCCAGTGTCTGAACAGAGAATTCTACATGCCTGCACACACACGCTAGAAAGAGAATGTAGTCTGATAAACAATTTATACCATCGGAAATTTTAAGAATAACATATCTTAATGGAATTTCAGGCCCAGGCTAAGTAATAAACTAATTCTACAATGCTGAGCTGTTTTAGGGCGATGGTAACATGGGATGATTTTATTTTAAATGTTCTTTATGATTTTCAGACAGCACATCATACTGTTGTATCAGCTGGCTTTGGCTTCATAACAAACTATCCTAAAGGTTATTGGCATAAACCAAAATAAGTTATTCAGTTCACAGGTCTGTGATTGGCAATTTGGGCCAGCTTTGAGTGATCTGACCTGGACTGTCTCCTGTGTTTGCAACCAGATGTCAGGTCAGCAGAGGCAAAATGATGCTGAGCTGGGGCACCTCAGTCCTCACCGTGCCCCCGCCCAACCCCATGAAGGAATGAATTTACATTGCTGCTATCATAATTTTAAAATTTTAGGTTTCCTTCTTTTTTTTTTTTTTTTTTTTTTTGAGACAGAGTGTCATTCTCTCACTCAGGTTGGAGTGTAGTGGCATGAACTCAGCTCATTGCAGCCTCGACTTCCTGGGCTTAAGCAATCCTCTTGCCTCAGCCTCCCAAAGTGCTGGGATTGCAGGTGCGAGCCACTGTGCCAGGCCTGGATCCCTTATTTTTTGAAGATTAACAACAAATCTTCTCTTTGCCTTATAGTAAACCTGTAATTACTCAGATTAAAATATTCTCTAGAGAAAGTGATGTCATGGTTTATTCAAGAACTCTCAAGTCATTGAGTTTTTAAGTGTGGACATTATTTTTCCAATAATTTCTATCAGCTGTGCTGCCAACTCCCTTTGCTAACAGTCTCTAAATCCAATCTCATTGTTTTTCTGCCATCTTCAGTTATTCACACTTGGTCCAGATCAATCTCCCATTAGAGTCAAGGCTTTTCCCTTCTCCTCAGACCCATGAAGGCTACTAGACCTTGACTTCAGAGCCTGGAGTTGGGGGTGGAAGTCTTCTCTCCCACCTCCCTGCTCCTTCTTCCTTGCAGTCTTCCTCTGGCATCAGTGCTGGGAGGAAGAAAGGAGATCTACCTCCTGACATGCCTGTGCATGGCGAATGTCCTTTTCTTGGTTGGCCTGAACTGCTCTTGCCTAATATGAGTGCCCACATGTGAAAAAAAGCATATTACTGGTGAGAGGTGCCACTTGAGCAGAATCAGAGATAAACATGTTTTCCAACCTCAGTAGTGCAACAAAGATCCTCACTGATTCTCTGTGCTCAGCACCATTAATCAAGCTGTGGTCTATACAGTAGAAATAGAGAGGAAAAGGTCCCAAGACCCTGCTGGCACTGGACTCAGCTCCAAGGTATTTTGTTTAGAAATATGAATACATCTTCAAAAGTTGATATCACCTAGCTACCATATCACATCCTAGCCTGTAGTGGACCCCAGCAAGCTTGCAGCCACCTCTCTCTATCTCAGTTATATTTTGCACCCTCTCCCAGCTCATTTTTGGGAACCATGAAACACTTAACAGGACTGACCCGTGCTGCCTTCATTTGGCTTCAGTGCTCCCATCATCTTCCTTTAGTGTTCTTGCCCCTAAAACACCAGAACAAATTTGCAAACTCTATTGCTCAGAAGACAGCAAGGAGAAAAACAAGTGTTCATTTCTTATTGATACCCACAGTCTTTGGTTTCCTACTCCCTTAAGCTTGAGAAAAGAAATCAGTAAGTGCCTAGGACAAGGCCCCTAAAAATAACCTCCTAGCCCTTTTCCAGTCTTCTTTATACAAACAGAGGATGGATGGATAGAGGAAGGAAAGAGCTTGAAAAAAGTGCTCATCTCTGATCCTACTCAAGGGGCACCTCTCACCAAGCCCTTGGAGCTGGAGACCAGCACCTTCATCTGAGATTCTCTCTGAATTAAGAGTGGCCTTTACTCTCAACTTTGAGTTCTAGAAGCCAATACTGAAAAGTCAAAAAACATTGCACAAGATATTTTACACAATCCTGCTCTACAGAAAAGCCTTTAGTACAGGTAAATATTAAAAAAAAGTCTCAGTTGTAACTTCACTATTGCTGCAAATGAAAATCATTTACTTCACCTTATGTGGCCTATTTTCCTTTATCCTTTTTGTAGATCACTCTTCTCTTTTTTTTTGTAAATCAAAACAATTTATTGTATGAGTTTAAGAGTATCTTTACAGTCATCGATTAGTTTCAGCATCACAGTTCATTCTCTTTCCTTCAGCACCAAGAAAATTGATGCGATGGCCTGTCTTAAGTTGGCTTCCTCTATTGGTCTTTTATCTGACAAGACACCTTTGGCAAAGTCTCATCAATATGCTACTTTTCATCTGCCTGACACTGAAATCAATGGACTGCAGAAGAAGCCTCTCGATCAGCATTGTCAGAAATGATCACCATGCTGGACGGAGCATGCTACCTGATTTCTGTGAGCACTCATTCATTCCTGAAAGCTTTCTCTCAGCTGTTACAAGAGTGACCCTGCTTAGAGGTCAGAGATAAAGATGCTCTGCAGTCAGAGGATGCACGGTAAATGTGGAGAGGGGAGACTTTCTCAGAGCGTGAGACGATATAATGGTCTGTATATCTGGCCCCTGGGAGAAATCACATTTTCCATCTCTGGGGCACGTGACCTGCAGGATCTGCATTTGTGGGCCTGGAAGCCCTAATTTGTCATAAGTGACAGTTGGGATTAGTGGTTATATTCAACATTACAGAAAGAACTTACCCAAGCAAAAGTAAATGAGTTGGCATAATTAGTTTTATGAAGAAAATTTAAAGTATTCATCAAAAACTTTATAACAAAATATAAACATGATTATATAAATCTTTTTATATATTCTTGATTAACCAATACGAATAATTGAGTAGAAGAAAAAGCTTGCCAAATACCTTTTAACGTATTTAGATAATTTTCTCCCATCAGCGATAACAAGAATTATCATATCAAAAACTGAATTCCACTAGCAATCATAAACCTAATGGAATTAGGTTTCCCTGACTTGGAAGATTCTAGGCTTGTGCTCATTCTAAGAGAGAGAATAATGTCCTGGGAGCCTACAGCCATCACTCAGAACTCTAACCCAAAGTAGAAGAAAGATTGAAGACCACTGGTTTCAGACAATGATACCTAAATTATTCTGCCTGGTGAATATCTAAATGACCAAGGCACTTGATTGTTCTCTGCTTGAAGGAATACAAAAGCCTTTATACCCTAGAAGGCAAGAAGTTCTTTATTTAAAAAAAAAAAAGAAAAAAGAAAAGAAAAAATTTTGGCCTGGTTAAAATGCACTTCATTTTGTTCCTCATGTTGACCAGTAATTACATACTCTTCCCCCTGCAAAAGAAAAAACACTACTCATTCTAAAATAGCAGTATTGACCCTTTTGAGATATTTCAAAAGGATATTTTCAAAAAGACATTTCAAAATCCTAGAAGCAAAGAAAATATAGTTGAAATCCAGGAAAGCTGAGAAGGTACACAGTAAGTAATTAATTTGGAGACAACTGTCAAGAATTCCTCTGAGGGGTGGGTAGTATGTACTTCAACGACACCTTATTAATGAGGTGGCCAAGAAAAACCCCAAACCAAAATTGATTGAAAAGAGGATGCGTGAGTATCTAATGCAAACCCTGCAGGAACACTGATCACAATGCCAGGGGCCAAGGTATAGTCTTTCAGGTAAATATCCTGTAAGACCCCCAAAACATAGTCAAAGCCTGGGGGGGACCCCAGCTCACACGACAGATGAATAATGTACCCAGACACCGATATTCACTGAAAGAGCAGCTAGGGGTCCAAGCCGCTCACAGACACCAAGGAAGGTGCTGTAAAGAGTCAGCAGCCATGGCCCGACTAGCTGGCCCTGCAGGCATTTATTTAGCACAGTTTTAATGACAAAGGCTTTGAGTCAACACATCTGTGTGTAATTAATTTGGTTGTCCCCACCCCGGGAGAGCCATCCTGCCTGTGAGTGATCAAAGGTTAGTTTTAGGACCACATAAGTAAACGAGCTCTTTGGATAAACTCCTCTACATTCCTATGTATCTATGGCCTAAGCTATTAAGTGGATTCAGCTGCCTTCAGCCAAACACTTTATGCAAACCTCCAGGCCTTCCAAGAGGGTTTGTGTTTATTTCCTATAACTTCATCTTAAAATTTTTCCCACCAGCCTGACTGAACTCCCACAAAAGCATGGCTGCAAATCCCAGAGAAAGAAGAAAGAGAACTTACATAAAGGAGGCTTTCTGGAGAACTCGCTGTAAGAGGGTCAATGCGGAAATATGGAATGTGCTTAGGAGTCCACTGAAGCAGTCCAGGTGAGAGACAACTGACTTATAGTGGTTGGGGAGTGAGAAGTAGTCAGATTCAGGATATACTGATAGCCTCACACATCAATATCCTCAGACAGGGAAAAAGAGAATATCCCTCCAGTGTCCCTTTTAAACAGCAATCATATCACCCACCGCTCAGAACTCTCCAAACACTTCCCACATTATGAGAAAATTCAAGATTCTAATCATGGCTAGACGGTCCTTCTGATCCAATGTACCACCTCTGAGATCTCATTTCTTGCCAATTTCCTTGGTCACGCCTTTCCAGCCATGTTTACTTCCTTGCTGTTTCCCAAATACATCAAACATGTCCCTACCCTTGGGGCTTTGAACTTGTCTGGAAGCTCTCTTCTCCAGAAGTTCCCACAGTGTACTCCCCTCCTTCATTTAGGTCTTACCTTGTAGGCCAAAGAAGAATTCTCTGATAACTATTTATAAAGTAACAGCTCCAGCCAGGCTCGATGGCTCACACCGCGAATCCCAGCACATTGGGAGGCCAAGGCAGGAGGATCACTTGAACCCAGAAGCTCAAGACCTGTCTGGGCAACATGGAGAAACTTTGTCCCTACAAAAAAATACAAAAGTTAGCCAGGCATGGTGGCATGCTCCTGTGGTCCCAGCCAATTGGGAGGCTAGGGTGGGAGGATCACTTGGGCCCAGGAGTTCAAGGCTGCAGTGAGCTGTGATCACACCACTGCACTCCAGCCTGGGTGATAGAGTGAGACTCTGCCTCCAAAAAAAGAAAAAGAAAAAAAAAAAAAAAAAGGAACACCTCCTTCAACACTATTTTACCTTGCACAGCAATATTGTTCTTCACAGCACTTTTCACTACTTGAAATATATGTATCACCCCCTCTCCTTTTTTGAGCCTCTGTTTTCTTTAAAGTGTAACTTGATGAAGGCAGATAATTTGTTTCTTATCTAATAACAGAGCAGGAGATCTATCTGGAAACTTATAGCCAGCTTATTCCACTGGGTCCACTCAGTCCCACTGTATTTTCAGTACCTACAACCTTAGCACATAATATTCACTCAATGAACAATTGTGAAATAAATGAATAAAAGTAATGCCTAGAGCTGCTACAGCCATCCCGTGACCATAAAGAAATTTCTTGACAAGTGGTGGAAGGTGCAGCACAAAGACTAAAAGAACCTGGATCCACGGGGATGCCCCTAAGCTGTGGAATCCATCATTTCAGTAAGAGCCCTAGCTTTTAGTTGTCATATGAGACAATAAGTTCAGCCACTTTAATTTGGAATTGCTGCTTACTCCACAACTAGGACTGCCCTAACTGCTGCGTAATTTTAATCTTCTAGACAAATATCACATTTCAATTTCTAGAATATGTCATCCAAGAGCATTTTCCTTTCCCATTTCTCATACAATCTGCATAAATTCAACCAAATGGTTTGTAAGACTTTTAGGATTAATTTGATAATGTTTATCACATTTCTTATCCACCATGAGCTTCTATTATATAGGCATTTGAATTTCCCGCATTTGAAGAATGATGCAAAAACAAATTTCTTGTGCAGCTGGGCAAAACTGAATTATAAAACTTAAAATGACAAAAAAAGAAAAAACAAAGCCCCCCAAATCCAAAATGTGGCCTCCCAGAATACTTGTCTTTGAACATCTTTCTGATAAAAGTGTTTGAAACCTCTTAGAAAAACACTCAAGTAGAAAATGCTTTTGGAAGTTGACTCTATAAGGCAAAGGAATGTGTTATAGTTAACTGCTAAAGCCTAAATCACAGACACATTGTGTCCTTCAGAAATGTGTCTCATATTCTCAGACATCTTGGGCTATTTTCCAAGAATTGAATCTTTCAATTCCAAACATTTCCCTATGAATCCACTCTTAACTAAGTGTAACTACACTATTACCACTAGAAATTAATTCTTCATTTATTTATTTATTTATGAGTACTTATTGCATTATTATTTATTTATGAGTACTTACTGCATCAGACTTTAAGGCACTGAAGGAGATATCTATAAATGAGAAGATATGGATCCTAGTCTCAAGGTGTTTTGCTCAGAGAGGAAGCCCTCTCAAAAGCCTTAAAAATATAGTATACAACATAATTCATACTAAGATTTTTCCCAATTCACTGGCCTGTTGCAAACTTCCTCTCCCATGGTCTGAGGCATGTACAGTGAGCTACAGCCTAGAGTTGGTCAACAGAGAGCTCCAGTCACACAGTAATCTATGTGGCTCTTTCTATAAGAGGTGCCCCTTAGAGTTGGGCAGTGTCAAGCCAGCTGCCCCAGAATGAGCATTGGTCCATCCCAACTGTACCTGACCTTGCCATTTGAGATAGATTTGGAGACTTAGGACTGACTCATTCTACTGAGTCTCATACACCTGTCATTCTTGATCATTGGCCAAAGTGGAAACCTCTCTAGCCATCTTTCCTCTCTGTGTCTTTTCCAATTGGGTGTTTTGCTTCTCTTACCCCATATTATGGGTTAAAATGTGTTCTTCCAGAAAAGATATGTTGAAGTCCTAACCCTCAGAATGTGGCCTCATTTGGAAATAGGATTGTTGCTAATGCAATTGGTTAAGATGAGGTCATACTGGAGTAGGGTGGGCCCCTAATTCAATATGACTAGCGTGCTCCTAAAAAGAACTCCAGGTAGAGAGAGAGACACAAGGAGAAGGTCATGCAAAGGTGAGAAGTCATAGATCAGAAGGGTGCATCTACAAGCCAACTAACACCAAAGATGGCCAGCAAAACACCAGAAGCTAGGACAGAGACCTAGAACAGGTTCTCCTTCACAGTTCTCAGAAGGAACCAATTCTGCAGACATTTTCTTCTCAAATTTCTAGCTTTCAGAACTGTAAGACAATAAATTTCTGTTGTTTAAGCCTCCCAGTTGGTGGCATTTTTATTTTGTTATGGAAGCCACAGCAAACTAATACATCCCATCTGTTGCTCCCATTCTGATTGTTGAAAAATCTCCTAACTGTGATGTCTGGAACTCCCATTCCATGCTAAAGAAACTTCCCAACATCTTTATTTTCTTCACCAAACAGCCTCTCTCTGCTTCTAGCACTGTCTTGAAGACATGGCTTTACATGTGGCTCTCTCAAGGGCAATTCATCACTTCACTGAGACAGCCAGGTGGGAGGGGCTCCCTGGCAAAACTCCAGCCAGCCTGTACACTAGGGTGGAGTCTTGGGAAGTTTGAGCCTTTTGCAGCAGGGGGAAAAGCTTGGCCCCTCCTCTTCCTGTGTGGAAACTGGGATTCAAACTGCGAGGCGGGAAGCACAGGAGCAGGGGACTCTGGCTTTGCAGAGGGTCCCTGTTCCCTGCTTTTTCCTTTTCACCCAATAAAACCCTGCTTTACTCACACTTCAAACTGTCTGCAAGCCTATATTTTTGTGGCATGGGATGGACAAGGACTCCATCTGTAGCTGAACTAAGGAAAAGTCCTGCAACAGTACTAAGTTGGCATTCTCTAGCTCCCTATTGCTATTTCCAGGGAATTACTCCCCAATATGTTGCAAAACTCCCTCTCACTCTGCCAGTTAAGCCATTGGATAGCTTCTACCCTCCCTCATCACTGCTGTCTTCCAGCATATTCATGGTTAATGTATGAGATGTTTTCCATCATATTTATGGACACACTTGACACCTGCTTTGCACTCATCATTTTCACCTCAAGTCCTGCCCTCATCTCTGGCATCTTTTATGATCACATGAATAAGCTGCCCAACTCCCCAGCCCAAGGACTGATTGTTCTCTTCACACTCAGTGCCAACAACTGCTTTCTACTTCATTCACTGGTATTTAGGTATCTTACTCACCTATCTCACCTGATCTGCTCTATATCAGAATACTTACATTCCACTCCCTAGACACAATCTCCAATCCTACATTTTTCTCATGGTCTTTTTCCTGCCAAACTTGTCTCTTTTTGTTTTTTGTTTTTTATTTTTGGCTTCGTACACATCTCTAAGCTCTCAGTGCCTCCACATTTTGTCAAGTAATGAAACCTTTCTTGGTTTTACTTTCCTATCTAGACCAGGCCTCTCTATTGATCACCAAGCAACGTCTCTTCCATAAAGTCAGTCTACAGCACCATAGATGATTCTGGGGACATATCATCAAAGATGTGCCTTTGTGTGATGAGCTGAGAAAGAGCTGGTAGAATGCTAATGACTAGGTAACGGGGCCTCTCAAATCCTTTTCAAAATAATTCAAAATGTAATAGTTATTTATCTGTGTAATAATAAGAAATACAGGTTTTGTCTCCGCCTCCCTTTCCTAGTAGACAGTTCCTAAAACCAAGTGATAGGTGTCTTTTCATGTGCTAATGGGATGGCTGGTGGCGGGGCTCCTGAATAGCCTCAAGATGGGGGCTGGGTGCCAGGAGAACCAACCAAGTGATTACACAGTTGGAACTTTCAGCCCCATGCTACCTCCCACCCCACCCCTCAATCTCTAGGGAGCAGAGGAGGGCTGAAGGTTGAGGTGATCACCAATGGCCAATGATTTAATCAATCATGCCTATGTAAGGAAGCCTGTATAAAAACCAGAAGGGCAGGGTTCAGAGAACTTCCAGGTGGTTAACAGCAACACATCCACATGCTGGGAGCATGGTGCATCCCAAGATCCACAGGGACAGAAGCCCCAGTGCTCAAGACCTTCCAGGACCTTGCCCTGTGTATCTCTTTATCTGGCTGTTCATTTGTATCCTTTAAAGTAGTCTTTGTAATAAAATGGTAACCTAGTAAGTAAGCCATTTTCCTGGATTCCATGATCCATTCTAGCACATTATCAAACTTGAGAAAGGTCATGGGAGCCACCAATTTGTAGCCAAGTTGGACAGAAGTTGTGGGTAACCTAGGTACTCACTCACTACTTGTGATTGGCGTCTGGAGCGGAGGCACCCCATGGGACCAAGCCCTTGATTTGATGCTACCTCCAGGTACATAGTTTCAGAATTGAGATAAATTGTAGGACACCAGTTGGTATCCACAGATAATTGGAGAATTTCTTGGTGTGGGAGAAGCACCCACACATTTGGTAACAGACATGTTCTGTGTTGAGTGTAAGAACAGAGAAAAGCAGTTTGTTACTTCTATATGGATTATTTTACCTAAAATTTTGGTTACATTACTTTGTAGTTCTTCAATCTTTCCCCATCAGTTATATAACTGAGTTCTAGCTCCTTAGACTGGCTTCCCAGGCCATTAATAATATGATCTTGCCTATCCCCTTCCAAATTGCTTCCCAGCACTTCCTACTGTTCACATTGTGCAATCTGAAGTCTTTCTGATTTGGAAATGCTTCTGCCCACAGTCTTATCCTCTCTTGCTTAGGTAATCCCATAAGGAGTTCTCTCTCCTCTTAATCTTCTGGTGAACTCCTGAGCATTCTTCAACACTCACTGAAGACCTTACATCACTTTCATATCATTCACAGATTCCTTGGATAGAATTTATAAGTCCTGTCTTTCAGACACTTCATCTTATCCACACTTCTACAATTGTACTATTTTTATTTTTCCACATGTATCTTCACTATAGTGCAGGGTTTCTCAGCCTCAGCACTATTGACATTTGAGGCCGGTTAATTCTTTGTAGTGGCAGGGGCGGGCTGTTCCGGGTATCATAGGATGCTTCGCAGCATATCCGACCTCTGCCCACTAGATTCTAGTAGCATCACTCCAAATTGTGACAATCAAAAATGTCTCCAGACATTGCCAAACGTTCCCTGGAGGACAAAAGCGCCTCCAGTTACAGTGCAAGCCACTCCAGGGTTGCACCTTACCTTTTTCATCTTGTTAAACTCAGAAACTAGCAGAGTGCCTGCCTCATAACATACACTCAGCCAACGTTTAATGAATTGATCTGAAGCTCAGGAAGTGTGACACTGTTCCAGCAAAACGCCACAGAGAACCCAGGCAGTGTCAACAGCGTTCTTCCAGGTACTTCTAATGAAGACATTTTCTAGTTAAAACATAATGTTTCACTCCTAAGACGGACAACAGCATTCTGCATTTTCTTTCTGAAAGCAAAGGGCATATCTGCAAAGTTTCCCGAGCACCGTGGCCCGAGGCTATTTTTGACTGTGTAGCTCTTGCAGACTTGGGGCCTCCCTCCCCGCCAGTTGGCTTTCTCACGCTCTTGCAGCTTTTCTGCCTGCCCCCACTTCCCCAGTAGTTTCATTCAGTACTTCGCTTCCACACACAGCACTGGGCAGAGACCCTCAGTGGGCACTCGCCGCTGCTCAGAACCAGGCCCTCAGCAGACGTGAATGGCTCCTGTGGCAAAGGGCCAAGTTCATTGTCTGCCTGCTTCCTGTGCCAAGGCATTTGGCTCCTGTCTACTGCTTTTATCTGCATTTGTCTTTTCAACCAAATGAAGTTAAATTATGTCCTTACTTTTTACTACTGGGGCTGCCTGAATTCTCTATCTTAATATGACTTCCTAGTAAAGCCCATTTTCTTCTCAAAGAGAGGGTTATAAATACTGCGAGATGGGAAATGGACCACTTCTAGAAAAGCCATGTGAGCCCAGCTTGGTGTATGTGGGAAGGGTTCAGACTTCCCAGCACCATGGGATACGACTCAAGGAGGATATTTCATATTTAAGACAAAGGGTAACTTAACGGCTTTTCTCTCACCTGCCAAATGCCAGGTCTTTTGGCCACTCTTCTGTTTGCATGGAAAATTATAAAAAGGCAAAGAGATTCTGGAGAACTTGACATAGTAAAACCAGGTGGAAATTTTTCTCCTTAAAACAATTGTAGAAATTAGAAGAGAAGCACCTCACCAGCAGCTGACAGGCCAATGTGACAGAGCAGTGCTCTCCTCTCCAATTGTGTTTGCTTTTTGCTCTCTCTCCCTCGGGCTTTGGGAAGAATTGATTTGGGGCTCTTATGTTTAAAACATTATGGCAGACATTGTAAGTTGACTAGCCCAATTTCCATTCTCAACTCCCTTCTTCTGCCTCTTAGAAGCTGGTAAAACTGAACACTCACTTTCCCGGCTTCCTTTGAAGCATGTGGCATGTCACCTATTTCTGTCCAATAGTACCTAAGATTTTTTTTTTCTGGGGGATTCTGGGAAAGTATTTGCTGTCCTGATATGAAAGACAGATGTTTCTTGTGCTGGCCTCTGTGCCCTTCTTCCTGCTTTGAGTGTGGACATCGCCTGAAGCTGGTACTTAGAGCTGCAGCCCCTTCTAGGGACTGTGAAGCATCTCTTCTGACCATAGGCAGCTGCACCATTCTGCTACATGAGAAAAAGAACCCCCTTTCTCTAACCTGGTAAATAACTGTTCTGTTGTTTGCTGCCAAAAGGCTTTATAATGAAAATAGCTGTATTTACCCTGTAGTCAAGTCACTATGAAAGTAAGTGCAGCTGTTTTACCCATTCCCTCTTCCCTGTGCACTCTCATCAGAAATTCACCAGGATACAATGTGATTCGTTCAAAATCCACCTAGATTAAGCATTAATCTAAGCTAAAAATGATGCTATATATTTAAATGAAACAAAGACAGAACTTTTGTTTTATTCATCATTATAGTCTCCAATGTCTACCAAGTACCTTCTATTAGGTACTTCAAAGCAGTATTTGAACTTTTAAAAATCAACTTTATTAATCCTCTAGGATTAATGAAGTATCTTTACGAATAAATACACAGCCTGCTCTTCTAAAATAAAGTCACTCATTTTTGTCTGATTAACATGTTTAAATTGTTACAATTTTTTTAATTTTAGAGATACCAAAAGTGAGCCATTTTATTAAACATTACCCTATCTACAACTAGGATTTTCAAATAATATTTCCAGGATTTATATTCCTTTTTGGTTTTATTTCCAGCCTCCTCATCCCTCTACTTAGTGGGATCAAGGGAACATAGAGGTGCAGTACTGGGTGGTAAACAGAAAAAAAAACTCCTTTAAGGACTATTGCAGGGCAGGTGGCAGAAATCAACTCGCTCATGACAGTAACTCTCTGACAGCACAAAGAGGCTGAGAGAGCTACTCAACTGTCAGAGAAAATCATTTAAGGAGCAGGGGCCCTGATTTCAGACCTGGACAGATAAAGCTTTATAGCCTACTAAAATAGGCTATCTAAGAGAAAGACCCAGATCATTGTGGTTAATATCAGCCACACAGCAAAGTATGAACAGCATAGCAACACAGCATCTGATAACAACTAGAGCCAATGTGAGCAGGAAAAACTTTTCTCAAAACAATGACAATCAGCCTGGTCAACTTTACAAGACACATTCAATTCACTTCAGTTTTCACAGACCACAGTGTTTCTCTATTTATAAACAATGTTTTTCGGGGAGTCAGTGTCCTATTGCTTTAATACACCTCTGATACAGTGGTCTATTCCAATTTGAATTGTTGGATGGCTTAATTAGAGAACTAGAAAATAACAGGAAAAAAGCCAACAGTCATACACCTAAATTTCCTCTATGTGTCCGAGGTATGACATGCATTCCTCATTTAGGGCCCAGCACAATCCCATGATGTGGGCATCACTGGCTCCATTTTACAGATGTGACTGTTAAACCTGTAAGTTCACATGCTTTCACCACGCCATGAACTGTGTGCTTGAAGTGTCACTGTGTCTGGGTAGAGCAAGCGGAGACCTGGTCATAAACGGGTGTGTAAGGAGTGAGTGTTCGTTTGATGAGCAGAGTGATGTTGTATTCAAATGGCTGAGAACTGCTGGCATGGTGGCTCATGCCTGTAATCCCAGCACTTTGGGAGGCCGAGGCAGGCGGATCACGAGGTCAGGAGATCAAGACCATCCTGGCTAACACAGTGAAACCCCATCTCTACTAAAAATACAGAAAATTAGCCGGGCATGGTGGTGGCCGCCTGTAGTCCCAGCTACTCAGGAGGCTGAGGCAGGAGAATAGCATGAACCCGGGAGGCAGAGCTTGCAGTGAGCCGAGATTGCCCCACTGCACTCCAGCCTGGGAGACAGAGCGAGACTCCGTCTCAAAAAAAAAAAAAAAAAAAAAAAAAATGGCTGAGAACTTTGCAACCCTGTACTCACCATTTGAAAAAAATGCAAATAAAATAATTCTTATTAAATGTCTACTTCTCATGGCAAAACTAGTAAGTGGCCAATGCTGAAAAAAATTTTAACCCAAGTCAACAAACAAATGTAGTTGGGACGAAAGCCATCAGCCTCAAGATTCTGAGCAAATTGAAAGATGAAAATGAAGAGGCTTTGGTGAATATTTACTTTTGTTTGTAGTGAGTTCTAAAGGATGGTACTGATCAAATATAAGGGTGACCACTTAGAACAGAAGAGATCCAGAAGAGGCCTTTAAGCCCTACCTCCAAACAAGAAAAGCTTGGGGAGCCTAAAATAAACCCACCACTTGAGAAAAATCTGTAGGAAAGGTAATTATCTGTGTAAGGGGGTAGAGTGAGGAAATTATAATTTTTTCATTTACTGAGATCCCTGGAGTGGGAAATAAGAAATATCTACAAGCCTTCAATAGTACTGAGAGCAAATGAATCGTGATAGAATCAGGAGATGGCTGCCGAGGCTTAGAGAAGCTAGGATTGGCTGTGTTCTGTTAAAGTCACCAAGTGAATGGCTAAGGAAATCAAGGACTTACAATTTTAAAGTACAAAGTAATCTTGAAAATTACCTAATTTAATCCCTAATCTCATAAGCTTGAAATCTACAGTCCAGAAATGGTTTTAGAACACCAGGTCTTTGACACCTAGGACAGCATTCTTCTACTACTTCATGATATTCTCTCATACATCCATTATAATCATCCATTATAATCAGTTATCAAATATACATAATATGCAATATACTTACTCTTCAAAAGTGGTTGTAGAAGACAACAAAAATTACCTCAAGCTTTCCCCATAGCCAGATTGGAGCTGCCTTCGACATGCAAAATGTGTATTACAAATACCAAAATGAGGTTATTTTTCTAGAGCAAATTTTAGCAGCATCAAAAAGTATACTAAAAATATGCCACTAGGCAGAATCTTCATCTTTAAATAAAATATTGGTCTCTCTACAATAAAAATATAATGTACAGTTTATTTATTCTTGCTTTAGACAAAAATAAAATAAACCCGGAGAATTTTGGAGATCATTTGTAAACTGAACACAGCACAGTTATTCTACTAATCCTCAATTTCTCACTGGAAGTAGAGGACCCCCTTGAAACTTGAGTGAGGTGAGTTAAGGACCAATAAAAGGAAGTATTACTTTACAAAGAAAATAATAAACGTATGGAGCTCATTATCACAAAAGAGGTACAGGCAAGGAATATAAATGGATTCATAAAGGTTTTGACCAAATTTATGAATGTCAGAGCCATAAATGGCTACTGAGAGTACACCTAACCTTTAAGGTTAATGTCAGGGAGGAAAACTATGTCCTTCCCTGGCAAATCCCTTGAGGCCTCTGTTGTCAACACAATATTAGGTTGGATGGAACATGGGCTTTTCCAGCAGAGCAATTCCAAAGTTCCTTTTAGCTAATAGGAAACAGGACCAGATGAACATCCATCTCTTCAATAGAAGCATAAATGAAATGGATCCATTTTAAATGGGAAGCTTAATGAAATGATGCTGTTGAAATTTGTTATTTCTATAATCAAGGTTGTGTGTGTGTGTGTGTGTGTGTATATATGTATCTCCAAAGTGTGTGTGTGTGTATATATATATACACTTTTTTGTTTATATAAACAAGAAAAAAGATTTAAGTTTTTGGAATTGGAAGAAAGCCAATATTTGCAATGTTTGAATCCAGGCCCTGGTGCAAGTTACTTCCCATTCAGTGCCTCAGCATTCTCACATGTAAAATGGGGAGAATAATCCCCATGGTAAGGGCATTTTGTGAGAGTCATGCTAGAAAGCACTTTGTAAACTGAGAAACAAAATATATATATAGTTGCTGTAGCATATAGCCAGCTTTAAGCAAATCTCAATCATTTTAGCAGAAGGCTTGTGAGACACATGAGATTGGAAGGCTCCTCACTTTATTTTTCCTGGGAGAATTAATACAAATATTCAAAAAGTACTCAAGACCCAAGTCAAATGCCCTCTCACAATGGCAGGGTTTCTTTCTCCTCTAAATTTCCAGAACATTTTAGTCATGTCTCAGTTAGACTATTTGTATTATGATTTGTCTGCTAATTTACCTCCTTCATTTAACTATGAGATCTTCTAAATCAGAGGCCTTGTCTTATTCATCTCTGCATCCCTAATACTTATCATAGTTCCTCATATATAGTTGGCAATTAATGGAAGTGAATAAATCACTTAATGTGTTACTAATCCTGTTGTCTCCACCTCACACTTCACAGTCATGGAATAAAGGAATGATCCAACTATAAAATGCAATAAACCGATCATGGCTAAGGTACAAAGTCAAGACCAAGCCTATGCTTGGTCTCATTTCTGGGCTCCAGTCTCTAACTCCCTTATTGTGGAGAGAATAGTGTCTTGGTTCTATTTGCATGAAAAATAAAAAGCAAAACCTGAATTACAGAGTAGTGAAATCTTCACCAAGTGCACATGCGTAAAATCCTAAAAATCTCTTGATTTCCTAAAACTACAGTTTTTAACTCTTTAAAATAAGATGAACACTATATAATTCTGACCATGGCCTCACATTTTAGGTAAGTACACCATTGCAGAGCATCTGATGGCCACTATCATGATCCACAAATAGAAAACAGCCTTGTTATCTACAGAATTCAATGCAGGGGTCAAAATGAATGTTAAAATACAACCTGCATATTTAGTCCATGACATGAACAAACAATTGTAGGTATTTAGATCTAGTGCCTGGATTGCAAATGCTCAACTTTATCCTTAATGGCCGATTTCCAAGCATACTTCTGGTTCCATGAGCTTGACTCAATGGACTAAATGCTTTTCTTCTTTTCCCATAAGTTAGGGTGGTTCTGCTTTATCAGATTTTTTTAATGCCTAGAAAATGTTCTCCTCTTGTTTATGAAGTTAGAAGGGTAAACAGGAAAGAGACTGCTGGCATTAAATAAATATGCATGTATACAGATGCACAGGTGTGTATGCTCACATGTAACCCTGTTTTCACTTAACAGCAGTTGAAAGAATGAGAGTGAAATGGGTCAATAAGCCACTGGACACCAGCATTTTCTTCAGCATCCCCAGGGGCCAGTCCCACCCTACCGCTGCCTTTGTGAGGGCACTCTCTGGCCAGTTTTGCTCAGCACATTCATTTAGCAGTTGGCATTTTTGTTGTGAAGCTGACCTTCTGCTCCTCTGAGTTCCTAAATGCTATCCACTAATATAACAGTTTTTCTTGTCAAAGGGATTGTAATGAATGTTTATTTCAGATCTACACTTCTTAGCTTATCTGTAGCCAGACTGACTTTGCTGCCTTCAGATTTCAGCTGTTTTATTCCCCAAGGCTAAATTTACATTGGTAATTAATAATATCCTTGCTTATTCTGACCAAATACATACATATAAATGTATCTTCCACCTCTCTGCATCATAAATGCATCTTACACTTATCTTATTGTCATTATTTCCTGCTGTCAGTCTCATATTGGAATACGCAACATTGCTGTACTTTGTCATGGTGAAAAGTTTGTCCTGCAAATGCTCAGTTTCTTAGGTCTTCCGTGAATGGCTGTGCTTATCTCATGTGTGCTTCTAGGCATCTCCAGGGCTCTGCATTTAACTTCATACTTCTAAAAGCATCTGTACAGAGGTAATATTAATGTTATTGCCACAGACAGGCAGAGCCTCATTTCTCTCTGCTTTGACTGAAAATGCCTGTTCATAGTGAAAATGTGCAGACATTGGCATTCTTGTATGAGGTTGGAATGTGTGTGGGTCCAGCCATTGACAGCAGGAAGAAATAAGACACAACTGCCAGATGGCTTGGTTTAAAAAAAAAATACCAGTCAAGATTTGCTAGTGATCCATAACCATTAAAATTATTTTCCCAAAGGATTCTCTATTCCGAGGCTGGAAAAATATTCCTGAATTCACTCTCAGTTCTGAGATGGGGTTGCGTGAAAGAGTGGGTGATTTAAAGATCACTTATCTCCCAGAATAGGTACTTAAACTAGACATACTGGGTGTTTAAAATTCTCGATATAAGGATATGACTGCTATCATCTTTAAATTTTTTGAAGATCTGATTTAGAATTCATAGTAGGAAGGCAGAAAGTAGTAGAATGAAGATTGAATTTGGAGTTAAGTTCTAGTCTCTACCATTAAGTGGTTATCTTTAGTGTATCCCTAAGCCTCAGTTTATTTTCTATATGTTGGAGATAAAATCTGCACTCTCTAGGTCATAGTCATAGTATTGTTTAAAGATCTTAAGATAAAAATGTGCAGAAATGAACTCTGTAAACCATCCAGTGCTATGAATCCAAATTGCTGTTATAAACTAACACAGAAGTTCCTGAGTGGGGGAAAAAATTAATAAGAAACCTATTAATGGCCCTGGTAGCTTTTGCAACCTGGGTTTCCTTAGATCATTCATGTTGTAACTTTCATGTTGTTGGTTTGATCATTAGATTAATTCACTTTATATTGTTTTCTTATTTTATCCCCGAACAACTCAAACCCAAGCTGAATTATAACAACAAATAATAATGTTTAGGAAAAAAAAGTCTGGTCCCAAACAATGGTAACTATTATAAATTTTTGACATGCACACTGGAAACAAGAATTTCAGTAGAAAATAATTAGCTTGTTGTCTTTGCGTTCATTTAAGTTAAAGTGATGGTTACACTGAGACATTACTGATTCTTCACTTGACACATCCACTCAGTGTTTCCACTAGGATTTCAGTGATCCTAGACCCTTCCCCACTAATGAGAATGCCACCTTCACACCCAGTGTGCTTCTTCTGTTCTATCTGTGGACTCCATGCTCTTTGCAGCCACTGCCTCCTTCTCTCTAGTTGGCTGCTGGATGCTGTGGACCCGCTCAGTTGCCCCGATGAAGTATGAACTGGGTGAACACTTGCTGTATGAGTGAGTGATGCCACATGCCTCTTCTCCTTTAAGGCCCATATATGAAGGCACTGCTGGTGGAGGCAGCAGAGTGAGTCAAATCTCACAAATGACCATCACCAAATTCAACATCCCCAAATTCCTGTGCCCAGTAAATGTGATAACTTTTTCCTAAGATACAATCAAAGGGTAAATAAAATAGAATGCCATCTGTCCTGAAGAATACTTTCCCAGGGTGAGGCTTCTCTAACAGCTTCTGCATTACAGACTATCAAAAGACAGCATTCTGGAACGTTCTGAAAGTAGAGAGGGAGAGAGAGAGCAAATACTGCACAGAGGTGTCAGGATTACTAAGCACTGAAATATTTTTATTTTTATTTTTATTTATGTATTTTTTTGAGACGAAGTCTCACTCTGTTGCCCAAGTTGGAGTGCAGTGGCGTGATCTTGGCTCACTGCAACCTCTGCCTCCCGGGTTCAAGCAATTCTCCTGCCTCAGCCTCCCAAGTAGCTGGACTACAGGCACATACCACCAGGTCTGGCTAATTTTTGTATTTTTAGTAGAGACGGGGTTTTCACCATGTTGGCCAGGCTGGTCTCGAACTCCTGACTTCGTGAGCTGCCCACCTCGGCTTCCCAAAGTGCTGGGATTACAGGCGTGGGCCACCATGGCCAGCCATCTTTATTTCTCAACTATTATTCCACATCAAAGAGAAGTTCACATTTTAACAGAAGATAGACGTAACCTCTGGATGAAACTGCAAGTCTATAGTCTTTAACTGTGTTCATTACCATATTAGGTAATAATGACTATGGACATATAATTATTGATTACTGCTTTTAAAATAACCATGCTATTGAGTAGCCATGAACATAAAACTATGAGGTTATAATAGAAAATAAATTCGGCTCTGAGCATATAAAAATTTCAATTAAAAAAACATACAATAAGAGACACTGTTCCAGAATTACATGTTTTTGGTTGATCTTTCACCATTCATGTTATGCAGCCTTCCGTGCTGCAAAACCTGGCAATGATTAAGAACAACATGCAGCATCGAAATCACAATAATGGCACTGGATATTACAATACTGAAGTGAAACCGAACAGTTTTCATTTCAGATTCCATGATTTGTTAGTCCAGTCATGTGACACGGGACAAGTCACTTTATTTATATTCAGCCTTTTAGTTTATACATTGAACCTCCTGGGCTCCTGTGGGATTGAAAAATGTTGATGACAGAGGGTGTAAGTCTTTATAAACTCTGAGTTTCCAGTTCTGTTTTTAAAACATTGCTTGGATTAAATCAGCAAATTGTACTGTTATTTTGTGACTTTGGAAGGCTGAGCTCTTCATCTCTGCTTTTATTATAACGACTGTTACTAAAACTGACACTCATGACCCCATTACCCACCAGGACGATCAGGCATTCTCTTCAGGTGTGTGTTGTTTTATCACTAAACTTAGTCACTTTACTAAAGTAACTTCAGACGGGCTTTAGATTTGAGGGCAGGCTGTAAAACTAACAAGAAAAAAGGAAAATTTAAAGATATGGACACAGAGTGATGGGTTGCCTTCCTAATCATGTATTCAGAGGCTGAAAGCCCAGAGAACCTGGGCAATTGCTAACCTGCAGTATCTGGAGCAACCAGCAATCTAATGTGAAATTCCTTTCATCTTCCCTCCACACTCCTGTGAAAACCAGGAGGATTTCTGAGAGGCACAGAGATTCTCAATCGTTGCAACGAGGCAGCTTTCTTGTAGTGTGAGTTCATGAGAGGAAGGGCAATTTCATGTTAAACATACACACAAGATGACAGGGAAGGGGGCGAGCTGATAGCCCAAAATACATATGCAAACCCTCCCTTGGAAGCTTGCTTTTCACTCTCTTGTACAAAGTCAATGGAAACCAAGGAACTACCATTCCAGAATTGTCGCCTGCTTTAATCCTTAATAACCAAATAAAAATGGGCAGCCCGTATTCGGGAGCAGCTCTAGCAAGCAGACCTCTAGGAAACAAGGCTCCCTGCAGACTTTCCCTTGATCTTAAAGCTTAACTTGAAACATTTATATGCACGGAGCACCTGGCCAGGAGATGTGAGAAGGCCTTTTTTTTTTTTTCTTTTTTTCACCTTGGCTCCATTTCTTTCTTTAATAATAAATTCTCAGTTTTCTTTTTTCCCTTCTTGGAAACTGATTCCACTCTAAATAATGTTTTTTGTTCTTTCTTAATAGTTTAAGAAAAGCAAGACAAACTTGAAAACCCCCCATTAACATCCATCAGGCTCCCCGCCTGCCGATCGGTATCATCTTCACTTTAGGAAAGATGAAGCAGAAAGTCAGTGTAGGTTAATTCCAATCAGGTTGAGAACTTCTTTTGTTTGAATTCAAAGGGCTCAGGTTAACCTATTATGCAATTTAGTACCAACTGGCTGCACAAATCTTCTTTCACATACCTTGCTGGGTGAAGAAGTGATGAGTGCAGAAACTTGTTCTGACTGCACCAGTTTAAATACGCAGGTGTTTGAATTATGGTCAGAAGTTTAACAGAGGAGGAAAGCTCATATCTGTCCTACAATGGTAACACCATCTGAGTCACATCCTCAACAAGGTTATAATGCATTTAATGGTAAAAAATATACACAGAGTCTGATATAAAGACTTTCCCTCAAATCGGGTCAAAACTAGGACAGATGCTTTATAGTTATTTTGAAATAAATGTATGTAAAGAAGGGAGTACCAGCTCATGAGTATCACCAGCCTCTCTCCTCCTTTCTTTCTTCCGTCTTTCATTCCTTCTTTCCTGCACATTTTGATTTCACAAAAGAATTTAAAGCATACCTGAAGACACACACTACACAGGATATAATAAATAGCTGAAATTGGAGCAAAAAAGAAAATAGACAAGAAAACTAATGCTGAAGGAAATATTCCAAAATATATATAAATGCAAACCATTCACTCCTGTATGGTTGCTGGAAAGTGGAAGGTGGAACTTTGGCTGGATGGATGCCCTGACTCTAGTCCAGTCCCCAGCACCAATGCTCAAGAGATGCCCAATTCATCTCCTCAACTCCCACCTAGCCCTCCTCTAATCTCAGTCTCCATACCTGAGTGATACCTCTAAAAAGCAAATCAGATGAGGTCTTATCATTGCTTCAACATGTTAATGACTGCCCCCTATACATAAGATAAAGTCAGAATTCCTCAGTGTAGCTTATAATACTAGCCTGACCCGGCACCTCACTGCTGTCCACCTCTCTGGCAGTCTCAGCACCCCACCAGCTACTCTGCCCTCTGGTCACACCAGACCTCGTTCAACAATTCAAATATGTCCTTTCCTGCACAGTTTTTTCAGTGAGGCTCCTCTGCCTCTCCACCAGCTGAACTTGCACTTAAACTTCCTCCAGTTCTGGGTCATGCTCCTCAGACTGGAGTAGGTGCTCCCGAAGCATGTTCCCACCTGTCCTTCCTCGTCACAGCACCTGTCACACTTCATTATTTACTTACCAGCTTGCTTTTGCTGTTTGAGAATGCACTCTTGGAGAGTTCGAGCTGGGTCTAGGTTGCTCCTTATTTCCAGCATCTATCAGAGTGCCTGACATATCACTACTGCTTACCGATACATTATTGTTGTCACATGCATAAATCATAACAACTGACATTAATTAAACATTCACCATGGGCTAAAAAAGATGCACCATGTTTTACCTTCTTTATCTTTGTAGAAAAAAACATTTATTCTTCAAAATAAAGCCATTATCTTTCTTCATAGTAAAGCTATGAGGTACGTTATTATTATCTTCATTTTACAGATAAGGAAACTGAACCTGCAAGCTCAGACAAATGCTTCCCAACAGCCTAAGCAATAAACAGACAATGTTCAGTTACAAAATTTATAGTGGAAAAAATTCACAATTGTTGGGGAGAAACATGATTTTTCGCAGATCATAAAACTTAAAATATTAATTCCCATGAGTTATGTGAAAGCATTCGCCAATGGCCTGATTGTATGGATGGCAGCCTGCAGAATCCCTACAGTGAACAAAGTAACAGGCTTTATAAGGCCCCTTGCTAGTGTCTCTCAATACAAGCAATAGCACAACACGAAAGCACAATTCACCAGGCTCCAGCCTACACCAGGCAAAACACACAGCTCTCCTGTGGCCTGGCTTAAACCAAGGGGTTATTTAATTTTGCCAAAATCAAACCTAGCAAATATTCATGTTGTGACTTTGAGATCATTTTCCCCCTGAGAAGAGGGAGGAAAAGGAGAGTCCATAAGAAGAAAAGGCAAGGACTAGAGACTTACTCTGAAGAGAAGGGTGACACAGGTCTGCATAGGAGCTGCCTTTGCCAGCATAGTCTTCCTGACTAATTTCTGAAAAGACATGCTGACCTGGGCCTGACGCTTCCTCCGCCACCTGGAGGCTTTGGTCTCAGTAGCTCTAGGAGCCTTTCTGCTCTCATGGGCCCTGAATCTATGTCCAAGTTACAAATGGCTGCTTTTGGGGGGAGAGGGAGGGTAGTTTATTTTGTTATATTTAAAAGTGACAACCCTGCCCCCAGACCAAAGCTTTGGGTTTGTTTGGGGTTTGATCATCAAAATGGAGAGTTAGTCAAGCAAGGCAATTCTGACTACTTCCTCCTCACCATCTGGGTGCCACCAAGATATAAAGCCTTTGGCAGCAGAAAACCCGTGCACACATACATATGCCTGCACATGCATGCGCTCACAGGTCTTCTTTTGTGTTGGGTGCAACAGCCCATTTTGGAACTCTGTGCCATTTGCATGTGTATTTCCAAGCCTGATGAAAATTTTTTCCCTGAAACAACCGAGCTTTTACCAATTATTACCCATCAGTGTTTCACTATCTTGGAAGCATTCTCCCTACAGCCCTACTGTGGTCATTTTACTCCATTCCACCTACTGCAATATGAAAAGAAATCTTAGACCATGTGAATAGAGAGGTCGAAAGAGAGCAAATTTTCTCTTTAGTTGCAATAGTATGATCTCTAAAAAAATTATTTATTTATGGGCTGGGCGCGGTGGTTCACGCCTGTAATCCCAGCACTTTGGGAGGCCGAGGCAGGCGGATCACGAGGTCAGGAGATTGAGACCATCCTGGCTAACACGGCAAAACCCCGTCTCTACTAAAAATACAAAAAAAAATTAGCCGGGCGTGGTGGCAGGTGCCTGTAGTACCAGCTACTCGGGAGGCTGAGGCAGGAGAATGGCGTGAACCCAGGAGGCAGAGCTTGCAGTGAGCCGAGATCGCGCCACTGCACTCCAGCCTGGGCGACAGAGCGAGACTCCGTCTCAAAAAAAAAAAATTAGTTATATATGTTAGTATTTCTCTGTTAAAGCCATGCACGTATGCATCTGTTTTTAAAATATACACTTGTCTTTCAGACATTTGCAGTATTTCTCAACCTTTAAATAGCCTTCAGGAAAATGACTCTAACATAGATAATGTAAATTTGAACAATATAGACTCCCTTTTTCTCTGGAAGACACAAAGAATAAAATATTATCCATAAAAGTCTGGAAGTTTTAGTTTAAAAGAATAAATGCTAGAATCTTTAGAATATTTACCACCCACTTATTTGCTTCTAGGACATTTTGTAAATTGATGAGCCCAATTCTATGAAGTAGAAGAGAATAAAGCTGTCCACTTACATTCTTCCTACTAGTCAGCCATGAAATTTAAAATTTTATGATACTAGATTTATATGATATTTCTATGTATGGTTTTTGATATTACATCCTGAGTTTCTTTTGATTCAACATTTACTAGTTATTTAATTTCCTGTTCCCTGAAAAAAATGGAAATGGTGAAAAGTTTGAAATGACAGAAAAGAGAAGATTGAACTCCTTGAGAAATAAGTCCAAACTTTAGAGGCAAAATGACAAACATAAAACATAAAGAAGTCAGTATATCTGTCCTGGCAAAGAAAAGAAAAGTTCTCCATTTTTCTAGTAAGAAAAAAAAGTAATAATCTTAAATTTAGGAAGGGAAATTGAGGTTAGATTCCTAAACAATGGAATCATCTGGGTGGTGAGGGGCAGAATTTGTCCAGTCTATCAGGAAGTAAAGATTAGAGTAGACAATATCATCTTAGAGAGTGCAGGACACAAACATTGTAAATGTAGTCCAACCTGGAAGAAGCGTGGAATGCAGTTAATGATTTCTGGAGGACAGTTCCTTCCAGTCCTAAGAATCGGCAATTTGCCTACCATTTAGTAAATAGCCTTTACTTAGTGGAGGGTAGCCTAATGCTTTAAAAAAATAAAACATCTATCACAGCCCCTGCTCATTAGTACTATACAGACCTCAAGAATCTTTGGTGCTGTATTAATGCCAAGTACTCTCTCACTTAAGTGGTACAGCCTATATTCCATTAGAGACGGGTAAGAAGAGGCACCAGTTCTTTTTAGCAATCAGTTTTTTTTTTAAATTGCCCATCTTCATCTTAAACTTTTCGATAGCTTGTCAAAATAAGGGACAGTGGAAGCACACAACATAACAAAATATAAACACCAAACCTAGTCCTTGCGAGAAAACTCCCCAGCATTCCCTACCCTGTTCAATCACGCTGCTCATTAAACAAGTCATTTTAATACTCACTGTCAGCCCAATCTTCTAGGTGCCAGGATTTTCTTTTGAAGAGAGAAGGTACTCTGTGGGCCAGCCTTGCAGAAGGGTAAACATTTGGAAACCAGGACAGGGTTTTCTAGTATTTAAGATCTGGCATCTTCTAAATTTAGGGGTACTCCCTTTCCTGCTTTTTGGGCTTAAAATATTTTTAAATTTTACTTTATTTTAATTTTTTAGTTTGCACAGACACAATGTGCTGTGAAACACACCTCAAGTGTCTTTTAAAAATTAAAACAGGGTTGATTTGTAGTGTCAATGATTCCTGCTAATCAAAATCACTGACAATTTTTCAGGAGGGAAGAAGTATGGTTTAGCCCTCTCACTAGAGAGCATTGCTTCATTTTTCTGTTTTGATCTAAATCTGAATGTTTTCCTGCAGATAATTCTCTTGCATTTTTTAAAGGGGAGAAACAGGCAATAAAATTCTAAGAAAATAAATGTTTATTTGGACACACAAATTTCTATCCCTGACCCCAGGTGCATGAGCGGAGCTTCAGGTCCCTCTGCTGGTCCAGCTCAGTGGGAGCTGTCAAGGGCAGGTTCAGAGACTTCTACCTCTAAATGAAAACTTGTAAATAGAATGTTGTGTTTACTCTTCTCCTATGGCCAAGGACCATCACTGGAATGCAGGGAGTGGTAAGTGTGGACTCCAACTATGACAGGAAAATCAAGCAGCCGCCCAGACAGAATTTCTCTAAGTTGTGTATCTGACTCAGAAGTCAATGTACATTTCAATACATGCTCCATTTTCTAACCATGCTTTTTTGAAATTGTCTTTTAAAAATTAGAAGTGGTTTTTGTGAACTAGAAAATTTATAAGAAGCTCCTTGTCTTTAAAGTCAAGGATTTATTTAAAAAACTAGAGAAACAAGAAGAAAGAAGGCAAGAGAATGTGACAAAGCAGTAATTTTCCCAGACTCTTAACTTCTAGCAACAAAAATCTGTGTAAGTATAGTTTGGAGATCAGTAGACTTGACTCTTTTAAACCGGAGAGTCATGCTATGGTATTCTGGTACTCTTTTTCTATGAGAATAAAACTGGCTTTTAATGTTTAAACATTATGTGTAGCTTAACTGTAAACCCATTCAAGAAAGCACCATTCTCTTTAATTATCATTATGAGGGCCTTTATACACATTCATGAATTAACACCAGAAAAGGATAGTGCTATTTTGTAATACTAGTCTTCGTTATATTTTCATATCATTTTTAAATACAAAAATATAATATTAGAGAAAGAAAAAAAACTAATGAGGTCACTTAATTCAAATGAGCCAAGGCAAATAATATTTGAACAGTGATTAATTGGTCTAAAGCTATCACCTTAAACCAAAGAGTTAATAATGATCCAGAACAAATAATGACAGAAATATATATTTATTTAGATATATATATCTGTATATGTGTGTACATACGTGTATATGTGTGTATATACGTGTATATACACACATATACACGTATATATGTATATATACGTGTATATACACACATATACACGTATATACACACATATACACGTATATATATACGTGTATATATACACACATATACACGTATATATATACGTGTATATATACACACATATACACGTATATATATACGTGTATATATACACACATATACACGTATATATATACGTGTATATATACACACATATACACATATACACGTATATATACGTGTATATACACACATATACACGTATATATACGTGTATATACACACATATACACATATGTATATATACGTGTATATACACACATATACACATATGTATATATACGTGTATATACACACATACACATGTGTGTACATACACACAAGTGTATGTACACACATACACACGTGTACATACACACAAGTGTATGTACACACATACACACGTGTGTACATACACACAAGTGCATGCACACACATACACACGTGTGTACATACACACAAGTGCATGCACACACATACACACGTGTGTGTACATACACACAAGTGCATGCACACACATATACACATATATACATACATATACACATGTGTATATACACATGTGTATATACATACATATACACATGTGTATATACACATATGTGTATATAGATACATATACACATATGTGTATATACACATAAGTGCATATACATACATATACACTTATGTGTATATACACATAAGTGTATATATGCGTGTATATACGTATATAAACACATATGTGTATATATGTGTGTGTGTGTATATATATATAGACAGAGAGAGAAAGGGAGAGAGACAGACACAGAGAAAGAGAAAGTGACAGGGAGAAAAAGAGAAGAGGGAAAATGGGAAATGACAAAGAAAAATACTACTTCACATAGCTGATGGGACCCTCAAAATTATCCGAAATGATAATGACATTTTATGTTATACATCCTAGTATTTAACAGAATAACAATAGAGACACATCCTTCTGCAATGTCTGAAATTATTCCTGCAGAAATCCACCCCTCCCCAGTGCAAGGATCCCCATTCTGAGAAACACACAGGAATGGCAACCCATGTGCGAGCCATCTTTCTCATCACATCAATCCCAACTCACACGTGGGTCTGATCACCTTTCTTTCAGACACACAGGGTGAATGAATATTAATTACAATTGTTAAAGCCCTACTATCTTTACAATGAATTCAACTTTCTAGTAATTGAGATATTTGAGTATTTTTAATGAAGACCATTTTGCTAAAATAAAAAAAAAAGTGTGGCAATTTTAAATTAAGTTGACTTAAAATTCATATTATTTGAAGGATTCTGTTGCTAAAGGAATTAAGGACACGAAGACCACTTCCAAACTTGTTGATAATCAGAAGCAGATGGAGGTGCTATTAAAAACTCAGATACCCATGCCCACATCAGAGCTACTAAATCAGAATCTCTGAGGACGGGTTCCTGGAATTTTATTTATTTATTTAGCTTCCAGATTTGGAAATCACTGCTCCAGGATGTTGCAAAATCAAGAGAGATGTTAAATGATTTGAATGAAAACATATTTCAACATCTGGGCAGTTCTCTGTAGCCACAAAGACTAGAAGAGCCGAGGCCACACCATCTCCAAATGCACCAGGTACAAATGTCTGTTATCCAAAAATGCACAGAAATAGAATACTGTGTAGTACACTTTTTAGGTAAATGAATTGAAAAATCATAATTTAATATGCTGTACCTTGTTCCCATTGTACAGAGTGATGTATTTAAATTACTAGCTTTTGCATTTTTACTTTTTAAAATTGGTTGTTGGAAAATTAAATCTGTCTTGCTTATTGGGAGTCAAAGCTGCAACATAAAAGAACAATGTTGCCATCTAGTGGTCAATTGAAGACATTAATGAATCAGACCATTGCGAGAAGTTTCAAGTTGAAGGAAAAGACAGCTCAGGAAATAATGTAAATATATTTCATAAACCTAAGACCTGAAACTACAAATATTCTAGAAGGTAACATTGGAAAAACCCTTCTAGACATTGGCTTAGGCAAGGATTTCATGACCAAGAACCCAAAAGCAAATGCTATAAAAACAAAGATAAATAGCTCTAATTAAAGAGCTTTTGCACAGCAAAAGGAACAGTCAGCAGAGTAAACAGACGACCCACAGAGTGGGAGAAAATCTTCACAATCTATACATCTGACAAAGGACTAACATCCAGAATCTACAACGAACTCAAACAAATCACTAAGAAAAAAACAAACAATCTCATCAAAAAGTGAGCTAAGGACATGAATAGACAATTCTCAAAAGAAGATATACAAATGGCCAACAAACATGTGGGAAAATGCCAACATCACTAATGATCAGGGAAATGCAAATCAAAACCACAGTGTGATACCACCTCACTCTTGCAAGAATGGCCATAATCAAAGAATCAAGAAACAGTAGATGTCAGTGTGGATGCAGACATCAGGGAACACTTCTACACTGCTGGTGGGAATGTAAACTAGTACAGCCACTGTGGAAAACAGTGTGCAGATTCCTTAAAGAACGAAAAGTAGAACTGCCATTTGATCCAACAATCCCACTACTGGGTATCCACCCAGAGAAAAAGAAGTCATTATTTAAAAGGTACTTGCACACGCATGTTTATAGCAGCACAATTCACAACTGGAAAATTGTGGAAACAACCCAAATGTCCATCAATCAATGAGTGGATAAAGAAACTGTGATATATATATATATATATGATGGAATACTAAGCAGCCATAAAAAGGAATGAATTAACCGCATTTTCAGTGACCTGGATGAGATTGGAGACTATTATTCTAAGTGAAGTAACTCAGGAATGGAAAACCAAACATCTACGTTCTCACTGACATGTGGGAGCTAAGCTATGAAGCTGCAAAGGCATAAGAATGATACAGTGGACTTTGGGGACTTGGGGGGAAGAGTGGGAGGGGGGCGAGAGATAAAAGACTACAAATATGGTGCAGTGTATACTGCTCAGGTGATGGGTGCACCAAAATCTCACAAATCACCACTAAAGAACTTACTCATGTAACCAAATACCACCTGTACCCCAATAACTTATGGAAAAATAAAAAAATTCAATAAATAAATAATAAAATAATTGCTTATACCATTTCCTTGATGATGCTAGGAAATTTTACCAGTTTAACTCCATTTACCACCAACTCATCTTTTGTATTATTGTCATGCATTTTGAACTTCATAGATATTTTTATTCTCAAAATAAATTGTTTTTGCACAGTCATTAAAAAAATTTAGTAAAAAAAATTCTATTATTGAGGGGATTTCTCCCAACTACAGATGCTACTACCACCAGACCCCCTTAATCTTCATGCTAGTTTCTAGCTCTAAAATCAAAGTATTGGTCAGTTGACAACAAGGTTGTGTTTCATTTGACTCTAACAATAGTATGACAAATCCTCTCATGTTTGTGTATTTGTGAAGGTTCTAAGGTAGATGTTAATACCGGGAGTTTCTCAAATCATCAGTGATACCACCCTTTGAAGCTATGGCTGGGCTACTAGTTTCTTCCAATTACTCAAGCTGCCAAGGAAGCTGTGAGCCTTTGAAAGGGAGATTTCAGCCCCTTCCCCACTTCTGACATCTTAGGGGGTCACATTGCTGCTCCAAGTATTCTCTCTAGAAGCCATCCTAGACTGAGCCTGCCTATGTTCCAAGGACTCAGCTGTGTGAGGGAGTTGGCCTCCCAAATCATCTGGATGAGGAAGACTTTCATGTCTGCACATGCACACTTGACCATAGATATTAGTGCACATATGATCAGCAAGTAAGGAAAGGAATAAATCAAAGAGGTATATTATAAGTAATTTTAGTCATTTTAATTTTAAATAATTGGTTTCATCTAAGTGATCTCAATTAGGTCATGATATGTCTTAAGTTGAATGTTACTCTAGCTTAATTTTTTTGTTTCTGAGAGTTCCAAGACTGGTCTGAGGACAGCCATCTTTAATAGATGGTGTGTCTTTGAAAGGTGGAGTGTATAACATTATATTTCAAAAAGCAGCAAAGTAACTCTTACACATTGAAACAGGGTCCCCTAGTAGAGCAGAGGTCCCTAAAGAGCTTCTTAGATGGAAATCCCAGTCACTACTACTAGTAATCTATTCCTTCTACTTCTCACTTAATGGGACCTATTTCTGTGTTTACCTGAACAAAAGGTATTCTTATGCAAGATTTGTTTCTTGATTAATTTAGGCAATCTGTATTTCCTATCTAATCCCTTGGAAATGAAAAGGCGCATGATCGGTGTGAGAGAATGGGTTTATAGAAAGCCTCCACTAGCCCTCTTGAAGAATTTACGGGTAGCCTGAGGCCAAGGAGATACAGTAGGGCTTTCCTGTTCCAGTCTGTGCACATGCAGGAAGATCTGCCAGGAGAGAATATCTAAGGATAACCCAGAGAAAGGGTGATAGAGAATACAAGGCTTATAGCAGCCTTTCAGCTTATATTGCAAACTCCTTGCTGGTAAGGCCTTAGATATTGGGTTTATTGTGTGATTACATGGCCAAGGGAATGTGGTGGGGGATGGTTTCTATGTACCAGAAACTGCTTAGAAAAATTAGCTCATTTAATCCTTGGAACAACCCTTGGAGGTAGGTAGGATCATTATCCCCATTTTATAAATGAGGATATAAGCTGCATTTCTTTCTTTTATCAGTTTATTGTGCTTCCTTTTTGTCACTCTCTAATTTATGACAGTGGAGCAGAAGGAAAAACACAGGTTTCTTTGAACTTCTGGTAGCTTGGTCATCAAATGTATAAATATATACATGTATATGCTTATTCTGCAAATACTTTTTGAGCACCTACTATATGCAAGGCATTTGCTTGATACTGTTGAAAATGGGAAGATAAATGCCAAACTGCAGCAATCAAATGCTCACAGCCAGTACAGGAGATTAAAAAATAAAGACTTAAACTTCACTGTGATAGTGCAATAACGCAATTGATTATTTCAAAAAGAGAGGAATGGAACCAGTGAATCCTGCAAATCTCTGTGAACCAGAACTCATCCACAGCTTGACCCCAGTAGATAAATAGCTTCTTTTTTTTTTTTTTTTTGAGATGGAGTCTCGCTCTTGTCACCCAGGCTGGAGTGCAGTGGTGTGATCTCGGCTCACTGCAACCTCCGCCTCCTGGGTTCAAGTGATTCTTCTGCCTCAGCCTCCTGAGTAGCTGGGATTACAGGTACCCGCCACTATGCCGAGCTAATTTTTGTATTTTTAGTAGAGACAGGGTTTCATCATGTTGGCCAGGCTAGTCTCAAACTTCTGACCTCAGGTGATCCACCCACCTCAGCCTCCCAAAGTGCTAGGATTACAGGTGTGAGCCACCACACCCAGCCACAGATTAACAGCATTTTTGGAACATATCATTCACTGACTCCCAACATATCATTCCCTGACTAGATCTTAGCTTACAATTCACCAAGCAACCACAGGAGAATGGTAGAACCGGCCCAGAGGATGCAACCCGGGGCATGGAATTGTGAGGAAGATGCACCCAAGAAGAGCAGCAGCAACCTGCTCATTAGCACTACCGCGGAGCCACGGCTTTGACACCTGTCCAGTAACAGGAATGGGTTCTATCATATTCACAAAACAGTCAAAGGTTCTCCTGACTTCATTCTGATATACAGTATCTTATAAGAATGGTCTAGAATGCCGCCTAGTTTTTCACACATTCATGGAAAAATGACTGCACATTGCCCCTCTCTGGATCTGATATGAAAGACTGTTAGACAGGCATGGCAGCTAACTCCTGTAATCCCAGCACTTTGGGAGGCTGAGGTGGGAGGCTTCCTTGAACCCAAGAGTTTGAGGCTGCAGTGGGCTATGATGGCACCACTGCACTCCAACCTGGGCAACAGAGCAGAGCAAGATCCTGTCTCTGAAGAAATAAACATTTAAAAAAACTGTTTTTAAAAAGACTGCCTAGCTAGCCAAGCCCCTCTCTCCACCTTAAATCGTGCCTCTACCTACTCGCTGTCTTAGACCTTTTCATCACTGAGGGTTTTCTGTCACTCTGTATCTGCTATTTACTTCTGTGTCAGTTAGGGTCCCAAAAAGATTACTCAGATTAAGTTATCTGAAAGGGCTCAGGAAATTTCACAAAGCACACTCACCTAAGACTTCAAATAAAGGTAAAAGCTCAGGTATACCAAGAGAAAGAGATGGCACTCAAGCACTGGGAATCTGAGACATCTCCAGGCACTGTGTTTCTTCTGATTTGTGTGAGGAGGTGCTTGCTCTCCAGATTAAATAACCAAGACTTGTGATATGAACTTGGCTTCTCAAAACCTCTAGACAGCAGTCTCCCCAAACCCCTCACCCCTTTGTTAGCCAAGACAGGCAACTGGTCACACCAGGTGAAAGCTATCAACAAACATTCTGGCCCTGGGTTTCGCCAGGGGACTTCTGGACTGTAAACAGTGCATTGCAAATCACTGATTAGTTGGTTAGTTAGCCCACTGACCTTAAATTGGCCAAGTGTCAAAGCAAAGCATCCAGGCATTCATGGAGGTCAGCATGGAGATGCCCCAGTCAAGCTGTAAAAATAACTGTATGACACAGGCATGAGCAAAAGAAACTGATTCTGATTAACTTAAGCAGCAGGGAATTTAGTTAGACTTGGGAACAGGCACATAGCAAGGCAGGCCCTGGACAAGGTAGCGGGAATGACAAGGTGCTGCCAGGACCTAATGGAGTTACAATCAGTTTTTCAGTTCTTTTGTCTCTCTATTCATAGTTCAAATTCACAGCAAAAAGAACATTTCAATAACTAGACTTGGGTTGTGTATCTGTCCCCAGTCTAAGTAAGTATGGGGCTCCTGATAACAGTTAAACTAGACTGGGTGAGAACTAATTTCTGAAAAGAAAATTGTTGTTAGAAAGGCAAAATTGGCCAGGCTCAGTGGCTCACGGCTGTAATCCCAGCACTTTGGGAGGCCGAGGAGGGCAGATCACTTGAGGTCAGGAGTTTGAGACCAGCCTGGCCAACATGACGAAACCCCATCTCTACTAAAAATAAAAAAATTAGCCAGGTGTGGTGGTGGACACCTGTAATCCTAGCTACTTAGGAGGCTCAGGCAGGAGAATCACTTGAACCCGGGAGGCAGAAGTTGTGGTGAGCCGAGATCGTGCCATTGCACTCCAGCCTGGGTGACAGAGCGACACTCTATCTCAAAAAAAAAAAAAGAAAAAGAAAAAAAGAAAAAAAAAGAAAAGAAAAAGAAAGAAAGAAAAGAAAAGAAAGAAAAGGAAAGAAAAGAAAGGCAAAATTGCATTCAGCATTGCCAAAACCCAGCCAATATTCACTATAGCTTGTGACCGACTGTAAATGAGAAGTCTTGGGCAATTTGTGTAAAATACTTTATGTCTAAAGCAAGAGCCTCAATTCATTTCTTCTGAACATACTGTTCTTTTCTACATTCCTCTTCCTATATTACACCCACCCCACCCACCATATACCACCAGCTGCACACAGCTATTGCTGTTTTAGAAAACTGTATGTACTAGCTGATGTAAAAATGGAAACAAAAAAAAACAACTGGTGGTTTTTAAATAGTTTTTACTATAAAACTTATATATACCATTATAGAAATTTGAAAGTGAAGAAAATTATAATGAAAACCATAAAAATAATTTATAATTGTACTACATGAGGTAGATTCCTATAAATATTTTCTTATATTTCCTTCCAGGTTTTATATTGCTATTGTAGTTTTGTCTATGCATTTGTATAGTAATGTAAACATAATCTATTCCTATAAGGTTATAATACAAAATTTGGACCATGTAGTCTATTCAGATTTGGTGTGGGGGCCACTGGCTTTTTTTTTTTAGCTTTGTTTTATAATGAACATTTTTACTCAAATTTATGATTTTTCCCCATGTATATGCACATATATTTTTAAGAAATTTGTAGTTTGGGTGGCCTTTAAAGAGCCATGTGGAATAACTTTGCCTAAAAGTCTGTGAAGAAACAAAACAACTGCACGACCTCAAGTAACCCTGGAAAAGGGTACCCACAAGGGGAAGCGATTGGAAATCAGCCCAAGAGCTTGCCAGGAAGAAGCAAAGAGGGTGCGAGCCAGCAGAAATCAAATGATTTAGCAAGGGGGGTAGAAGTCAGTTGGAGCCAAAGAACTGCCCAGTTAGTCCCTTCTGAGAAAGGAAACACTGTTAATAGCAGAAGCCTAGGTTCTGGCATCAATTTAACTTGCATCATAGTCTGTTACCACTTTCTGTCCTCAGTCTGCCACCCCACCCAGAACTGCTATATTTTCTGGTGTCTCCATGCCCTTCCCAGTCCCACTAAGAATCTATTTATAACAGCAGGAGCTCGCCTTGGTCCACTGTGACACACAGGCTGCTTTGCTGGGAAAGTTCTGCCTGACTCACTGGGGCTGCATGAAGCCTGGGGAGGCAAGCTTCTGGCGTGACTGTCCTTAGAATGTGTACTGAGTTTCCTCAGGGTTCACTGCTCCCGTCTGTGACTCAACGAGAAATGTAGAACACACGTGAAAACCGTGTGAGCCATAGGCATTTGATTTGGTGGGTGGGGGGCGCGGAGCTACATTGAATTCATAACTATGGAAATTGTTTTTTCCAACATTAAATTCATAACAATGGAAATAGTTTTTTCTCTGTAAATTTTCTGCCTCCCTTAATCTATAGTGCTACCTGACCCTTTAACATTGGCCATGAACAAATCACAGAACTATTTTCCTTAAAAGATGAGTGAGAGGAAATTCTAAAACTGGTTAGGAGCGATGTTTTAAAAATTGCCATGTATTAATACTATCAAATAACCAAATATTATTTGATCATATCAAATCAGGGCGAAAGGTAAATTTTATGAGATTCAAGTGCAACTTACCTAAAAGTAATATTTTAAAATTGACACCCTGTTTTCCTACAAAAGTCCCATGGTCTCTTAATTTGCCAGTGAAAATTACTGGGCTAATTTTGTTTGTTAATGAGATAAATGCCAAACACAAGTGTGAGTTAGGCTTGACATTGTGAATGAAGCCACTATAATATGTAATGTCAAAACCATCTCTCATCAAAAAGCACTACCAGCGTGTCATGTCTAGATCCTGGGTGTAAACCCTTGGTTAATAATAGCATAGAAAATCACAAATTTATTCACACTATAAATATGTGTAAAGAAAGTACAGATTTCCACTTCCTCCTTATAATTGAGTCTATCTTTCTCATAAGCCTCTACCTGATGGATAATGAAAGGGAAAAAAACTTAATATAGTCTGACTCAATAATTTAAAATATCCCTTTGGTAAATGCTCCATCTCTGAGGTCATGAATGAGGTCAAGTTCAGTCTCTTAAATGTCACTCTAGATCATCTCTGGCTTTATCAGCAAAGAGTGTGGCTTATATGATCAGATGGTGACAGAGGAGACAAGAGGTATCCTCTGGACCCTCATTGGCCCCTTAGGCACAGTGACTTGTTCAGGCTGGATTTAAACACTAAATTGTGACGAGTCCATCTCTGGGCTTCCTGCTGACATCTGTTACTGAAAGGCTGCTGCGTTTCCTGGCTTCATGTGTGGGATTCTGTGGAGCCTCCTCATGTTCCAGGCTTGGGTTTGCCATGAGGAAGTGCTGCAGCCTGTCAGAGTCTGCCCCTCCTCTTCCCTCTGCCCTTGGCCTAGGCTGTGCACTCAGCTGTGAGGGCATCCCTTACCCTTCTCCTTTTACAGATCCCTGGCCCATTTACTGGCTCTCCTTGGAGGCCTGTGGGCTTGTTTGAGTTCCATTCACATCCCAGAGGTGTCAAAAATACCTGGGAAAGCTAAACCTGGCCCTTCTTCTGCTCAATCCTGTTCTGCTACTCAGTGCTCAGCTGCGACCATCCTGCCCCCTCCACCATCCCATGTTGAGGTGGTCACTCTATACAGAAGCTCCTTACAGGGTTCCAAACTGGGCAAATTTTTCTCATCCTTCGACCCAACACCTCTCCTCCCTTGGCTCCTGACCAGAAAGAGGAAAAATGGGGACATGTATGTCTCACCCAGCCTCTCTCATTTTTCTCTCCTTCTAACATTCTCCTGGTAGGGGGAGAGTTAGGCAAGGATTCCCTTAGGTAAACTCCACAAACTGCCAGTCTTTCCTCTTGAAATTTCAAAGAATCTTGGTTATTAGAAATACCTCACCTGGCAGAGACACAACAAATAAAGAAAGCTTCAGGCCAATATCCTTGATGAACATCAATGCAAAAATCCTCAACAAAATACTGGCACACTGAATCTAGAATCACATAGAAAAACTAATCCACCATGATCAAGTAGGCTTTATCCCTGAGATGCAGGGATTATGCAAATCAATAAATGTGATTCATCACATAAACAGAACTAAAGACAAAAACCACATAATTATCTTAATAGATGCAGAAAAGGCTTTTGATAAAATTCAACACCCTTTATGATAAAAACTCTCAACAAACTAGGTATTGAAGTAACATACCTCAAAATAATAAAAACCATCTATGACAAACCTACAGCCAACATCATACTGAATGAGCAAGCTAGAAGCATTCCCCTTGAAAATCAGCACAAGACAAGAATGCTCTCTCTCACCACTCCTATTCAACATAGTATTGGAAGTCCTGGCCAGAGCAGTAAGGCGAGAGAAAGAAATAAAGGACATCCAAATAGGAAGAGAGGAAGTCAAACTATTGTTGTTTACAGATGACATGATTCTATATCTAGAAAACCCCATAGCCCTGGCCCAAAGGCTCCTTCAGCTGATAAACAACTTCAGCAAAGTCTCAGGATACAAAATCAAAATACAAAAGTCACTAACATCCCTATACACCAACAATAGCTAAGCTGAGAGCCAAATCCGGAATGCAATTCCATTCACAATTGCCACAAACATAATAAAATACATAGGAATACAGCCAACCAGGTGAAAGATCTCTACAATGAGAATCACAAACCACTGCTCAAAGAAATCAGAGATGACACAAACAAATGGAAAAACATTTCATGCTCATGGATAGGAAGAATCAATATCATTAAAATGGCCATACTATCCAAAACAACTTATAGATGCAATGCTATTCCTGTCAAACTACCAATACCATTCTTCACAGAACTAGAAAAAACTACTTTAAAATTCATATGGAACTAAAAAAGAGCCCAAATAGCCAAGGAAATCCTAAGCAAAAAGAACAAAGCTGGAGATGTCACACTGTCCAACTTCAAACTATACTACAGGGCTACAATAACCAAAACAACACGGTACTAGAACAAAAAGAGGTACCTAGACCAATGTAACAGAATAGAGAGTCTAGAAATAAGGCCACACATCTACAACCATCTGATCTTTGAGAAGGTTGACAAAAACAAGCAATAGAAAAACAACCAAAACAAAAATAGAAAAAATGCCCTATTCAATAAATGGTGCTGGGGTAACTGGCTAGCCATATGCAAAAGATTGAAACTAGGGCCCTTCCTTATGCCATATACAAAAATTAACTCAAGATGGATTAAACCTTATATGTAAAACCCCCAAAAAACAAAAATCCTGAAAGACAACCTAGGCAGTGCCATCCTGGACAAAGATTTCATGACAAAGACAACAAAAGCTTTTGCAACAAAAGCAAAAATTGACAAATTGGATGTAATTAAACTAAAGAGCTTCTGCACAGCAAAAGAAACTATCAACAGTGTAAACAGACAAGCTACAGAACGGGAGAAAATATTTGCAAACTATGCATCTGACAAAGGTCTAATATCCAGCATCTATAATGAACTTAAATACACTTACAAGAGAAAAAACAAACAACTGCATTCAAAAGTGGGCCAAGAACATAAACAGATACTTTTCAAAAGAAGACATACATGTGGCCAACAAGCATATGAAAAAATGTTCGACATCACTGATCACTAGAGAAATGCAAATCAAAACAATGAGATGCCATCTCACACCAGTCAGAATGGCTATTATTAAAAAGTCAAAAAAGTAACAGATGCTGGCGAGGTTGTGGAAAAAAAGGAATGCTTATACACTGTTGGTGGGAGGATAAATTAGTTCAACCACTGTGGAAAGCAGTGTGGCGATTCCTCAAAGGGCTAAAAACTGAACTAACATTTGACCCAGCAATCCCATTACTGGGTATATATCTGAAGGAATATAGATCATTCTACCATAAAGACACATGCACATGAATGTTCACTGTAGCACTATTTACAATAGCAAAGACATGGAATCAACCTAAATGCCCACCAATAAAAGATTAGATAAAGGAAATGTGGTACATATACACCATGAACTACTACGGAGCCATAAAAAAGAATGAGATCAAGTCCTTTGCAGGGACGTGGATGGAGCTAGAGGCCATTTTCCTTAGAAAACTAATGCAGGAGCCGAAAATGAAATACCGCATGTTCTCACTTATAAGTGGGAGCTAAATGACAAGAACACATGGACACAAAGAGGGAAACAACAGACACTCGGGCCTACCAGAGGTTGGAGGGTCGGAGGAGGAAGAGGACCAGGAAAGATAAGTAATGGGTACTAGGCTTAACACTGGGATGGGGAAATAATCTGTACAACAAACCCCCACGACATGAGTTTACCTACATAACAAACCTGAATATGTACCCCTGGACTTAAAATAAAAGTTAAAAAAAAAAAAAAAGGAATTCCTCAGTCTCACTCCCCACAGCCTGGATTTCAAAACCTTTGGCTTGTTTAAGAAGTTAAGAAAATCAGCTTTGAGATTCAATGCCTCTCTGGGCCATTGATTCCTAAAGAGAGTAGCATATCCCACTAGGAGGTATTTTTGGAAAGCTGTGGGGTTACTTTTGGTTAAGATTTAGAGGGTAGGGGCTATTGGTATTTAGTAGATGGGGGTCCAGAATTATCAACATGGTGTAATGAAGGAGACAGTCCCACAATGAAAAATCATTCCATCCCAAGTTTGTGTAGGCCAAAAAATCTGATTATAACTTTTTTAGCTTAGAACCTTAACTCTAATGGTGCTTCTGTATGGTTTAAATATAAACGATACATTTAGTTTGTATAAACCAATATAAAATTCCCAGTAATGCACCTACCACATATGTGAGGGAATATCACTATGCCTTGTTTGATATATTACCAAGGGTTTTTTCCTATTTGAAAAAGTCACCAAGGTTCTACTTTTTGTTGAGTCACATAGCTGGATAGCTCTGCATGGCTAGTTGCCATACTCAGGATGACTGTGGAAGCACAAGTATTTTGTCTTCTGGTGTCATTTGTATCCAAGCATTATGTTGAAATGCTTATTAGTTCACCATTTGCCAATTATCATGAAATGCATATTATGATTTCACCATTTGCCAATTTCCTCTATTTCTCCTTTATGTTATAATTAGAGCACTCTAATGTGCTCGAATTTAAATAATGTAGTATCTTGTGTTAGCTCTAAAATTTCTTTCTAAGATAGTAAAGGGAAAAGAAAATATAAAACTATTTGTTGGGGGAGAAAGGATTTGGGGAAACATTGGTCAACAGACACAAAATTTCCAGTTACACAGGAGGAATGAGTTCAAGAGACCTATTGAACATCATGGTGTCTATAGTTAATAACAATATATTGTATACTTGAAAATTGCAAGAAGACTTCAAGCACTTACCACAAAAAATACATATGTGATGTCATGCATATGTTAAAGAGCCTGATTTAGCCATTCCACAATGTGCACATTTATCAAAACATCATGCTAGATACCATAGGTATACACAATTTTTGTCAAGTAAAAATATATAAATAAATATTTGTTATGTAGGGTTGGAATCAGATAAGGTTAAGAGCCTCTGTTCTATGCAGTTCCTATTTTTCCACTTTCCATATTGAGTGCTTCCTGTGTGCCAGATACTAAGTATTTCCCATACTTGCTCTCCTTCACTCTTCCCAACCTTCTATCGATGACATAAAACTACATAATTTTATATTGTTTATATAAACTAAAGCTTAAAGAATCTAAGTAAACCAGTAAGTGGAAAAATCCAAGATTCAAGTTCAAGTCCACCTAGCTGCAAGGCCTGGCATCTTAACCATTCCACTTTTTTAACTAATGTAGAAAAAGGTCATCTTTTAAAAATATTACTACCATATTTCTATGTATATAGTTTAATAACCTAGTTATTGAAGATATTTATCTAGCAATTAAAAGGAGCAGCAACTAAGCACTAGAGCCTTTTGTTTTAATGTACCCTTTGTGTAGTTTTTAATAAACTCTGTTACCTAATTGCCTTACTTAGCATATCTCTGTGCTATTAAAACTTCTTTAATGTTTTATGTGGAAAAAATACTAATCCTTAAAATGTAAGTTATTAGCTAAGAATTTTTAAATACAGTATTTCTCCAGAGTCCTTCATCCAGAAAATCCTAAGTACTTTAGCAACACTAGTCATATATGGAAAATAGTCCCACTCTCTAATTATAAAAAATGACAATGAGTACATTTCCATCCAAGCTGTTACCTCAGAGAGGAGTCAGATCACAGAACACCTAAAAAGTGCAATAGACTCATCCAGTTTCAGAGAAGGGTTTTGCTCAGCAGCCATTGTGCATCTAGGTCAACAGAGAATGTCAGCTGATACAAATCAGGACAATGATGAGTGCCTGTAATATGACCACCACTTTACATGTATTATTAGGTTGGTGCAAAAGTTACTGAGATGTTTGTCATTGAAATAATGGCAAGCCAAGCATGGTAACTCACGCCTGTAATCCTAGCACTTTGGAAGGCTGAGGCAGGTGCATCACCTGAGGTCAGGAGTTCAAGACCAGCCTGGCCAACATGGTGAAACCCCGTCTCTACTAAAAATATAAAAATTAGCCGGGCATGGTGGCAGGCGCCTGTAATCCCAGCTACTCTGGAGGCTGAGACAGGAGAATTGCCTGAACCCAAGAGGTGGAGGTTGCAGTGAGTGAGATGGTGCCATTGCACTCCAGTCTGGGCAACAAGAGTGAAACTCCATCAAAAAGAGAGAGAGAGAAGGAAGGAAGGGAGTAAGGGAGGAAGAGAGGAAGAAAGGAAGAAAGGAAGAGAAAAAAACGCAATTACTTTTGCACCAACCTAATATTTTTTTATTAACCCATGAGTTAAGTATTATCGCCTTTATTCTTTATTATACAGAAGGACAACTGAGGGCTCCAAGAGGTTTAAGTGACTTAAGAGACTCCAACCACAGAGTGTGCAAGCTGGGATTTGAGCCCGGCATGTTCTATTATGCTAATCTACTCAACTTCATGTGTGTGGGGATTTGAGGCAGTTACAGCGAGTCATATTACGACTGAGGGGAGTTTTGGTGCGGGCTATGGATTAAACCTCCAGTTAAGTCTTGCTTACACCTAGGAAGTCTAATATCCAGTGAATGTTCCCAACTGTCTCTAACACATAAGGATTTCGCTGGATTTGGGCAGTTAACATGCCACTTCAAGGATGAGAATGTTTCTTGGGAAATCCAACAGTGACAGGAAAGCTTGAGTACACTCTTTAATAGCATGCAAATGATGGGGCTGGAAATTCCCAGAACCGTTTTCCACTGTCCTGCACTCTCTCTATTTTTGGTATTGCTATTCAATAGCTCTCATGTCCTAGGAAAATCATATCACTGCTGAGAAACTCTTTCTTTAAAGGCATCTATAACTTCCATGCTCTCATCATCTTCTTTCATTTGTTTTGGGACAGAACTTTAGAAAGTTAAATTGAAAATTTAAAAACTAAATATAAAAGCAGCAGCCACTGGGTGTCACTGATTTACCACTTGAATGTACCTCATCCCACATATCTATAGCAGGAAAAAACCTGGCCTTTTTATTGGACTATTTCAAAGCACTTTATGTTCTTGAGTGCTATAGATAAGCAGAAGAATTTAAAATGTTTAAAACATGAATCTTCTGACACTGAGAAGCTCAAGGACCATTACTGTATGCTCTGTTACAGCTATTTATAACTGTAAGTAATAATATTCCCATTTTAGAGATGGATACACTAAAGCAGAGCAAGCTAGTAAATCGAGGATGGCAGAGGACACACTCTTGAACTTTATTATTTAAATCAGGACTTTCTGGCCAGGTGCAGTGGCTCACGCCTATAATCCTGGCACTTTGGGAGGCCGAGGCAGGTGCACCACCTGAGTTCAGGAGTTCAAGACCAGCCTGGCCAATACGGTAAAAACCCATCTCTACCAAAAATACAAAAATTATCCGGGTGTGATAGTGTGCATCTATAATCCCAGCTGCTCGGGAGGCTGAGGCAGGAAAATCGCTTGAACCTGGAAGGCAGAGGTTACAGTGAGCCGAGATTGCCCCACTGCACTCCAACCTGGGCAACAAGAGCAAAACTTCATCTCAAACATAAAAGAAATAAAAATAAATCAGGACTTTCATGTTGTATTTTTATTTAAAGATAATTCTCTAAAGCCAGGAACACAGTACCCATTATTTCATTCTTGCTCATATCCCGCCCCCCCCCCACCAATTCTATATCTAAGATGAAGAAAAAGAAATCATTTCAGAACATTTCCAAAAGAATGTCAGGATTCACCTCCTTTCCAAGGTGGCCAAATAGGAACAGCTTTGGTCTGCAGCTCCCAGCGTGATCAACATAGAAGATGGGTGATTTCTGCATTTCCAACTGAGATACCTGGTTCATCTTATTGGGACTGGTTGGACAGTGGGTGCATCCCATAGAGGGTGAGCCAAAGCAGGGTGGGGTGTCGCCTCACCCGGGAAGTGCAAGGGATCTGGGGATTTCCCTTTCCTAGCCAAGGGAAGCCATGACAGACTGTACTTGGAAAAACAGGACAATTTCACCCAAATACTACACTTTTCCCAAGGTCTTAGCAACCAGCAGACAAGGAGATTCTCTCCCGTTCCTGGCTCAGTGGGTCCCACACCCACGGAGCCTTGCTCACTGCTAGCACAGCAGTCTGAGATTGAACTGTGAGGCGGCAGCCTGGCTGGGGGAGGGACATCTGCCATTGCTGAGGTTTGAGTAGGTGAACGAAGCAGCCAGGAAGCTTGAACAGGGTGGAGCCCACCGCAGTTCAGCAAGGCCTACTGCCTCTATAGACTCCACCTCTGTGGGTAGGGCATAGCTGAACAAAAGGCAGTAGACTTCTGCAGACTTAAACCTCCCTGACAGCTCTGAAAAGAGCAGTGGTTCTCCCAGCACGGTGTTTGATCTCTGAGAACAGACAGACTGCCTCCTCAAGTGGATCCCCGACCCCTGTGTAGCATAACTGGGAGACACCTCCCAGTAGGGGCCGACAGACACCTCATATAGGCGGGTGACCCTCTGGGATGAAGCTTCCAGAGGAAGGATCAGGCAGCAATATTTACTGTTCTGCAACATTTGCTGTTCTTCAGCCTCCATTGGTGATACCCAGGCAAACAGGGTCTGGAGCAGACCTCCAGCAAACTCCAACAGACCTGCAGCTGAGGGATCTGACTGTTAGAAGAAAAACTAACAAACAGAAAGGAATAGCATTAACATCAACAAAAAGGACATCTATACCAAGACTCCATCTGTAGGTCACCAACATCAAAGACCAAAGGTAGATAAAACTGCAAAGATGGGGAGAAACCAGAACAGAAAAGCTGAAAATTCTAAAAACCAGAGTGCCTCTTCTCCTCCAAAGGATCACAGCTCCTCGCCAGCTACAGAACAAAGCTAGATGGAGAATGACTTTGATGAGTTGACACAAGTAGGCTTCAGAAAGTCAGTAATAACAAACTTCTCTGAGCTAAAGGAGCATGTTCTAACCCATTGCAAGGAAGCTAAAAACCTTGAAAAAAAGGTTAGATGAATGGCTGACTAAAATAAACAGTATAGAGAAGACCTTAAATGACCTAATGGAGCTGAAAACCATAGCACAAGAACTTCATGATGCCTGCACAAGCTTCAATAGCAGATTCGATCAAGTGGAAGAAAAGGTAACAGTGATTGAAGATCAAATTAATGAAATAAAGTGAGAAGACAAGTTTAGAGAAAAAAGAGTAAAAGGAAACAAACAAAGCCTCCAAGAAATATGGGACTATGTGAAAAGACCAAATCTATGTCGGATTGGTGTGCCTGAAAGTGACGGGGAGAATGGAACCAAGTTGGAAAACACTCTGCAGGATATTATCTAGAACTTCCCCAACATAGCAAGGCAGGCCAACATTCAAATTCAGGAAATACAGAGAACATCACAAAGATACTCCTCAAGAAAAGCAACCCCAAGACACATAATCATCAGATTTGCCAAGGTTGGAATGAAGGAAAAAATGTTAAGGGCAGCCAGAGAGAAAGGTCGGGTTACCCACAAAGGGAAGCCCATCAGACTAACAGCTGATCTCTCGGCAGAAACCCTACAAGCCAGAAGAGAGTGGGGGCCAATATTCAACATTCTTAAAGAAAAGAATTTTCAACCCAGAATTTCATATTCAGCCAAACTAAGCTTCATAAGTGAAGGAGAAATAAAATCCTTTACAGACAAGCAAATGCTGAGAGATTTTGTCACCACCAGGCCTGCCTTACAACAGCTCCTGAAGGAAACACTAAACATGGAAAGAACAACCAGTACCAGCCACTGCAAAAACATACCAAATTGTGAAGACCGTAGACACTATGAAGAAACTGCATCAATTAATGGGCAAAATAACCAGCTAACATCATAATGACAGGATCAAATTCACACATAACAATATTAACCTTAAATGTAAATGGGCTAAATGCCCCAATTAAAAGAAACAGACTGGCAAATTGTATAAAGAGTCAAGACCCATCAGGACCCATCAGTGTGCTGTATTCAGGAGACCATCTCACATGCAGAGACACATGTAGGCTCAAAATAAAGGGATGGAGAAAGATCTACCAAGCAAATGGAAAGCAAAAAAAAAAAGCAGGGGTTGCAATCCTAGTCTCTGATAAAACAGACTTTAAACCAACAAAGATCAAAAGAGACAAAGAAGGCCATTACATAATGGTAAAGGGATCAATTCAACAAGAAGAGCTAACTATCCTAAATATATATGCACCCAATACAGGAGCACCCAGATTCATAAAGCAAGTCCTTAGAGACCTAGAAAGAGACTTAGACTCCCACACAATAGTAATGGGAGACTCTAACACCCCACTGTCAACATTAGACAGATCAACGAGACAGAAAGTTAACAAGGATAGCCAGGACTTGAATTCAGCTATGCACCAAGCAGACCTAATAGACATCTACAGAACTCTCCACCCCAAATCAACAGAATATACATTCTTCTCAGCATCACATCGCACTTATTCTAAAATTGACCACATAATTGGCAGTAAAGCACTCCTCAGCAAATGTAAAAGAACAGAAATCACAACAAACTATCTCAGACCACAGTGCAATCAAATTATAACTCAGGATTAAGAAGCTCACTCAAAACCACACAACTACATGGAAACTGAACAACCTGCTCCTGAACAACTACTGGGTAAATAACGAAATGAAGGCAGAAATAAAGATGTTCTGGCTGTGCGCAGTGGCTCACGCCTGTAATCCCAGCACTTTGGGAGGTCCAGGCAGGTGGATCACGAGGTCAGGAGATTGAGACCATCCTGGCTAACACGGTGAAACCCCATCTCTACTAAATATACAAAAAATTAGCCAGGCGTGATGGTGGGTGCCTGTAGTTCCAGCTACTCAGGAGGCTGGGGCAGGAGAATGGCATGAACCCGGGAGGCGGAGCTTGCAGTGAGTGGAGATCGTGCCACTGCACTCCAGCCTAGATGACAGAGCGAGACTTCATCCAAAAAAAAGAAAAAGAAAAGAAACAAAAATGTTCTTTGAAACCAATGAGAACAAAGACACAATGTACCAGAATCGCTGGGACACATCTAAAGCAGTGTGTAGAGGGAAATTCATAGCACTGGCTAGCCATATGTAGAAAGCTGAAACTGGATCCCTTCCTTACACCTTATACAAAAATTAATTCAAGATGGATTAAAAACTTACATGTTAGACCTGAAATCATAACAACCCTAGAAGAAAACCTAGGCAATACCATTCAGGACATAGGCATGGGCAAAGACTTCATGACTAAAACACCAAAAGCAATGGCAACAAAAGCCAAAATAGACAAATGGGATCTTATTAAACTAAGGAGCTTCTGCACAGCAAAACAAACTACCATCAGAGTGAACAAGCAACCTACAGAATGGGAGAAAATTTTTGCAATCTTCCCATCTGACAAAGGGCTAATATCCAGAATCTACAAAGAACTTAAACAAATTTACAAGAAAAAACAAACAATCCCATCAAAAAGTGGGCAAAGGATATGAACAGACACTTCTCAAAAGAAGACATTTATGCAGCCAACAGACACATGAAAAAATGCTCACCATCACTGGCCATCAGAGAAATGCAAATCAAAACCACAATGAGATACCATCTCACACCAGTTAGAATGGCGATCATTAAAAAGTCAGGAAACAGGCTGGGTACAGTGGCTTATGCCTGTAATCCCAGCACTTTGGGAGGCCGAGGTGGGCATATCACAAGGTCAGGGGATCAAGACCATCCTGGCTAACAGGATGAAACCCCGTCTCTATTAAAAATACAAAAAAATTATCCAGGCGTGGTGGCAGGCACCTGTAGTCCCAGCTACTCAGGAGGCTGAGGCAGGAGAATGGCATGAACCCAGGAGGCGGAGTTTGCAGTGAGCCGAGATGGCGCCACTGCACTCCGGCCTGGGCAACAGAGTGAGACTCCGTCTCAAAAAAAGAAAAAAAAAAGTCAGGAAACAACAGATGCTGGAGAGGATATGGAGAAATACGAACGCTTTTACACTGTTGGTGGGAGTGTGAATTAGTTCAACAATTGTGGAAGACAGTGTAGCGATTCCTCAAGGATCTAGAACTAGAAATACCATTTGACCCAGCAATCCCATTACTGGGTATATACCGAAAGGATTATAAATCATGCTACTATAAAGACACATGCACACATATGTTTATTGTGGAACTATTCACAATAGCAAAGACTTGGAACCAACCCAAATGTCCAACAATGATAGACTGGATTAAGAAAATGTGGCACATATACACCATGGAATACTATGCAGCCATAAAAAAGGATGAGTTCATCTCCTTTTCAGGGGCATGGATGAAGCTGGAAACCATCAATCTGAGCAAACTATCACAAGGACAGAAAACCAAACACCACATGTTCTCACTCATTGAACAATGAGAAAACTTGGACACAGGGCGGGGAACGTCACACACCAGGGCCTGTCGGGGGGTGGGGGCCTGGGGGAGGGATAGCATTAGGAGAAATATCTAATGTAAATGATGAGTTGACGGGTGCAGCAAATCAACATGGCACATGTATACCTATGTAATAAACCTGCACGTTGTGCACATATACCCTAGAACTTAAAGTATAATAATAAAAAAAAAAGGAATTTCAGGATTCAGATTACGTTCCAAGTATCCAAAACATGCTATTAGGTGACATCATTTAATATATGTCTATTCTTAGTATCTTATCTAATCCCCACCACAAAAGAATAAGTAGGTTATCATTATCATCAGATGAAAACAATATCTGGGACTTAGAGAGAGTAAGTAACTTGTAATAAGATCACAAAGGAAGCAAGATGAAGACTTCAGACACAAGCCCACATCTTTAGCTCCCAAAGCCATGATCCTTCTGCTACACCAGGCTATATCTTTATAAAAAAATTACCTCTCTTTTTGGCCACATCACTTTCAAAACCACATAATGTTGTGCCAAACCTTTGGTTAATCAAGTAGTAAGTGATAAAAAATATTAAATGCAGACAATTGTCATTTTAGATCATTTTAAGATGACTTTGTCACTGAAGATTATTTCCCACGTAACTCCATTTGCCAAGGGAATTAGTTACAGTCTCTTATCCCCAAAAGATTGGAAATTTTCCCCAGACTCCTCACGGTGAAATCTGGCCTGGGATTTGGTGTCTCCAGATCTTCTGCTGTCTAAGCAGAACAGCTCTTATCTCTTTCCACAGTGGATGTGTTCCTGCTCTCTCATTTTTGGCTTGAAAATAGCCATCTATCTGGAGAAATGTACTCCTTATTTAGGCTAAAGGGTGATGAAAAGCCTTGGAGTTATTTGTTTATCTTCCAAATAGGTACAGGGAGAGCCCAGCAAGGCTATAAAATCTTAAGCTTCCTGATTCTCCCTTGCCAAAAGGATTAGGCTCAGAGCTGGAGGCCTTTCTCGGGAGAAGATAAGATAGTGTGTCTGTATTACCATTCGCTCCTGCCAAGTTCCTGCTCTGCAATAAGCCAGCTTTCTTGTTGACGGCCGTCTCACTCCTTCTCTCCTGGAATCACACCTTGATTGTGGATTTTTCCTTCTTTAACCCTCAGTCCAAACATTATGAGTTGTTTTTCACTCTCTCACTCTAGATCCTTGGGTTTCTTCTCAGATCTGGCTATGGTGGTAGTTTTTCCATGGACCCTATATAGTCTGGCAAACAATCTCATTTTTTTATATTTTAAAAAGGAGTTGGGTTCTAAAATACAATGTTCTTTTAATCTTTTCATTCTTCGTTTTAAGGAAAATGCAATATTGTTCTCGTCATGCTCAGCAAATCTCTGATATTTGGAGGATGATAGGTATCTTCTTCTGCTCCTTTCAAACATATTTTTATAATAACATCAAAACACACCTGAAAAACTGATACAAAACTCAGGCTTCCTCACTTGATGATTATTTCAAAACAGAGATGAAATAAATGCACAAGAGATGTACTCTAACTGAAACTCAATTTTATTTATTAAAAATAATATTACAAATTTTATCTGAAAAACTAGATTATTTACAGAAAAAAAAGCCCACAAATATTATATTTTTTAATACCAGCCTCTCTACTCCCACATGATCTCAGTTGTTGGTTAAAATACTGGGGTATGGCTGTTTAGGAGGTGTGGGAATGGATTTTTGACATATTGTGCTATATTACACACTAGGTTATCTGCAAAAATACAGAGAAAGCATTCAGTCTCTTTTTGCCCCTAACTTTTAATAGGAGCATTTCCCATCTTTTTCTGCTTTCAAGACACCTGGCCCTGCCTCGGCACCTGCTGGCCCTACCACGACCATCACACAGTCCTTACCTTCTTAGTGGACCTTTGCAGGGGCAGCATCCTGACCCCAAAATGTGGATGCACTATATTGTTTGTCACTTCCAAATCCAGCACACAGGTACTAAGTGACCACTATGTGCTAGGCCCTGATTTCACAGAGCTGATGCTGCTGTGTAATTTCTCTTCCTCTTTAGTTATTGCTGCTAACAGCACGGCTAGTTGAGAAACTGGACCAAAGCCCATAACCAAGAATGGACAGGGGAAGGCTTCCAAGCAAAACTGAAACTCCTTAGTAAACATGATACTGCTCCTGAGGTTTATCACAATCATGTTAGGAGAGTTTTTTCTCTCCCGTTCCTGTTCTTCACTTCATCTAATACATTTCCCAAGAGAATAGGTAATAGAAAATAAAATAGAATAAGGTACCTTAAGCTAGTGGATATTCTAAATGATAAGGCATTAATACAGATGAAGTGGGTATCTTGCTCTCTTAAAATTAATAAATGCTACATAAAATGTGACATGTAGCTAAATATAAATATATGATCACATAAATACATCAGAGTCTGTATTTATATCTACATGATTTTTTCTTCTTTTGCAAATGAACTTTAGCCATTGGTCATTACAAAGATCAGCATGATTATCTTATCCAAGGAAACCCGCTTTAGGAAAATGTGTCCATTTGGAGTACACATTTACAACAAGTAGGCAGACGGCTTTGCCCACCTCATGCCAGTTGGGATTGGGAAAGTAGGGAGGATAACAAAATATTCCTTTTAAAAAGGGTTACCACCAGAATTCTCTCACTCTCACAATCCACATTAACAATTTTAAAGGTGAAATGTTTCCAAATCTGGAGATACACTAAGGCATTGTCTGCTGAGGAATAATGGAAAATTCTGCCTACATAAAGAGAATTAATGAAAATCAGAATCTGCATTTTAGAGAATGCATTAGGAAAACTTGGCAGAGGTGAAAAGTATTCTCTGTCCCCTTATTGCAGTTTTATTGCCATCATCTCACTTTCTGGTACTTTGCAAAGGAACAGTTCCCCCTGACAAGTACGCTTTGCTCTCAGAGACCAACTTGTGTCCTAATGATGCTGCAAATGTGATGGTGAAATCCAGACATTCAGTTTCTGCACTGTTCATATTAAAACATAACCATTCAGGTTCTCCAGCACAGACACCTCCCTGTCTCATCCAGGTGTCAGTCATGATGGCCAGAACAAGTGTGGCAGGTGAAGACCACCACTGTGGAATTCCTGCCACCCAGGGCTCTGCTGCCAGGTGAGCTCACCCCTGCTCAAGAGATTACAGCAGTTTAGAAGTTCATTCCTGTTTCACCCGACCTTCCCCACCCCCACCCAGCATCACTTCTGCCTAGAGAGCAGAGAAATCACAGAAGTTGGTCCTTGTTGAATGCTGTTGGTCCTGATCGCAGTGGCCACTGGTCCCTAAAATACTGTAATCTGGTAAGAACAGAGCCACACACAGCACATCCCAGGAGGCTTGCTTCCATTCTTCCTGATGCGAGCTGGCCCACCTACTCAGAAAACTCAACCACTGCTGACTGAACGAGGCCTTTTTCTCTCTCTCTCACTCCAAAGATCAGAGCAATAGCCTCCATAAAGCAGAAAGTGTAAAGAAATTGATTATGACTTAACTAACTAGAAGAATAATATAGCGGTATTGCAACTAGCAATCTCATAAACCCTAACACAATGGTAATACTTACTTTATGCTGCCAGCCAATTCAACTGGCTGCTAAAATGTACTTGGATAACTATCCCAAGAAATGTATGAAGTAAATGTTTGGGGTTTTTTTTTGTTGTTGTTGTTGTTTAAGTTGGAGACTCACTCTGTTGCCTGGAGTGCAATGACGCGATCTAGGCTTACTGCAACCTCCGCCTCCTGGGTTCAAGCAATTCTCCTGCCTCAGCCTCCTGTGTAGTTGTGATTACAGGTGCCCACCACCATATCCGGCTAATTTTTTAAATTTTTAGTAGAGATGGGGTTTTGCCATGTTGGTCAGGCTGGTCTCGAACTCCTGACCTCAGGTGATCCACCAGCCTCAGCCTCCCAAAGTGCTGGAATTACAGGCATGAGCCACCGCACCTGGCCTAAAGTAAATGTTTTTTATAGACTGTTCTCCAACAAACAAACAAACAGTAACCTCGTTGTTAAACGTCTCAAAATGTTAAATTTTCTGTTTAAATGTACTATTCCAAACATTATATGCTGTGATATAAGACTGTAACAAATAGCACGAGACCCAGCGTCTGGAGTGACACACCTCAAGGAGCAGGGAGCTTGCAGGTGATGTGTTCTTTAAAGACACAGGGAGTGTCACAATGGCTATTACCAAAAAGATGAGAGGTGAATGTTAGTGAGGATGTGGGGAAAAGGGAACCCTAGCACACTGCTGGTGGGAATGTAAATCAATACAGCCATTATTCGAAATAGCATGCAGGTTCCTTAAAAAAAAAAAAAATAGAATTACCATATGATCCAGCAATCCCACTTCTGGGGACATGTCCAAAGGATTTGAAATCAGTACATCAAAGAGCCATCCACACTGCCATGTTTATTGCAGCGTTATTCACAATAGCCAAGTTACGGGATCAACTTAAGTGTCCACCAATGGATGAATGGATAAAGAAACTGTGGTGTATATACACAAAGGAATATTATTCAGCTGTAAAAAAGAAGGAAATCCTGTCACCTGTGACAACATGGATGAACCTGGAGAACATTATGCCAAGTGAAATAAGCCAGCACAGAAAGACAAATACCATGTTCTAACTTACATTTGGAATTTAAAACAGTCAAACAGAGTGGAGATGGTGGTTACTAGAGGCTGAGGAGTCAGGGGAATGAGGAGCTGGTGGCCAAAGGGTACAGTGTTTCAGTTAGACAGGAGGAAGAACTGATAAGTATTCAAAGCAAACAGAAAAGAGACAAGCAGTGTGTCTCCTGACTTTGCTTCGGGTTTTTACTCTCCCTTACTCTAGTACCCTAGCACAGGTACCTTTTGTGCCTTACCCTGAAGTGGAACAAAGAAGGAAAAGTGGAGAGAAGGTAGAGCAGGAAGGATAAATTATATTTCTTTCTCTATGGCAGTTTTTTTCTTACTCTACTTCAGAAAAGAACCACTTGGAAAGAGGCATGAGGCTAGAGAAATTTCTAACTGAGCAATTTGATTATTCAGAGGACACCCACCCTGTGAGCTTGAACTATGGGATCCTGGAAGGATGCTTGATGCCAAATTGGCCTGAAGCAGTGAAGAAGCCTGAGGAAGTCTGAAGAAGCCTCAAGAATCCAGGATAACATTTTAAGGAACCCTCTCATTAAGTTCTAAGGATAAAGCCAAGCTTAATTAAGCTGTGAAAAATGGAGACAAGTCATTCATTAGATCGATTTTCTTTTAAAAACATACTCTCTTGAGCTCCTCTTTGAAGTGAGGACCTTATAATATTGTTTGAGTTCAACTAAACTGTGCTGGAGTACAGCCCTTATTACTTTAGGATCTATATGTGTATGTGTACTGTAATATCATTTTCCTTTTTAGGAAACCAGAGATTATTTACAAACTCTTATATTTTAGGAATCAAAACTTTTGCAGGTTAAATCCACAACCATAAATATTTGGAATGATGTTACAGTTCGAATCTAGTCAACTGCCTGAATTGTTTGTTCCAATTGCTGTACTTTGATGAATACAACTACGATACCTACTCGGTTTTCCTGATTTGTTCACTTCCCTCATGATAAGATTCAATTCAACATGTCGTAAACCTGAAAGAATTCTTGTTGCCAAGATCAAAGTATTCTAGTCATTTCACAGGAAAACTGATGTATAAGCAAATCGACCATCTGGGAATTAAAATAATATAAAGCACTAGACCAAGTAAAAAAACTACTGATGGGCCAGGCATGGTGTCTCATGCCTGTAATCTCAGCACTTTGGAAGGCTAGAAGGCAGGATTGTTTGAGGCCAGGAGTTTGAGACCAGCCTGGGTAAAATAGCAAGACCCTGTTTTTTTTTTTTAAAAAAAAAACAAAAAACAAAAAAACACCCTACTATTGATAATAATTATGATAAAAACAAAAGAATAAATCAGAACAGAAGGAAAACAAGGAGAACCTGATGCAAACCAATCCCCTTTCCTGGTTGGGTGCAAAAAAATAACAATATTTTGCATATAAATAGCCTCACCCAACAAGTAATTTTATGTCTCTTTTTAGAAAAAGATGAATTATCTTTGTAAAAACATTTCACAGATGTGCAGTTACTCCCAGATGCATGTGATAGGGCCCAATATTAACTGTGCTTTAGAAATTACAATCTCATAAAAGAGAGTGAGTTTGCTACCACTGAGATTGATTTCTTAAAATAGCCAGCTCAACTACTGCTGTCCAGATGTATTTTTGTCTTTGTCTATCTCTACTGTGAATTATTTAAAACAGCACATTCTGTAGTTTGAATATAGCCCACATTTCAAATTAAGTTCACAAAATTTTGTGCTCAGTGTACAATTTCCATTTAATAGAAATAGTTCTATAAATCCATAATATCACTGAAAAGCAATATGAAGCTAAACACAAGAATATTTCTAAAACCCCATTTTATCCCAGGAAAAATTAATCTTTGAACAAAAATATCATGCAAATATTTATTTGCAAAGAATTCTGAGCATGATCTAGAAAACCACATTTATAAACAAACTCGTTGGGCTGTTTAAAAGGCTCTCCACCAACATGGTTCTTTCATGTTGTTTTAATTACTTTTGTAGAAATGTATTGTGTATGCAAAGACCTACATGCTTTTTGGCTGGATAAGGAAGCTCTGTTTTTAAAAAGTAAAGATGTGTTACAGTATTACTACTATAGTAATTTATTGAGATCAAATTCTTCCAATAGCTCAGCTACCTCCTACAGGGACAAATTTTCTAGAAAAACAAATGGAGCAAATGGGGAAAGAAGGAAGTTTAGATCATAAGATTGGAAACCTAGACATTCACCTCTGCCCTCTCTGAATTACTGGAAACATTTCAAGTCAAACAATAATTTATGGGCCGTCCTAGTGGTCTTTGATTTCATGATACTGGTTTTTAGGTCTCTAAATCCATTCCAAGGAAATTCTAAGCAAAATTTAGAAACCCTGTGTGTTTAAGATCACCCGTATCACTTTCCTTGGCTCCACTCTAATCGTCACTTATTCAATAACCTAGTAAAAATTATAACAGCTGCCACCAAACCAACACATGCACCCATGCCCAACCAGTTTATAAATGAGTAGATATTTGTACCTACATACATATGTTAGACTTACTCTGCTATATTTTGACAGTGTGGTCTTATGATGTTATATGGATTGATGTCTCCACTAAGCAAAGTTAGTATTTCTGTGACAATTATCTGGGGAAAGGAAGTTCCTCAGACAGAAAATCCAACCTTGGAAGACAGAATTTCAATTCATTCATTCGCCCATTCATTCATTCAATGGATATTTATTGAATGCTTACTACCTATCCGGCAGTGTTCTCCAGCCCAAATCATTGCCCAAAACTAGAAACTGTATATCCAACTGCCCATTAAGTGTTTCCACAAAAGTACCTAATGGACATCTTTAATTCTACGTGTGCACAACTAAACTTACATTCCAACTTCCCACCATATGCAACCCACTCCTCCCCGTGTCAGCTGATGGCAACTCTATGCTTCCAGTTGCACAAACCAAAAGACTTGATGCCTTTCTTCCTTTCACAGTCCACATCCTATCTATCAGGAAATCCTGTTGGCTCTTCCTTCAAAATATATCCAGAGTCTGACTTCTTTCCACCACTTTAACCGCTGTCACCATGCTCTCATCCACCATCATCTCTATACTGGCACCTCAGCTTTCACCTTGCCTCCCTATAGTCCGTTCTCAGCACCACTCCACAGGTATTTCTGATAAAATTTAAGTTCAAATCATACCACTCATCTGCTCAACACCCTCCAGTGGCTCTGCATTTCACTCAAGACAAGCCAAAGTCCTTATTATGGCCTTTAAGTTTCCCATGACCCCTCATCCCTCCTACCTCTCTGAGATCATCCTTTCCTTGATGGCAGCCTCTGCACCCTCCCTCTAATTAGCACTCTTCCTCTAATTATCTAATAGTGACCAATTTAAGGTCAAGGTGCTGGTTCTTCTCTCTGCCTCCTGCTCTCCCTTTCTATATTGACGTGGTTCATCTGTGCATCTCTTTCAAACCTTGTCTTAGATTTCACCTTCTATAGCTATGAGGCTACTCTTACCACCCTATTTTGCATTGCAAAAACACCCCACTCCACCACCCACCCCCAAACATACAAACTCCCCGCTGGAATTTCCAGTCCCCCTTTACCTATCTATCATGTTCTGCAGCATTTATTTCACTCTAACCAAACTTTTTAAAAATGTTTTTTATTGTCTGTTACTTGAAAATGTTTTGTTTTTGTCTCTTTGGCTTCCTGATGTATCCCAAGCATCTGGCATAGGGTGGATGCTCAGTGAAAAAATTCCTCAATGAAAGAATGTGAGTAAAACAGATGTGATCTCTGCCATTAAGAAAGTTACAGTCCACAGGAATGATAACTCCTATCTCTTGAGGCTTCCCCTTGTGGCTGGCATCTCTATGGGCCTAGAGGGGCCTAAATATGCTACAGGACATCCCCAGGTCAGGGAAGAAGGATGGCCTCTGCCACACACCTGGCCTGGAGCTGCTGGACTACAACTTGAAGACAGAGTACTTATTCCTTAAAATCCAAACTATTTAATTTCATGCTGTTATTTCTCTTTACCTTCAGGTATCTGTAAGTGGTTAATAAAATCTTATTTGAATGTTGCTGCTTGCATTTCATTGTGCTCTGAAGAATTCTCAGAAGCAACATATCATCATTTACAGTCAGTCCAATGAGGGAGGCAGCACTGCCAGAGATCAGCTTAAATGTGGAGTCACCGGGCAAGAGGACTCTACTGAGGACAAGGTCAGGGGGCATCATCCCTCCTCTCTCAACACTGGCTTCTGCACCCTTCCTCTAACTGGAAGAGTTACCCCATCTGCACTACTCTACAAGGCCACTCTTGAAATGGACAGAATTTTCTCAGGTTGCCAGTGGGTTGCCTTATGGTCTTCATGCTGCACACTGCAAGCAGCACTGCGCACCTCAATCTGCTCTGCCCCATGTCACCTCACCTTCTGCAGTGGCTCATATTCAACCTACCCCCAATCTTGTGAAAATTTCTACTTTCTCAGTGAAGGTGGGCTCAAAGAGTCATTAGGAGGTATAATCAATACTTATTTATCCAATGAATTTCTAATGTATTGCTACTTAGTAATGTGACTATCTTGGGCAAACTGGGAGAAACCTGTTGGGTCAAGAGGGCCTTCCAGGCCTCCTAAGCCATGCCTTATTGACATCTCAGGACTTGCCACCATGATAAAGCTGCTTCTTGATGTGGTGCCCTGCTCAAGGAGCTCACATTTGGTGCTTGGGAATATTAATGTTCTGGAAAACTCTAGAAGAAAGGAAAACTAGATCATCCAATTATTTCCTGATGATAAGAAATTGGGGTAAAAGGAGAACTAACTGTTTAAAGTCATAAAAGTGCCATTTAACAAAATATTCACATTCTACAAAAACAGGGATTCTGTTCTATGCCCAAGCAATGTAGTCATCTGAAGAAATTCTCTCACTTACCTTTATAGCCTCCCCAGACCCTATTACAGTGCCTGGCTAAATAGATGCTCAATAAATGTCAACCAAACATTAACTCTACATCCACTCAGCCAACAAAGTCAGAATACAGAGCTCACATTTTCTGCTCATACACCAAGGTGTGTTGTATAGTTAGACCTTTAGTCCCCTAAACAACCAAGCAGACAGGCAAACCATTTTCTCCCAATTAATTGACAGAGGTCAATGACATTATACAACAGGTATGGTTGAAACATTTATTTTCCAGAAGCTAAATCTAACAACACTTGTAATTTCTCTTTAATTTCAAAATTTGAACTTCATTGGAAAACAATTCAGCTATGATTTACTGTAGAACTATACTTGGTAAAGTCCTGGACTGCAAACCTATAAATTTTCATCCGCATTGAAATCCTGCCAACTTGTTTTACGTTCCTCTCAGGTCTTCTCAACTTATCTCTTCTAATGCTGTCTTAAAAGGAAGAGTCACCGATATGACATCCCTTCAAAGTTCTATCAAGCTTAGGCACACAGAACATAGGCTTTCTGATTTGTTATTTTTATAGATTATTTCAGAAATGTAGCAAGTGTGAATTGGAATGTACTATAAGTGTAAAATTAACAACATATTTTTAACAAGACAGCAAAAAAATGTAAAATATTTTATTAATGATTTTTATATTGAGTACATGGTGAAATGATAATGTTTTAGACATATTGGGTTAAACAAAGTATATTATTGAATTTTAAAAAATATTTCAATAGAATAAATCCAGGGTTTTCTTTTTAAAATCATTTTTGTGCCATGGATCTCCGTGAGAGTTTGGTCAAGTCAATAGATAAATGAATACAATAAAATACATAGAATTAAAAATAAAATAAAATATTATTAGTTTTGACATGCCAATACAGAGATTTCTATTGCCTGAAATATAAATCTGTGAATAGGGTCCTAACTATTCAGATTATAACTGTCGTAGAGTACCATCTCTTATATGCCTAGATTGACTTAAAATTTAATAGAGGATTAATGATTTAGCAATTTAAGTTACAGGCTATAAAATAGCTATGGTAATATTTACACTTTGTTAAATAAAAAGTTGTTCATGACACTTGTTTGTTAAAGACGGTAAGGAAGATGTTATTCAAGAGAGATTATTTCAATGAAGGTTTTGCAGTGGGGAGAAGAGATGGGGCTCAACTCCAAATATAACAAAGACAAGCAGGGATTTATAGCAAGGAACAGAGTCAGGGTCAGTGGAGGGAACATTACCAAGATTAAATATCAAGACCGGAGGATTCTTGAGAGCTGGACTCACAGGATTCTTGCTGAAGACAGGTCAAGGAAATAAGATATCAAGAGTGAGAGGATAAGGAATTTGATCAGACATGGAGGGTGATCAGATTCCAAAGGTGGGGGATTTTTCACTAACCTGACTGTATTAGTCTATTTTTATACTGCTATGAAGAAATACCTGAGGGTGGGTAATTTATAAAGAAAAAGAGTTTAATGGACTCACAGTTCCACATGGCTGGGGAGGCCTAACAATGATGACAGAAGGTGACTGAGGAGCAAAGTCACATCTTACATGGCGGCAGGCAAGAGTGTGTGTGTGGGGGGGACCTGCCCCTTATAAAAACATCAGATCTTGCAAGACGTATTCACTATCATGAGAACAGCATGGGAAAACCTGCCCCCATGATTCAACTACCTCCCACTGGGTCCCTCCCATGACACATGGGAATTATGGGAGCTACAATTCATGATGAGATTTGGGTGGGGACACAGCCAAACCATATCACTGACCTAGCAGAATACTTGCTAAAACTGAACTAAGTGGGCCAATGACAGAGCCCAAGGACAATACCTAGATAGAAAGAGGACTCAGAGGAGTCAGACTCAAATTTGGTCAAGGAGTGAATTTTTTGTTAGTCTAAATAAATAAACTAAGCAATCTTGGTGTTAGTCTCTCTTGGAGGACCACCCTTGTACTGTACCTGGTTTGCCACATGGTGAGTCTCCACTATCAATATGACGTAGACTCAAACTTTTCCAAATTCCTCCCAAATCAAGTTAACTTTAATTCACTGAGAAGTTCGTGAGAATGTTTAGGTAAAGTTGCAACAGGGTGCTCACGTTTCTGTATAAATGGCTTTCTTCTATCACCAGAAATTTTATATATTTTCCCCTTCTCTATAAATATCTGGAATATATCAGTGAATAAATGAATGATCTTTCTTCTTGCTTTTCTCCTCTCATCCAGATAAAACCAGTGAAAAGATTCTTCTTGGTCATTGTTCTTTTGGAGTATGAAGGTGCAGCTCTCTGTGACTTGACACAGTTTGGGTCTAGGAATTGCTCTAGAGATGACTTGTGGCCTTCTTATCAGAGACATTTTCTAGAATTACTGAGGTCTTAAGGTACTATCTGAGGTGGAGATGACAGCAGAAAAGGTAAATGAAGTTGAGAGTTAGTTAATAATAAAAAAATTTATTTATAACTTACCTATAATAATTATCATCATTATTCTAAATATATTGAGTTCACTTGTTGAGTAGTATTAAATGTAATATTTGTGGGACATGTCCTAATTTTGAATTTTATTGAAAGATAGTGTGCACATTTCATGTATCTGTGCATGCATATGCAAAGTTTTTTCAACAAATATTCACAAGTGCCTACTCAATATCAGACACTATGTAAACTGTTATTCACCTATTAAGTTTGTCTTATTGCCCTGGGAACTCTGGAAACACACCAGATTTAAAACATTAAAACTATGTTGATGTGCTCCACCCAAATAAGCTTCTGACATATTCCAGCTCTAATTCTATTCAGTACAAAATTTCTAGCAGTAACAGTGGCGATTATCATTTAGCTTTCAAATATGTTGTAATTACACTTTTAAAATTCAATCACCAAAATCTCACCATTAGATAATTGTAAAAGGTATGAAAATGTCAGCCCCCAAAACACAATAATTTAGCAATTTAAAAGTGAAAGCATACATTTTCTGGAGAAAGTAACATTTTACCTTGGCTCTTGTGTTCCTTCTGAAGAAAGGAGTATGGGTGGTTAATTTTTAGGCAAGGCCATTTCCACTTTGTTTTACCAGTAAAAAATATGCTAATTAACCCTGGAGTTCAACGAATTTTACCAAAAGTGATATGAGGGGGTCATTCCCGTGCTAGCAGTTTATTTGGTTGATAGCATGGCTTATAAATGTGAGAAACAGAAAATACTCAAATGAATGCACACCTCCCTAGGACATTTCACGGTGTCTTTCAGCATAGCAATAAAGTTAAACAACTCCCTAAACATGTGTGTTATGAATAGGGCCTTTTGCTAAGTAAAGATGATTTGTTTCTAATACTAAACCCAGTATCTCACTTTCTGGAAAGATAACTGAACCAAACAGCTATTGGTTGGTTAGAATTAACTTTAAATTATTTTCAAAATGTCAAAAAAGGAATTACTTTTTTCTTCTTGCCTGTTATTTTTCCAGTTCTTTTTAAAACAAAGTGTTCATTTTGGGGCATGACAGCTAAAATAGAAATGTCTTTGGCATAAACTCAGCTCTCCTAGCCTGCAGGCAAAATATAAAATTGTTAAATTGGAGAGGACCAGAAAGCGGATGATAAAATTTGTCCATGGAACTTCTGTTAATAACAAACATTTGTCCCATGACATGTACTATAAGTAATAACACATGACAGGGGATGGATTTGTCACTGTCCTGAACAGCAGGTTTTGGTGCCTGTAAGACAACAGGCCAAGTTCACCTAGCCCTTCAGCTGTGGCTTCCTATGAATCTGTTGGGGTTTTCATTAAACGTCCTTTTTTAAACTTGGAAAGACTTGGGAAGACAATTCTCAGATGTGTGGGTCTAGGTTGGTCTGCCTTTAGAATTTTAGAGGCAGCTTGGTTTGTTGTGTCTGGTTCTATTTTCTACCGCAGCAGCATTTGCTGTTTCCTAAGAGTCATGCCATTTAAGCATTTTGCCTCCATTTCTTCTTCACTCAGTAGTCAGAAAGAGAGAGGAGGCGATTCTGAAAAAGGCAGATAGACAGTAGCAGAAGCGACCATGTTGATAGTTAGTAGAGGCAGCAAGGCCTTCCCATTTTCTGGCTTTGTTTCATCATATTTATTGAATCTAAGACATCATGGATGGTGAAATGCACCATTATTTTATGCACTGACCAAAACTCTTCTTGACCAAACTTCAGTCAGGTTCCTCTGAGCCCTCTTCCTAAGGTCTCAGCCTTCCTTCCATCTTTGCTGGACCTGCATAGCCCAGTTGTAGCAAGAATCCTATTAAGTTAGTTTATCAAAACTTCCCCTACTCTTGATGTGTCCTCTTAGTCATTTTTCATCCACTGAACCCCCCTCCCGCCCCCGCTACCCTGTTCCTTAGCTATACCTCCCCACTTGTCCTTGCTGTATTCAGAATTGAGCTCAGTCCTATACTGAGGTTTCTTTTCCCATATTGCAATCGCTCCTGAATAAAACGTGTTCCAATTGCTTTAAATACTGTCTGGCTCAGGTTCTTTTTAATGGTACCAATACAGAAAAGAGGATACATTTCCAATCAATCCCAGATGCAACACCTTAATGATAGTCCTCTGTGAAGCCTGGGTGGGCCACACAGCCTTTGTCCGGACATTTCTTTTTATCTATTACAAACTATTTGGCATTTTCTCTTGCCTTTGGTTGCACTGCTTGGCCTGTAATAAGAATTCTTTTGCACTTATCTCAGTAACAAAATGTAACAAAGCCTCATAGACCTGTAAGATTTCCCCTTCTTAGGTCTCCTAAAGCACCTGGATCCTCTTTCCAAGAAAAGAAGGAAATGCAGTCATTACTCCTACAAGGAACTTTTGCTTCACTAATATCAAAGTCATGGCAAGTTGCTGTTTCCCTGTCTTTCTGCATATTAAAGTCACTTTTTGTGTCAATACTGAGTAATGGCATAATCTTATTGAAGATGTTTTAAATAGTAACTTAAAACCAATGCCTTTGTTGGTGTTGCACCTTTCCAACACTAGACATAAAATCAATTGATATAACAACATAAACAGTTATGACCAAGTTTGCAGGCAGCAACCATTTAACTCCCCATGGCTGCGGCCCAGTGACAGCAAATCTAAGATGCCTCCCAATTTTAGAGATGCTAAAATATGAGAAAAATGTTTATGACAGAATTAGTGCCACACCGTGTTATCCATTTACACATTGTACAGGAGCGGTAAACTCAAATGCTCACAAGGCCAATTAAATCAGGTATTTAGCCCGACTCTATGTAAGAAACATGTACCCTCTACACCAAATATTTATTTCACTTTTAGCAGAAGCATGGCTTCAAAGGAATATTGAATACTATAAAAAAGCACCAGGCCCCTGTGGTGGCTTCACAATAGGGAACTAGAGAAAACTGAGGAATGCATGTCTCATCTAACGGAACCAGATACCGCACAGCTCAGATCAAACATTATCATGTCAGTCATCCTTAAGACTTTGGAGGCAGTATTGCCCAGTCTTCTGATTTTTGAAGAGAAATAGGAAATCTGAATTTTTAGGTGAAATCCCTTAAAAATTCATTCAAAAATTTTAAAATGCCAGACACCCCTCACAAAGCAAATCTACATCACACATTTGGTTCTTCGTTCACCAATTTGTGGCCTATGCAAAATACACCTAACGTGCATGGGTCACCCATGTTCTAAACATCACCATTTATCCCACGGGTACATTTAATCCAAAAACTATCAGCATGACTTGAAAGGTAATCATATCATGGTAACAACTTTGCCCATGAAGCATGAGGGCATAATAGGTGCCAGTAGAAATACTCCATCAGAAGAGTCATTTGTAGTCCATTTTAGATATGTTTCTTCTGTCTACATGAAATAGAACCAATTCACTAGAAGGATTTCAAGGCTTGGAACTGAGAAACAGCAATTTTTCAGAAAGTAAAAATTGATTGTTTTTAGGGCACAAAGTATTTGTTTAAGAATGAGAATTCCTGCTCTCATTCCCATTCTGATGCTGCTTGGTGCTCCTTGAAAGGCAGCCTCGTCACAGCGGACGTGTAGCTATGAGCCTCCCTGCTCTCTTGGGGCTGTGTGAGGGGAAGCCCAGACCCTGGGACCCAGAGGACCTGAAAGTGGAGGATGCAGCTGAATACTGGTGAATACCCTTTGCATTGTCCTCTGCTTCCCAGGCCTCAGAAACATGACTTTCTTTCTTTTCCCTAGGAGAAGGGAGATGGGAGAATGAAGAAATAGAGACTTACTATGGCTTAACTCATTGCATTCATCTCTGATTTAAAAGCTTGGAGTCAGCCAAGATGCTGAATCCTGAACATACCTGCCCTCATAATGGACTTATGATATCCTCTAAGGGTACTTTGTTTTCTAGGACTCAATTTTACTATCTGTAAGGTAAGCAGATAAGATTAAACAGGTGTTTTTTCATCTGTGCTCTGAGAAACTTTAAGGACTCAGATAATTTGCCTAAGGAGAGGGACTTGGTTTTATGTCGCTTGCATTTGGTCTTAAGAGTAAAGCTTCCATTTAATAGGACAAATACACATTTAAAAATGCAGTGTTTGAAAACCACTGGCTAGATGATCTAAGTGATCTGTAATGAGGCCTCTCCAGCTCTGACACTTTGTAATTACAAAATTTCTTCAACTTGCATGTACTTTTCAATACCATTCTCACAAAGCAAAATGCACAGACATTTAACTCCAGTTTTACCGAAAATATGAGTCAACATGAAAATTCTGGGAAGGCTGAGTATGAAAAGGTATAAATGGCTTTGATTTCTTTTCTTCCAAATGAAGCTTTCTTTTTTCAGATTTTTTAAGAGATGACAGGCAAAGAGTATGAGTCTGGGAAAGTAGCTTACACTAGAAAAAAGGAGACCTCATGTCTATTCACTGTCAAACACGTACTCCCTGATTTTGCACATACAAGTGAAGAAGAGAACTGGGAAATTCTCAGCATTTAAAGGTTCCAGACCATTTTCTTCTGGAAATGCAGGAAATTGCGGTTAAAATAAACTCCACTATGCAAACTAGGCATAAATCTGACTACTCCTTAAACATACCCAGGAATTTCCCACCCTTTCTGCTTTGCCTGAAATGTCCCTCAGCCCCCTCATCCTCACCTCTCTAAATCCAGATCAGATCCGGGCTGAATGGAATGGTGAGTCCATTTCCAATCTCTTCTTTCCTCAGCCCCTTTCTTCTCAACTCCTGTAGCACCTGTCATCTTTTTTTTATTCCTAGTTTTGCTTTAAACAACAGAAATTATTTTCTCACTATTCTAGAGGTTAGAAATCCAAAAGCAAGGTGTCTGTAGGTTTGGTATCCCCTGAGACCTCTCTTCTTGGCTTGCAGATGGTGCCTTCTCGCTGTGTCCCCAGGTGGCCTTTCCTCTGTGTACATGCCCTTGGTGTTCCTATTATCTTTTATACTTACCTTCTACAAATGGCTAGTTTTGTCAACTCCATATGGACATACATATGGATAACTTTTACCCTCGTACTCCTGAAGTTAGGGCCCACTTCTTTTTTTTTTTTTTGTATCCTTCATGGTTTCTTGCACATATGTAAATAGGTAATCAATAAATCAGTTGAAGGATTAAATGAATAATTTTTGCATCTATGGGCAAAAACACTAGTATTACCATATGAGGGATGACAATATGGGCTCAATAATATGGCACTTTGAGAAAAAAATGAAAACAACCCAATTGTTCATATGGTTGTATGAGACTAGATAGTATCATGACAACAGTGCTTACCATATAACAGAAAGTGAAGAAAGTAAGATGTCGGTATAATGCTACAAGTTTAATCATGTGTTTAAAGAAAATTCATATTTAAAAACCTAGAAGATATTTCAAGAGAATGCTTAGGATGATTGGTTTCAGAGTAGTGTTTCCATTTTTTTGAAGAGTTAATAATGAGGCTTATATTATTTTAAAAATGAAAAATATAAAAATGAACATGTTTTAAGTTTTTTTTTTTTTTTGCTAAAAGTGATATAAAACCAGTGGGATTTTATTATAACAGAATTAGAGGCCCATATGATTGACAATTTTCAAAGAAATCATTTTATAGCAAATATTCTTTTTTGGTATTTCGTAGACTAAAAGTTGCTAGCCCCTTCTGGAGGTTTCATCATGGGGCTTCCTCTTCATAAATTCCATTCCATAGAGAACAGTGTTGTACCAACATGTCTGTGTCTTGCTACCAAGGAAAATTTCATAAGCAAACTGAACCAATTTGTTTCCTAGTGTATGTTTATCCTCATTAAGAGCACAGAGAGTTAAAAAATACGGCAATTATCTCAGATGTCTCTAAAACACTTTCATGTTTGAAGCCATGGCCTGGATTGGGTCCTGAAAGATCCAATCTAGCAAAAGCAACAAAGTCTACTAGTAACCTAAGGAAAAGCCTCAGAACATTTTGTCCTCTGACAAGTACTGACCTGGATCTGATGGTTGAAAAGCCACTAGACAGCGTTTCCAGGGATGGGGGGCATGTCTGCTCCCGACCTAGCTTTAAAGGAGTATGTGTGTGTGGTTTTGTGTATGTTTATTTTAAGAGAGTATACTTCCCCCAAGACAAAAAAAAAAAAAAAAAAAGGAGATAGGATATTTTACCACTTTTTAAAAGAAGGACCCAGTTACTTCAAAAGACTTGCTCAAAGGAATGTGTCTAAAATAACACATTCCACCTCATATTTCTACAGCTTGAAATATGCACAAATCACCCCATACTCCTTTTCTGACCTCAATTCTCTTACTGCCTCTAAGTCACCAAGAAAATGCCCCATAGAGCAAAATAAAATTCTAACGTAATCTCTTTCACAGCTCTTTCCTGTGTGACATAGTCCCATGAAATTATATACATTCACAAATCTGCTGTAGTGTTCCTGGAAACTTTTTCATTTTCTTGATTACAAAAACAGCCTTTCTCACACCCTTCCCCTTTCTCCTACTTTTTTCCTACATCGGATGCAGATGTGGTTGTCAGAGTTAGAGCAGCCATATTGCAATTAGGAAGGAACAGCTGAAAGGAATGCAGAAATCTTGGATCTGACATTGTAAAATTGCCGAACTGAACTGAATTACCCAGTTCCTCCATTTGTTTTGCTGTTTGTCTGATTCCTTCTCCACTGTTCTTGAGCCCCTATGTGAAAACGCATCCATCTGCAGACATGCCTATGATGCACATTGCATTACACCAGTGTTGACCAGTGTATGTGCCCTCAGAATATGTGTTTGATGATATAATCCATCAAAATAGTGGGATGAAGACACGGTATAGAGATAATTTTGTGACCAAATATATTTGGAAAAAAAGATGGATACTCTGTTCCCCTTCCAGAGCTTCACAATGCATATAAAACTGTTACAGACTTTGAAAAGGAGAAATACTATTGTAGAGAAATCTAAGCAACATTCAGAAGCTTCCCAATTTTATTGACCAAGGAACTAATACTTAAATTAATCCCTTTGTCATCTACAGCGCCTCCCTCAGAATTAGGGTTCTGAGGACCACGTATGGGAACCACTGTACTACATTCATCCATAATTATTTCATAATTATCATTTTATGCTTTCTTATTTACAAATGATCCATATGTTCTAACAAATTTTAGACAAACTCCTAGGAATTCAAACCAACGGAAATGTTGACACATACCAGACAAAGGCCGGTATAAGGAAATATGTGATTACTTCTGGCTAGTTACAAATTCCCCATTTTCTTTGGCTAGAAGATGCTGTCATTGACACTGTCAGCAATTATAACCTACATCTGCATTTCTGGATGAGACAACTCTTCTCAGGCAAAGTGCTTAACACCTGTATTCCTTGATGAATCTTTGCTGCTGTTCTCTGTGAGGACAATCGCTGAGGTTCTGGGAAACAAGCGATTGTCTCGAATGTATGACATATTTGGTTTGTCATGTGTTCTTAAGGTCCTTCTTCACCTTGCATGCCGAACTTGCTTTCCCTTTGGGTAGAATTTGTTCTCTTGGCAGAGGTAGTTGACAAACCTCCAAGGAGAACTGTAGGTTGTAGTCAACCACCTCCAGCATCCTTTTCCAAATTACTTACTCTGTGCCATGAGCCCAGCTGTAGCTATCAGGGTGTGTTTGTTTTTTCCCTTTGCTCTCTTCATATTGTCTCAATTTTTGAGCCAGAATAATTTAAGCACTAGGGTCTTGTCGGGTTTTGCAACCATGAACAGCCTTACAAAGTCTAGGCGTTTTGCCAGAAATCTAAACTTTGTTGAACTATGTTAAAAGGTTAAGCGTTTCACAGAGTTTGGCCTCCCCCACCCCCACCACACTCCCTGCCTCTGCCTTGTTGGTAAATGTCTGCTTTATCAAGAAATGGAATAACTAATAATGTGCTGGATAGAACATTTTCAACCATCACACTGTAACCATAGTAGTGCTAAAAACCCCAAACAAATGTTATTCACACTTCTCTCCTTAATCAAAAAGCTGAGGACAGAGAGTCATTGTTGTCATTTCAAGATGAAATGCTACACACTTTCCATAAAATACAAGTTTTAAAACAAAACTCTTATCAATTATTTGTAAAAATTTCTATGTTAACCAAACAGCTTCACTAAAATGAACGTCAATGAATGAAAATAAATCACAACCTCTCCAGACTGGAGGGAAGTACTGGTTCCTTGGCCCCTAGTTTTGAAAGCTCCCTGTGGTTATTTCCTGGAACACCGAAAGCTGGTTTACTCTTAGGAAGCTTCCGAGGTTTTCAAGTGCACAGTCAACAAGCCTAATGAAGAGAAAGGAAATTTAAAAATGTTTGCGAATTATCCTGGGTCCCCTTGTTTCCTTAGCCCCACATCGCAGCTAAGAGTAACTGCTGTCAACTTCTCTGATAAAAGAGTTCCCTCATTTGCCTAGTTCTCTCCATCCCCACTGTGGCCATCCTGATCCCAGTCACTACCCTCTCTTGCCTGGATTCCTATAATAGTGTCCTAACTGGCCTCCATTCATCCACTCTGCCTCCATTTTCCCAGAGCAGCCAGGCCATGAGGTCATCAGTGTCTTAAAATAAAAACACAAGCATCTTATCTTCCTTTATATGGCCTCATCTTAAAGCACGGAAGTCTCACCACTTGGAGGCCTTCTTTCTTTGCTGCAAACACACCAAGCTTATGTCTGACTTTGAGCCACTGTGGGGCATGCCCTTCTGTCATCTTTGGCTGGCTGGCTCCCCGCTGTCCTCAGTGATCAGCTTAAGTGTTGTCTCCCTAGGAGAGCCTTTCCCAGCCTCACAATCTAAAATCTCTCCTCCTCAAACCCTCTGTTATTCTCTACATAATCCACTTTTTAAATATTCCACCTGACACTTTCTCTAATATTTTTTCTATTAATCACCTGTCTTCTAACCGCCTCCACTGGTCATGGGCAAGAATCATACCTAGTTTACTGATGTATCTCCAGCACCTCTAATAGTGCTTGGGACACCAGAAGAACAAGATAAATATGTATTGAATGAATACATGAGCAAGACCAGAATAAAAAATTGGGTGATCGCTGCAGCTCCTGTGGCTTAGCTGTCAAAAGGCATAACAAGAACAGTTATTAGCTACTTTTGGGTAAGGGTCTGTCAGGGACTGAACATTTGATAGATGTTTTAGGGTATGCCATGCACATTTGCCAACTGAACCAGAGAAAATACAGCATTTATAGGCACACAAGAAGCTATGTTTGTCTTCTCTTGTGGGGATATTTGTGTCTTCATCATTTTCAGAATAATATTTCCAAGACAATCTCCTGAGAAGACATTTCCCTAAACAAAGAACATACATTTTTGCTTAATGAGCTAAGGTAAATGACTGGGGGATTTTTGCTAGATTGCCACAACTTTATAAGGAGTTTATGAACACTCGATTAAGTAAAATAACATAGTGCCCTTACTTCTCATCAAATAGCCAACTTACATGACTCATATGCATAGGTTGAAAACTACATCTGCAATCAAAGATCAGAGGCAAAATTGATCACTGGAAACTACTTAATACATCCTTGGCTTCTAAGCTGGGCTTCATCTAAAGCCAGGATTAACAACGGAAAGCATGACCAGAATGGAATGTGAGGTTTGAACACTGGGGAGAAGATGTCCCCAGGGCTGTGAACTGCCTTTGGTCAGCAGTCCTGGGAGCCAGGCTTGTTTCAGTCTAATGCAATTTTGCTCTCATGATCAATGGGATGGGAGGAAAACTGAGTGAGTAAACACACCAAAATATGTTTTATAAGATAAGAGAAAAGAGAAAGATCATGTAAGGTCACTTCTGAGAGAATGAAGATAATGACAAATGTATTGATAGAAGAAAGAGCAAGGAAATAGGCTGCCTCCAGCTTCATATGTAATAGAGCTTATAGAAGGCACAACTTTTTTGAGATTCACACCTCCATAGAGGCAGCCAAAGTAGAACCTGATCTGATAAAATTAGTGTCCTGCCATTGATCATACCACAGGTAAAGATACTAGATGATAATAAGGATAAGCAACTTCCTACTCCTAAACTCTCACAAGAGGAAGCATAGGATAAGGAAAAGGACTGCAATCCTTTTTGAAGTATAACATGAAAAGAAAAATTATAGACCTGGATCAAAGAGGGCACCTCTATCTTCACTTATTTATTTAATATGTATTTATTGGGCAATACTCTGTGCCAGGCATTGCATCTGGTACCAGGTACACAAAGATAACTAAGTTATAGGTCTTGAAAATAGGTATCAGGAAAACATGGACTATAACAAGCCCTACACAAGTTGAGGGTGGCTGGAGTGGCAGTGTCAGGCCAAAGAGGGACTGCTAGGTAAGAAGGGAGAAATATGAGCCTGGTGAGGCCCCAAGTCATTTCTGAAAATATTGATTAAATACAGACATACCTTGTTTTATTGCACTTTGCCTTATTGCACTTCACAAATACTGCAATTTTTACAAATTGAAGGTTTGTGGCAACCCTGCATCTGCCAACTCTATGAGAGCCATGTTTCTAACAGCATGTGCTCACTTTGTGTCTATGTCACATCTTAGGATTTCAAACTTTTTCATTATCATTATATCTGGTATAGTGGTCCGTGATCACTAGTCTTTGATGTTACTCTTGTAATTATCTGGGAGCATCAGGAGCCATGCCCACGTAAGACAGTGAACTTAATTTATAAATGTTGTGTTTTTATTGCTCCACTGACTGGCGGTTCCCCCATCTCTCTTCCACTCTTTAGGCCTCCCTAAGACACAATAACTGAAATTAGGCCATTTAATAACCACACAACAACCTCTAAGTGTTCAAGTAAAAGGAAGAGTTGCATATCTCTTTCTTAAAATCAAAAGCTAGAAATTACTAAGCTTAGTGAAGAAGGCGTATCGAAAGCCGAGACAGGCTGAAAGCTAAGCTTCTTGAGCCAGACAGTTAGCCGAGTTGTGAATACAAACGAAAACTTCTTGAAGGAAATTAAAAGTGCTACTCAAGCAAACACATGAATGAGAAAAAAACAAAACAGGCTTATTGCTGATACGGAGAAAGTTTGAGTCGTTTGGATGGAAGATCAAACCAGTCACAATATTTTCTTAAGGTGAAGCTAAATCCAGAGCAAGAACCTAAGTCTACTTAATACTAAGAAGGCTAAGAGAGGTGAGGAAGCTGCAGAAGAAAAATTTGAAGCTAGCAGGGGTTGGTTCATGAGGTTAAGAAAAGAAACCATCTCTATAACACAAAAGTGCAAAGTGAAACAGCAAATGCTGATGTAGAAGCTGCAGCAACTTATCCAGAAGATCTAACTAAAATAATAGATAAAGGTGGCTAGACTGAACAACAGATTTTCAATGCAGATAAAATAGCTTTATATTGGAATAAGACGTCATTTAGGACTTCTATAGCCAGAGAAGAGAAGTCAAAGACTCAAAAGAGAGGCTGACTCTCTTGTTAGAGGCGAATGCAACTGGTGACTTTAAGTCGAAGCCAATACTCATTTACCATTCTGAATGTCCTAGGGTTCTGTCTTGGTTCATTTCTGTTTCTATAAAGAAATATGCAAATCTGGGTAATTTGTAAAGAAATCAGGTTTAGTTGGCTCATGGTTCTGCAGGCTGTACAAGAAGCATAGCACCAACATCTGCTTCTGGTGAAGACCTCAGACCGCTTCCACTCATGGTAGAAAGTGAACAGGAGCAGGCAGAGATCACATGGGGAGAAAGAGGTAGAAAGAGAGAGAGAGAGAGTGAGAGAACACAAGTGGGGAGGGAGGCACCAGACTCTTTTTAACAACCAGCTCTCACGGAATGAATAGAGCAAGAAGACACTCATTAGTGTGAGGATAGCATCAAGCCATTCTGAGGGATCTGGCCCCCACAATCCAAACACCTCCCACCAGGTCCTACCTCCAACACTGGGGATCAAATTTCAACATGAGGTTTGGAGGGTCACATACAAAAACTATATAGTAAAGCTTTAAGAATTATGCTGGCCGGGTGTAGTGGCTCACACCTGTACTCCTAGTACTATGGCAGGCCGAGGTGAAACCCCATCTCTACTAAAAATACAAAAAATTAGCCAGGCGTGGTGGCGGGTGCCTGTAGTCCCAGCTACTCAGGAGGCTGAGGCAGGAGAATGGCGCGAACCTGGGAGGTGGAGCCTACAGTGAGCTGAGATCGTGCCAGTGCACTCCAGCCTGGGTGACAAAGCAAGACTCCGTCTAAAAAAAAAAAAAAGAGTCAGGAAACAACGGATGCTAGAGAGGATGTGGAGAAATAGGAATGCTTTTACACTGTTGGTGGGAGTGTAAATTAGTTCAACCATTGTGGAAGACAGTGTGGCAATTCCTCAAGGATCTAGAACCAGAAATACCATTTGACCCAGCAATCCCATTACTGGTTATATACCCAAAGGATTATAAATCATTCTACTATAAAGACACATGCACACGTATGTTTATTGCAGCACTGTTCACAATACCAAAGACTTGGAACCAACCCAAATGCCCATCAATGATAGACTGGATAAAGAAAATGTGGCACATATACACCATGGAATACTATGCAGCTATAAAAAAGGATGAGTTCATGTCCTTTGCAGGGACATGGATGAAGCTGGAAACCATCATTCTTAGCAAACTAACACAGGAACAGAAAACCAAACACCGTATGTTCTCACTCATAAGTGGGAGTTGAGCGATGAGAACACATGGACACAGGGAGGTGAACATCACCCACGGGGGCCTGTCGGGGGGTGTTGGAGGCTAGGGGAGGGATAGCATTAGAAGAAATACCTAATGTAGATGATGGGTTGATGGGTGCAGCAAACCTCCATGGCATGTGTATTCCTATGTAAAAACCTGCAGGTTCTGTATCCCAGAACTTAAAGTACGATAACAATGATAAAAAGCCTATAATGGTCTGGTGGGAATCTTAGATTCAGCTTGATAACATACACACACACACACACACACACACACAAAAGAATTATTACAAGTATTCTCTGCCTGTCATCTATAAATAGAATAATGAAGCCTGGTTGACAGCACATCTGTTTACAGAATGGTATACTAAATATTTTAAGCACACTGAAACCTACTGCTCAGGAAAAAAAAGGTTCCTCTCAAAATATTACTGCTCACAGACAATGCACCTGGTCACCCAAGAGCTCTGATGGAGGTGTACAAGGAGTCATGTTGTTTCTATGCCTGCTAGGACAACATTCCTTCTGCAGCTCATGGATCAAGGAGTAATTTTGACTCTCAAGTCTTATTATTTAAGAAATACAGTTTTGTTAGGCCATAGCTGTCATACACTGTGATTCCTCTGATGGATCAGGGCAAAGTACATTAAAAATCTTCTGGGAAGGATTCATCATTCTAGACACCATTAAGAACATTCATGAGAGGAGGTCGAAATATCATTAGCTGATATTGGAAGAATATCATTAGCTGATTGGAAGAAGCTGATTCCAGCCTTAATGGATGACTTTGGGGGGTGGTTCAGGATGTCAGTGGAGAAAGTCTCTACAGATGTGGCAGAGGTAGCAAGAGAACTAGAATTAGAAGTGGACCCTGAAGATGCCGTTGAATTTCTGCAATCTCATAATCAAATTGGAACAGCTGAGGTGTTGCTTCTTATGGATGAGCAAGGAAAGTAATTTTTTGAGATGAAATCCACTCCTGGTGAAGATGCTGTGAACATTGTTGAAAAGACAACAAAGGATTTAGAATATTCCATAAACTGATAAAACAGCAGCAAGATTTGGGAGGATTACCTCCAATTTTGAAAGAAGTTCTATTGTGGGTAAAATACTATTAAACAGTATCACACGCTACAGAGAAGTATGTCATAAAAGGAAGAGTCAATCTAACCTTCATTGCTGTCTTACTTTAAGAAATTGCCACAGCCACCCCAACTTTCAGCAGTCACCACCCTGATTAGTCAGCAGCCATCAACATTGAGGCAAGGCCTTCCACCAGCGACAAGGTTTATCACTCACTGAAGCTCAGATGATTATTAGCACTTTTTAGCAAAAAAGTGTTTTTTAAATTAAGGTATGTGTATTTTTATTTTAGATATAATGCCATTGCACAGACTACAGCATAGTGTAAACATAACTTTTTTGCTTTTTTTTTTTTTTTTTTTTTTGAGATGGAGTCTCACTCTGTCACCCAAGCTGGAGTGCAGTGGCACGATCTCAGCTCACTGAAACCTCCACCTCCCAGGTTCAAGCGATGCTCCTGCCTCAGCCTCCCAAGTAGCTGCAATTACAGGCACACACCACCATGCCCAGCTAATTTTTGTATTTTTAGTAGAGATGGGATTTCACCATGTTGGTCAGGCTGGTCTTGAACTCCTGACTTCAGGTGATCCACCCACCTTGGCCTCCCAAAGTGCTGTGATTATAGGCATGAGCCACTGCGCCCAGCCTAAACATAACTTTTATATGCACTAAGAAGCCAAAAAATGTGTTTGACTCACTGTATTGTCATGTTCTGGAACCAATCCTGCAATCCCTTTGAGGTATGCCTGTACTTCTTTTTCTTTTCAGTTCTCTCTCCATCATAGCTCAGTGAATACTACCAAAATATAACTTATTTTTATCACTTTTCTGAACAGGTGTTTTTATCTCTAAAGACAAGGGGGAAAAAACTCTAAATAAGTCTTTAAAATAGTATGTTAGCAATGGCTACTCCTGATCCTTTATCCTCATTATTTCCAAACATTCCCCCAAAATGAGATGGTTTCCCTTAATTACCATTTATTACTGTATTAAATAGGAAGCTCCTGTCCACTAACTTGAACACATTTTAGCTGCATTTGAATTACTCAGTTTTCTGAAAATGTGCAATAATTTCTTTTTTAATTTAAAATATTTTTGCCAAAATTGTACAATTCATTGGCAGTGACCACTGACACATGTATTCAACAATGTTTACCAGCTACATCCACTTTGTACAAGTGAGTGAACTGTGCAATAGGAAGACAAAGGCAAGTGAAATACAACTGACTGCTGCCCTTCAGGAGTTGACATCCTAATGAGCACAGGTAAACAGGGCATTCCAAGAGTGTGCAAAGCGCTATGACTGAGGATAAGTGCTAATTATGAGGGCACATTGTCAGACAAAGGCTTGGGGTGTCAGAGAAGTTTTTCAAGGGGAACTTCAAAATTGAAACCTAAAGAATGAGAAGAATTGAACAAAGGACAAAAGAGAAGAATGTTCTAATAAGAGCACGTATTTTCAAAAGCCCAGAGACAAGAGATACATTCCAGAAATTACAAGAGCCTATATTGGTGAGGGCTGTGGGAAGAGTGGGGTTGGAATATGTGATGGAGGAGGAAGAAGATATGGATGGTGCTTAAGTTTTCAAGCTGGTAGCAGGGGATAGGTTGTAAAAGATCTCATAAGCCGTATCAAATATTTTGAATTTTACCCTGAGGGTAATGGGAGCCTTTGGAGGTTTTTATGCAGGGAAGCCATGAAAATGATTTGTGTTTTAGAAGACTAACACTGACCCCAGACTAAAAAATAGATTTCAGGAAAACTGGATTATGGTAGCCATATAATTTAATATTACATATGGCTCCTATAACCCATATGAAGGTAGTGAAAGCAGTGGTGTCACAGGCCAAAGGGGGAACTGTTTGGTAAGAAGGGAGAAAATTGACCATGTTAAATATGGATGTTAACAAATCCATATAGAAGATTGAAGATGCAATCAGCAAAACAGTTCTTAAGGGACACAAGAAGGGATGTCATCCAGAATGCAGATTGAGGGAGTATCTTTGAGAGAAAGACACATCATCCATTGAAACAGGAGGAAAAAGCAAATGGTAGATTTGGATATAGGTAAAGTTTTCAATATGGTGGCAGGAATTGAGGAAGTGATCTTCTTGTTTCTGTTTTCTTTAATATCTGCTGGCAAGATTTGTTGTTAAGAGTAACAGGGGAGGAGGTAGGGTCAGGAGTTTGAGAAGGGTGGGGATTCTGAAATAGCCACATTGGAAAATAGCACAGAGAGATGACTAAGTAACCATGCAAGTGTCTCTGGGTAATGTTGAGTATTTTGTTGAGATTAAAGCCATACACTTCTAGTGGAATGAATCTGGAAAACTATGTTAATGGCTTCAGCAGAGCCCAGGTAGAGGTAAGAGTAGAAATTTGGAAGGACTTAGTTTAACGTATTGCCAGGTGAGTATGGAGGAAGAATGAAAATGCAAAAGATTCTGTGGATACTGACAGAAAGATGGCTCAAGGGATAAATCATGGAAGCAGAGTTGGAAAGGAATGAAATTGGCATGAAGGAAGACTGGTAGATACAGCAAAAAGGGCTAGAAATTAAATATATTTATGAAGTAAAAGGTCAAGAATATTGAGAGTCATTACATATGAGAGACTGAAGGAAAGGAGGATGATGTAAAACAGTGGCATAAATGAATTGAAATATTCTGAGGTGGAGAGAAAATCCAGGAGCTAGCAAGATCCAGGTTACGGACATGAGAATGAACAGTTCAAGGGGCATGGAGGAGAAGGCCATTGAAGTTGGGATTATGAAGGAACTGAGAGCCAGGGTGTCAGTGCATCATCTACACAGACATGCAGGAGAATGCCAGAACTCAAAGTGAAAGAAAGACACAAGTAGCTACTAAAGTCTTGAGCAGACAAAGGAATACATTGGTGGGAAAGGGCAATGAAGAAGGATAAAAGATGATACAGTCAGATGGCCTGAGCACCAAAACAGTGTTTTTTTTATCAGGCTGGATGAGCAGTGGTTTGAAAGAAGCCAAGGAGGAGGCTGCTGAGCCCACTTCCTACCCTGAGGAAAGTGATGTGTGGACAGATAACCTGACCTGACTTGAGAGGGCTTCAGGAGAAGTGATTTCCTCAGATGCAGACAAGTAATGGATGGAACCAACAGAGATGGGTTGAGGATGTAATGTTGTTGGTTAACTATAGAAAAGGGTACCACAAATCTCAGATGAGAGCCTGGGATGGTGGGAAATGGTCTGAGGTTGACTCAAGGGAAAGAGAATACCTGAGGAGAGAAAGAACTGGAGGGCCATTTGTCCTAAGTGTCAATCAAGGAAGTCAGAGATGTGAGGCATGGTGGGTTCAGCTGTCCTCAGGGTTTCCAAAGAATTAATAATAGGTTTCTTCTTGGAGCTGCAGACAGTTAGGTTGTTTGAATTAGTTACAGGTGGGATTCATTTTTGATCACTAGGGAACCTCGTCAAGGTGAGTAGGCTAGCCAAAGGATTATTTGATTCTTAAGCCTCACCTGTTAGGAAGGGCAAGCATCACTGAGGGCTGCAGCAATAGGTCAAGGGCTAGACTTTAGACCTAGTACTCACCTCCAGAGGATGAAGAAGCTCTCTACTCTTTATGGTCTGAGCTTCTAGATTCCAGACAAGCTGGGTCTTGGAGAGAGGCCCCTCAGCTCCCTTTGGAGACGGTATTAGTGGGAATGATAGGTTCCAGAAATAATGCCAGAGCTCAGGCGCAGCTGCAGCCTCTGGAGGCTGTGTGTGTGGGGGTGGGAGAGGCAGGGGGGTTGGTCTGGTCCCTCTCCAATTTTTAAAAATTATCTATTTTTTAAAAATAGAGGCTGGGCATGGTGGTTCACGCCTTTAATCCAAGCACTTTGGGAGGCTGAGGTGGGTGGATCACCTGAGGTCAGGAGTTTGAGACCAGCCTGGCCAACATGACAAAACCCCATCTCTATTAAAAATACAAAAAAATTAGCCGAGCATGGTGGTGGGCGCCTGTAATCCCAGCTATTCAGGAGGCTGAGACACAGAATTGCTTGAACCCAGGAGGCAGATGTTTCAGTGAGCCTAGATCACGCCACTGCACTCCAGCCTGGGCAAGACTCCATCTTAAATAAATAAATAAACAAAATAAAAATTGAGACAGGATCTTGCTTTGTTATGCAGGCTGGAGTGCAGTGGCTATTCACAGGAACGATCATAGTGCACTGCAGCCTCTAACTCCTAGATGCAGGCGATCCTCCAGCCTCAGCCTCCTGAGTAGCTGGAACAAAAGGCAAGGCATGTGCCTATAGTTTTTAATAACCACAAACATACAAAACAGCTGGATATTCAATACATAGAACATTTTCTATTTATTTTTTGGGCAAATGAACTAAAAGTTGCCTAACTGATGTCCTGCTATGCTTGGATTTCTTAGTGTGTATTTCTGATAAACAAGAACTTTTTTTATGTAACCACAATACATCTATTAAGTTAGGTGATTTAGTTTGGATATTTGTCCCCCTCCAAATCTCAAATTGAAATTTTATCCCCAGAGTTGGAGGTGGGCCCTGGTGGGAGGTGTTTTGGTCCTGGGAGTGAATCCCTCATGAACGGGCTTGGTACCGTTCTCATGGGAGTGAGTGAGTCTTCACTTAGTTGCCATGAGAACTGCTTGTTGAAAAGAGCTTGGGACCGCCTCCTCTCGCCATGTGATCTGCACATGCCAACTCTCCTTTTCCCTTCCACCATGAGTGAAAGCTTCTTGAGGCCCTCACAAGAAGATTCAGGTACCACGCTGCTTGTACAGTGTGCAAGACCATGAGCCAAATAAACCTCTTTTATTTACCCAGCCTCAGGATTTCATTTATAGAAACACGAAAATGGACTCAGATATTAGGAAATTAACCATGATATCTCACAGTGATAGCATCACCTAATTCTCAAACGCCATCTACGTTTTGTACATTTCCCCAATTATACACTTTAGAGCAAAAAGATCCAGTCCAGAATCATGCATTTGGTTGTCATGTCCCTTAATTGTCTAGTCCCTTCAACCTAGAACAGATTTGCAGTCTTTCCTTGACTTTCCTGACCTTGACACTGGAAACTCTGCAGACAAGTTACTTTGTAGCATGTCCCTCCGTTTGGCTTTGTTCAGTATTTATTTTTGATTAGATTCAGACTATGCCTTTTTGGCAAGAATATTTCAGAGGTGACAACATGTTCTCACTGAATTCTACCAGATTACAAGTCATTTTTATTAGTCCCATTACTGATGATGTTTACTTTGATTTCTTGATGGAAGTGATATCTGCAAAGCTTCTCCATTGCAAAATTCTTCCTTTCTCCTTAGGAATTAACAATTATTTTGGGGGAAATATTTTGAAACTATATAAATATCCTGCTTCTCTCCAAATTTTCTATTTATTCATAAATTTATTTATACCTAAATGAATTTCCTATTTCATTTAGTGGGTTATAACCCATTACTATCATTAATTTTATGCTCAAATTGTCCCAAGTTTGGCTACAAGAAGCCGATTTAAACTCATTTCTACTTCCTTTTGACATGTTCGCAATATCCTTTTAGCACATCCTTACTTTCTGGCACAAGATGTCCTGTTTCGTATTTTTCCTGTCCCATCCTTGAAATTAGCTATTTTCTCAAGGAGCCCTGGCTCTTTTGCATGGAAAATGGTATTTAAAAGCCAAGATGTGAGTGTTAGGTGTGTTCATTGCTACTGGAGTGTCACTGCTCCCACCTCTCTCAGTGGAGAAAGCTAGGAAATATATGTATGTAATACACATACAGATAACTTCCATATCCATACATTTATATCTTTAATTATCTATCTTTCTTTCTGTGTATCTACCTATTTATCCATCGTCATATCTATTATCTATCAGAGTCCATGAGTTCACATGGACATTACATATCCAATCCAACAACTGGGTTTATTCTAGTTTTCTCCCTTTCTGTATTTTTAACTCCCTTCTCCAAAAGTGAGAAATCTGTCTCAATTATTTTTATTTATTTATTAGTTTTTGAGATGGAGTCTCACTTTGTCACCCAGGCTGCAGTGCAGTGGCACGACCTCAACTCATTGCAACCTCCGCCTCCCGGGTTCAAGCAATTCTCCTGCCTCAGCCTCCAGAGTAGTTGGGATTACAGGAAATCACCACCACACCCAGCTAATTTGTTCTGTATTTTTAGTAGAGACGGGGTTTCACCATGTTGGCCAGGCTGGTCCCGAAGTCCTGACCTCGTGATCCGCCCGCCTCAGCCTCCCAACATGCTGGGATTACAGGCATGAGCCACCGTGCTCAGCCCCTCAATTATTTTTTATGTATTTACTTAATTGATCCATCCCACTGTATGTAATCTGCCATCAGTCCTCCCCTGCGAGGCTGCCTCCTCTTCTCTGCACAGCTATGATTCCACAATCTGAGCTGCCCTTGCTTCCACGTAGACAGTTCCTCTCCTGCTCAGACTCTGACAGCTCACATCACATCTCTGTGAGGCATTGCACCTGACCCTGCTTGGGTTATCTCCCACCAGGCCACCCCCAACAAGGACATTCTTCTCTCCCTGCTCGAGCTCTGACATCCCACCCCAGGCCACCTTCCTTGGAGTTTCTTTTCCTGTCCTTCTCCAGCTTCCCCTCCACGTGGACTCACTCCTCACCCTGCTCAGGGTTGATACTCTATGCCAACTTCCCTCTGCCCCTCTGCATGGACGTCTTCCTAACTCTGATCAGGCTCAATCTCCTCACCAGTCCACCCCTGCAGGGATGCCTTTCCCAGCCTGCATGGATTCTGACACTGGACACCCTGCTGTGGACCATCTTCAACCTGCTTAGGCTCTGGACCACTGCAGTCCATCTCCGACACACACATACCTCGGATGCTTGCCTTGCTCTGCCCCACTTCACGATTTAGGACCGAATTTTTCAGGAAGGAAAGAGAAGAGCTCTGAAAGACTTTTAACAGAAAATAAAGGGCTTCTAGGATGTCTACAGACTTGTAGTTTGTCATTTTCTAATCTTAATGTTTATAACTAATATTTTAGTATGAATTATTAATTTATCTGAGGTGAATAAAATTCACTGAGTTCATTGGTATCTCATAAGATGTAAAACTAGTTCTTCTGATATTCTGGAGAAATGTTTATTTTATCTGATATCTGTCTTCTATGAGCAGATGGAGTGAGCCATTCATATTTTTTTTTCATTTTGAAGAAGACCGAGGTCTGGAAAAGCTTCAAAAATTGCGGGTCTATAGCAATTGATTAATAATTAATAGTAAGCCATGTGACATTCTAGCATGTCACTTAGTAATCACCATAGTTTTAAGGAAAGCTTACTGCTTAGTGAATGTCTTTTTCTGTTTTTCACTTCTCTAAAATCTTTTAATGCACCTTATTGGGTTTTGGTGTAAATTATGAATAAGAAAGACATTTTTCTCAGTTTTTATGAGGTTAAAAAATTGATTTATAAAATGTTAACTTTAAGAATTCATTCTTTTCATTTGGTTCACTGTGTCAAGTTTGTTTGGAAATGCGACCTGTGTGTGCCTGTGTGTCATCACTTTGCATGCAAGTTTTCTCCGGCCTCATTTCAATACATGTTGTGTTAAACTACTTACTAGTGTTTTTACATTTGTAGTTTTACATTTGATCCTATATTTATTCTGATTATCTAAAACATTTCAAAAAATAAAAATAAAAACATTCAATATTTAGTCACACAAACAGATACACTATCGATTTCTTTATTTTACCTTTCCTTTACGGTGTCATGAATGTATTTAAGTAATAATCAGTTGCAAAGTGAAGCTGTCGATTTGATTGTTTATTTTCCTAGAGCTCAAAAAAACAATGGCTCAGGCTTTACTAAATTTATTTTTTCCATTGAAGGTATTTTTTCTTCTTTTGTAAAATCTATGTGTTATCATTTCTTAAAACTAGCAAATCTCTAGCCCTATTTCTGCATGGAGCTCCATTTAAAGTAAGCTATTTTGAAATCCAATAGTGACCAAAGTAGAATGTCATTTTCCTCTTGGAGTAGGGACAAGGTATTTTCTCTTCCCAAATACGAATAGAAAGAAATTCATTATTTTTCTCTGATACTAACGTTATACATTTTACAGGCTTTCTTGTTTTTCAAGGATGTGGAAACTGCAGTAATTCTAGCAGCATATTTTCCTTCAATTTATTTTTTGGAAATCTGTTATTTAAAAAAATATATGAGCCTATATCAAACTCAAAAATTTTGTAAAATAATTGCAGTACAGGTTTCAATAATAGCTACAATACCCTAGATGTTTTATAATTTACTAGTTTTGTTATTAATGATTTCACCTTCTACTAGTCTAATTGATTCTGTTAAAGATGATGGCTACATGTATCCATCAGCTTTCAATCTTGTTAGAAATTTTTTGATACTTTTTCCTATCTTATCTTTTTTGTCTTATCTACAAACATACTTTTCATCTATTAATAGATATATGGGATTCAGGAGTAAAATTATCTTTTCTGCTTGCATTACAAAATGAAAACGAATGTGCACTCCTCCCTGAATGTAGTTTATGATTTAATAATGCCACAGCTTCTGGTCTTGTTGGTATTCTTACCTCTGCAAGCATATTTTGAGGCCACCCAATCTCATACATACCTCAGGTCACGTGGGTATCAGGAATAAATGGCAAATCTCGTAAGTGGTCTGCCTCTATGCACCACATCGAGTACAAGGAGAAATGCAAAATACACCTTTTTGCCAGTTTTTCATTCCACTGAAGCATTTCCTTTGGCTAACTCATGACAATTTGCATTTTCACTTAGAATACTTTAATACTTTTGCCAATCTAATCACTGAATATATATTCATTTTTAATTAATTGACCAGAAATTCTGTCTTTCATTTACAATATAAAATGTATAGACACATTCATACCCTCAACTACAATTCAATTATGTGTATAATTTTTATAATAATAGGCTTATGTAGCCTGTGATAGTCTATGAAAAATATCATTTAAAACAAATGTTATCCTATATTTAAGTATGGGAAATGTTTTGTAATATTTGATATAAAGCAGATGAAATATAGTATTATCATCAAAATCATATCTATTATACATTCTCCCACTTTTTCTGAAACTTAATTCACTAAACTCAAATGAATAAATTCCTCATAGGAAAAAAATATCTCTCATCTGCAATTGAATTATTGATTAGGTCTGGACTTGTAGTTTGGCATCATGGATTAGACATCCCTCTGGTTTTAAGGAATGTTAAATGTTACTATAAGTTGCTTAAGGTTTTTAAAGGAGGCACACTCTCTAGGAGTTGGAACTAATTTTTAACATTTGCATAAGGCACATGTCCAGTTGGTTGAACTGCTGACTTAAATCTATCTTTGAAAGAAAGAGTAAGGCTTGCACAAATGCAAAAAGGTCAAGTTATGCTAATGAGAACCATTTAGCCAGCTGCCTTATTGGCTAACTGGCTAATTGTCCAATAGCTGACACTTACTGGACATTATAATCAAAATGCAGTATAGGCAGTAAACTCCTATGTATCTATGGCTTTTAAACCCATAAGGTATGCAAGTAACCACTGTAACTTCCAGCTGCATTCAGCTTGGCGATATGTTAACCCAAAGATGTGTGTGTGTGTTTGAGGCAGCCCAGAGGAGGACAGAGGGGAAGAAATGGCTTATGTTGCTCAGCAGGGTCCCTGCTTATGGATTAGGAACAGGGACAAAGAAACAGCGCATGGAAGACAGTAGCCAATCCATGAAGATTTTGTCATAGGGTTGAGATGAAAGGAACAAAGCAGGAAAAGGAAAAGGGTTGGGAAAAAAAGATAGGAGGAGATAAAATCTTAACAGTGAACAGTGCTGATATATGAGAAGAGAAAAATGTATTTGCCAGTTTTCAAAAAGCTACATATATGGGGATAAGGTAGAAGAGCGACAGGGGCTGGGGAGGATCTTTTTTATTTGTACTAAGAATAACCCTGTACAATGTCATTAAATTTAGAAACTGACTTTACTGGACTTTGGTATTAATTTATAGTCTAAATTGAATTTGAAAAACAACAGCAAAAAGGTAAACTAATTTAAATTCTGGTCAAGGCTTCATATTAATTTTATAATTGCCAGGAATCCTACAGGCATGGACCCTCAGCTAGAGAATCCCCAAACTTGAAGGCTTATCAACTGTTCTTGGGACCCTCTTAATAAACCATGCCTAGAATGAATTAACCTTCTCCTCAGGCCCTATTTTGGAACTTCACTGATACATAGTTGTTAGGTAAGAATCTCTCTTGTGCAATTATATTCCGATATTGTTTTCATGTTTTAGGAGTACAGCTAGTAATTAGAAATAATTATTAACATCTAAATGATAAATGCTGCTGTATGGTATCTCCTAGCGTGGCCATATAGTAGCGCAAAGGAGAAATTGGACATTATACTAACAGTGGATTTGTGAGATATAAGAGAAGGTTGTCCTTTTAAACTAAAAGAAATATTTTTAGGGTTTAACAAGGAATACTCGATGAGGAGATAAACTTTTATAGTGTGCTATTAGACCAAAAGATTTTCTTATTTATTTAGCAAATATTTGCTGTTTCTAGATTGGTTTTGCCAGCCTTTCACAAACAATGTTTCAAAGAATAATGGTTCCAGCAATAAGCTAGTTTAAAATAAAAAGTTTCATGTTTAAATGATTGTGAGAATATGGGATATTAAATCCCCCTCTTGGAGATTCCCAATATATGCGACCAAAATAAAGGTTACGTAATGTTTATACAGCTATGAAAACCTCTTTAAAATAGTTTCATTTATTTGACCCTAAATACTTCCTGTATTTAACCTTAATAATTTCCTGTAACACTATTGTACTGCAACAATTTTAAAAGCTGATGTATTTTTCCATTCATCTGCTTATCCATTTTTTTCCTGATACCATATTATTTTAATTACCAGGAATTCAAATCAAGTTTAAATATCTCATAAAATCTTCTAAGCCATTATTTTTCTTCTCAAAACATTTTAGCTCTTCCTTGCATATTAATTTTTCTAAATTAATGTCAAGATATTTTCCAAGTTAAGAAAGAAACGTTGAGGTTTTTAAATTAGAATTCATTAATACTTTAAATTAAAAGGAAGAATAGATATATTTATTTGAATAAATCTATTCTTCAAGAACAGATTATATCTTCATTTGTCCCACTCATCATTTATGGAAGAGAAAATCACTCAGTACACTTTTAAAGTTTTCTTTATGTAGGATTCTTGCTTGTTGTTGTTGATATTGTTAGTGAGGTCTTCAGTTTCAGATAATAGAGTGTTTTTAGGAATTTAGAGAAAAATCTATTGACATTTTTCCCACATTTATTCTATACTAGCCAATTATCTGAACTATTGGAAAATTTGGTGGGATGATTTTTTGTTTTCCTAGATTAACATATTATATGAAAATAATAATAATCTTGTGTTTTATTATATATTATTATTGGTTGGTTTCTTGTTTCTGCTTTGTTTCTTATTGTATTGGTTTGAAATGGAAATGTTCATGGTAATGAAAGACATTCTTATTTCCCATGGTTTTTCACCATTAAAGATGAGATTGGCAATTGATTTGAGGTGGGCATTGGTTATCTTGTTAAATAATTATTCTTCAAGTCCTAGCTCACAGAGCTATACACAAACAGAGGCTTAATTTTTATCATGGGCTTTCAAAATCTTTCTCAATGATTTATCATTATTAACCTTTTGAAATAATTACATTATTTAATATTCTAATAAATAAATAACCCTTACATTCCTTGCTAACCCTAGTTAGCGATAGCGGATTGTTCTTAGATAGACCAAGGAATATGGCTTACTTATTGTTTAAGAATTAATATACATTCATAACAAGAATTGCTCTGAGGTTTTCTTTGGCTGGAGAGGGTGAGAGATAAGGAAAAGATCTTTTTCAGGTATTTTTGGCAGGAATATTGTCCATCATTCTATATGCTTCAAAATGATTTATTAATTTAACATATAGTATAAGAAGTATGAGCTCCTTTAAATATTCCTACAAATTAACCACAAAAATATATAACCTAGAGGCCGGGCGCGGTGGCTCACACCGGTAATCCCAGCACTTTGGGAGGCCGAGGCAGGCGGATCACGAGGTCAGGAGATCGAGACCATCCTGGCTAACATGGTGAAACCCCGTCTCTACTAAATATACAAAAAAAAAAATTAGCCGGGCGTGGTGGCGGGCGCCTGTAGTCCCAGCTACTTGGGAGACTGAGGCAGGAGAATGGCGTGAACCGGGGAGGTGGAGTTTGCAGTGAGCCGAGATCACGCCACTGCACTCCAGCCTGGGCAACAGAGCAAGATTCCATCTCATAAAAAAAAAATATATATATATATATATATATATATATACACGTACATATATATACATATATATGTGTATATACATATATATACATATATATGTATATACATATATATACACATATATATATCTAACCTAGAAATCTATAAGAAATTTTTATAAGTTAAAATTTTTGTTCCATAAGTATTGATCTGTTAAGATTTCTTTAAAAATTTTGTTTAAAATTGTGTGTGTGCATCAATGTTAGTAAAAGTTAGCTCCCTGTTAAAACAGATTCATCTGTTTTTTTGCATTGATAAGAAAAAGAGAATGCAAAATAGGTATCGTTGTAAAGAAGGATTTGGAGTCAAGTACACTTGAAGAACATTGAACTGAATAAATTTTAATAGGCTTGTTTACTGCAGAACTTCTCAGAACTCTCTATGTAAGAGAGTCCTTTGACTGTCTTAATAAGAGAGACATAAGCAGGTGGTAAGTCCCAAAATTATTTACTATGGAACTACTTCGCCCTGAGCATCCTGCAGATGGAATATACTTTGAGGAATGTCAACTTCTATCATACCCATCATATAGAAACAAATAGGTAGGTAGATAAACGGACAATTATGAGAAATTTTTGAAATATTGCTACAATTTGCCTATAAGTTTCATCAATATTTTTAAATTAATCATAATTTGTCTACATTTAAGGTTTTCTGCAATAAGTGCTTTCTTGATTGAATTTCCTTGTTCTTCATGGTTGTGAGTTGTGTAATGGTCACCTCAGGTCAGTCAACAGATCTTGAGAGTTCAACATAGCAGAGTATTCTTCTTTTGACCTTTTACCCTGGTCAGTATTTTCCCTTAGGCATTACTTGAATATTTTCCTTTTAGAAAGGGTTAGAAGTGCTGCTAATTGCCATTTAGGAAAGAGATTCTAAATGAACACTAACTAAAATAAACCATGACATATCAGAGTTGGGGATTATTAAAAAGACATTACCTAACTGAGGAAAAACATAGACACCTTTCTTATGTAACATTGCAATGGCCATGGCATTACAGAACCATCCTTAGCTAAAGATTTGTAGATGCTTTATCAATAATACACTGAAGACAGAGGCTGAATGTTTTCATTTTGGATAACTGGGATTTAACTCATTGGTAGACAAACACAGAGAGACTCATACATACATTCACACAAATATGTACACACACCCCTAAACTTTACTTTGGCAAAGCAAGTGAAAGACACACAAAAGGGAAAACGATAAAGGTAAACTTTACATCTTTCCTAGTGTTGCCTAGACCCAGCCTACACAAATCTAGTTTTTTTCTTTTTAATCACACTCCCCTAACCTTGTGGTTCAGTAACATCCATCTTAATATTGAGCTGTGGAACAAGGCTTTTTCAATCTGCTCACATGCCAAGATGTGTCAACAGCCAGGAAAAGTTATGAGCTCCATGTACATGAGTGGCTTTGCGGCAGCACAGGCCCTTCAGATCTCATCAGATCTCATCAGATCTCATCAGATCTCATCAGCTGGGCCTTTCAGAGCCCAGAATGAGAAGCCTCCTACTATTCAGAGGAAGGATAACAACCAAAATGTAAATAGCCTCATGTAGTTTTGTTAATTATCGAGAAAAATAGGCCCAAATTTTGTAGCATTCTTAGTGCACTCATATAGCTAACATTTCTGAAAAAAAAAACAATATATAGATTAAAGCACTAAGACTAAAACATACACTTTCACTCACTAGCCCAAGAGTTTTTGCTGTGACCCATGTATACAAACAGGAACTACTTTTGGCATCTGATAAAGGATTCATCCATGCCACAGAAACAAGTCTTGGATGTGATCTTTGTGTCTCACATGCTGAAGCCATCTTAGAGCTCACCATTCAGGCAGGGGGTAAAAAAAAAAAAAGGCTGTGGCAGCACATCAGGTTCTGAAAGGGGAAAGGCCCATCATACAAGGAGATTGGCTGTTCTGCTTCCGCAGACATGGTTCTCATTATCCCTGATCCTAATTGTCAAACTATCAGGAATAGACTTGGTCTGGAGAAATACAGTCCTTATTTCTCACTGGCAAACAGCAAACAACAAAAATCCAAACCACAATTCTCGTTTTCATGGTTGCAGCCGAGGAAATTTCCCATAACCTCTCCCTACCATGAAATTCAACTGTCGAAGTGATCCTAACTTGTACTAGTACACTGGTGGGAGTAGCCATTGCAGCCTGCCCAAATGGTTTACAAGGGCAAGATGGATGGGAAGCAGTTTCCAGCCCCTCATATTACAGAGTCAGGAGTTGTGAGTGGCCACGGGCATCCTTGACCACTGAGGTACAACTGTTCATCTTTGAAACTGGCTCTGCTACAGGAACATTTTTAAGTGTGATACATTTTAAGGGACACAGTGGTTTACATTTTAATAGGCAAAGAGCAAAATGAGTAGTTTGTGTGGAAACAGACCTACCCAGCTAAAGTCATTTGCAGGCCTCTGCCAATAGATTCTGGAATCCTATTTCTGAGCCCCCCTGGGATGGAAGGCAGCACAGCCGTCTGACTGCCGAGGAGAGGTCTGTCCTCATCCATCTGTATTTCCTGCCACTTTCTTCATTTCCTGCACTCTTGTCTGTTTACTCCATTCTCTCTTTTCTGGGCATTCAAAATACAAGTCTTTCTCCAATTCACCTGATTTCCTCTCTGGCTTTTCAGAGGCCACTACCAGCTGTTAGAACATCCATCTCCATCATGATCTGAGCAACTGAAAGGAGAGGCTCACCTAAGCTGCCTGATTGAAGAGAAGAAATCAGGAGAAGGTTGAAGCAGCAGCCAGGTGGGAGAAAAACCCATCTTAGCACTGCTGGCAAACCTGGAAACACAGTGATCCACCAGGTTCATCGCTGGGTCATTGGGCAATCCCCTCTGCCCTGGCACCTTTCACTGCTCTCATTCAATCAATGAACATGACCAAGTATCTATTACACGCATCAGGTCCCATGCTAATTGGGCGGTGGGAAGAGGATAAGATATAAAAGACCCAGTTCTATAAACTGTCAGCTTTCTGAGAGCTCCATATTCCCAGTATCTAGAACAGTAGATGGCACACCTTAGCCTCAAGTCAGTATTTGCTGTTTCAATTAAGTAACCCTAGTTACTGCCTGGGTAGAATGGCTTGATGCCCTGCTTGAGACCAGGAGTTACAGATTTTAGTTAGAAAACAAGGCTCTTCTCTGCTCTATTGCCAATCAGGGGCGAGTTTGTATCCTCAGAGGGCAGCAGCTGCATTCCTAGTATCATCTTTGCCTCATCCGCCACTCTGGCACTGCACAAACTGAGCCCCGTGAAGCGCCGCGTTCCCTCTCTCCCTGAAGCGACGCCCCCTTCCTTCTCAGAGGGCCCCCTGAGCTGCGTCCCTCTGCCCCAGAGCTGTGCCTGGCGTCTGGCTGTCAGGAGGCACCGCGGCCCCTCCCGGCAGCTCCCGGCCGTCCTGAGGCAGGCGCCGAGCGGGGTCAGCGGGGAGTCGGGGCTCCCTGGGCCTGTCACTCAGCAAGACTGAGCCAGGGCTCCCTGACAGCCCTCCAGACCCTAGGGGATAACCGTGTCCGTGTCTGTCTGTGCATCAGATCAGAGGGAACGAAGCGCGCTCCCCCGCCTAATTCCTCCCCTTCCCTGGAATGTCCACGAGTTCCTGCTAATGCTATTGTTTGCTTTTGCTTATGCACATATAAGTCTTTGGTACACACACACTGTTTTGTTGTGGTTTTTCTTTTCCTTTCTAAAGCTAATAGTTTGTGGTGGGGTGAAGATACGGCTTTGGGTGTGGATTCAACTGGGAAAAAGAAATGCAAGCAGGATTTAGAAAATAATAAAACCACTTAATACATTTCCAGAACTGCAATTATTGCTAGTGAGAAAATATGGATAGCAATTATTTTTAAGTTCAGTGAATTGAAAAGATTGGAACTAGAATAGGATTTAAGTAAAGAAGAAATTCCTTCTCTAAACCAATTTCTGGTTGCTCAAAATTCCCAGGATAAACTAAAGTATGAAAAAAATGATGACTTCATATTATCAAAATATACATAGATTTCTGATTTGTTTTAAATACATTTTATACTAGTAAAATTCATTGATGGTAGAGAATGTTTTCCAGTTATTATAACTGATTTTAATTAAGCAGTTTCATATGTCTGGATTGTGTGTTTTGAGGTATGGCTCATGATCGGTCCACACGTAGATTTTACCATTTTAAATTTGCATTGCTTATAAGACAGGCTTTGTAGTCACGTAACCTGGGTTCACCTCCTCATGTAGCCACTTACTGTATCATGTTGGGCAAACTTTCTGTAGATTTTCTCGCCTGCAAAATTAGGGATAATAGTACTTTATGAGATTGTTGGAACATTACATTAGGTACTACATATGAAAACTAAAAACTGTCTCACACAGAATTATCACACAATAAATATTAGTTATTTATTTTTGCTAACTAATTCTGCTCAAATAAGAAAACTATGGGCCATTTAAAATAAATTATAATGTCAACATATTTTAAAAATAAAATATTAGGCCGGGCGCGGTGGCTCATGCCTGTAATCCCAGCACTTTGGGAGGCTGAGGCAGGTGGATCACGAGGTCAGGAGATCAAATCTATCCTGGCTAACACGGTGAAACCCCGTCTCTACTAACAATACAAAAAAATTAGCCGGGCGTGTTGGTGGGCGCCTGTAGTCCCAGCTACTTGGGAGGCTAAGGCGGGAGAATGGCGTGAACCCGGGAGGTGGAGCTTGCAGTGAGCCGAGATCGCGCCACTGCACTCCAGGCTGGGCAACAGAGCAAGCCTCCGTCTCAAAATATATATATATATTATTGTCCTATTTATATATTTTGGCATTTCTGAACTTTTTTGCAACATATATACAAATTCAAAAATAATTCATAGCAATAATATATAATTAGAATATATTGAAATGACAGGGCTCATTAGTAAGCTTTTAAACATTAGTCAGTCTAAGATTTGGTTTGGAAGAGATCGAGAAACACATTCAAATCTCAACCTTATTTTACAGAAAAGTATTAATCTTGTTTATTTGAAGTCAAGGTCAATAGTATAAATTCTGGGGACGATTGATGAACCAATTTGCAAAGGACATGTCACTAATAATCCCCTTCTTGACTAGAGACAATAACATAGACACCAGCCCCTACTTATAGTGGGACCAAAGGAGAATGTGTCATCTATCTAGAAATAATAAACTTATTTTCAATGCCAACTGTCTCACAGTCTATAATTTCATGTGAACCAAACACATAGCTATGATTAACTAAATCCTTCCACTTTTCAACTAGCTTTTGTACACAAACACATGTAAACGCACAATACCAAATTAACTTTTAGTTGTGTGCTATTAATTCAATCACCTTGAAAACAGGTTTTTATAGAGTCAAAATAATAAAAATTTAATATAAATATTTATTCTCAAGCTTAGGCAAAGGGACACCCTTCCCATATCATTTTAAACAACCATTAAAAACAAAAATATTCCATGTGTTTCTCGTAAACTCCCTGTAGCCTCTTAGACCTAATTTTATTTCCTTCATTTATATTATTCCCTTTTAATTACATGATCAATAAATAAATACGGATATCTGATGAGATCTGACAATTATTTTTGAGACTTTTAAGTTTACTTTTTAAGAAAACCTAAATCCTGGGAGGTAAAAATTTTGAAAATATTTGATCAGGAGATAAGGTATATCTCCATTTAAAGAAGTTCTGAAGACCAAAAAAAAATAGAATTTTAATCCCTCTGATGTTCCCTTTTGCTCATGTTTAGAATCCATTTTTCCTCTCTGAAATTTCTAGATAAAATTCAACAGGTGGTGGTTGTGGCGATGATGGTAGTGGTTAGTAGTTTTAAGAAAATATTTTTTGGAGACTGTGATGCTTGGTACACTTATTTAAAGCCCTTCATTCTGAGGAACTGAATTATAAGATAATTCCTTGGTAAGGAAGAAAGCAAGAGTGTCTTAACTGGCATAAGGAATGATCATCACAACCAGTACAAAAGAACTTTAACAATCAATCAGCCCTGTACCAGTTCAGCCACTGCCAGAGGATACATTTTTCTGTGCTCCATTTCAGACTTGGTTAAGTCTGACCTGCAGCTACAGGTCAGAACCACCAGAGGTCAGATTTTTACACCCCACCCGAATAGATGCTAAGCTTGAGTCTGAGACAGACAATGGTGTTTCTTTTCCTAGCACCTTTTCCTCTTCAATTTACCTTTATTACCACCAAATACAATGTAAGAATATTATATATAAATATAAGAGACGCATAGTTTACTTTCCTATATGGAAATGGCATCATGAGGAAAAAGTAAGGAAAAGGAGGAAATTAAGAAGACAATTATTTTAAGACGAAAGCTGGTATTGAGGAAGGACAAAAACCAAACAGCCTTCAAATCAATTTAAAAAGACAAAGAGAAACCAAAAAAAAAAAAAAAAACCCTATATGAGCATTCTGATTATCAAAATTGTATTAAGATGTTTGTTTTTATTCATAAGAATAAAGCTGATCTTCCCCAAAATGATAATACAAATAATATTGTAGTAGTAATACAGTGGTAGTGGTGGCAGCTGTGGCCACCAATATGTATTGAATGCATTGTTCTAATCACTTAACATACTATTATAACCTCATCATAAGGATGAGAAAATCAAGCGCAGAGGTTTTTCTAATAGTTTTCAGGAGCCTGGAAAATGTTTCTATCTTTTGCGACTATAATCTCACATTTGAGTGTTTGGCCAAAGATAAAAACTCAAATTGTTGGAGGAGGTGTTGGCATGAAGATATCATATTAATCCTAGGTTTATTCATCACAGAAAAATTTGGAAACAACCTATCTAATAATTGTACAATAATCAAATAAAAATACCAAATAATATGTAGTTATTACGATTAAAATTGTGAAGATTAGAAAAAACAAGAAAAATGTTTGGTTAAAAAAATTGAGAAAATTGTATCCATAACATAAATAAAACTGTATAAAATATGTGCATATATGTATAAGAATAAAGAAAGAAATCTGCTAGAAAAACAACATATTTGTTAGGGTGTAGGATCACAGGCAAAAATTTTTAAAGTAATAATCCTGGAACACACATTTTTAAACTGCCAAAGGATACAATGTGAAAAGTGTATCCTCCTGGGGCTAGAGAGCATAAGCCAACTCAATTGATTTCACAGAGCGCTCACCAGAGGTGAGTCCACCAACCACACCTGGGCCTTCCTACTTACCATGTCCAGCTTGGCTTACTGCATGCCTCAAAGCACCCACAAGATTCAGCAATAATACTGTTTTTCTTAGTAGTAATAATAATACAAAAGATGCCTATAGAGCTTTAGAGGTTTAAAAAAATTTTATTGCTTAGCTTATTTCAAGTCTAATTCCTTATGAATAAACATTGCGACTTAAAATCTCATGCTGTTGTCAGCAGAATGATATCCCAGAAGAGAGCAGAGAGGAAAATTCAGATGGATCTGGACTTTGAATAACAAAGAGGTCCACTTGTGCAATGAACAGGGCATAGCCTCACCTGTCTTTCCAATAAACCTAAGCACAGAGATATAACATCCCTAAGTATAGAGATATAACATGCTGGAACTCAGAAACATTTCATAGGAGCATTCTTGCAAAAGACAGTGGGTTTTCACTTGATACAGTAGATATCTTCTTTCTCTCTGAATTCTTTTCCCTACCAGACTCCCTCTCCATAACAACAACCTCTCTCTCATCGTGATAACCTGGGAATAAACATCCAGATTCCTGGGCTACACCTCAGAACAAATGAATGGGTGCAGTACCTGAAAAACTGTATTTTCTAAAAAGCTCCCCAGCTTTAAAAAATCAAAGTGATACCGTTTTTAGAGAGCAAAATCAATGAGGTAGGAAAGTGTACCCAACCTTTAAGGTTTTACCTTTCAGCTCACACCTAAATAGATTCTTCCTCAGCCATGAGTGCTCCTTTTAAGGAGTTGTCTACCAATGGGAAATAAGAAGCCTATTTAACCCTCACAACCTCCAACCGTTGGTCAAAACCTATAGCTGCCGTTCTTCATAGGTCCCTGCACACTGTCCACATTGAAAACATGCAGTTGAAGAGAGTTTCAAATGCCTCTTTTTTAACCACATTATGGCCGGCAATAAATGCAGAAATGTAGTCACAGCTCTACAATCAGAAAGAGGCAAAAAATGCAGCAATAGACATTCTCATGTTGTCAAGTCAAGCAGGAAGCAGGCTTTGTTCAGAGCAGATTTGAAGGAGCAGACAACTCTAGCAAAACAATGATAAAGACTGGAAGAAGTAATGTTACCCACTTACCCAAAAGGGCTCTGACATATGAGAACAACAGTCCAGTAGACAGCATGGGAAGACAACAGTCTGGCACACATGTAAAGATGATGAGTGCTCATTCATTTACTCAGTGAATATTTACTGAGTATCTACTGTGTGCCAGGCACTGTTGTAGATACTTGGAATACATCAGTGGACAAAACAAACATAATGCTTGTCCTTTTGGAGCTTATCCAGCAGGAACTTGGACCCATGCATGAAGAGGAATTCAAACCAGATCAGGATCACATATACTCTCTTGGTCACACTCCAGACTAATTCCACAGGGAGAAGGAATTGGAAATCACAGCAAGACTGTACAGCACATGCACACATTCCTTGTCATTTGTTTTATTGTGTGTGTACATATATACATATAACTACCAATGTACAGTGTTGATTATCAATCATTCATTTATTTATAAATTTCATAAATAAGTATTGAGTGCCTACTCTTTACCCAGCCTTGGCTAAGTCATGAGGTTTTGCTATGTTCATAAAATGCTTAGTTCAAGCATCCCTTCAGGGATTGTGACATATTGATACCTCAATGCAGTAGAACCTTCCTGACTATTAAAGTCGAAATTCTGGTCCTCAGAAAGAACAAACCTGGAAAATGTGATCCTAAAGAACCCTTCTTTGTGGAAGTCCATTTTTTATCAAAGTTAAATATATATTTGAAGCTCTTTTCTTTCCGAGGAGATGCACAAGCCACTCGCAGTGCCTTGGGCATTAATACATACTTGGGCTCACATACTTGCTGAATACATAGATGATGCTCTGTGATTCCCAGGTCAAAGAATAATCCCACCTGAAGGCTGTGGCACTGCCATTTCTCCTCGCCTCATTGGTTAAACACTACACTCAGACTTGCAGTCATTGACTGAAGAAGATGACAGTTTCATTCCAAAGTAATGTAATATTGGAATATGGGGTCAACATCCTTTGATTCCCAGGTTGTCAGTTCTGCTAAGAAAAGCTCTTACTTGATATGGAATTTGAGAACAACATAAAAATGAAGGAACCATCATAAAGAGAAAGAAAACAAGCCCAAAGATGTGTTAAAAGACAGAGTCCACCCTCTCAGAGGAGTCAAAGGGTGTTTAGAATCCACTACATTATCCCTGGTGAATACAGCAGGTCCTCAACTAATATTGTTTCGTTCAATGTTATTTTGTTACAACATTGATGAGGAAAAGCATCAATTCCCAGCCAAGGGCACTGTCTGTGTGGAATTTGCACATTCTCCTAGGTCTGCATGGGTTTTCTCCAGGTACTCTGGTTTCCTCCCATATTGAAGATGTGCACGTGGGGTGAATTGGTGCGTCTCCATGCCTGAGTGAGTGTGGGAGTGGTGAGTGCACCCTGTGGTGGGATGGCATCCTGTCCAGGGTGGGATTCCTGCCTCGTGCCCTGAGCTGCGGGGATGGAATCAGGCCACCTGCAACCCTGAGCTGGAATAACTGGGTAAACTATTACCTTATTTGTTTTTATTAATCTCTCTTAAATGTATATATATCTCACATTTATTTCAATGTTTAATATTAGAAGTGTTTTCATCTTTATTTAGAAGTTTGGTGAATTTTTGTGACTAGGAATATGCCATAGGAACTTAACTCATTTATATCAATTAGCCTATGGTAAAATAGGTTTTGCTATACATCATTTCACTTAAAGTCTGTTTCCAAGAACCTATGGATGACATTAAGTGAGGACTTACTGTATACAGATGATTCTTGTTATTTGTGGTAGCTGTGTTCTATAAAGTCATCATAATCACTGAATTAGTAAATGTCAAACGATCACTCCTAGAGGAAATAGAGTGTTAGTTTCCTATGAGCCTCCAATCACAGTATTTTCCTCAACCAGAGCACTATTTGCATAATGTAAGTTATACAACAAGCCAGTCTCATCAGCTTTGGAAACCTGCTCTTTTACATAACATTGTTCCTGTATGATAGTTAGTGAATTTTAAAAAAATTCTTCTGTACCCTTGAACAACTGACTTCCCTCCTTTAAGCCACCTTAGTTAAATTAAACAGGGGAAGTAAATAAAGTTTACTATATTTACTATTCACTTCTTACAGAGTTGGTAAGAAGATGAAATGAGATACTGTGCGTAAAACCCCTAAAAACCCAATAGGCATTTGAAAATAGTAGCTATTGTCATTGTGTTGTATAACAACCAAAAAAAAAAAAAAAAAGTCATCCTAAAGAAGAAAATAAATGTCTTTAGGTACTGTCTTCCAAATTCAAAATTTTTCCAAAAGACTGAGAAAACGTCCAAAGAAAACTATATCTAGATGGGGGACAAATGCCAAAGATCTAGCTCTATAATTTCTGTGAGAAAATAGAATACATGAGACGTTAGCATGATTTTTCTACCAATGCCATTACTTCTCACCATTCCGAGAATAAATTTTAAAATTCTTTCCATTTCAATCCTCCTCAAACACTTCAAAATCAAAAAGGCAACTGCCATTACCTTACACATGAAGAGACTGCCACTTCTAGGTAAACAAAAAGTGAAATCAAAGGCATGTGGAGTTTTTTTGTTTTTGGTTTGGTTTTTTTTTTTGTTTGTTTGTTTGTTTGTTTGTTTTGAGACGGAGTTTCACTCTTGTTGCCTGGGGCAGAGTTCAATGGCAAGATCTCAGCTCACCACAACTCCCGCCTTCCGAGGTGTTCAAGTGATTCTCCTGCCTCAGCCTTCCCGAGTAGCTGGGATTACAGGCACCTGCCACCACACCCAGCTAATTTTGTATTTTTAGTAGAGATGGGGTTTCTCTATGTTGGTCAGGCTGGTCTCGAACTCCCAACCTCAGGTGATCCAGCTGCCTCAGCCTCCCAGAGTGCTGGGATTACATGGCTATACTGTGGAGCAAAAAATAAAAAAATAAAAAATCCTTTACGACTCAGCTTCCCTTTCTTACACCTTCAAATCTCCTTATCTATAGTGACTCCTACGTGCCTCAAATTTCCATGGAGAGCCAAAAGGTCCCTCAGCCCTCTTCCAACCTAGTTGGAAAACTTGAGAAATTGGGATTGCAGTAGCCAGTTGACCTAAGTCCCTCTGGTGTGCAGGTACTTAAAATTTAAAAAGAAAAATTCTTCCATCTTAGCCATGTTGGGTCACCATAATTGTCCCCTTCCGTCTCTGGCTCTTGCTTTTACATAAATGTATAGTGTCTCTTTAAGCATACCACATGGGCACATAAAACTTAAAAAAATTAAACTGGTTAGTGTTTATGAGACTTCATTTTTAAAAAATGGAATCTTTAAGTCCCTTATGACTGTTTCTGAATTTCTTTTTTCTTTTTCTCTTTCTATGCCTCTTTAAATACATAAAAAGGAAACTAAATGTTGTCACTCAGAACTGCATTCAGAAGGTCATCTGCACTCCCTGTTGAAAGTATTCATGGAGGCCGGGTGCAGTGGCTCATGCCTGTAATCTCAGCATTTTGGGAGGCTGAGGTGGGTGGATCATGAGATCAGGAGATCAAAACCATCCTGGCAACATGGTGAAACCCCGTCTCTACTAAAATACAAAAAATTAGCCGGGTGTGGTGGCATGCACCTGTAGTTCCCAGCTAGTTGGGAGGCTGAGGCAGGGGAATTGCTTGAACCCGGGAGGCAGAGGTTGCAGTGAGCTGAGATCACGCCACTGCACTCCAGACTGGGCAACAGAGCAAGACTCTGTCTCAAAAAAAAAAAAAAAGAAAAAAAAGAAAAGAAAAAAGGAAAAGAAACTGATCATGGAGCATTGAGAGGAAACTGTTGTATTCTGCATTTAAAAGTGTGCTGCTATGTTCTATATGCTTAAAATATGATAAATAGTTTTTGGGATAAAAGGCTTTGTCTCTTTTTAGCTCTTTTTAGTGCTCTTAATGTTAAGGTATGTAGTATAAGAAGTATAGAAGGTTCCATGAGAAGGGCCTCCTCAGCACCACAGCCAAGAGTTTGGCCCTCAGCCCTGCAGGGCCAACCTGGAACTATCTTCCTGGTTGTAGAGTAATGTTAGCCAAGAGCATAGAGACTGGTAAATCAGAATGCCAATTTATTCTCTTAGAGTGAAGAAAATACCTTATCAGTCCAACCAGGAACTATCTTCCTGGTTGTAGAGTAACGTTAGCCAAGAACATAGAGACTGGTAAATCAGAATGCCAATTTATTCTCTTAGAGTGAAGAAAATACCTTATCAGTCCAATGGAAATGCTTGAATTATCAATTAGTACAATTAGTAAGTGAATTAAAGGTTAGTCAACAGTAGATACTGACCAACCACAGTGGCCTGAGTGCCTACGTCTAAAAGTCAAGGAAGCTCCCCTTTAACCCCTGCATAATGACTACCAACCTCTGACTCAGTAGGTTAACCTTCTATGTTCTAAGCTAGTATCACCCTTCTGTTTATCCACTGTGTCTCAAAACAATACAAAAAATTGGGTTTCCTGCTTCTAAAATTACAGTGATGTTCTTCTAGTCTCTCTGTGATTATTCCCAGAACAACACAGAGTTCAGAAACCACAGTTAAAACCAGTAAAAATAATTTTGTATTAGTTGAAGACCTGTTCATTTATTCATTTTAGAAATGGTCATCAACAAGTAATTAATGAGCACTTATTTGTTATTTGGCACCATACTGGCATTGAGCTAGACATTGTGGAAATTGCTAAAGAAATGGAATATATTTCCCTTAAGTTAACCACTTAATACTGTCCTTTGATATTAAGGAAATGATAATTATTAACAGAGGTGGCACCAAGCAGATAGGTCTAGGTGAACCCATTGTTTTCTATTGCTAGCACTTTTGTCAGTAATTATCTCAGATTCTCCATGAGAAGAGAATAATGGGTTTGACTTCATCTCACTAAATGGAATCCCAGAGGTTTAAAACTACTAATATACTTCCTAATCTGAAAATCTGACCATGATTTCCAATGAAATTAAATACAATATTTTCAAATGACAGATCCCAGTACCTGGAAACAAAAGATTCTATTTATTAAACTGCCTTTCAAAGGGATAAGATGGCCACATGACCTGGTTTGCCTGGGATAGTTCTGTTTTGTGCCAATTTTGTCTAGGTAAATACTAGTCATATTATTTTTATTGTCAAGACTATCCTGGTTTGGATGATAAATTATGTGGTCACTCTAACTATAATGTATACTTCCAAAATGATTCAAAAATTTCACCAGGTATGGCATCCCAGTTAACACCAAGTATTAGATTTCTAATGTCTTATTAGTTTGTCTTATCTAAAAGATTTTGTTTTAGGTACTCAAATCATATATAGATATATATGAAAGCTTTGCATGCCAATGTTTATAACAGCATTAGTCACAATAGCCAAAAAGTGGAAACAACTTAGATGTCCATCAACATGTGAATGGATTACCAAAAGTGGTATATACATACAGTGGAATATGACTTGGCCCTGAAAATGAAGGAAATTCTGACACATTCTACAGCCTTGAAGATATCATGCTGAATAAAATATGCCAGGCATAAGCAGACAAATATTGTAGGATTCCACCTATACGAGGTACCTGAAGTAGTCAAATCCGTAGACATAGAAAGTAGAATGATGGTTTAGGACAAAAAACCAAACACCACATGTTCTCACTCATAGGTGGGAATTGAACAATGAGAACACATGGACACAGGAAGGAGAACATCACACACTGGGGCCTGTTGTGGGGTGGGGGAAGTGGGGAGGGATAGCATTAGGAGATAAACCTAATGTTAAATGACAAGTTAATGGATGCAGCACACCAATATGGCACATGTATACATATGTAACAAACCTGCACGTTGTGCACATGTACCCTAAAACTTAAAGTATAATAATAATGATAATAATAAAAAGAAAGTAGAATGATGGTTACCAAGGTTGGTAGGGTTCTGCGGGAATATGGAGTTATTGTTTAATGGACATAGAGTTTCAGTTTGGAATAATGAAAAAGTTCTGGAGAAGGTGAGAGACAATGATGGAACAATAATGTGAATGTATTTAGCACCAATGAAGTGTACACTTAAAAGTGGTTAAAATGGTAAATTGTATGTTATGCATATTTTGTCACAATAAAAATGTGTGTTTAAAAAAAAAGAAATGGAGGATAAATTACTACACAAAAATAAAGATCAAAGAAATTCTCAATCATGTACTGAGAAAGTTCCTATAAGAGAGAGAACACTGTGAGCCATTCATGGCTAGAAAGCTTTCCCAGAAGAGGTGGGATATGAGGAAGACCTGGAATGATGCATCGTATTCCAAAAGAAAGAAAAGTAAGTAGAATGAGAAAATCTGTGTATAAGAAAAATGAACATCCTTAAAATAAATTAGTTGAACACAGTCAAGAAATGATTTGATCCCATTTGGAGATGGAAAATTCTACACTCACAGCAAAAGACTTAACCAAATTTAAGGTTTAAGCAAATTTAAGATTTTGCCCATAGGAGGAGCTTCATTATCTATTACATTTTATGATCCTATTTATTACTTAAGAAAAAATATATGTTTTTAACTTCCACATTATTAATGAAAGGGAATTAATACTCCTGAGTACAGAAGGGCATGTAACACACGTCACCCAGTGAATGGATAACCGTGACTTTGGATACAGAGGCAAACTATTGGGGCATTTAATTTTGCAGTCCAGGAATCTATTACTGCAATTCTAGGTCTAGTTGGTTCCTCTAAAAAATGTGGGCTAGTTTACAAGTTACATTATACCAATAAGGAAGCCTTTGATTATTTGATGAAAGCAGATACATTACTGTGCATTGCAAATTTAGCTCTCCCAAAAAAATTGTTGAATCTTTGCAAAATATTGGCCTTATATTTTCTAACTGCTGGAATCTTCTGAAATCTAAGAGAACACAAACATCTCAGCAGAGAAAAGATAATAATTATCTTTCTATGGTCACAAGAAAACTTTGGGTGACCCATGAGGTTGAGAACACACAGGACTGTGGTCAATAAGATTCTCTCTCATGGATGTAGGTCTTGACAGACTTTCCAGACCTCAGAACAACTAGTCACCCCAGGTGAGAAGCAAGATCATTGTGCTTTACTATAGTTAAAACACTCAAGTACAGTCTATTATGTAAACTTTGCCATACCTCCTTTCTTTCTCCCTCATTCAAGCTCACAAAGGAAATAATACTTTGGGGAAAATTAAGTTATTAGTAGTTCAGTTATATAAGAGTAAGAAAAGTCATTCTAAAAGTATCCAGGCTCTTTAAAGTAAAAAAAAAAAAAGAAAAAAAGAAAAAAAAGTCATTCTTAGCAAACTAACACAGGAACAGAAAACAAACACTGCGTGTTCTCACTCATAAGTGGGAGTTGAACAATGAATGAGAACACATGAACACAGGGAGGGGAACATCACACACCAGGGCCTGTTGCGTGGGGGGAAAGGGGAGGGAGAGCATTAATGCATGCGGGGCTTAAAAGCTAGATGATGGGTTGGTAGGTGTGGCAAACCACTATGGCACATGTATACCTATGTAACAAAGCTGAACATTCTGCACATGTATCCTAGAACTTAAAGTAAAACAAACAAACAAAAAAAACCAACAACAAAAAACAAATTATCACATGTACCTTGAAAAGATGTACAGCTATTATGTATCAATAAAATAATAAATTGAATGAAAAAATTATCTGAGCTCATTCACTAGAATGCCAAGTGAAGCTGTTCCAAGATGGTTGTCAAAGTCGTTTAAATACAAACTGTGTCTACCCCAGAGAGCACTTGAAAAGCCTTTTTAGTTGATTCCCAGGAAAACCTCAGTGGAGACTGATGGTTGACATGTGCTACCTCCATTTTGCTGATAGGAAAAGCAAAATGCAGAAAATTCTATTATATTGTCCCCCTTCCTTTAGCCAGTGGGTGATGAGAACAGAATGCACATTTTCTGGTTTCCCATCAGGGACTATTTTTTTTTTCAGCCATTAGATCCCATTCTTTTATAGGGACACTCACTACTTACAACTTGATGACTGATTTCATCTCATCCCTGAACTAACCACATGAAATAATAACTAGCTAGTGTAAAACCACACCTCCAGAACAAAGCACATTGACAACAATGAATTGCAATCCTGTAGTGTCAGCAAGCCTTTAAAAATAATTATCAAACATCATTATATATATGAAAATAAAGCTTAAATTAACCCCACTCATTTGAACAAGTCGTTCCGTGCCTCTCCCACCAAAACAATTCTTCATAAGTAGGGAGTGTGTTTATTTATTTTGCATTGGAAGCCATAAAACAACCAGTTTCCAAAAACAGATAAGCAAAGTGGCAATCTGATCAGAAAGGGTGAAAATGGCTCATAGGTACCCTGCTTCTCCCCTCACTATTGCCATTGCCAGATTCTGTAGCTTTCCTGGGCCTCTGCAATTTGACAATTTTAGAACTAATTTTAGAACAAATGTTTGAGTTTACACTTGAAAAAACTAAGGCCTACAGAGCAACCAACAGACACAAATTAATCACAAAGCAGAGGGAGACACCAAATAAATCTGATTCCCAATTCTTTGTTTTATAGCATCGTATCTTCTTGCCTTCACTAGTTTAGTAGATTACTGTCATTCGACAATAAGATATTATTCTTACCTTCCACTGTCCCCTTTCTCTGTAGCATAAAGAAAATAAGAGCTGTATTTCAAAGAGCTTACCTCCTACATTTTTGTATATCCTGGAAATAACACTAAATGATATTTTCATGGTTATCATAGAACATAGAATAACTTCACATAACATGCTCACAGCTCAAAATTGCTTACTGTTGAGTTCAGCTTTCTCTCTATTTGTTAGTTTTAGCCAAAGGGCAAACAAACAATGACTTTTGTCACTGGCAATAATTGTTCTACAATAGATTGACTGAAACAGACACTTATTTATTCATTAAGAAAAATATCTATTGAGTACTTAAAAGGTGATATGGATGTGGAATAACCAAATTTCCACTATCATTTATTCCAGATAAAATGTGGGTGATTTATAAACAGCAGAAATTTTTTGCTTACAGTTCTGGGAGCTGGGAAGTCCAACATCAAGGCACCAGCAGATTCTGTGTCTGGCGAAGCCCTGTTTCTCATAGATAGTGCCTTCTACATGTCCACACATGATGGAAGGGTAAACAGGTCCCTCGAGCCTCTTTTATCACCCTTACGAATGCCCACCTCTTAATATGTTTTCATTAAGGAGTAGTTTTCACATGTGAATTTTAGTGGCCACCAACGTTGGGACCATAGCATTGCACTAGCTTAATTTTTTCTTTTCCCACTGAAAAATATAAAATTTAAAGCTTATCTTTGTACACATTTAACATATTGAAAATAATTATTACTTTCATATTTATCTTTAAAATAGACCCCTGAAATAACATGAGAATCAAATTCCATTAAAAATATATTCAACTAACATTTTACCTGTCCAATATAACCCAAATCTCAAGATTAAATATTGTCCACATAGCTCTAAATCTTATTCAACAAAATTTAGAACTGATAGATCCAGGCCTGGCATATTTGCTTTAAATATTTCCTTAAATTTCTTTGTTAAAAATACATCTTCCCTGTGATAATAAGAGCATATGGTCATTGTGGAATATCCAAGAAATAGAAAAAAAAACATAAAAAATAAAATTTTAAATTTACTATAATGCTAACATCCAGAAACAAATACTGAAAACATTTTGGCACATTTTAATAATTTTTGCATCCTGTTGCCTACCCCTTTTTGTAATAGTGAGTATTTTGTTGTGTAGTTAAAATTATAATCATTTAGTAAATATTGTGTGTAACTTGAGTATTTCACTCAACAATATATGTATTTCCCCATATTACTAAGTATTCTTCTATAACATGCTTTTTAAATGGATGCCATTCTGTAGTAGCATTATTTATATATACTCTTTTGATGAACCTGTATATATTACCTTTAAAATATGTATATACTTTTGTGTAGTTAAATATTCTTAAAGAATGTGATTTTAATGACTTCTTCATAATCTAATTACAAACCATACTTTATTTAGTTAATTTCTAATGTAGGATATTTAGGAGAACCTCTTTTTCAAAGACAGCTATAACAACCACTAGTAGGAATCATGCCACTGCCACACCTGACACCACCAACTCATCTTGTGCCAAGCAGGGAAAGATTCATGGCTCCATATCCTCCCACACCTCAGCAGGTTTAAAAACACAGTGAGGTCTGATCACACCAAGTCAGTCTTGGACAGAGGCGGGCCCTCTGGTTCAGTGGTCTGATTTTCTATATAGAATGCATTAATATTGCTCTGTATAATCCAAATAAAAATAAACTTTATTTTATTTGGTATATTAATGCAGATACTTGCAGAGCCTATTTTCATTATTTGCTTCTGGCCTTCTCTTCAACAATTGGTTCCTCTGAAACACCAAACCTAAGGATTTGTGAAGCTCTTTCTCATTCACGCCTGTCCTGGCCGCTATTCATTCCTCATTTTTCTTGAGCAGTATATCTCAATGAGAGCAATTAGTACACGACCAATTCAACAACCACTAGATATAATGACTGTCCTACTTTGGTGCAGCGGACATCTTTTTGTTGTCGTTGTTCCCAACACCATATAAGTACTGATTAGAAGCAGGAATGCCTGTCCAGGCCCTGTGAAGGAGGTGATGAATGGTATGTCTGAACAGCACAGCCCTGGCTTAGTATCACTGAAATGCCACACTCCTCACTGAAGTCTGTTGATAAGCCTGACAGTGCTCAGCAACTTTTACCAGCAGACTTTATATCGGGGGACCCAAGCTGAAAGTTAGCACATGGGGTGTTCTGTCAGCACAGAAGGCTTACACCATTAGTAGATCTAAATGGTGTTTAGATTACGGAGTTCAACAAAAATCTAGGTCATTAAGTGCATAAAAGAAATGTTACAATGACTCCATTCCAAATAAAATGATGTTTGGAGGGAAACAAAGAAATTAATCTTGCAGTTTATTGGTAATAAAGAAACAAGAGACTCATATGTTGTTTTACGTATAGATATTATCTTAGTGCCATTTGGGACAGCTTATTCTTCAGCCTTTTTGAAATATGAAGTATACAGCTGGGATTTAAGGTATTACTAGCCAATTAGGAAAATTTTTTTAATGTAAAAACAAACAACAATCAACCAACCAACCAAACAAACAAAAAAAAACTTTCCAATTTCTTTGGAGACTGCATCCCTGGAGAATAAGTAAATATTACAATGTCATATAATCTTGAAAATTTTAAAATGTTAAGGAAAATAATATGCCCATGGGAATCCTAATTTATGAGACAAAATTCAAAGAAGTTGTTCATAGAAATTTAAACCCTTGACATTTTTAAGACACAATTTAAAGTAGAATAAAAATTAGTTTTCACAACATAAAATGAATTGGAAAAATTTCAGCAGTTTCCTCAAGGGACCATTAAAAGCTAGGGTATCTTCCAAAAATTCACCAGGGTTTAAAGCTAACGGAAAACATATGTGGGAAGTGTTTGATAAATAGAGCTTAATGTTCAATATAAGAGAAACATAACAAATTTGCATTGAGTACACTGATTTTGAGAGGAGAAGTTTTTGACCCATTCCCCAGTCCATTTTTTACATGAGAACCAAAAGTGGCTAAATTTAGTTCCTTATCCACCCTGTGCTGAAAATGTCCATGAGAAAGGGAGTTCCTGGATAACAAAACTTGCAGAGAAATTCCCAAAAATGCAACAGAAAGCCATAAATCCAGGAAAATAAATATAACCTGAATAACCACAAATTTCATAATCAATATGTAAATGTAATCATGGGGAAACTCCCTGAAAAAGTCACATAATTCCTTTTATAATAAATAGTATCTGCACTTTCCTGAAAATTTGGTGGCCTGAGTACACCCATGTAACTCTCCCATTGAAAATAAAGTACACGAAAAGTGGCATCAGTCGTGGAAAATAGGTTAAGAGTATCAAGATTATGCCGGAAATGTTAAGGAAGTGTCACCAGATATTTTGGAGGTATAATACAGTTGAAAAAGATACAGAGGCCTTGGTAGGCAGAATAATGGTCCCCCCAACGATGTCCAGGTCCTAATCCCTAAAGTACACCATGAATACACTAAACCATATAACAAAGAGTAATTAAGATGGAATTAAGGTTCCTAATCATGTAACCTTAAAAGAGAGAGATTATCCTGGATTACCCAGGTGGGCCCAGTGGAATCACAGGGTCTTTAAAAGTAGAAGAGAGGCAGAAGAGGAGGTCAGGGTGAGGCAATACAAGAAGGACTTGACGCCTTTGCTGGCTTTGAAGATGGTGGGAGGAACCACACTCCAAGGCTTGCAGGAGGCCTGGGGAAGCTGGAAAAGGCAGAAAGAAAAAAAAAATAGTATCCTACCTAGAGCCTACAGAAAGGAATGCAGCTCTGCCAAGGCCCTGATTTTAGCCTAGTGAGGTGTATGTGTCAGACTTCTGAACTTCAGAACTGTAAGATAATCTATTTGTTTCTTTAAGCCACTAACTTTGTACTAACTTGTTTTGGCAACAATAGAAAAATAACAAAGAGCTTCTTGAGAACATACCATATGAATAGATAAGGGAGACCCTGGAAACAATAGAAGAGATTCTTTCAAAAGCCTCTGATTTAGAGGTAAAGGAAAGGGTCTAAGGACAGAAGGAGCACACCACTTGGAAAGGCCGTTTGCCATGGGAATCTGCAGCATTCAAAACAATCGTGCTGAAAGGCCCAACTGGCTCATAAAATGGGGGCATCAAAAAGAGCCAGGAGAGGGGCAAGGATTCTCTAAGATTTGAGAGGTGGGGGCTTATATCTGGATGTAGATGGCTGCATCATAAAGGAGACACAGCACAAACACACAATATAGCTGATGTGGAATGGCCTAACAGACAGATATAGGAAGCTGCTCCTACAAAGTCAGAAAAAAAAAATGATCCTCAGCTTGGACTGCCCAAGGGCTTTAACTCCCTTCCCATGCCCTTTCGTGGCAGTCCAACAACTGAGCAAGTAATTTAAAGTTATATTAACAGACATTGAATACGTGATGGAAGATAGTTAGAGACTGCAAGTCACAGCTTCCCATGCATCTAATGGGCTTGGATAGCCTGTTCTTCATTCATGGATAATTAGAAAGAAAAAGATTCCTCTATATAAAAAAGGGAGAATATATCATGCAAGATACAGAGGAAGAGAATAATATTGATAAAGACATTACAAAAAAAAAGAAATATTGGTCAGAAAGACACTCTCTGCCTTCAAAAATACAGAATATGAAATAAAATATAAGATGAAGTGAAACAATACTGTAAAATAAAAGATAAACTGTTAAGGGCAGTACAAAAAATTTTCCTCCAAGAAAACAAAATATGTTAGAGACGTTAAAATGTATATTAGAAGAGAAGAAATAAAACAGAAAATTATAACAGATGAATGATACAGAGAATAGAAAACAAAGATCCCAAACAAGAATGATTATTAACTTTTAAAGAAGAGTCTAGAGCAGACAGAAAATAAGTAATAAAGACGTAACCATTAGATCTATTTCTGGACTAAAAAAGATATGAAGGTGCAGAACAAACGGATTTACCATACACAAAGTAATGTTACTAAAGAAATACCAACATCTAGACATATTTCAGGGCAACAAAATTAAATTCCAAAAAAAAAAAGAGCAAATGCAAAACCCAGGCAGAAAGAAAAATAATTAATCTCAGATTTCTTTTTCTCAGTCTTAAAAACCAAAGGACAGTAGCGTAACATCTATTCTACAGAGTTCTTTTAAAAAGTTTGGGTCTTATGATTTTATATCAGCCAATTTGTGTAATCAGTCATTGACATATAAAGGTGATGAAAAATATATACAACCAGATTAATCTCAGGCACAGAGGTGGTCTGACCTCTTGTGCTCCTTCTCTGGCCCACTCCAGCCAGTTTGGCTTCCATAAGCTTCTCCAAAATAGCATGCTTACTACCCCATCTTCCCCAAACTTATTTAACATTACAGCTTTAGCTGGTGCAAGAGAACAAATAATAATTCAGTGATATGCTGCATAATAATGTTTTAGTCAACAATGGACCACATATACAATGGTGGTCCCATAAGGTTGTAATGGAGCTAAAAACTTCCTACCACCTACTGACACTGTAGCTGTCCTAACATTGTAGTGCAATGCACTGCCTTTCCTGCATTTAGAGACACAAATACCATTGTGTTACAATTGCCTACTGTATTCAGAAGAGTAACATCCTGTACGTGTTTGTAGCCTAGGAGCAATAAACAATACCATACAGGCTAGGTGTATAGTAGGCTATACCATGTAGGTTTGTTTAAGTATACTCTATGATATTCACATAGCAACCAGATTGTCTGACAATGCATTTCTCAGAATGTATTCCTGTCATTCAGCGACATGTGACAGTATTAATAATAAGCAATCTAAAAATGGGAAAGAGAAGACCAAACTGGTAACATTTTCAAGTCAGTAATTTCTTTGGAAAACCCAAAAAATCAATGAAACATGAAAACTAGGAAGAGAGTTCAACAAGGCTGTCAATTACAAATGAAAAATACAAGATCAATTGCTTATCTTCTGTTTTAAAGGGTATTAAAAATTCATGCTTTGAGAGCTCCTCTGTTCTAAATACATAGCAATGACACTTAGGTTATAAAGGGATAATTCAAATAGCCCGGTCATTATCAAAAATTAAGTAACTGTCTCTGTGCGTCTGAAACACAAAGGGGTGAAATAAGTAAGTGGAGTTGAAGCCATGGGCCTCCTGGGTTCCAGATGCAGAGGCAGACAAAAGAGGCTCGGAATTCAGCTCCCAGGGTGTCACCAAAACTAACTCAATTTGTTGGAGGGAGGTCGGAAATTGGAGCCTGGTTTACTGCATGAAACCTGGGGTTGCTGTGGGGATTTCTCTGCCTTATGTGACAGAGGGCTAAACTTTGGGGCAGCCCAAACGTTTAATGAAATTACGTGTGCAAATCCCAATAGCATCGGTGGCAGGGTGGCATTAGACAATGCAGAAGATTTTTCAAAATAATTATAAAATGTATGTGAAGAAAAAAATGGCAAAAAAGAAACAAGAAACATAAGGAAAAAGTATTTTTCAAAAAAAAAAAGATGCAAGGCTTGCCCTGCAATTTTCTTAAAATGCATTATAAAATTATGTTATTAAACAACATAGAGATTCCATATATAAAAATAAATGAATTCATTCACATTTATGTAATACTTTAATACATAAAAGGTAGCCTTTAATACTAAGAAGATGTACTTCTCAAGAATCCATTAGAAAAACTGGTTAACGACCTCCAAAAAGGAACATTTAAATTTTAAAAACATTTATATACCAAAATGTGAAGATTATTAAAGCTGACTGGTACAATTGAAAATTTTCAATATATTTTACAGCCAATATTTATAACATAGAAAGAGCCCTTATAAATCAACAAGATGCATATATATTAATATGTATGTTTTAAAAGATAAGAAGATGTAGAGAATAAGAAGAAACTAGAAATATCCAAAACTGGACAAAGAATATGAAGAGGGGAAATACAAATGGTGAGTAAATATATAAAATGTTTAACCTCACTAATAATTAAATAAATAAAAATGAAAACAACAATTAGATAGCATTACTTGCCTCTTCTCCAACAAAGATGTATGTTAAGGCCTAAATTGTGTCCTATTCTTCAAATCATAGGTTGAAGCCCTAACCACGTTTCTCAGAATGTGTCTGTATTTGAAGATAGGAACTTTAAAGAAGTGGTCAAGTTAAAATGAGGCCATTGAGGTAGGGCCCTAATTCAATTTGGCTGGTGTTTGTATAAGAAGAGGAAATTTGGACACACAGAGAGACACCTGGCACGTTCATGCACTCAGGGACCATGTGAACACACAGCAAGAAGACAGCCATCGCAAGACAAGGAGAGAGAGCTGGGAAGAAGCCAAACCTGCTGACACCTTGATCTTAGACTGTTATTGTCTAGAACCGTGAGAAGATAAATTTCTGTGCCTGCCAGTGGTATCTTCTTATGGCAGACCTAGCAAACTAATATGAAAGATAACAATAAATGGTAATATCCATTGGGCCTAAGTGCAATACTGGTGAGGGTGTAAATTGATACCATCATTCTAAAGGGCAAACTGCAACATAGAGCAAAGCTTCCTAGCGCTGAGGTGCCTCTCCCCACAAATTCTTAAACGCCTTAGAAGTTTATCCTAGGAAAACCACAGGGATCTATAGAAAATATATGCACAAGGAAGTTCATAATAGCAAAAGTATATATATATTTTAAAGGTAATATATATAGGTTCATCAAAAGAGTATATATAAATAATGCTACTACAGAATGGCATCCATTTAAAAAGCATGTTATAGAATAATACTTAGTAATATGGGGAAATACACACATATACTGTTGAGTGAAATACTCAAGTTACACACAATATTTACTAAATGATTTTTTTTTTACTTATAATATTACTGTTCTATATAAGCAAGCATATTCATGATGTGTAAAAATGCTGATAATTGTCTCTGGGTGATAAAGTTATAGATCTAAATTCACTTTTTATATTTTAAAATTTTCATAAATTAATCATGTATTAATTTTGTCATTCTTTCAGGCACCCAGCTATAAGGAAGACTACAAGGCAGATGGTCTTAACATTTCACTTAACCTTATGAAGACAGAAAAATGAAAACTTACAGTAACATTGAAACCCAAGTAACAGAAATAAAATATCAGAAATAAGGTATAAAAGTATATATAAGGGCTGGACACTGTGGCTCACTCCTATAATCCCAGCACTTCGGAAGGTCAAGGTAGGAGGATCATTTGAGCTCAGGTGTTTGAGACAACCCTGGGCAGCATAGAAAGATGCCATCTCTAAAACGAAAAATGAAAAAGTATATATAGGGAGGCTGAGATGGGAGGATCACTTGAGTCCAGGAGTTTGAGGCTGCAGTGAGCTATGATCGTGCCACTGCACTCCAGCCTGGGAAACAGAAAAAGACCTTATCTTTAAAAAAATAAAATAAAACCAAAAAAGTATATATAAAGTCAAGGAAATATCAGAAATAAAGTATCAGAAATAAAATAAAATTAGATAATTTCCTACAACCTACAATTTCCTACAGCACTAGAAGGCCAATAAAGCTCTATTTAATTGTGGCCTACCCATGCTTTGCTCACCTAAAAGTAAGAATATCCTTTCTTTTCCTTTCTCCCTCTGCCTACTTCCTATTTCAGAACTCAAGGTTCACACAAAACAGAAAACTATTTCTCTATCACTTTGGAATCACTTTATATAGCAGGCCTTCAGTTTATCACCTATTATTCCATGAAAAATTCAATATATTCTCTGAATACCATAAAGTTAGACTCTAACCTATTAATAAAAGTGAAAACATCAATGTATGTTAAAAGTAAAGTATATGAAAAATCACTCTTCTGGGTCAAGTAGGAATGACACGCTACTCAGATAATTGAAGTGGAATGTGGTCAAAACTATATTCAGAGGAAAAGTTGTATTTTTACAAGCTTTTATTATTAAATAAGAAAGAATGGAAACAATGAAAGTAAATATTTAATTCTAGAATCTAAAGGGAAAAATCAATGAAAATTTTAAGGAAAGCAAGAAATGAAAGAGCAAAAAGGTAAACACAGAGGTTAGTGAAACATCTAAAATTTTCAAAAAGCTAAGAGATAAAGCACCAGTGTAAAATCTTAGGAATGCAAATTTATTTACAAAATATTTAAAATGTAAACAGAATGTTACGTACAACTTGATGGTAAAACGATGAGAAATGTATACAAAATTGATTAATTTATAGGAAAACACAAACAAAACTAGCTTAAGAAGTCAAATAAAATGAGTAATAATATATGATTATCAATCTAATTATTGTAGAAACTGAGATTTGTATTTAGAACATTCTCAAAATAAAGTTAAACTCCTCAGTCTCACCAATTTTTCATTTCTAGGCAATCACCAAATTGTACTGACTCTACTTTCTGGATCTCTTTCTAACACGCCCCCTTCCCTCTACCCTGCTGTCAACACCACTGCTTTATTTCAGGGTCTCATTACTTGCTTAAGTACAGAGTTCCTATTTCTCCAAACCCAGCACCTAGCAAACGGCCTGGAATTGTAGAGGGAGTGGAAAAAGTTTGTTGAAAGTTTAAAGAAACACAATGAAGCTGTTATAAACCAATCATAAAATATAGGTAAAATTATGGTAGTCCTCTGGTATGGTGAATTTAATTGACAAATGCATACCACTTTTGAAATTCTCTGCCCAGAGATAACAAAGAAAGATAATAGTGTGTCCATCTCACTGTGAGTCAAAGAATCTTCACAACGCATGAAACAAAAAGGATGGGGTGGGACGTGCTCTAAGGAGGTAGCAGCGTACATAATGTTCTCATTTCCCTAGCTAAACTATATGTACTTTGAGGTAACAGACTTTGCCTTTTGTTTCTTCCATAACCACCCATGCCTTAACTACAGATGGTATACATAAAAAAGTATAAGCTCTTCTAAATGTGTTTTAGATTACGTCTCCTCTATCCTACTTAAAGTGATTAGCCATTTTTCCTCTCTATAACATCATCAAAATTTTGATGATGGGATTATTTTCATCAAGATACTATTATGTAATTTTTCTAAACACACACATATATATATACACATGCACACCACTTTCTCTTGCCCCTTATTCCACTTTCCTACTAACAACTATCTTAAATCTTTGCCTTAAAACTCCTTGAGAGTCCTGTTTACTTTCTGTTTCCAATTCTTCCCCTTTCATTTCCCCCAAGGCACATCTAGCAGGCACAAAGCGCTTTCCCTGTGGTGACCTATGACCTCCATGGTGCTAGATCTAATGGTAAATTCTTTGTCTGAATTTTAGAGTGACTAATCAGCAGCCTTTGACACAGTTGAGCACCCCCTCTCTTAGCTTCCAAGACAACACCCCTTTGCTTTTCCTCCTGCCTTACTAGATCTTCCTTCTCAGTCTCCTTTCTTTTCTCCGTGTTTCATAATGGTGGATTGGTACAGGGCACACACACCTCTCCTTTACTTATGCTAACTCTGGTGATCTCATCCAATCTCACAGCTTTAAACACATGTTAGAATCCTAAATTTGCTTCTTCAGCACAGGTTTCTCTCTTCAACTCCAGATTTATACACAAAATTACCTACTTCACATTTCCTCTTGGATTTCTAGTAGACACATCAAATTCACCATAAACAAAAATGAACTCCTAGCCTTTCCCATCAAACACACTTTATTATAGCCTTCCTCCCCTCAGTTGAGGGCAATCTCTTCCTGACAGTTACTCAGGCCAAAAACTTGGATTATTTCTTAATTATCGTAATCACACTCTCCACAACTATTCTATTTTCAAATCCTGTGGACTCTCCTTCCAACACCTATCCAAAATCAGACAATTTGTGCCATCTCTACAGCTCACCAACCTAGTTTAAGCCATCATGGTCTTTCACATAGATTACTGCAACATTCTCTGACCAGATCTCCCTTCCTCACCCTTCCAGTCTACTCTCAACATAGCATCTGGAGTGGTCATCTCTCAGGATGCTTTATGGCTTCCCTTTCACTCAGTAAAATCCAAAGCCCTAAAATAGCCTCAAGGCCCCTCAGAATCTGCCTAGCCCCATTATCCCTGTGACCTCAAGACTATTACTTTCCCCTTTGCTTAGTCCTCATTCATCAGAAATGTGTCACTTGACCACCACTTGCTTCCAGGGAGTCTGAGAAATCAAGCTTATTAGCTGGGTACATTGCCACCCCAACAAAATAGGGAGAAGGAGAGGAATAAGTATTATCAAGGCAACTGGCAGTGACTGTCACACACCCATGATTATCTTATTTTGCAAGAAGGGAAGCAAAGTCTCAGGTAAGTTAGGTTACTTTCCACGAGAGTTTCCTAGACAGTAACTTAGTTAGAAAATGGAGAACTGAAATTCAAATCCAAGTTTGTCTGACTACACATCCCTTTATTTTTCTATTACGTCAAGCACCCTCCCTCCTTTAATAGAAAATTACCAGCCTTTGAATGATTTTGAGCACAGGATTTGTTCTTCCAAACTGCCTAGCCCAAAATAGTTATCTCATAAATGTTCTTGAGAATGATTAAAAATTATATTTCCAGGTTGACGTTTCAATGTCAATCACTGATTATGCCACCAGTGCTAGAATGGATTAAAAAAAAAAGAAACTTGAAGATGGCCAAATAGGAACAGGTCCAGTCTACAGCTTCCAGTAAGATCAACACAGAAGGTGGGTGATTTCTCCATTTCTAACTGAGGTACCCGGTTCATCCACTGAGACTGGTTAGACAGTGGGTGCAACCCACAGAGGGCTAGCCAAAGCCGGGTGGGGCGCTGCCTCACCCAGGAAGCGTAAGGGTCGAGGAACTCCTTTCCCAATCCAAGGGAAGCCATGAGGGACTGTGCACTCTGGCCCAGATACTACCCTTTCCCACGGTCTTCACGACTAGGAGATCCATTCTGGTGCCTATGCCACCAGGTCCCTGGGTTTCAAGCACAAAACTGGGAGGCTGTTTGGGCAGAGACTGAGCTAGTTGTAGGAGTTTTTTTTCATATCCTAGTGGCACCTGAAATGCCAGCAAGACAGAACCGCTCACTCTCCTGGAAAGGGGGCTGAAGCCAGGGAGCCAAGTGGTCTAGCTCACAGATCCCACCCCCTGAGAGTCCAGCAAGCTAAGATCCACTGCCCTGAAATTCTCGCTGCCACCACAACAGTTTGAAGTTGACCTGGGATGCTCTAGCTCAGTGCGGGGAAGGGCATCCGCCATTACTGAGGCTTGAGTAGGCAGTTTTCCCCTCACAGTGTAAACAAAGGTGCCAGGAAGTTCGAACTGAGTGGAGCCCACTGCAGCTAGGAAATGCTGCTGTACCCAGATTGCATCTCTAAATTCCTCCACTCTGGGCAGGGCATCTCTGAAAGAAAGGCAGCAGCCACAGTAAGGCGTGATAGACAAAACACCCATCTCCCTGGGACAGAGCACCTGGGGGAAGGTGCAGCTGTGGGCACAGCTTCAGCAGACTTAAATGTTCCTGCCTGCCGGCTCTGAAGAGAGTAGCAGATCTCCCAGCACAGTGCTTCAGCTCTGCTAAGGGACAGACTGCCTCCTCAAGAGGGTCCCTGACCCCTGTGCCTCCTAACTGGGAGACACCTCCCAGCAGGGGACAACAGACACTTCATACAGGAGAGCTCTGGCTGGCATCTGGCACACCCCCCTCTGGCATGAAGCTTCCAGAGGAAGGAACAGGCAGCAATCTTTGCTGTTCTGCAGCCTCTGCTGGTGATACACAGGCAAACTGGGTCTGGAGTGGACCTCCAGCAACTCCAGCAGACAGGCCTGACTGTTACAAGGAAAACTAACAGAAAGGAATAGCATCAACATCAACAAAAGGACATCCACACAGAAACCCCATCCAAAGATCACCAAAATCAAAGACTAAATGTAGATACATCCAAGAAGATGAGGAAAAACCAGCACAAAAAGGCTGAAAATTCCAAAAACCAGAACACCTCTTCTCATCCAGAGGATCATAACTCCTCTTCAGCAAGGGAACAAAACTGGATGGAGAATGAGTTTGATGAATTCACACAAGTAAGCTTCAGAAGGTGGGTAATAGCAAACTCCTCCGAGGTAAAGGAGCATGTTCTAACCCAATGAAAGGAAGCCAAGAACCTTGAAAAAAGGTTGGAGGAATTGCTAACTAGAATAATCAGTTTAGAGAGAACATAAATGACCTGATGGAGCTGAAAAAAACAGCACAAGAACTTTGTGAAGCATACATAAGTATCAATAGCCAAATTGATCAAACAGAAGAAAGGTTATCAGAGATTGAAGATCAACTTAATGAAATAAAGCATGAAGACAAGATTAGAGAAAAAAGAATGAAAAGGAATGAACAAAGCCTCCAAGAAATAAGGGACTATGTGAAAAGTCCAAATCTACATTTGACTGGTGTACCTGAAAGTGATAAGGATAATGGAACCAAGTTGGAAAACACTCTTCAGGATATTATCCAGGAGAACTTCCCCAACATAGCAAGACAGGCCAACATTCAAATTCAGGAAATACAGTGAACACCTCAAAGGTACTCCCCAAGAAGAGCTACCAGAAAACACATAATCATCAGATTCACCAAGGTGAAATGAAAAAAAAAAAAAATGTTAAGTGCAGCCAGAGAGAAAGGTCAGGTTACCCACAAAGGGAAGCCCATTAGACTAACAGTGGATTCCTCTGCAGAAATCCTACAAGCCAGAAGAGAGTGGGGGCAAATATTCAACATTCTTAAAGAAAATAATTTTCAACCCAGAATTGCATATCCAGCCAAACTAAGCTTCATAAGCAAAGGAGAAATAAAACCCTTTACAGACAAGCAAATGCTTGTGGTTGTGATTTTGTCACCACCAGGCCTGCCTTATAAGAGCTATTGAAAGAAGCACTAAACATGGAAAGGAACAATTCGTACCAGCCACTGCAAAAACATACCAAATCGTAAAGACCATTGACACTGAAGAAACTGCATCAACTAATAGGCAAAATAACCAACTAGCATCATAATGACAGGATCAAATTCACACACACAATAATATTAACCTTAAATGTAAACGGGCTAAATGCCCCAAATAAAAGACACAGACTAGCAAATTGGATAGAGTCAAGACCCATTGGTGTGCTGTATTCAGGAGACCCATCTAACATGCAAAAACTCACATAGGCTCAAAATAAAGGGAGGGAGGAATATCTACCAAGCAAATGGAAAGCAAAAAAGAGCAGGGGTTGCAATCCTAGTCTCTGATAAAACAGACTTTAAACCAACAAAGATCAAAAAAGACAAAGAAGGGCATTACATAATGGTAAAGGGATCAAAGCAACAAAAAGAGCTAAATATCCTAAATATATATGTACCCAATACAGGAACACACAGATTCATAAAGCAAGTCCTTAGAGACCTGCAAAGAGACTTACACTCCACACAATAATGGAGACTTTAACGGCCCACTGTCAATGAAATAAAGCAATTTATTAGAACAATGAGACAGAAAATTAACAAGGATTTTCAGAACTTGAACTCAGCTCTGGACCAAGTGGACCTAACAGACATCTACAGAACTCTCCACTCCAAATCAATAGAATATACATTCTTCTCAGCACCACATTGCACTTATTCTAAAATTGACCACATAATTGGAAGTAAAAAACTCCTCAGCAAATGCAAAAGAAAGGAAATCAATAATAGTCTCTCAGACCACAGTGCAATCAAGGTAGAACTCAAGATTAAGAAACTCACTCAAAACCACACAACTACATGGAAACTGCACAACCTGCTACTGAATTACTACAGAGTAAATAATGAAATCAAGGCAGAAATAAATAAGTTCTTTGAAACCAATGAGAACAAAGACACAATGTGCCAGAATCTCTGGGACAGAGCTAAAGCAGTGTTTAGAGGGAAATTTATAGCACTAAATGCCCACAGCAGAAAGTGGGAATGATCTAAAATCAACACCCTAGCATCACAATTAAAAGAAGTAGAGAAGCAAGAGCAAACAAATTCAAAAGCTAGCAGAAGACAAGAAATAACTAAGACCAGAGCAGAACTGAAGGAGATGGAGACACAAAAAATCCTTCAAAAAATCAATGAATCCAGAAGCTGGTATTTTGAAAAGATCAACAAAATAGATAGACTGCTAGCCAGACCAATAAAAAAGAAAAGAGAGAAGAATCAAATAGACAGAATAAAAAGTGATAAAGGGTATATCGCCACTGATCCCACAGAAATACAAACTACCATCAGAGAATACTATAAACACCACTACACAAATAAACTAGAAAATCTAAAAGAAATGGATAAATTCCTGGACACATACACCCTCCCAAGACTAAACCAGGAAGAAGTCAACTCTCTGAATAGACCAATAACAAGTTCTGAAACTGAGGCAGTAATTAATAGTCTGCTAACCAAAAAAAGCCCAACACCAGACGGATTCACAGCCAAATTCTACAAGAGGTACAAAGAGGAGCTGGTACCATTCCTTCCGAAATTATTCCAAACAATAGAAAAAGAAGGACTCCTCCCTAACTCATGTAATGAGGCCAGCATCATCCTGATATCAAAGCCTGGCAGAGACACAACAAAAAAAGAAAATTTAAGGCCACTATCCCTGATGAACATTGATGTGAAAATCCTCAATACGATACTGGCAAACCAAATCCAGCAGCATATCAAAAAGCTTATCCACCATGATCAAGTGGGCTTCATCTATGGGATGCAAGGCTGGTTCAACATATGCAAATCAATAAATGTAATCCATCACATAAACAGAACCAATGACAAAAAACACGTGATTATCTCAATAGATGCAGAAAAAGCCTTCAATAAAATTCAATACCCCTTCATGCTAAAAAAACTCTCAATAAACTAGGTATTGATGGAATGTATCTCAAAAAAATAAGAGCTATTTATGAAAAACCTACAGCCAATATCATACTGAATGAACAAAAGCTGGAAGCCTTCCCTTTGAAAACTGGCACAAGACAAGGATGCCCTCTCTCACCACTCCTGTTCAACATAGTATTGGAAGTTCTGGCCAGGGCAATCAGGCAAGAGAAAGAAATAAAGGATATTCAAATAGGAAGAGAGGAAGTCAAATTGACTCTGTTTGCAGATGACATGATTGTATATTTAGAAAACTCCAACATCTCAGCCCAAAATCTCCTAAAGATGATAAGCAACTTCAGCAAAGTCTCAGGATACAAAATCAATGTGCAAAAATCACAAGCATTCTTATACACCAATAATAGACAAACAGAGTGCCAAATCATGAGTGAACTCCCATTCACAATTGCTACAAAGAGAATAAAATACCTAGGAACATAACTTACAAAGGGACGTGAAGAACCTCATCAAGGAGAACTACAAACCACTGCTCAAGGAAATAAGAGAGGACACAAATGGAAAAACATTCCATGCTCATGGATAGGAAGAATCAATATTGTGAAAATGGCCACAATGCCCAAAGTAATTTACAGATTCAATGATATCCCCATCAAGCTACCATTGACATTCTTCACAGAATTAGAATAAAACTACTTTAAATTTCATATGGAACCAAAAAGGAGCCCATATAGGCAAGACAATCATAAGCAAAAAGAACAAAGCCGGAGGCATCATACTACCTGACTTTAAACTATACTACAAGGCTACAGGAACCAAAACAGCATGGTACTGGCACCAAAATAGATATATAGACCAGCGGAACAGAACAGAGGCCTCAGAAATAACACCACACATCTACAACCATCTGATCTTCAATAAACCTGACAAAAACAAGCTATGGGGAAAGAATTCCTTATTTAAAAATGCTGTTGGGAAAACTGGCTAGCCATATGCAGAAAACTGAAACTGGACCCCTTCCTTACACCTTCTACAAAAATTAACCCAAGATGGATTAAAGGATTAAAGGTAAGACCTAAAACTATAACAACCCTAGAAGAAAACCTAGGAAATACCATTCAGAACATAGGCATGGGAAAAACTTCATGACTAAAACACCAAAAGCAATGGCAACAAAAGCCAAAATTGACAAATGAAATCTAATTAAACAAAGAGCTTCTCCACAGCAAAAGAAACCATCATCAAAGTGAACAGGCAACCTAGAGAATGGGAGAAAATTTTTGCAATCTATCCATCTGACAAGCAGCTAATATCCAGAATCTACATGGAACTTAAACAAATTTACAAGAAAAAAAACAAACAGTCCCATCAAAAAGTGGGCAAAGGATATGAATAGACACTTCTCAAAAGAAGACATTTATGCGGCCAACAAACATGAAAAAAAGCTCATCATCACTGGTCATTAGAGAAATGCACATCAAAACCACAATGAGATACCATCTCACGCCAGTTAGAATGGCAATTGTTAAAAAGTGAGGAAACAACAGGTGCTGGAGAGGATGTGGAGAAATAGAAACACTTTTACACTGCTGGTGGGAGTGTAAATTAGTTCAACCATTGTGGAAGATAGTGTGGCAATTCCTCAAGGATCTAGAACCAGAAATACCATTTGACCCAGCAATCTCATTACTGGGTATATACCCAAAGGATTATAAATCATTCTACTATAGAGACACATGCACACGTATGTTTATTGCAGCACTGTTCACTATAGTAAAGACTTGGAACCAGCCCAAATGCCCATCAATGATAGACTGGATAAAGAAAACGTGGCACCTATATACCGTTGAATACTATGCAGCCATAAAAAAGGATGAGTTCATTTCCTTTTCAGGGACATGGATGAAGCTGGAAACCATCATTCTCAGCAAACTAACACAGGAAAAGAAAACCAAACACCGCATATTCTCACTCACAAGTGGGAGCTGAACAGTAAGAACACAGGGACCCAGGGAGGGGAATGTCACACACCGGGGCCTGTCAGGGGTTGGGGGTTAGGGGAGGGATATCATTAGGAGAAATACCTAATGTAGATGATGAGTTGATGGGTGCAGCAAACCGCCATGGCATGTGTATACCTATGTAACAAACCTGCACGATCTACACATGTATCCCAGAACTTAAAGTATAATAATCATTTTTTTTTTTTAAAAAAGAATCAAGCCTCAGAATCTTCCTGTTTATAAATACTCCAGGTGATTCCTATAAACAGTAAAGACTGGCAACTACTACTCTGGTGCCAATCCTGATATTAGGCTAAAATTCCGATTTAGGGAACAAAGCCAAAGACTCTAATACCTAGCATTAAGCCATCCTGTCAATATTCTGGCCCTGACTTAGTGCCCTGAGTCTGACAATGGGCTTCTGCCTTTTCATTAAATGTGGTTTGCATCTGTGTCCCAATTCAAATAATTGGGATTTTGCCTTATTTTTTAGTGATTCCCTGACTGGAACCTGCCTAAAATTCTGGCCGCTTTCAGAAGGCCAGTTCTATGGCTTCCTGCCTGGGCCTCTGTCCCTGAACTGTTCTTTAGTTGGAGTCTGTCTGCTTAATGACTGGTTTCCCTGACGTTGCCTACCTGCCTTTCCTGTCTGAAACTGAAAATCCCTGTCCCTGGATTTTCCTTTGCTGTGTGCCACTCACCTGTTGGACTCATCGGTGTATTTTTCTCCTTCCCAAAAATCAAGACTACTCTTTGCCACCTGTCACCAGAGTCCTCACATGGAACAAACTGGGTGAACTTTTCTTTACTTTACACCTGGCTTTGTGCCCCCCAAACCCTCCATGACCTTAATGTATGGGTTGAGTTTTTTTCTGCCTCCTCATCCTATTACAGTCACCTGGGCCGCTTCCAGCCATATCTCAAAACATGACAAGATACAATCAATCTAAGATAACTTTCAGCTAGAGTTCTATAACACTCTGACTTAAGAGTCACAATTTGCCAAGCAAAATTAATGCCATCCAAGTTTGCATAGATGGAAATTGTATCATGTTTCTTTAGAATATTTTTCAAGTAAAATGTAGAACAAGCATGCATATATATATATATATATATATATATATATATATATATATATATATATCTGTTTTTGACTGTGTGAGTTGGTACGATGGCGTGAGCTGGTAGGAAAGCACATAGAGAAGTGTAGCAAGAAAGAGATTTATTAATGAGTTCTCCCACATCCCTCCAGGATGGGAGAGACAAAGCTACTGGAAATGTAAAGATGAATGAAGAAAAGACAAGCCACAGAAACTGGGGCCTCAGGGAGTTTTGGTAGAGAATTAAAAAGTAGGGTAACCAACTATCCAAGTTTATCTGGCACAGAAGAGTCTCCTGGGAAATGAGACTTTCAGGGCTCAAGCTGGAAAAGTCCCTGGCAAACCCCAATGAATTGATTACTAGAACTTGAAATTGTTTGGAGTTTTGCTCAATCAAAGATTAAGGATGTGAAAGAATTGTACAGAAAAGAAAAGAAAGTTAGACTTTCTTTAACGTATCTTGCGAAAATATGAAAATATCAGAAATATTTTTATTATTCTTGATTGGTAGGCTGTACTTTGTTGAATGCAACTTTGTCCAGGGACTTTTGTGCTAGCTGCATACATATTAATGAAAGACAATAATACTGTCAAATACTTATTGGGAACTTAACATACCATCCACAGATTGAAGTGCTTTGCACGGAATATCTCAATTGTCCTCAAAGCAACCTTAGTAGATGAGTACTGTTATTAGTTACTTTTTACAGATAAGGAAATAAAGGCATGCATTTTAGGCATTTTTTCCTAGAAGAAATCTTGACACAAAATTGACATGTGACAGATGATTAAAGGACTTTCAACTATATTCCAACAATGTAGAAGTAGTCAGGGTACATGGGTTAGCTGATCATGTGGTATCACTGAAATATTTGCATACTTCCACATGCCTGGGTCACATATTCTGACACTTTAGTTTCAAGCCATGAAGGCCATTGCAGAAGAAATGCTTATTAAAGTAAATACTTATTAAAGTAAAAAGATTGAGGCATATGAGTATTTTTTTTCAGCTAAATATTCCAGGTCAGTGAAAATGCAAAGACATTTTAGGTCACAGGAAACCACCTGGGATGTTTCAGCAGCTCATGTGTAGATTAACCCTGGGACAAGAGGGAGAGGAGAGGACCTTACTTGTCAGGTTCAGGATGACACTGTAGAACTTACATGCTTTCAATTTGATCTTCCCTTCATAAAGCTAACATTCATAACATGTCAAACACTGTACATAACCTATCATCTCTTTCTATCCTCATCACCATCTTATGAAATGTAGTTATTGCAAGTTTAAGCTTACAGATAAGGAAATAGAGGTACAGAGAGATTAAGTAACTTGGCAAGATCACAAGGCTAGCAAATGGTAAAGCCAAGATCTGAACACAGGCTTTATCCATTTAGTTATCTCAATTTCCTACTGTAATGTATATGGACTGCAAGAATGTTAAACTTACAGGAAAACACAGCAACTATTTAGTTAGCCTAACTTCCTTATTGTATTAGTAGTAAACTAAAGCTCCAAGGATTGTTAAGAGATTTGGGAAGACAGTGTGTATACCAGAAGGAGCAAGGTATTTCAACACAAATAACCTGGATTGGATCAGTAGTTTTACAACCTATTAACTCTCTCATTTGTGCAGATTATTTAACCTTTCTATACCTCAATTCTGTCATTTGTAAAATGAAGGTAATAATATCTACTTATAAGGGAGATTTCAAGATTAAATTAGACAATGTATGTAAAGCATTTAGTAGAGTTTCTCACATATAGTAAGGGATCAATAGATGATATTGGTATTAGATTTATTAATAACATTTAATATTAACAATTAATATTATTATTATTGCATAACTACCTAGTAATTATTATTGTTACTACTACAACTACTATTACATCATCATCATGATCACCATCATACCAGCTCACAGAGCAGTCAACTGCAAAACCAGGCTTAAAATCTGGTTGCCTAACTTACCATGATGACATATTTTCTTCTCTATTATAGAAACAACATGAAAACCTCAAACTGAGAAAGCATTTAAAAAAGACTCTTGGCATTCAGAAGGTTATTTGTAACATGTCCATAAAATTGCAGATAAGAATGTAGAATAATTTAAATGGCATAGAGTACAAAGAAGCAAATTCAATGCCATGCAATCTTGGGCGCTAATGATGTTTCTCTAGAATATTTTCCAAGTAAAATATAGAACAATTATATGTATATGTATTGGGTTTTGGCTTTATTCTTTATTTCTTTTGGCTTCTAGATGTGCACTATAAAAACATGGAAGATGGTCAGTCCTTCTGGTTTTGTAGCATGGATTTGAGAATATAAAAACAGAGGGTCCACAAGCTAACCCAACAGTGGTCTAACTTTATGGAGATATCTTTCTGTACAAGCCAACAAATGACAGACCTAAAGCAATTTGGCTTTCTGAGTACTGATGCAGCACTTCAAGAAGCACTTCAAGGAGCCATCTTGCCTCTTTCTTCTCCCTCATTTGACAAAATGAAATGTTAGGAACATTTACTCCCATGTATAAACTTCTCTAATAAGAATTCAGGGAAGAACACCTTACAACACACTATTTGTCATATATAAACTGTTCCGCATAGTCATTTTTATTACATAAGTAACATACACTATTAGTATGAAAAATTAGAAAAATAAATAAGCTAAAATAAGAAAATTAAAATCATTAATAATACCACAGTATGAAATAACTATTGTTAATATTTTGTTGTGTATATTTGCTGACTTTTTCTAAGCATATAAAAATTCATACATAGATAAATATACCAAATTTTAAAGATGCATTATATATAATCCTTTTTCCCATAGCTAAATTTAAAATTTCCATATTATATATAATAATTATATCCCATATCGTGGTTTTAAATAGTTGCCTGACATTCCATTATGTAGATGTACCATAACTTATTAGTCAAGCCTCTATTAATGGACAGTAGAGTGGCTTCCAATCTTCTTGCTGTTATAAACAACTCATTTTTATAAATACACTTGTTTATAAACCTTAGTACACTTGTTTAATATTTCCTTAGAAATAAAGAATTCCCAGACATGGAATTACCAAGTCAGGGACTGCAAACTTTTAAGATTTAACATGTACTTTGTATTAAGTAATAGGTATGTATTTGTAATATGTATGCATACATTTTGCCATATTTATCTTCGGAACCAGGTACTGATTTTCACTCCCAGCAGTGGGTATAAACGAGCCTGCCCCACTGCCCTTTATGGTTGAGTGAGCCAGCAACTTGCCTGGGCAGTCATGGCTTCCCACAGAAAAAGTCTATGAAGGCCCTCTACTAGTGCCACCTTTGTGAGACAAGGCAAGGACAAGAGACAACACCCAGCTGTCCCATGGATTGGCTAACAGCCACTGACAACACCCACATGTACTGTGATATCAGAGGCCAGCAAAGGAAAATATCCAAAAATAACAAAGCAACTGAGAATTGCTGGACACTGTCAGAGAGAAAATTATGATTTTTAAATGCATATGTGTTTTCCTTTAACAAATAGGACAGGGTGAAAAAGGAGCCATCCACGTTCAGCAAATAAGACTTGCTCTGAAAAACATTGAAAAAGAGAGAGGAAAGGGAATCATTACAGATTTGGAAAACGTGTGGCAAATTTCCTGGCCAGTAAGAGTAGAATATTAGAATGTCCAAAGGGGGAAACAAAACAAAACAAAAAAGCCCACTTTCTCCTGTGCCTGGGTAGCATTTTCAATCATTTTCTACCAGCCGATTTAAAAACTGAAACTTAAATCTCTGTGAATGCAAGCAAGGGCAAAGCAACAGAATGAGCTAGAACACCCTTTCTGCCTCTGCTGGCTTTGCACGGAAGGCAGCTAGTGCCTGCCTCTAACTGGGTCGCTCTATCCTTTCCTGGAGCCCACAAAGCTGAAAGAGAAGACTCAGTGAAGGCAGAGCTGGGGAGACACCAGATGTGGATACCATAGATGAGGATGTAGGTGGAGAGGAGGCAATGAAGTGCAATATACACTTGGGGCAAACAAATAAAGTACTGTCTTCTACCCTGTAGGTCATGAGAGAGGAGTTTCTTAATTATCTTACAGATAGTTGCATGGTGCCTACTGAAAGGATTCTCCAGTAGCAACTCATTTAAAGCTATGACAAATTATCCCTGTTTTCAAATGGGGAAACTGAGGCATGCCAAGATTAAATCTTTTGTCTAAGATAATATAGCTAATAAGTGGAAGAGCTGAGATTCGAACCCAAGGAGCCTGGTTCTAAAATCCACAGTCTTCACCGCATTGGTATGCTGTCTCTCAGGCCAGTTACAATGTAGGACTGAAGGACTGAAGACTAAGGTTCAAGTCCCTGGTCCACCTCCAATTGTCAGCTCTAAGCTACCTAGGGTAAGTCATATAATTTCTCTAAGCCTCAGACTCCTCCTTGGAGAAACAGGCACAATCCAGAGATCAGCTTTGTCCTGATCCTCCCGCTCCAGCCCATGACCCACACCCACCTGGATGCAGAACTCAACACATCTTTGAGTTCCCTGTCCCGTTTTGTTTCCATTGAATTTCAGTCTGCAGTTTCACTCTCTACTCAAGCACCCACTTAGTCACACTAAAGCATGCTCATTATTCCCCCTTAAAGAATCCTTTGATGTAAAAACATTGGAACAGTGAATCTTGTTTTTCCAAGCATTTTTTTAGGTGACACAGAAGAGGGAGGGGAAATTCATTGCATACTGCAGAAAAAAATTTTTTTAATTCCCCATAAGTATTCCCATCAGTCCCTTTGCTCCACATTGTCAAGAAGAGGAAGGTACTCCCAATGCCATTTCTTTCAGTTCCCCAAACTGTTAACTGTCTATTCTTTCGAATGTTTCCCTAGGCATGTTAGAGTCTCACCTGTTTCTTGTAAACTGGACATCACTTATTTATTTATAAATAATGTAACAGCTATGATGCTCTAATTAGATCATGCATGTGAAAGTACCTCATACAAATGAAGTGGTACATTAATAGAAGATATCATTAATATTCACCTGCAAGATGTTACAAGTCAAATAACTTAAAACATTGACTTATCTAAACTTTTTTTTTTTTTTTATAAAGTTGTGGTCTGTCACCCAGGCTGGAGTGCAGTGGCACCATCTAGGCTCAATGCAGCCTCCACCTCCCAGATTCAAGTGATTCTCCTGCCTCAGCCTCCTGAATAGCGGGGACTATAGGTGCCCGCCACCAGGCCCGGCTAATTTTTGTATTTTTAGTAGAGATGGGGTTTCACCATGTTGGCCAGGCTGGTCTCGAACTCTTGGCCTTAAGTAATCCACCCACCTCAGCCTCTCAAAGTGCTGGGATTACAGGCATGAGCCACCATGCCTAGCCAGTTTATCTAAGCTTATGATTGACAAGTGCATGACGGAGTTATTAGAAGGAGCATTTCTATGCATTGGTGATTGATGCCAGGTTAACACTCTCCCACAAACAATGCCTTCCTGGGAAGCTGCATCAGAGCCAACACAGAGCTGATTAGACAAATTTATGAATCTGCATTCAAGCTCCTCTTTCTTAAAAATGCAAATAGCCCTCTCTCACAATTTTTTATTTAATCCTACTGGTCTTTCTCTTACTAGTTTTTCTTATTTTACAAAAGTTTCAAATATATAGTCTATATTCACTGCCTCCTTTTTTTTTTTCTCAACACCTGCTTCCTCCTGCTCACCTAGGAATATGGACTCTCTCTCCTCTCTCCGGTGCCATAATGAAAGGTTGTGGACAACAATGTTTGTAAATCCACAAAAAACTCCCTGTTGTGAAATACAATGGCCATGTCACCTTCCTCATTCTCTGGCGTTCTTGACTGAATTTGACATTTTCAAGGAAACCTAGGGAAAAGTTTGAGGTAAGAGGAGTCCTCCTTAACAACAGACAAGACTAATCAATTTGTTCAATGATCTTTTATTAAAAGAATCATAAAGGGAATGTATTTTAAATACTTGCTCTGCCAACTTAGGCAGCATCATGACATGAAGGTACAGCTAGTCTGTGAAAATTCTTCTAAATTATAAGGCTCATATGTAAAAGAAACTTGATAGAAGTCTTCCCAAATTTGACAGCAACCCTAAAAATGTATGGCATTACCAGTAACAAGCTATAAATCTGAAACAAACTTTTCTATGTTATTAATAATACATACATTTAAATCAATCATGTTTTAGAGAAAAGACTGAATTCTTTTTGTGTTCTCTTTATGAAAAATATTACAAAATTGTTGTCTTATGCAGAGGTGATAAAAAAAGAACGTAGCCAAAAAGTAGGGTAAAAAGATAATATGGAATTTTGCAAGGCACTGTATTAATAAAAACCATTATGTTATTTTTCTGGAAGTTAAAGTATATATGGCATTTCTCAGATTTTATTAGTTGGCAACTTCTTGTGATTTCCTATCTGTAATAAATATTTACCTTTTATACAATTTTATATTCATAACTTTATATTTTTTAAGGAGTGTATTCCAAAATTGTATAAGCTTCAGATCCTTCCAAATCTGCATCCTATTAATTATATACTAGTTCTTCTATCATAGAAATATAGGCTATTAAATCAAGTGCTCTCCTGGATAATAGAAGTGAGGTGTTATTATCAAACTCTTGTCAGTAACAGATTCCTTTCTCACTTCTGCCATCTTCCTGGACTCCCTACCATTTCTCTGTATGTAAGTATACTTACAAGCATGTGACATGCAGAGAATATAAAGATAAATAGATAATACCCCCACCTCGAGTAGATTAGAGCCCCGTGAGGGGAAGAAGACATGTAAGTTAATAATTAAGCAACAACCTGATAGCCGTTCTAAAGGAGTTAAGAGCTCAGAAGGGGAGAAATTGACTCTACCTTAGGAATTCGGGAAAAGTGTCACAATAAAGGTAAGAGCCAAACTGGGCATAAGAAAATAAGAGGGAGTATGCCTGGCAGGGGAGGGAGACTGCATTCCCATGGGGAACATCGCAGGTTAATTTATGTGAGCAAAGCATCAAATCCAGTGCTATGATGCACCAATTAGATCATGGATGTGAAAGTACCTCATACAAATGAAAGTGATACATTAAATGAAACGATGCATTATTCTAAAGAACATAGTCCAATATGCTGTGCTGGCATACAAAGAACAAACAAAAACAAGCCACTCCCCAAAAGGGAAGAGTCACTAGCTTCTCAGAATAATTCACAAATCATAAGCTTATATGTTGCATCCTTTAATGTACCAAACATTTATAAATCTTGAAAATTGTGGGCTCAAGCCTTGGTATCAAAGAAGCCTGAACACTGAATCCTCCAACACATTTTAGCTGTGTCATCTGGAACAATGGGTAATTTTTAAGGCCTCGGTTTTTTCATCTGTAAAATGATCACATTAGTAGTTATATCAAAAATTTGTCATGAGGATTAGACCAGCCACGCATGGCATGAAATAAAGCTGACCAAATGTTATTTGTTAATAAGTGAAGCTAGCATATCCAAGTTTTTCTAATATTGAAGATAGATGAGAACTGCACATCTCTTTGTTACCCTGATAATTAAGGGGAAAGTCAGCACCTGTCAGCCAAAAACAATCAAGCTGAAGGCAGGAATGTTCTTGCAAATAGCCAGAGCATTCCAAAGAATTCCAGAAATGCTCTCACATTCTCTATCACATTCCTTTAAGCACAGATTAATTTAAACAAACAGCCTAATCACGCCATATCAGAAACGTACACACAGGAAACAAAGGCCAAAAACTAAGTCTCAATGAAAAATAGCCATCTTGTAAGGAAATAAGCACATCATTCTTATGCCAGAAGACATGGTTTCAAATATATTTCTGCAGAAGCCAGTCTCTTCATGTCGAGGCTCAGTAGGAGCATCACCAGGCTGTGCTACTTCACACTCCTTAGCAGGGAACATCATCTTAGACAATTGTCCCTGAAGCATAGCTTGATCCTTTCCAGACTTAATAGAGTGGACTGCTTGTTTAATGGTAAAATGTGTGCATTCTGAAGAAGGGACATCAACCTCCTCAATTTAATTAGAGAACCGTTATAAAGAAGTGAACCATGTTATGCTTTAGCCCAGTAGGCTATTAACCCTGAAAAACTGGGAAGGAGCAGATGATACATCTATAATATCTTCTCACAGTAAGCCTGCCTCTTGGTTTTTGTGACTGAAGATTCTGAGATGGTCAATATTTGCAGGATGGTCTGACAAATGCGGCTGTAATAGCAACAATCTGTGAGTATGGGCTAGTCTGGTTTTATTTGTAGTTTGTTGGTACTTCAGTGGGTCCATAACTTAGAACATGAAATATGTATTAATTTCTTAGGCATGTAACAATTATTTCTCCAGAGCACAAAAACACAAGGATTTATGCACCAAAAGTGTTTGTAGTCAGACCTGACTCCCTGCTGGCCACAATCATATAAGAATGTACAAATGTGGAACACTTCTGAATTTATTCATTTCTTAGCTTTCTTCTAATTACTAATTTCACTTAATGAACTGTGCCAGAAGATCATAACTACCCTGACCAACAGTTTTTAATAAGACAAACAATAAGCCATGAAGAGAGAAGGGCCAAATTACTTATCGAAGAAGGATTTACATGAAATGAGGGCTGAATTGTTTAACTGGAAGGGCCACATCTACAGGTCTCCTTACATGAGACCATAATGAAAACCAACAGATGTGAGAGCACAGGATACAGTCCTGAGCAGCCCTTCAGCCACACCTGCATATTTAGCTACAACTTCTGAAGACAAGAAGCACTGGTGGACTTAATGGCTTCTTATTACCAAAGCAAACAATTAAATCTGGCCCTCTGAGAACAAGGGATCGTAGAACATCTTTAGGGAAAATGTTAAGTGTACTTTTTGTGGCCCATCAGAGGATCATTACATAGTGGCACTGAATTAAGCCTTGACTTAAGGTAACATGAGTATGGGAGAGAAAAAATTGCATTTAAGAATGTTTCATTTAATGGGAGGCTCGGAGAAAATGTAGTTGATAATGGATGTCATTTGCTCGCCTCCAGCCACACACACCTTTATCCTTTGTTGCCCCCCATCTCAATGTTAAAAAAGAAGTCCCCCAAAATGTTTTATTAAGGGAATTGTTAAGGGTTTCTACAATTTCCACAGCCACCTTATTCAGGACTCCACTGCACCAATCATGTGTGAATGAAGGGTAGTATTTGTGTTAGCAGATAGCTGGGACACCTGACAGTCTGCCTTTATCCTCTCAGCTGGTTCTGGTGTCTCTCTCAGATTTGGGATATACCAACAGTCCACAGGATTTCATATGTATCTGACTAGAAAAAGTTAGATATGATCATATTAACACTTAAAGCAGTGTTTCCCAAGTAATGGCTCTCAGAGAAAATGATAGTATGTATTTATACTCAGCAGTAATCAGACAAGTCAGTGTGTCTAGAAGTAACTAGCTGGGGAAGGAGAGGAAAGTGAAAGTAGTGATGGGGAGGAGGGGGCTCCAGGCACTCTAAGTCATGCTCTGCCAGCCTGGGCTTCATGGATCAATATCGACCTACACCCAAGAACCCAGAACAGCATCCGCCAGAGAAACACTCCCTTAATGGATACGGATGGTTCAAGCATTTCCTTGGGAAAATAAGTAAGATTCTAAGGTCCTCCGTGGTATCATGAGCCTTTATGTGATGAAATAGGGATTATGAGTCAATATTATTTAGTCTCATAAAGAGAAAGGGACACAGGATAGGTGCTCCAATAATCTTCGCTATTGCATTCATGTTTTAAATACCAACCAATACAAGAACCTCAGAATGCAAAATTGAGCTATACTACGCATTCGCAAATCAGATACAAACTTATTTACCCTCAACCTGAAAGAAGTCAGGGTGAACCTAACATTTAAAAGAAATGTATTAAATCTTTACAATTCTTTTCTTCTTTTTCTTGTTTCATTTTTTTTCATTGTCGTCCGTGATGTAGGGAAAAAACAGAAGGTATTTAAAGTGAGTAAATATTCTGTGAATTTTCTTAGTCTAATCCTCTTTAAAAATGTAAAAAGTAGTTGACTATGACAGTGTGGTAGAGACAGCAAGAATTAGCCCAAGATTGGATGATTTCCACAAAGAACTTGCAAGCTGGGATACATATACAACCACTTTCTGAGATGCTTTCTCTGGTAGTTCAGATACTCTGACCTCAGTTAGACAGAACAGGCTGCATACCATCTTAGAAAGATTATAAACAAAAATATCAAAATGGTTTAGAAAGGAAATAACACTAACCATCTGAAACTGCTACTGATAGAAAGCAAGTGTAGAAGTTGAAGATCATATGAGTCACTTTAATAACCATCTTAATAATAACTTTGTTCAAAGCTGCTACTTGTAGCTCTTAAAATGATTAACAATTATTGTTATTCTCTGTGATGCAATCACCCACAGGATTATAGACGTGGTGAACCATGTAGAGAAAAGGTTTTTGAGTGAGGTCCTCAACCATATTGGTAAGCTTTCAATAAATTATCTATGGCATGTGAGGCACTCTCTAAGGATATAGTGGCAAATAAGACCCAGAAGTCAAGTAGAATACTACTACCAAAGACTCCAATTTTATTTTCTTGCTGAGAAAAATGGGGTCCAGTGGACTTGTAGTCATTAAAAGTAACCATTTGCATACACTTCATAAAATTATATTAATACCTCTATGATAATATCTCTCCAATATCTCTATGTTAGGAATTTATGATTCATCTACATTTTCTCATGGTACTAATATTTTATATGATTCTGTAGAGTATTGCTTTAATAGAACTACAAGTTTGGGTTGGGAGCAAGATGACTTAATTGCATGATTTCAGGGCCACCATTCACATAGCATTCAATATGAATACTACCTGCTAGAGTTGGGCAGCAAGTAGACCCTGTAGGAAAAGAAAAGATGAAAAAAGGGAGCAGAGAAAGTACAAAAGGAATTACTAAAGAAACATCCTTCTTTTTTTTTTTTTTTTTTTTTTTTTTTTTTTGACATGGAGTCTCACTCTGTTGCCCAGGCTGGAGTGCAGTGGCACAATCTCGACTCACTTCAAGCTCCACCTCCCGGGTTCACGCCATTCTCCTGCCTCAGCCTCCCGAGTAACTGGGACTACAGGTACCTGTCACCATGTCTGGCTAATTTTTTGTATTTTTTTTAATAGAGACGGGGTTTCACCGTGTTACCCAGGATGGTCTCGATCTCCTGACCTCGTGATCCGCCGGCCTCGGCCTCCCAAAGTGCTGGGATTACAGGCATGAGCCACTGCACCCGGCCAGAAACATCCTTCTAAGCAAATTTCACTTATAAAATGTTTTCTCAATGAGGAGTGTTAGGAAACAAAAAAATATATGTTTAAAATGAGAATGTTCGAGCCATTGATTTGAAAAGCAAAAGTCCACAATGAGAGAGAGAAAGTTTCTAAGTACAGGAAAGATATTAGAGCTGCCTAGTTGTCACTCTAGGTTCCTTAATCAATTAGAATAAGAAAAGCTCCTCTTATCCCTAACGTTCTCCACCAAAGACCCAACAGAAGACAAAGCCTTAACGAAAAGACATTCACCAGAATTACCACCAAAATGGGCGGGAACTGAAGAGAGAAAAGATAGGAGAGGAGTATCAGTTACAGGGAGAAGGAAGGCATCCAAACTGAAATATATTGGCTTGTTTTAGGTTCTGAAAAATATAAACAGTAAGAGACTTAATAGAATGATGGAGGAAAGCCAAAGTGGACAAGTCCTCTGAAGGAAGCAATAGAAAGAATTCCATCCCACACACAGCACATTCTGTCATGTCTCTCTGCAGCAAAAGAAGTGTCTGCTTGACCTGCCTAACATGCTACTTAACAACAATGCTACCATCAACAGCCACCTTTGCTATCAGCAGCTGCAGTGGGATGCTTATTGACTATGTGCTCTACTAAACACGGCATATAGATGACTTAACTTCATCCTTCAAGTACCCTTATGAACGACATCCTATTATTTTCCCTGTTTTTACAAAAGAGGAAACCAAGTCTTAGAAAGTTGGAGTAACATTTACAACTTTCTGTTAGTTGTTCAGAGTTGTAAGATTCTTCACCCACATTTATAGATTAAAATTATAGATTAAATTATAGATTAAAATTAACCTCCATCCTGCCTCATTAAAGTTGAGGGAATTCTGCACTCCTCCACCTGCATAGTGATACTAGCATACAAGCTTTTATCTGTTTCATTGACCATGATCTTAATTATCATATTGCAACACAGCCCCCATGCTGATGATCCAGACTATTGCACCACCAACTATCAAGTCTTGTTTTTAACAAAACTTCACTAATATCCCCAGTAACAATAAAACTTCTAGGTTAACAATCAGACAATATTGCAGTTGACTTTAGTGGGCCATCATTTGAATATACCTACCTAATTATGTAGTCAAATTATTTGCCCTTGAGTAACTCTAAGAAATTCCTTACTTTGTGTAGAACACTTGCAATTAGAAATAGATTCCTATGCAGATTACATTCCCTATTTGGTGCATCATTCAACTACTGGATAGTAATAAATGTGGTTTTCTAGGCATATTATGCATCCTAATAGTTGAAGCACACACAAAGCAATGTAATGTGTTACCATACATATATAAAAACAACGTACATAGTAGCCAAATCACTATAAACAAGATTTATTAAAATTGCAGGAACAGACTAAATGCTCAGAAAGTTGTTGCTTGCCAGATTTGTCAGGCATTTGAAGTATCAGAGAAAATCAGCTATATTAAAGTTTTAAACACTTTTTGAAGTGGTTAATGAATTTAATTTATAAATGAGGCTGTTTGGAAACATGGAATCAAGTTTGCAAACATCATATGAAGTCATTGTCAGTGGGCAGGATGGTTCCTGAAGCTCTTCTATAGGACATTTCAGTTTGATTAATATTTTTAATTTATTCATTTCTTCATCCCAGGATTACATATTAGTCCCCTAACCAAGAAGAACAGAATGATCATATTAGTCTATAACCACTAATGTTAACATTTCAGCTTATCAATAGAGAATCTGCATTCTATTTCCAAGGGTGATTCTTCTTAGGCTACAGTTAATTGAGGTAAACCTACTTTTATAGTAATGGGATTATAATCATTCCAATATTAATTTTTCACAATGTTTAATTCACACTTGAATTACATGTGAGTTTGGTAATAGACCAAATTATGTGCAATGATACATGAGTCCTTAGACTGTAAAGTTTTGAATGCATCAATTTAAATCTAACTTCACTTTATCTCATTTTATCCCGATACAAAAGTTTTTCATGTTTTCCTTTTTCTATCCTACCAGTTTCTCTCCTATGTAATGTATAATATTTTCTTATTAACATTAATATACTATCATATATTGTTATACCAAATTATTATTTAAATTCATATTTAAAGTTTTCATAACTTCGATTTTAAAAATAAACTTAAATCTTATCCAAGCATATTATAAAATAATACCTATGGTGGGGAATTTTTCCAACATCACTACTTCCTAATTCAGAAAAAATTAGTGTTAGAGACCAACTTTGAAAGGTCTTTAGATAAATACAATTATTTCCCTCAAAGTAGAAATATAAAATAATGCAACCCAATTAATATCAAGTTAAATATACTACATAAAATTAAAATTTTAAATTATTAGAGAAATAGATTAAATTTAATGATTTTATGTATTTCTTGATAGAAATAGAAACGATCTATACTTTGATCAATATTTTTGATCTAATGCAATAAATACATCAAAGAATTTAAGAATAACAATGCCTATAGATTTATTTTGTCAGGATTCTGAAATTGGTTATTTAGAAAAACAACAGCACGTTTGTATTAAAGAGAATTCTTCAAGCATAATAAGTATGTATTATAAGTACAAATCTTTTATTATCAGTTCAGATAGTGGTATAAGGGATTTTTAAAGTAAACACAAAAATTAAAAATCAGAAAATTATAGACATCGAAAATATTAGCTTTTTTTGCTCTAGGCCAAAGCCAGAATTTTTTCTTAGATTAAAATATAACATTCTTGATCCGTATGCATTCTTTTGAAAATACTTGGTCATCACTAAGCAAACACATTATTTTTTAAAAATTTACTATTCACATGTACATATACACACTTAATGTGTCCAGAGATATTTTTCTTCATTGCATACAAGGAAATCTCCAAACTAAAAGTTTTAAACTTTCCATGTTTATAAAATGCATTTTAAAATTTTAACTTTGAACTAACATATTTAATATATAAGTCCAAAAAGTTGAATTTATAAACTCCATAGAAAAACAATCACCATCAAAATCGAATTTTTTAAAAAATTGATATTTAAACATTGGGGCAATTAAGCATGTTATTTACTTCTTAATGAGCTGATTAGAATTATTTTTATTATAAAATTATTTCAATAACTCTGAAATGACACTGTTATGATTTGTAGTTTAGTCTGCTGGTTGGAATCGCCCTTGCGATAGAGAAAGATGATCACTTGTTAGTAATTAGTAGACATACTAATACGCATTCATATATGTCGATTCTTTCTTGTAGGAACAAACATTTATATTTTCTAACAAATTCATATACACATTTAAATGCTTTTATTTTCCTGTTTAGAAGGTACCTACCACAAACAGATGATATTTGAGACTCTGATCTCTTTCATCACAAGGTTTTCCTTTGGTGATCTCATCTGCTTGGTCAAATCACAGAGTTGAATTCTAGAGCTCTAAAGTTTATGTCGTACTCTTGTCACAAGGTACTAGTTTAAAAGAAACAAAAACGCTATTTACAGTTAAAGTGATGTATATTTGAATCCATATTACAGCAAGATTGGGTAGACATTTACTAATCTTATTTTCCTTTTCTCCAAAAAGAAAGGAAAAATAAAACTCCCAGTGTTTTCTGCAGTTGAGTTAATTACAGGTACCTGGGTTCTGGCCAGTGATATATAGAAGGAAGCAATTTACCATTTTCATGCCTATTTCATAAAATTCAATGCATGGTCATCCATAAAGGCAACAATGGAGACTATGCAATGAAAATGGCAGAGCAACTTCAACTGCATCAGACAGGGAAGTAAATCTTAATTTACTAAGCCACTGAGAGTCCCAAGCTTGTTTATCACTGCACCACAACTTAGCCCAACCTGACTAATACTGGCAGTGGATACTGTATCATGAAACTTTTAAGATGTGGCAGAGCATCAGGCATCAAAGAAGCTAATTCACAGGCTGGAAATACGGTGATCTAAGTTGCACAATGAGAAGCAGGTTGTAAAACTATTATCAATGATAACTTAATAGACAAGACTACAGCCCACTGCATCAGAGGCTCTAGAGGAAGAAAATGGAAAGATGTAATACCCATAGTGTATCTTGGCTAATATAGGCTGCATTTGGCAAGGCATTACATAAAAAAGATAAGCTCAGGAAAGATTTGGCTAGTTTGGAACACTAAATTATCTCAGGAGTCATGCTTCATTGAAATAGCAGTATTTCTGAATTTTCACAGGGCTATTATAACTTTAACATTAAGCAGAATGACACTGTCTAACTGAAGTCCAATAGTCAAACATCTTTCAGGCCCTCTGTCTTTGAGCCAAGCCTATACATTTTGAGTGGTGGAGGGACAAAGATAGGCGTGAGGAAGGAGAAAGGAATTAATGTGGCTGTTACACCAGGGTTTCTGAAAGTCCTTTTTGAGTGAGTGGGTTAGAAACTGTTTATGCTCCGGCTAACAATGCAGTTTGGTTTTTTAAATACTGTTACCAGCTCTCCTAAATTTTAAAGAAATACTTTTGAAAAATTAATGAATTTGCATATCTAAAGGAAAATAGGAAACACCATTATATAACAACTTTCTTCTTAAGATAGAAAGTACATAAATGTAAACACAGTATTCAAATTCAGTTGACAGACCAACTACAGATCTTGGGTGGAGGGACTTGGAGAGTGTGATCTGGTACTAATTTCAGTGAATTGAATTGAATTTTCTAGTTTGGGAGGCAATGCATGAGAGTAATTGTTTAACATATTCCACTTAGGACTAAAAAATCTCCATAAAAGAAACCTTATGGGGAATTTATGAGCTTTGTTGCATGCCAAGTTCTAAAAAGAGTGAACTTGGACTTGGTGACCATAGAGTAGAGTTTCCTTCTTGTCCAAGGAATAGCTTTGGTCACCATCTGGAGCACATGAAAAGTATCGAGAACCTGGTTGGGGCAGAGCCAAACAAATCATGTAGGTGCCATCTGGCAATGCTAGAATCCAGGAAGAGGGTGGAATGCCATGGACCTGTCCTCAAGAGACTACCAAGCTAGAGAAACACTTAGTGAGTTAATACGGGAGGAGAACTACTGAAATAAGAATCAGGAGTCTTGGGCTCTGACATGAACTCTTCCACCTACCAGATATGTGACTTTGGAAGCAAGTCACTCCCCCATTTTGGACCTCAGTCTCCTAGTCTATAGAATGAGAGAGTTGGACTTAATTAGGGACTGCCAACTCAAATACCTACAAGGATCCAGCAGGTAGTTTAATGGGGAGACCCAGCAGCGTAAGGATTGCAGTTAAGTGAAGAATGCATGCCCTTCCAAAGGGTCATGTGCTATTCATCTCCAGCTAATTAAATGGTATGTGCCTAGTACGGGCCCAGAAGTGCCAAATTTCCAGCTTTTTCAAGAGAAGCTAGAAATTAAAGATTTATATGTAACTTCTTCCCATTTCTAAATGTTCACAACTAATTCAATTTTTTAAGCACTCTATTGGCCAAGCAAAAAATATCTACTGGTGTAATGCAGCCTGAAAATCACATTTGTCCCCAGACATTCAGATAATTGTCTCTGAATTAAATAATTTCTAAGGCTCCTTCCATCTTTGAAGATAAATTTAAACTAATTGCCTGATAAAAGACATTTTGTTTCCTCTATCTATAATCTATTTCATTCCTTTCTTTTGTTTACAAAATGTTTGGGAATGAACTCCCATACACACTCCTTGGTCCCTGAAGATTTGGTCTCCTCTCCCACTCCACTGAAACTGTGTTCCTGATGTTATCCATCATCTCCTGACCACAAACTTAAAAGGCAATTGCCTTGCCTTCATTCTTTACCAATTTGTCGCAACTCAAAACTGTTAACAATATCTGTTCTTGAAATCCAGTCTCTGCTGGTTTTCCATATGTTTCTAATCACCTTGTCCCAGATTCCTTTTCTGCCTCTTCATTTTCCTAAATGTGGGTGTTCCCCAAGGCTTAAAGTCCAGGTTTCTCTTCTCTTTAAGCACTTATCCTGAAACCTCATCTATTCAGCTTTAAACATCATTACATTCATTTATGTACACAAATATCTCCTCTCCTGATCAATCTCCTAAGCTCAAACTACCCATCTCCAATGGCCATTTGAAATTTCTACCTGGACTATCTTGCTCATTCTTTAAGTGTGACATGCTCCAAATGTATTTATTATTTTCTCCACAACGTCTTCTCCCTTATGTTCCTCTTGCTACTAAACATCTCCCACCAATCCTCCAGTTACTCTGAGTTAAAATCTTAGTTATCTTTGAATCACCTCATCCACCTCCACATTCAATGATCTATTCACAGTACTTGTAATATTCATCTTTGAAGGAAGTCTCTTGTATCCACCATTTCAGGGTTGGATACACCAACTGCATCATTCTTACTTCCTCACCTCAATCCGTACTTGACACTGCCGCCATGTTATTACTTGCATTACGTTATATTCTCATTTTCATTGACAATGAGGTAAATACCAACTTCATCTGGCAATCAAAGCCCACTAACTCTTGGCCCTTGGGCATCTCCCCCACCAGCTCTCTCAAAACGGAAGATCTTCTGCTCCAGCCAAACCAGTGTAATCAATGTTTTCCAAAGTCTACATTTTGATTGTGCTTAGAATATCCTTCCCTATAATTTCTACCTGTTCAAATCCTACCCGTTCTTCGAGGCTCCGATCAACTTGATCTTCTTCAAAAAACTTTCTAAATCATTACCTAGGCCAAAGTAATCTCTTTTTTTATCGGAACTCAAGAAAATATTTTTCAGTACTGCTTCTTTAACTAGAAGTCACAAAGAAACCCCAAATGTTAGCTTCTAAAACTTTTGTTGTTTTCCCTCAAATATGTAGGTCTAAAATTAGTTTTATATATAGTATGAAGTAGGATCCCAATTTACTCTTTTTGAGGTGGATATGTAACTTTTCCTAGCAGCTTTTATATTTGCCCTTTTCCCATTATCATGCAGTGCCAGCTTTGTCATAAATCAAGGATTCATATATGTGAGAGTTGAATTTTAGGCTCTCAATTTTATTTCACTGGCCTATTTGGCAATTCTTGCACCAATTCCATATCGGCTCCATTAATATAGCTTTTATACTTGACAACCAATTGAGATCATATTCTCATTTTGTTTTTCTCTTTAAGAGTGTCTGCCTATTCGCAGCCATTTGCATTTCCATGTAAATTTTAATGTCAGCTTATCAAGTACCATGCCTCCCTCCCAAAAAAAATTCAGCTAGGATTTTGATTGGTATTAAATCTTTAAATTTTAGATCAGTTTATCAATTTGTCTCTTACTCATCTGTTTTCTTTCTCTTTTTTTGGTCATATAAAAACTTCATTCTGCATGCTTTGACCTTAATTTGCTCTTCTTTTTTTTCTAGTGTCTAAAGAAGAAATTTTTAAATATTGATGTAAAAGTGCTTTTAAAAAATATAAGAACTTTATGCTATAATTTTTATTTTATTCATCAGGTGCACCTCTAATTTTTAATAGTTTATATTTTCTTATTTACTCCATTGTCAATATGTTCTCCTTTCCATTGTAAATTCCTTTTTGAATGGGTTATTTAGAAGCATTAGGTTTAATCACATATTTTCTAATTTTCCAGATATCTTTTTGTTATTGATTTCTAGTTTAATTCCCCAGAATTAAATTAGAGAACATACTTTGTAAAATTTCAATTCTTTATAAAACTTCAAAGAGAACACAATTTGTAAAATTTTAGTTCTTTAAAACTTGTTGGGATTGTTTTATGGCCCAGAATATGGTCTACTTTGATGAACGTAAAATGTCAATTAGGTCAAATTAGTTGACAGTTATTATACTTTCTGTATTTTTAGTTATTTTCTGTCAACTTGTTGCATTAATTACTAAGAGTATTGACATGTTCAGGTATAATTATGGATTTTTGTATTTCTATAAGTTGTTGGTTCATGTATCCTACTGTGATCCAAAAACATTTAAAATAGCAATGCATTTTTCATGAATTGACACCTTTATCAATATGTAATGTCCCTCCTGATCCTTGATAATATATCTTGAGTGAAGTCTATCTTGTCTGATTTTAATAGGGTCACTTCCTTTTGATTCATGACTGTATGGTATATCTTTTTCCATCCTTTCACTTTTGACAGATCTAGATCTTTATATTAAAACAGTTTCTTATAGACAGAAAATAATTCAGTCTTGCATTATTCTCTAATTTGACAATCTCTGCCTTTTAATCAGTGTGTTAGATCACTTTTAAGGTAATTGTTGATATAATGACATTTAAATCTACCACCTTTCTAGTTGTTTTCCATTTCCTAGATGTTCTCCCTTTTTTGCAATCACTTGGATTATGTATATTTTATCATTTAATTTTTTTCTCTATGGTTGGATTGTTAGTTACATCTTCTTCTGAAAAATTGCCCTAAAGTTGACACTATGCATCTTTAACAATCATATACTGTTTTCAAATAATATTTTTACTTCACATACAATGAAAAAAACTTATGACAGTATATTTCCATTTCTTCTCCCTATAACTTACATTTTGTTGTCATACATTTTATTTTTACATGTATCATAAACCCTACAGTACATTTTTACTATTTTTGCTTTAAATTGTCAATTATCTTTTAAAGTGATTAAAATAAGTTATATGTGCATTTTACATTTACCTTTATTTTTACCATTATTGGCACTTTGCCTTTCTTTTCTAATAAATCCTAATGTCTACCTGGTATCATACTCCTGCATGAACTTTATTTTGTATTTCTTATATGGCAGTTCAACCGGCAATGAATTCTCTCATTTTTTGTTTGAAATTTTGTATAAAAATTTTATATAAAAATTTGTATGAAAAAGTATTTAATCTTCATTTTTTGAAGGAGTTTTTTCATTTTTAAAACTTTTAATTTAGGTTTGGGGGTATATGTGAAGGTTTGTTATGTAAGTAAACTCATGTCAAGGGAGTTTGTTGTATAGATTATTTCATAGCCCAGGAATTAAGCCCAGTACCCAATAGTTATTATTTCTGCTCCTCTTCCTCCTCCCACTCTCCACCCTCAAATAGACCCCAGTGTCTGTTGTTTCTTTCTTTGTGTTCGTGAGTTCTCATCATTTAGCTCCCACTTATAAGTGAGAACATGGCAGTGTTTGGTTTTCTGTTCCCATGTTAGTTTGCTGAGGATAATAGCCTCTAGTTCCAACCATGTTCTCACAAAAGACATGATCTTGTTCACTTATACAGCTGCATAGTATTCCATGGTCTAGATGTACCATGTTTTCTTTCTCCAATCTGTCATTGATGGGCATCTAGGTTGATTCTGCTTTTAGATCTTTGAGGAATCGCCATACTGCTTCCCACAATGGTTTAACTAATTTACACTCTCACCAACAGTGTGTAAGTGTTCCTTTATCTCTGCAACCTTGCCAGCATCTGTTTTTTTGTTGTTTTTTTTTTTTAGGACGGGGCCTCGCTCTGTCACCCAGGCTGGAGTGCAGTGGCGTGATCTCGGTTCACTGCAACCTCTGCTCTGCCTTTCCTGTTCAAGCGATTCTCCTGCCTCAGCCTCCTGAGTAGTTGGGACTACAGGCATGCACCACCATTCCCAGCTAATTTTTATAATTTTAGTAGAGACAGGTTTTCACTGTGTTGGCCAGGCTGTTCTCAAACTCCTGACCTCAAGTGATCCACCCACCTAGGCCTCCCAAAGTGCTGGGATTACTGGCATGAGTCACCATGCGCAGCCTATTTTTTGACTTTTTGATAATAGCCATTCTGACTGATGTGAGATGGTATCTCACTGTGGTTCTGATTTGCATTTCTCTAATGATCAATGATATTGAGCTTTTTTTCATATGCCTGTTGGCCACATATGTCTTCTTTTGAAAAGAGTATCTTTGTGTCCCTTGCCCACTTTTTAATGGGGTTGTTTTTTGCTTGAAATCTGTTTAAGTTCCTTATAGATGCTAGATATGAGACCTTTGTCAGATTCAGTGTGCAAAAATTTTCTCTCATTCTGCAGGTTGTCTGTTTCCTCTGTTGATAGTTGCTTTTGCTGTGCAGAAGCTCTTTAGTTTAGTTAGATCCCATTTGTCAATTTTTGCTTTTGTTTTGATTGATTTTGGTGTCTATGTCATGAAACCTTTGCCCCTTCCTATGTTTAGGATGGTATTGCCTAGGTTGTCTTCCAGGGTTTTTATATTTTGCAGTTTTACATTTAAGTCTTTAACCCATCTTGAGTCGATTTTTGTATATGGTATAAGGAAGGGTTCCAGCTTTAGTCTTCTGCATATGGCTAGCCAGTTAGCACCATTTATTGAATAGGGCATCTTTTCCTCATTGCTTGTTTTTCTCAGCTTTGTTGAAGATCAGATGGTTCTAGGTGTGCAGCCTTCTTTCTTAGCTCTCTATTCCATTCCATTGGTCTATGTGTCTGTTTTTGTACCAGTACCATGCTGTTTTGGTTACTATGGCCATGTAGTATATTTTGAAGTCAGGTAATGTAATGCCTCCAGCTTTGTTCTTTCTGCTTAGGATTGCCTTGGCTATTTGGACTCTTATTTGGTTCCATATGCATTTTTAAATAGTTCTTTCTAGTCTGTGAAGGATGGCATTTGTTGTTTGATAGGAATAGCATTGAATGTGTAAATTGCCTTAAGCAGTATGGCCATTTTAATGACATTGGTTCTTCTTATCCATGATTATAGAATGTTTTTCCATTTGTTTGTGTCATCTCTGATTTCTTTGAGTAGTGGTTTGTAATTCCCATTACAGAGAACTTTCACCTCCCTGGTTAGCTGTATTTCTAGCTATCTTATTCTTTTTGTGCAATTGTGAATGGGATGCTTTTCTGATTTGGCTATCAGTTTCGCTGTTGGTTTATAGGAATGCTACGGATTTTTGTACATTAATTTTGTATTGTGAAACTTTGCTGAAATTGTTTATCAGCTGAAGAAGCTTTTGGGCCAAGGCTATGAGGTTTTCTAGATATAGGATCATGTCATCTGCAAACAGAGATAGTCTGACTTCCTCTCTTTCTGTTGGATGCCCTTTCTTTGTTGTCCCATTGCTCTGGCTAGTACTTCCAATATTATGCTGAATAGGAGCAGTGAGAGAGGGCATCCTTGTCTTGTGCTGATTTTCAAGGAAAATGCTTCCAGCTTTTGCCCACTTAGTATAATGTTGGCTGTGGGTTTGTCATAGATGGCGCTTATTATTTTGAGGTATGTCCCTTCAATACCTAGTTTATTGAGAGTTTTTAACATAAAGGGATGCTGAATTTTATTAAAAGCATTTTCTGTGTCTTTTGAGATAATCATGTGTTTTTTCTCTTTGCTCTGTTTATGTGATGGATCACATTTATTGATTTGCATTTGTTAAACCAATCTTGTGTCTTTGGGATGGAGCCTAATTGATTGGGATGGATTACCTTTTTGATGTGCTGCTGGATTCAGTTTGCAAGCATTTTGTTGAGAGTTTTTGCTTCGATGTTCATCAAGGATAATGACCTAAAGTTTTCTTTTTTTGTTGTGCCTTTGCCAGTTTTTGTTATCAGGATGGATGCTGATCTCACAGAATGAGTTGAGAAGGAGTCCCTCCTTTGCAATTTTTTGGAACAGTTTCTGTAGAAATGGTACCAGCTCTTCTTTGTACATCTTTCAGAATTCAGCTGTGAATCCACCAGGTCCCGGGCTTTTATTGGTTGGTAGGCTATTTTTTATTTATTCAATTTTGGAGCTCGTTAGTGGTCTATTCATAAAATCATTTCTCCCTGGTTCAGTCTTGGGAGGGTGTATGTGTCCAGGAATTTATCCATCTCTTCCAGGTTTTCTAGTTTGTGTGTGTAGAGGTGTGTGTAGTAGTTTCTGATGTTTGTTTTTATTTTTGTGGGGTCAGTGGTAACATTCCCTTCATCATATCTAATTGCATTTATTTGGATCTTCTCTGTTTTCTTATTAGTCTAGCTAGTGGCCTATCAATTTTTTCAAAAAAAACAACTCCTGGATTCATTAGTGTTTTGAATGGTTTTTCATGTCTCAATTTCCTTCAGTTCAGTTCTGATTTTGGTTATTTCTTGTCTTCTGCTAGCTTTGGGCTTGATTTGTTCTTGTTTCTCTAATTCTTTCAGTTGTGATGTTAGGTTGTTAATTTGGGATATTTCTAACTTTTTAATATAGACATTTTAGTGCTATGAATTTCCCTCTTACCACGCCTTAGCTGTGTCCCAGAGATTTTGGTACCTTGTATATTTGTTCTCATTACTTTCAAGGAACTTCATTTCTGTCTTAATTTCATTATTTATCCAAAAGTCATTCTGGAGCATGTTGTTTAATTTCCATGTAATTGTATGGTTTTGAGTGATTTTCATTGTGTTGATTTATATTTTTATTCCACTATGGTCCAAGAGTGTGTTTTGTATAACTTCAGTTCTTTCACAGTTGTGGAGAATTGTTTTATATCCAATTATGTGATCAGCTTCAGAGGATGTGCTAAGTGGAGATGAAAAGAATGTATATTCTGTTGTTTTGGGGTACAGAGTTCTACAGAGGTCTATTAGATCCATTTGTTTCAATGTTGAATTCAGGTCCTGAGTATCTTTGTTAATTTTCTGCCTCGATGATCTGTCTAATATTGTCAATGGAGTATTGAAGTCTCCCACTATTATTGTGTAGGAGTCTATGTCTCTTTATAGGTCTCTAAGAACTTGCATCTGTGGTTTATCTTGGACAGGCATTTTCTGCTCTCTCCCAGTGGTAGCAGACCAGTGGAGGGTATCACTATGGAATCCAGCCTGCTTTCCTGTTCTCCCACAAACATGGAGTTTTTCTTCCATTCTTCTCCCAGCCACAATCATTCTTTGTGCCCCATGAGTGTAAGTTTTTGTTCCCTTGCCTCAGTGGCTTAAGGAGTTTGGTTCACAGGAGAGAAGGGACCCAAAAAGGGGTGAGAGAGACTTTGAGGTTTTCCCTAGGAGCCACAGGTTACCTCCTGCATGCCTATGCCCCCAAAGAAAGATGGTCTCTGCGGTCTCCTGTCCTGCCCTCAGGAGCACCCAGTGAAACCTAATAGAAAAGTTCTTGCTAGTGAGTGTGCTAGAGTCTGAATGTTTGTGTCCCTCTTCAAAATTTATATGCTGAAATCCTAACCTCCAAAGTGATGGTATTAGGAGGTGGGGCCTTTGGAAGGTGATTAGGTCATGAGGCAGAGCCCTCAGAAATTGGGATTAATGTCCTTATGAAAGAGGCCCAAGGGAGCTCATTCTGCCTTTCCACCATGTAAGGATGGAGTAAGAGGATGCAATCTATAAGGAACAGGCTCTTAACAGTCACCAAATCTACTGGCAACTTGATCTAGGACTTCCCAGCCTCCAGAACCATGAGAAATAAATTTTGCTGTGTATAAGCTACCCAATTTATAGTATTTTGTTATAGCAATCCAAAGAGACTAAGAGAGCGAGTACTCATTTATTTCAGATTGGCATGCTAGTCCACACTTGGCCTTGAACAATTAGTTAAAATTTTTACTGATTTCTTCTTACCAGCTTAAGTGGCCCTTGTGTCTTCCCCCAGTAGTTAAGATACTTCATATTCCATGGACTTGTCACTCCTTGGAATTTAGGCTTCCTTGTGACCTCAACTCTCTTATAGGTTCAAGAAAAGTTACAACTTTAGCGTTTATCTGAGTTTTTCTCCTTGTTAGGTTGGGTGGAAGTGGCATACATTCTAGCTTTTTACATCCTAGGTGAAAATGGAAACTGCAAACTTACCTTTATTTTTAATAAATATCTGGCCCTTGTTCAGTTCTTTAAGCCCTGAAGAACTACAGGTGACTATAAATGCAATTAAGAAGTCTTTCAGGCACCCTACATCATTATACAGAGAAAGCAATTTTTGTCACAGTATCTACCTCCAGGGCTCACTTTTCAAATGAACCTTTAAAAATATGTTTCTTCTTAACAATCAGAATAGTTATCAAAGAAGAATATAGAATATATTTCCACTGAAGTATTTAAAAGTAACTACAACTCTACGATACTAGATAATATGTGAGATATGATACAATATTCAGTAAAATGTGGTTTAGCCTTGAACCTAAACAAGTGTATTTAATATAATTCTATAAGAACTTCAGTCTAAATTAGTCTCATCAGTAAAATAATCCCATAAAATGGAAACTGAGAGTTAATAATAGGATGATTTCAAATCAAATTTATTACATTTGGCCTTCTTGAAAGCAGCACAGGACAAGCTGTTTTTCAAGGATCCACCAGAGCTGTGAGTTTTATATTTGTATGTTTCTTATATTTAAAGATGTAATAATATTCATTTGTAATATCTATTCTTTTCCATACTTCTCTGTAGAGTCCATGACTTAAGTAACAAATACTACCTGGCCACAGTTTTATTTTTTCAACAAAAATATAACTGAATGCCTAGTATAAGCCACATATTGCATATATAAAGTTGAAAAGGAATGGTCTATATCTTCAAAATATTTATAATCTCTGTTTGTGAGACATAGATCAGAATAATGCAATGTGATCATTCCTAATAGTCAATAGGAACAATGGAGCAATGGAAACGGATGAATAAGAATTAGGACTGATAGAATAACAAAAATATAAAAGAAGAATAGTTGACTCTAGGCAAACTCAGCAAGGCCAACACATCATACCTTGAAACATATGTTTAAATATAAGCTACTCAAGAGATGAGGCAAGATTTCACTTCACTATCATAGGGACATGGAAAGATTTAAATTTTCAGAGTAAAAATTAAAATGACAAATTCAGCCATCCTAATGACTTTGGTCAAAGTTAGTGAAGCCAGACATGGTGGCTCACACCTGTAATTCCAACTACTTAGAAGGCTGAGGCAGGAGGATCACTTGAAGTCAGGAGTTTTAGACTAGTCTGGGCAATATAGTGAGACCCCATCTCTAAAAAACTTTTTTAAAAAAATATTAGGTGTTGTGGCATGTACCTGTAGTCTGTTACTCAGGAGACTGAGCTGAGAGGATCACTTGAGCCCAGGAGTTAAAGGCTGCAGTGAACTATGATAGCACCATTGCACTCCAGCCTGGGTGACACAGTGAAACCCCATCTCTAAAAAATAATAATAATAAAATAAAGTTAGTGATTAACACAAATAAAAACTAGTTAAGGGATGGGGAATGGAAGCAAATGTACAAAACACAATATAATTGTAATAATGCTAATCCATTGAGTCATAAATGAAAACTTTACTTAAAAGCAGGGACAGTAATTGGTAAATGTGTAACAGTAGAAAAAATCACAGGGGATTATAAGAAGTCATGAAATAAATCCAGCATTTATTTTTAACACTGAACAAATCTAAAAATCCTTAGACTTTAGAGGCAATATAAATCTCAAGAGTGACTAGAATTTGGAAACCTTTGAGAAAACTAGAATTTAAAAAATCATCTAACTGAAACATGGTCTGCTGAGAAGCACCACAAAGAAAACAGGAGATTTCTACTTTTATGTGGCAAGCCAAATTAGCTGTGCTATCCTCTCAACATTCAACAAGTCAATTCCTGAAGGGCTGCAAGAAGGCATATGCTCTATGAGCCAGAAAAGTGTTTTCACCTTAAACTGAAAAACAAATCTGTCCTGAAATGACTTTTCTCTTCATTTGCCACAACTAGAAGATAATTGCTCCCAGTTTTGCTTTGGAACAGACTTCAGATGTATTAAAACCTTTAATATTTTGTCATTGTCTCTAAGTTGTAACTACTTGGTATTAAAATGATAAATTTTAAAAATGAACTTATATATATACATGAACTTAAATATGTATATTTCATTTCATTTTTAAAATTTATCATCTTAATACCAGGTAGGATTAAAATAAATATATATAAAGTTCATTTTTGAATTTGATATATTATTTAATAATTAACAAGTAATAAATACATTAATTATGAACTTAATTATATATTTAAGTTATATATAATATATAATATATTTAAGTTATATATATTATATAATATCTCTTTGTTTATAATATATATTATATATTTATATTATATAATATCCCTTTGTTTATTATACATTATATATTTATATTATATAGATCCCTTTATCAATTATAACAAAGATATAACATATATATCCCTTTGTTTATAATTTCCCCTCCAAGACAATATCTGTAATGTAAAGTACCCAGAAATAAAGAGCTTTAATAAAATGTAGCCAATAGAAACCGAAATGGAAGAGTTCATTAAAATTCCTATCAGGAGTAGAGCTTTCATGCTCTCTCTGCACTCAAGTCCAGGAGTTCCCTTGACCATGACTTTCAGTCAAATAAGTGAGCACCTTTGCCATCACAGCACCTAATAACACAGGAGTGTTAACAGCATTTGTCTGGAGTGTGTTTCATCACTCATTATAGCTGCAAACCTATTGGTGTCAAGTTGAAGTCTAAGGCTGGGATGGCAGGTGGGCAGCCAGATTGAGACCAATCTATTATTAATTTTAAAAAATTACAGAGTACCTACTCTGCTAGGCACTCTACCAGGTGTTTTGGATAAGTCAGTGAACAAAACCACATATTTGATAGTGCCTACATTCTATGATAAGTAACATGCCCACAAGGGCCATAATCAACCACAAAGTGAAGGGGGTTCAGTAATAATAATAGGAAACATATATTAGGTATTAATTATGCACTGAACACTTCTCTTCCCAGAGGTTTATATGTATCAATGAAAGGTAAGTCTAATTACTATTTATGATGCACTTTGTAAAATATTTAAGCATAAAATTTAGCCTTGTAACAACACGGGCCTGGACCTAAAACTCAGCTATTATAATCAGCAAACAAGCAACCAAGAACTAACTAGGAGATGAGAGTCTTCAGTTTTAAAAAATAAAGTACCCCAGTTTTGCCTTTGGCTCACTCAGTATGTGGATTTTCCTTGGAATCTACTGTAACAATGAAAAACAACCCAATTATGGAAAATCGAGACATTCTTAGGGCTGGAACATCTTGTACCAATAAGAGAAAAGAATATTGTATGTGCATAAGGAAACCAGCTCATAACTGAAGGCACGTTGTTCTGCAATAATAAGATCACATGATATTTTAACTATGAGAAAAGAAAACTACACAAGAGAAACCTCCTGAATAAAAATTTGCCTGTCTGCCAAAATTCAACATAAAATAATTTCAATTCAATTCAGAAGGCTGCTGTGGGCTCTTGAGTCTTTGCCAAGGATTCCTGGCTATCACTTGCAAACCACCAGGAGTACCCAGCAGAGTACCTGGCACATACAGCACAGAGGAAACAGGCTCTTGATACATTTAGTTGAATTGACCTGAACTTTCAAATGAAAAATGGCACTGTCCATGGACAGCAATAGAGTGAATGGGGGGGAGGGGAACATTCAATCCATCCTTGATTCCAAGAAGATAAGTTTAGACATCTTCAGTTTCTATTATGTATGAATTTCATAATTTGTGCATAAAGAGGTAACTTCATCTCTTAGGTGGTATTACGTTAAACTGTACCCCACATGAAGAGTTTGCTCTAAGCCAGAGACCTTAGAAATTAAACTTGCTTAATGTCAAATAAATTTTTACACACTGCAAGTATGATAAACTATTTTGGATTAATGGGTTCTTTCCTAAAACCCAAAACAGATTAAAGACTTCCTTACTCCGGAATAGGATCAAACCAGAAGAAGGTTTTAAATGCAGAGGAGTTTGGAAAGAGGGCCCTGATCTTTTTCATCCAATAGAATAAACATGCTTAAATCTATGACTGTGTAGACTGTATTTATTACAGAATTTAGGACAGTAGTCGATCCACTGAAACTCTGTTCTCAGTAGCAACCATTCCATTTCCTCAACCCTACTTAAGCTTCAATTCAGAGTCAACCAATTATTTTTCTCTTTCTTTCAACCAAACTTCACATGCTTTGACGGCAGTCCAAGGAATACTTGAAGGATAGGTGTGGTAGTTTGCTTCCATTGAAATAAAATCTATTCATTTTTTCCTACTAGTTTAGCTTGTAAGTAGTTTACAAAAATTATATACATAAATGTACTCTAATTGATCAAAAGACTAATATTGACTCAGTTCATATTAGTATTGCCACTGCCTCTTTCTATTTGTTCTCTACTAATAGACAGAGAAAATGCAAGTTTTAGCTGGCAGTAAACGTAATCCAATCAATCACCCTTAAAACAGATTCCAGTAAAGAAAATAAATACTGATACTAAAAAGTAAAAAAGGGTATATTACATTATTTCATAAGACCCATTGTATGATTGGTTTCTGGACACTGTTTAATTTAATGGAAGAAACTAGCATTGAAACACACCAACATATTTTCCATTTTCAAATAAAAAGTTTTGACCTGAGTTTTGTTAGATGGCTGCCTTGAAATATTTGAATTATTGAAAATAGGCTTGACATAGTATTCCATGAAGTATGCATGCTTTTACAAGTTTGAATGCATTTATTTATAGGTTAACATTTTTAAAAGTTTGTGTGCTATAATGCATCTATCTCTAAATATTTATGAATGTACTTCCCCATTAAGTCAGGAGACAGGAATGGAAAAACTAAGAAACATTCTCCATAGAGTGGATATATTCAAATGTCAATTTTTTAAAAGGAATGAATCCAATATGCTAATTTTAAATGCATTTCAAGGGTCTTTCGGCCTAAAATCAACACTTCCAATTAAAGGAAACTTCCAACATTAACTACCTTATGAGTCATACCAGAGGTTATAGTCTGTTAGGAAATAGGCCAATATAAAGAAAGAAGAACTAGAAGGAAGTGCAAGGTTTTTATGATTCTTGGTAAGGCTGATTTAGGCAGATTCTGAGATCTGCTGTCTAATTATTTAGTCTTCTTGTACTTTTAACTGGATTAGGGGAAAGGATCCTTAGTTTCTTCACAAAAAGAAAAAAACTTTTCTCTTAGTTGTTTGATTGGAAAATTATCAAAGACATCAAAGAAAAAGTAGTTCGAACAGAGAAGAAGGACTTTTCATGATATTCTATGTGAAAAGTGAGAACAAAAAAATCTGGTCCGAATGATAAAACATTCCCTTCCATAACCAGCCTCCAGATTTTCTCTTGTTTGAATATTTGTGACATTTTGACTTAGAAAATATACTTTCCTTAAGAGCTGGTGGACATTCCCAAAGAAACATGATCTTCTAACACCTTTTTCTACCATTTTCTGTTTTAATAATTAAGGAGTAGAAGACCAACACAGTAAACAATGTCAAAATAGTCTTTATATTCCCAGAAACACAGAAGGGGGCAGAGATGAAAAATTCCCAAAGAAATATTAGATGAGGAATATTTTGCATCTCCAATGTCTGTAATTTCTGTTTATACTGTGACACAAATAAATACATCTAGTTGGTGTGATGGTAAGGTGGTTAACTTTCATATATCTTGAAGTTCATTTTTAAAATTTCTGCTTTTAATTTTAAAGTTATGGGACTATATTTAGTTTTTTATTTAGTTATAATTCACTTTCAAATAAATCCAACCCTTGAGAACTTCATCTAAAGAGTTTATCATATTCACAATAAAATACCAATTTCTTCTTTTTGTCTTTCCAGTTCTCAAAAGATGTACATATAATAGTTTCTCTTAAAAGAAAAAGCTTTACATAAATAAGTTCTTGTTTTATTTTAAAATTAACATAAAAATAATATCCCATAAGCATGTCACCTAATATAAGCATTATCCTATTTTTGTATATTCCCTTCACTGTTCTTGTATATTCTCTTTAAATAAACATTACTTTATATGTTTTTCATATTGCAATTATCACATACATCAAATATTGTACCCTCTTTTTCCTATATAACATTAAATAAAATTGCCTTTTCACATGTGTAATTTTTATTAGAAGCACAATATTCTATTAATTTAATTAAACTTTTAAGTATTCTATTTATTATTTCTTAAGTAAATCTTTACTTAAATAAAATGCTTATCTTTTTAACTTCTTCATGTATTTCTGGATCCTTTCCAGATTGAGTAGTGTGATCCAGGACTACTGCAGCAAAAAAATGTGTGGACATCTTCTAGATCAGTTACTCCAGTACCTTGATCTCTGTATGTTTCTCTAGTATTCTCTCAGATAGTTTCATGTAATGTGGGTAGATGGTATACACCTTGTCCTAGCTTTTTTCAATATTTTAGTTAATTAAACTCAACTGCACCATTATTTTTCCTAACTACAAATTTAAATCTTACTTTTTTTTTCAAAAGCAGCCAGCAAATTAATTACCTTTGATACTATTCCAGGACTATGATGTATTCTTTCTTTCTTTCTTTATTTTTGTCGCGGTTAAGGAATGGTTAATCCATTTGCTTAGTTCATTTGTAAAATCCATGACTTACAAGTTTTAAACCAAACTCCAACCTTTTAGGTCTCACCAATACATTTACAATAAAGGACAAACTCTCACACCAAAAAGTGTTGATAAGAAGTGTAGGTAACAGAAAGGCTAGATGGTATACAGCTCATACAGGTGTGTGGAAGCTGCCCAGGCCTGGAAAATTCAGGAGGGCATAGCCTAGGAAACCTAATCGCACCTGCTCATGTGACTCCTTGAGGTCAGTGCTGTCTCCTGGTCCTTACCTCACAGTGGAACTTCTCAAATGTGCTGACTCTGGATGGGTTTTCATCAGGGTGTGTTTTCACTCCTTCCCCATGGCATGCTAGACACTGAATCAAGATTCAGTTTGAAAAATCTTTGCCACGGACTTAGTTGCTCCCAGTTTCCACCTGCCAGCAGCCCAACTGCCTGCACCACCATCTGCTTTGTCTGCCACCTTCTGCATGTAGTTAGGTCATGCTGTCAAAACAGGCTAAGAGTGAGAGCAAAGGTTTAATTCCACGAAGATTGGCATTTCTCTCTCTCTCTCTCTCTCTCTCCCTCTCTGTCTTCTCTCATTTTTTCCGGTGTTTACCAAAGAGACGTTTCCTGATTCCTCTGGGCTCCCTTTGTCCCACTGGACCATCAAAAGCACTTTCCTGACCACCTTGTTCTCTTACAATACTCTAAAATAGAGCATTCTTGCACTGCAGCAATGTTATAATAGATTCAAAATTGCTAAATCATTTTCAGAAAGAGTTATTCCAGTTTGCACCATCACCAGAAATAAGTAAGATTTTGTAGACTTCTTGGTAGCATTGTCTTTCCTGAATTTTTTCTTGTTTTAGTTTAGTACCAACAAATGTTCTGGGATCCAAGATGGCCTCAAAACTCCTTTTGCAAATAATACATAGCAGCAACAATAAAACCTGTAAATTATAGAGTGTCAGTTATATGCCTGGCATTTTACATGTTCCGTTTTATTTATCCTTAAACAACCCCAGGCAATAGTTATTATTTCCCCCAGCCAGCATGTAAGAAAAGCGAGAATCCAAAAGAACAACTTGTGCATATCCATAGCCTCAGTGGGGAGTGCGGGCATGACTCCAGCCCATGCGCCTCTGAACTTAGCTACCTCACAGCTGTCTATGCCAAGGTAGCTCAAAGCTAGCGGGCTATAATCCAGTGCACTTTTCACTCAGTATTCCTTTTCAGAGGTGCCATTACCTGCTCATTATCACATTGTTCAAATGAAATTCCAATGGCATAATGAATTAAAGTCTAATTAATTAAACTTAACAACATCATTTTTTTCCTCACTACACATTTGAACCTTATTTGTTCTTTCAAAAACAGCCAGCAAATTAGTTACCCTTGATATATTCCAGGACTATGATGTATTTATTTATTTGTTTGCCCCAGTTAAGAAAATGATTAATCCATTTACTTAGTTCATTTGACATTTTTGAAAAATCTGTGGCTTATAACTTTTAACTCCAACCTTTTAGGACTCACAAAATTTTATTAGGACAAAATGTGATTTTTCTTGGGGGTCAAAATAGAGAGGAATTCTCTGTAGTTTATGGTATTTATGATATATGATCCCAATCTGAATATTAAATCACTTACAAAATAGTATCTCAAAGATATCAGCTTAACTAAATCAGTGGTTCATGTGCCATGTGGTTAAAAATATCCTCATGTCGAAATAGGAAGGCTTTTACGTTGTTGGTGGGAGCATAAATTAGTTCAGCCATTGCGGAAGACAGTGTGGCGATTCCTCAAGGATCTAGAACCAGAAATACCATTTGACCCACCAATCCCATTAGTGAATATATACCCAAAGGAGTGTAAATCATTCTACTATAAAGAGACATGCACATGTATGTTTATTGCAGCACTATTTACAATAGCAAAGATTTGGAACCAACCCAAATGCCCATCAGTGATAGACTAGATAAAGAAATTGTGGTACATATACACCACGGAATACTATGCAGCCATAAAAAAGAATTGAGTTCATGTCCTTTGCAGGGATATGGATGAAGCTGGAAACCATCATTCTCAGCAAACTAACACAGGAACAGAAAACCAAACACCACATGTTCTCACTAATAAGTGGGAGTTGAACAATGAGAGCACATGGACACAGTGGGGGAGCATCACACAACAGGGTCTGTCGGGTGGTAGGGGCAAGGGGAGGGAGAGCATTAGGACAAATACCTGATGTATGCAGGGCTTAAAACCTAGATGATGGGTTGACAGGTGCAGCAAACCACCATGGGACATGTATACCTATGTAACAAACCTGCACGTTCTGCACATGTATCCCAGAACTTAAAGTAAAATTAGAAAAAAAATATCCTCATGTATATACCTTCCAAAGTGAATGTAGTTTCCTAATATTGGCTTGCTTCACCTCAAAGAGTAGGAGACCAGGGTGGCTGAAGTGTTAAGCAGCAAAAAATTGGAACAAGCAGAGGTTAAAATTCCTCATCAATATAAAAACTGAAACTGAACTCTGACAGTCAGACACAAATACTGGCTTCTAAAACCCATATCTACCCACACAAATACACACACATAGAAAGTTACAGCTTTACTCAGCTTTATATAATTAACATATATAGCTGCTATGAAGATGTTTGGGAATAATTTTAATTAATTTAACTAGATTCGTATTAGTTGTATTATACTACATTTTTTCTTATATCCCAACATCTCTGAAATCTTAAATAGCTTTTGAATTTTCAATGTATTCCTTAAGTCCTTGTTAACTGTCAAAATTTCACTCAAAGGTCATCAGTTTCTTGAATGTCTTTATCTTTTCATTTCTAATCCTTTGCTGTCCCCTTCCCCACATTCCAACAGAAATAATCTCTCCTCACTAGGAACTCCCAAAGCATGTCAACATAACAATTTTTATTATGACAATTTATCACATTCTACCTAACATTAGATGCGTTATTTATGTACGCATCCTCTTCTGTGCTAGAATGCAACAGTCTTTGGGCTCATATCCATTCCCACTTGGAGTCTACATAGTCAAAATACTGTCGTTAAAATAATGTAGACGACCAAGTAGAGAATCCAAGACTTATTCAAAATCATAGTTTTTACTCAATAGCAGAGGTTAGGGCCAAACATATCCTGGTGCTTTCCAGACTTTCATTTCCACTAGGCTTTCCCTTTTCTACACAGAAATTTAAAACTGTTCTGATTAAATCAACTCTTTTTTCTCTTCCTGGTTAAAAACTTTGCATTGAAAGAAAAAATGGACACCAATTCTGATCTCTTTTCTCTTTGCATTTGATTTGCTATATTTACACTAAAATTAGATTTCACAGAAGAGAAATTGAGAGACAATAAGAGTAAGAGTGAGGGAGAGAGAGATTGATTCACACTGCTCAAAGTTATTTCCCTGAGGAGCACAGGCTTCTTTCCATTAGGTATTCAAATGCAACAAGAAGAAAACAAGGGATTCTTTACACCAGAGATTTAGATGAAACTCTGAGGCATGACCTAGAGCAAAGTAGCAATTAAAACTCCAAGTTCCAGTTCCTACCTATTGCCCACAGCATGCTATTGATTGTTGGGCTTCAATTTGCCTTAATGGAAGGCTGACTTGTGATGTCATTGTCTAGAAAGCTATTGAAACTCCCTTGAATTTGCCTTTGTTCTGTATAATTGATTAAATTCAATAACTTTTTATAATCTAAAAATATACAGTGACATCATTTAAAATTCCATGATTTAAAATGTCTTTGGGGGGAAAAACTCTATTACTTTCATTTTTTCATATCAAAAAAGGTTCAGGACAAAATTATTACCTCATTTAATTTTAAAAAATCAACAAAGAATTCTTAAAAAATGCAAAATGTATATTATGGACTGAATATATTCCTGGTATTTGCTGTACACTAGGGTAAATTCTGTGAGTAGAACACTCACTGTGTGAGGATTATTTCTACTTCCAACTCCAATCTACACATTTTCACTCTGTTCTCTCATTCCTCATAACTTTTTCGAGTGTCAAATCATATGGCAAGAATTAAAAGAAAGTGAGGTTAAAATGTATTTAAGATTTCCAGCGTTTTCCTAGACTCTTTTCACACCTCCTTCTAACTAGATTAGAATGCGAACATATAAACAGTTAATCATTAGTTTATAAATGTTTAGCAATAAAATAATTTTGCTTGACTATTGTCTCGCCCAGGGGAAAATAGGCTGAAATCACTTAAGAGTACACCGTTTAAACCAAACCATTCCTATCATATCAAATTATATTCTTTATTATATAAAATAGGAATGGAGCAGAAATACTAGCAACAACATATTAGTGTTAGCAACCAAGAAAATTGAGGTACCCATCTTGAATACATTGGAGCTTCACCACTATAAATTATTAAAAGAATGAAATAAATGCATGAATAAAGCAAAGTTTCTGAATCCTTGGGCAGATCAATTTTAAATTAGTTCTGGAAGGGCCTTGACATTTGCCTGATTGAATGTTCTAAAGAAAAAGTTGAAGCCTTTCAACAGCAGGTTGTTGCTTTTTTTTTCCCTAGGTGTTGACAAATTGTCTCTTTGGCTAAAATTTTTCAACTGCAAAAAAGGTCTTCCATCTGAGACACTGTGTTAGATTTGCTATTTAATTGTGTCTTTTCAGCATGTCCATCTCACTTTTTTTTTTTTTTTTTTTTTTTTTTTTTGAGACGGAGTTTCACTCTTGTTGCCTAGGCTAGAATGCAATGATGCAATCTAGGCTCACTGCAACCTCCGCCGCCCAGGTTCAAGCAATTCTCCTGCCTCAGCCTCCCGAGTAGCTGGGATTACAGGTGTCTGCCGCCACTCCTGGCTAAGTTTTTGTATTTTTAGTAGAGATGGGGTTTCACCATGTTGGCCAGGCTGGTCGCCTGGAACTTCAGACCTCAGGCGATCCACCCACTTCAGCCTCCCAAAGTGCTGGGATTACAGGTGTGAGCCACCACACCCGGCCTGTGCATCTCACTTCTAATAGTGGAATTCTTTTTTTCTTTTAGAGAGTCTATTCTCTATGGTTTAGGTAGGATGAATCCACCTGCCATGGTGATCATGTGACTCACAACTGGCCAAAGAGAATGTTCTATCCTCATGTCAATCATGAAAATTAGATGACAGCATTACCTCAAAAAGGCCAGAGTATTTGATCAGATTTGATGTAAGCTAGCTGTGAGAGAAAGAGTCTTTCTTTGATCAAAATTAAGAAGGATATATCCTTGGGGATTCCTTTCCTACCATATTGAGAAGCAGCCTGCCTGAAAATTAAGCCAACAGGAAAATGGAACTGAGAGAGAAACAAAGCCCTCTGGGCATCATTTGAAACCCTGAACCTACCTATACCTGAAGCTACATCTATCTTTGGATGGTAGTCAATATTCCAGTAATTTCCCCATATTTTGCATAAGGTCATTTGAGCCAGAGTTTAGGCACTTTGCAACCAATAACCAATAGATTGCTAACTAATAAAATTGTGATGTTATTTTGTAAGTTACTGCAAGCTACTATGTAGTATCTCTTCTTACATATAGGCAACTATCAGGTCATATGAACTCAGACCAGATGAAATGGTCAGAATCACTGAAAGGATATCTCAACTTTCTTCTCAACAACATTTCTGAATGTCTGAAAAGAAAATTAATGTTCAATTTAATTTTATTGCCCTATCAAAGTAATTCTGGTTTTCTACATAGACATTCAGTTAAAGTTCACGCATATTATTTCCATATCATGAAATTTTAGAATTAGAAAAAGACCTTGGAATTCCTCTTCCCCGTCCTCATTTTAGATAAGGAATCTGAAGTCTGACAATATTTAGTGAATTGTCCAACATTATATAGCTAGTTAGTGATGACATTGAAATGCAATCAAATTCTGTATCCATAATGTACCTGAAATTATACAATTATGCCTATTACAGTATTCATATTATTCTGAAATGAAGTGACTTGAGATCTTATTAGAATATTATCATTTTAAAAATAAGAAATTAGCTTAGTCAAGCACAAATGATTGTGCATTTTTATCCACTGGGGTATCCATTAATTCTTCCAAAATGAGAATATACTAAATGAGCCAAAATTCCATTAAACACACACAATGATAAATGACCTGAAATGGCCTTTCTATAATGCTTTTGTTTTCTCTATAAATAACTACCAGATAGAAAAGGGTAAAAATCATAATATTCTAATGGGAACTAGCAAATTCTATTAGATATGAATGCCTAATTATAATCTAAGTGAAAAAAATACTGATCTAAAAATGTTTTTTAAGGATGGCTCATCACACTCCCTCCAAGTTGATAGCCAGTTCTAATAATAACTAACTTCAGGAATCAGAAAATACACATATAAAATTCTAACAGCCAAACAGCCTTTTTGTACAAAGTATTAGATGCTCACTGGTTGGATAAGCAGATTATTTTCCTCCATATTCTTATTCCATACTTTTTTAAGTGGAGGACTTCTATTACTGCTCTAAGAGGCATAATTACTGAAAAATGTTTAGTATGCATTTGTGGATTTTTAAACCAACTCTCTAATCTTCAGCCAATGATTTTTATTAAACCAAAAGATAACCAAATATTTTCCTTTGGAATTGTTGCATAATTACATGAAGTAAATTTATAGCCCGAGAGAGTGAACAAAGAAATTAGGTACCCCCAACTTATCCACAAGCAAATGAAAGAAGATTTATGGGATAAGAAGAATGTTAAAAGCTAAATTAAATGTTCACTTAAAAGCATTTTCTTCAGTTTTTTTATATTGTTTAAACTTCTTTATTAAAAAGTAGTGCATATTATTAATACTTTGTCACAATCTATTTCCAGTTATGTAAACTAGCTCAAAACAAGGTGTTTTTTATATTTGCAAAAAGTAAATACAATTTCATAATAAAATTGTGTTCTAAATTCTTAACGTCTCTAATGCCCCAACTATGAAAAAGGAGTAAAATAGTGAACATTTTGTCCATAGAATTCTAATGACTAAAGATCTAAGTAATAATTTTTTTTCAACTATAATCATCATTTTTCTACATCAGTGAGATATTTACAACCATAATGATTAATCAGTATTTGTAAAATGGACAGATTACGCTCTTTCCAAGAGTTTCTCTTTAAGGTCTGCCTGGAACGCTCTTTAACAGGCAGGCAGACACCAATGCTATTCCCAGAAGTCTGCCTGGTTTCCAGTGCCCCTGATTTGTTCCTCCCTCCTTACTGATGCAGTCATGAATCATCTTGTCACCCTAGTTCATATCCAACCTTCTTTGCCTGTAACTCCCAGGAGGCTTAAAAATACTATTCATATTTTCAGGATACACACACAGACTGTCCACACTTTTTTTTTTTTTTTTTTTTTTTGAGACGGAGTCTCGCTCTGTCGCCCAGGCCGGACTGCGGACTGCAGTGGCGCAATCTCGGCTCACTGCAAGCTCCGCTTCCCGGGTTCACGCCATTCTCCTGCCTCAGCCTCCCGAGTAGCTGGGACTATAGGCGCCCGCCACCGCGCCCGGCTAATTTTTTGTATTTTTAGTAGAGACGGGGTTTCACCTTGTTAGCCAGGATGGTCTCGATCTCCTGACCTCATGATCCACCCGCCTCGGCCTCCCAAAGTGCTGGGATTACAGGCGTGAGCCACCGCGCCCGGCCCTGTCCACACTTTTAAACCATCAACTAACTCCCTCCTTACAAAACAATAAAATAATTTAATCCAATGACTTCTACTCACCAGGCTGGTAGAGGAAAGCTGGTAAGGGGCTATGGCAATGGGCTCCATATAGAGATTCTTCTTACTGATTTTTACGTTTTATCTTCATGTACAAAATAACATGCAGAATATAACCCTGTTTTTCACATGCTGCCTCCCAGGTCCCGGCCTCTAGGAAAATTGTCCGACCCCATTCCCACTCAGAGTCACTTTACTCTAGCTTTCCAAGGTCCGGCAGACACTGGGGGGACTTAGGGTCTGCCAGACTCTAGGACAACTACTTTCACAGGGTCCAACACTGCATGAAACAAAGACATTCCAAAGGAGGCAGATTTTTATGAAAAGTTGTTTAAAGAGAACACACACTTTTCTTTCATGGGTAAAATGCCACTGTAAATCAGAGAACTAAAATGTAAGGCTCTCTGGGCCCAGTGACTCCCTTTTGATGTCAACAAACTTATGGTGCTGTGCTGCTGCTGTCCCTCTCCCTTTCTATTTTTTTTTTTTTTTAGAGTAAGTTTTCCTGCACATTGTAGTTTTAAAGTGCAAATAAATACAAGACCCAGTCACTGTTTGGATTCAGTGTTTTCCCTTGGAACCAGTGCCTTACAGATTATGACATGCAGCACACAGAAAATGGGATTAGAAAAGGTGCTGTGGCCATAGGGTTGTCCTCGGGCTGTAGAAGGCAGGGAAACCCTTCATTATTCTTTCCCTCAGTCTTAGGAAGTTCATGATAGCTAGGTGTCACCTCTAATGTCATTGTCTCCCTCTCAGGCTTTGTCTCCCTGTCTCCCTCTTCCCTTCACTCTTTCCCCCACCACCCCTCCTCCTCTCTCTCCATGGCTCTCAGGACCAAAGAAAGGCAGAAGAGCCTAACAGTGCATCCACCATCCCCTAATGAATTAATAACCATGCCCAGCCCCAACACAAGCCAGAAAGGACTCTTCAATTCCAAATGGAGTAGTTAAGGGTTGGTAAAAAGAAGGCACACACTAAAAGTTCAAGAATTTGGTTCTTGTTATCGCTGTGAAATCTGATGAAATATTTAGTTTTGTAAAAATGGGGTTCAATAATTTTTATATAAATCAGTGTTACTATCAGCTAATTTTAAAAAAATACACTAAGAATTTACAATGGAAATAGAAAAAGAAATCACTGTTTCTATCCAATAAAATTAGGGCAGAGGGCTATCAATACAGCTGTGGTAAAGCAGAATGCCTGAGAGTTAACACTTTTTTTCTATTATATAGAAGAAACAACAAATGTTGTTTGGAATTATAACCAAATCTTCTAAATTAAGAACTGGTCATTAAGATTTTATCTAAACAGCCATATAACAGCTTTCTCATGACCAAGCTAAACAACACATTTTCCTTTATAATCGTTTTTATTATAGTTCTTCCTGATTTTCATTGCAGATATACCAGGAAAGACAGGAAAATAAAATATGAAAGGAAATAGCACTTAAAGTAATTTTAGAAATTTATATGATTCCTCATAAGAAAGCAATCAGAGATTCTCAGTTTAGCTGTCTAATAACTGTTTGTCCCACATAAACGGACCCCTCTACCTGGGTGTACAAGGTTTATGTTTCCAGTAAACAAAAGATGCTGTGCAACACAGTCTGGGACTCACTGAAATGGGGACTCTTCCGGTAATAGGGCCTGACAAAAGTATTCGGCAAATAATATTATTCACCAAACATCATTCTAATTTACTTTCTGAAGCACTTGTTTCAAAGTGCTTATTGATTTGGGAGATAAAAAGAATATGGAAGAAATTATAATAAGAACAACCAAACCAGAAAATGAAGAGCTCAGGCAGATGCTCACACACACACAAAAGGCACAATTGTTCCCTCTGGACACTTTTTTGCCTACTGTTTACTCTTTTGCCCATAGTGGGCAATATAGTAAAAAAATGTATTCAAATGGCCAATCATATCATTGAAGTTATTTTATTAGTCATCTAGGTAAATGTAGAATCCTCAAAAAAATAGTCATTCTCATTGTAAAAACAGACCTACTGATTACAATGCTAGGATAAATATTTTACACAGTTTACTATAAAGCCTCCTCCATTTTATTCCTGGGTTTTAAAAAGTAAAATATATTTATACTGTCACCTAATTAGATTATGTAAAGGGGGACAATAGGATCATTTCTTTTTCCAAGACATCTGTTAACCTAATTTTGAACCCCAAACAAGGAACAAGATTCTAGGTCATCCCAAAAAGTAAATCAGCATGCGTTCATTCATCAGTAAAAAGTCAGATGGAAAAGGCTTTATTAAGGGAGCCTTTTCTAAATCCTTTCCTAAAAAGGAAAAGGAAAAGGACACAAGCTCCACAACCCAGCAGTCTTTCTGCTGAATATTTAGTCTCACAGATCCACAGATCCTATTGTACAGGAATGTTTATAGAAGCATTCTTAATGGTTGCAAAAAGAAAACAAAATAGAGTACCTCTAGGGAATGGGAAAATATCACAGGTGCACAAAACAAGTACAAAGTCAGAACTCATGAGCAGATTTACATTTAGCAATACATATATAGAAATAGCTCATAAACCTAATACTTAGTTTTTTAAAAGAAATGAAATGATATTTATAGCACACAATCATTTGTATAAATTTTAAAACAATACTATATTGTTCCAGGGATATACAGTATTCCCTCTCTTATCCACAGTTTGTTTCTGCAATCCAAAAACATTAAATGGGAAATCCCAGACATGAACAATTCCTAAGTTTTACATGGTGCACTGTTCTGTTTAGTGGGTGAAATCTCGCCCTGTCCTACTCCAGCCCATGTAGGACATGAATCCTCCTTTGTCCAGCATGTCCACACTGCAGACACTCCCCGCCTGTGAGTCTCTTGGTAGCTGTCCTGGTTATCAGATCCATCATCACAGTATCCCAATGCTTGTGTTCAGGCAACCCTTTTTTTACTTAATAATGTCCCCAAAGCACAAGAGTAGTGGTACTGGCTTATAGTTATAATTGTGTTATTGTAATTATTTTAATAGTATATTAGCTATTTTTAGTCTCTTAATGTGCCTAATTTATAAATTAAACTTTAGCATAGGTATATATGTATATGAACAAATATAGTATATATAGAGTTCACTATTATTCATAGTTTCAGGCATCCACTGGGGGTCATGGAAAACTATTATCCCCCTAGGATGAGCAGGGGCTATTGTACTTAACTTTAAGTCTGTGTAGTTATACAGTCAGCTCTTCTTATCTGCAGGAGATTGGTTTCAGGACTTCCTGCAGATACTCAAGTCCATTCTATAAAATGGTGTACTACAGTTCGCCCGTTGTATCTGTGGGTTCAACATCCGCAGATTCAACCAACCACAGATGCAGAAACCACAGATACAGAAGGCCAACTGTATAGATATAAATTTAAATCTACATGTACAATTGACCCTTGAATAACATGAGGTTATGAGCACTGCCCCTTCCACACAGTGGAAAATCAGGTTATAACTTTTGACTCCCCCAAATTTAACTACTAATAGCCTACTGTTGACCAGAGGCCTTACCGATAACATAAACAGTTGATTAAAACACATTTTGCTTGTTGTATGTATTATATACTGTATTTTTAAAATAAAGTAAGCTAGAGAGAAGAAAATGTTATTAAGAAAATAATAACAAAGATAAGACATATTTACTATCCTTTAAATGGAAGTAGATCATCATAAAGGTCTTCATCTTCATCATCTTCACACTGAGTAGGCTGAGAAGAAGGAGGAAGAAGAAGGGTTGGTCTTGCTGTCTCAAGGGTGTCAGAGGCAGAAGAGGTGGAGGAGGTGGAGGAGGTGGAAGGGGCGGCAGGAGAGACAGGCATACTTGGTGTAACATTTCTTGAAAACAATCCATGGATAAGTGGACCCACGCAATTCAAACCTGTGTTGTTCAAGGGTCAACTGTATAAATTATTACATGTATATGTAATTGTATATATTATTTTATGAGAAGAATTGTAAGAATACACTTTAAGTATGTTACAGCAGATGTCTATGGGGCAAGAGAATGAGAGAGGAGCTTAGGGACCAAGTGAGAAAATTAGATGAAACAGAAGAGAGGCTTGTACCAAGCCAACCTATGACATAGTGGGCCATGAACAAGGACCATAGTTGACTCAACTCTGTGTATTTGACCAAAAACAAAAACGAAGAAACACATAAGTACTTTGTAGCTATAGCTATTGACATTAGGAACAATCAATACGCAGCCACATCTAAAGATAAAATTCATCTAAAGAGAAAGAAAATGATATTTTAAAAAGCATAGCAAAAAAATATAGACTGGTGATATCCCAAAACCATAATTTTAACCACAGTTAAGTAGAATTTAGAAAGCTTTAAAATCTTATGCAGAAATTTTTCACTTCTAAAATTGATTTATGGGTCTGATAGTATTTAAACACATGAAGAAAGCAAATCAAACCAAGGGAAGACTATCTGAACAGTTCACTGCAGCAACAGCGCTCACGTGGCACATTTGTATCTAACTTACAAAATCAGGGTTGGCACTAAGATGCCCAGCACCACCTGGAAGAGGCAACTACATCAGGCAGCAGTGTCATCACTTTGCTACATATGTGCATGGATTAAGCAGCCGAAAGGAAAAAGAAACATATGTGTGTGTGTACACATATATAGAGAGACTAAAATATACATATATTTGTGTGATTTGTATGTGTGTGTATATATATATACACACACATTTATGTGTGTGTGTGTGTGTGTGTGTGTGTCTGTGTGAATAAATGAGAAATTCTATTTCAATGACCTGGCTGTTTCAGGCAAAATGATGGGGTATGATCTGAATGAAGACTATGTCATGTCCCCAGTCCACTATATATGGATCAGACATAGTTACATTGCACATCATCTGATAAGTTTGCAGAATTCTATGAAAGGTAAACTATTTTGTTAAATATGAGTCAAGGCACTTCTGAGTGATCCATATAGTCATTCAACAAGACGTTAAAATGGAAACTAGACAATTTCAATGACTTTTCTCATTGTAGTTTCTTTGAAAATACTTCACTACTATTTCAATTTCCAATGAAAATAGGTACATACTGATTATATAATTATAGTTATAAAACTAATAATACATTGTTTAGATAATAGAAGTAATATTTAAAATGTATTGGTTGTATCTTCATTGATAAGAAAGTTGGATTAAATACTGTGCAAAAATTACAAGTACAAATTTGTTTTTTTCAGCAAATATATCAACATTATCCCTTTTAAAATCCATTATTTTTACTCATCTTACCATTACTTATAACAATGATTGCATGAAATTGTGTTGGTAAATTACTAAAGCCACGTAAATGTTAATAATTATAAATAAAGCTAATTTTCATAACTAAGAACAATAATAACTTATTTGAGGATAACCCAAGTCCGTCAACCATATGATCATCTCAACATTACAAAAAGTTGCTAAACAGAGAATTTTACCCAAAAGATTATACATAAAAAATGATTGAAATCAACTACTGTAAAAGTTGACCAACAAATTAATGCCCCCAAAACTCTCACTCTAAACTAGTCATGGATGCTGCATAATAAGAAACAATATATGACAACATGCACCAACTTAAAAGTCCCAAAGACACATAAACTATAAAATGTGCATTTTAGGAAATCAGAGTGGCAATGGTCCAAGGTATCCATCTCATCATCTCAAACAAATTGCTTGATAAAAACTATAGATCAAATCACTATACTCATGAGTGGTTGTAAAGCCATATTTTAAACCTTGGCATATGTAGATGAAACCATAGTTAGAGGAATTAAGAAATTTGCTTCCTATTGTTTAACATTCCCCTGTTAGGAGATCATCACAAATGGTGAGGAAGAAAAATCTAAAGATGTATAACATGTTATCTATTTTTAAGACTATAAAATTGTGCACAGACCAAGTAAGTCCCCAGAGATTTAAATGGTCACACCAGACAGTTTATCTGAAATTTCTACAACAAATGACCACCTTAAAAGTTCTCAAAAATACCGAAAAGTACTGAAAATTTTTTGTTGGTTTTTTTCCTCTCCCTTTTGCAACACAATGAGGGAATGAAGCATTTTTCTTGGACACTGAGTATAATTATAACTAATCATCTCCTTCTCCTTGGAGCAACATTCGTTGACGTTCCTTCATTTTAGGGTGGCTGGCTGACACAATTCAAATATAATTACTCTTCTTGCATGATAAACTCCAGCACCGTGAGCAAATACGGTATGTCTCATTGTCAGGTATGGCTAGACAGCAGCGGTGTAATATAGACCTTTCAAGCCCTGGTGTAGCCCCCTGCCTTTGAAATCTGTGTGAGATGACAAAACTGACTTTCATTTCCCTTGGACTTTCTCAAGGTATCCTTATTAAGAAAAAAAAAAAAAAAGCCTAAAACCCATAAATTTAATCTACTGCCTGCCAATCACAATGGTTTCTGCTGTCAGACATTCATGATACATAACCACAAAATTTAAATGTTATTGTTTCATACAAGAAGAAAATGTTGCTCACGACTACCCTCAAATAGTCATGTGACAACTCAGTGCGTTTCCTTTGTTTCCCTCCTCCACCACTGAACAATAGCACCAGCAGGAAATATGTAACTGATGTTCCACATGTGGAAGGAGCTACACAATAATAAACTCTAAAGTGGGTCATTGTTCCTACCTATCGTATAAGAGACAATTGCAGATGAGCAAAAGTTTGTTTCCCAACATGTATTTCATTTCAGATTAATAGTGATGCTTACTTTATTCTCAAATAACTTCCAATTTAAAAAAAAAAAAAAATCAAACCATAAGTGGATGATCATTGGAATACAGCTTCCACCAACTTTTAAAAAAGAAATAGTAATAATAACAACATCACATAGTCATGAATGTTGAATTTTGGAAAGAAAGGCTTGAAATTTAAAATGAAAAATTTCAATACAGCCTACCAGCCCCAAGCAGCAAGGTTTTCATTAACATAGCAAACCACATAGCTGTCTCTTACATTTACTGATTAGTGTTTTTGTTTAAAGAAAGTTATGGATGGCCACAGATATAAACTTGACATCATTTTGCCCCTTATTGAATTAAAATGAATTTAAAAATGTAGTTTTTACTTACTATTTTCTAGGATAGTGTTTTCACAATGGGCCATGCAATTTGTAGGGTTTTTTGTTTTTGTTTTGTTTCTGACTATAAGAGAACTCTCTTTTTCTGAATGTGTAGCACTGTAAATGGAACTATATCACATCACTATCTGCATGTTTATCTTAGTCTGCTACTGAGGACAATTACAGGCCGCTGGATCTTTATTCCTTGACATTCTAAAAACTATATAAAGTAAGCATCAACTGTTTCCATTAGCACTGACAAGACTTAGCAGATGAAGAATCAAATTCTGACAATGAGATTCTTGTTTCTTGGATGAGGAAACACGTTGGCTCAGCACATCAGCAGGACTCATTTCTTCATGATATGAAACAACGAAATGGAAATAAAGTTATATCCAATTGAAAACAAAACCTTTGTTTGCTCTACACATATGAGCAAATGCTCAGCAATTTTTGCTTCCAAAATAGGGAGAATTCTACTACACAATTCAGTGGGAGAAAGGTCCGCTCTAGCCGCTCAGAAGTGATGAATATATGTGGCTGGCAGCAATCAAAGGCAATATATATTTACGAAATAAAATGAAACCTTTGACCATTGTAATTTGCAACAGCTAACCAGCTTGTTGTAAGAAAATGGCAACTATAATAAATGCGCATATATGTATACATATATATTAAAAACAAACAGAAAAGCATACTATAGGGAGTTGGACTGAACATATTTACGACAACCTAGGAGACTCAAATTAAACACTGGCAGATTGGGTCCTCTGAAGTACACAAAGAGGGACACCTATCTCCTTATTTAACAAGGACATTCTATTAGGGAAAGTCTGATGGTGGGCAAAGTTCTTTGTTTTCCATGGAACACTGTGTAACCATTTTAGCAATCGGCAATGCAATCTCTCTAAAATACCTCTATAGCTTTCTTCTATTCTTGCACAAGGCTTGCACTGAAGCATTTTCAGTGGCACCCCATTTTCAACTTACCTTTTCCTTTCCCTGGGAAACAGGACTCTGCTACTCTGAAAACCATGTACCTCACTGGCCTAATTCAGCATATTCAACTGATCGACAATATTTATCTCTGAGATGCATTTATATCTAAAATTCTTTAGGTACACTGCCCAAATGCATAAGTCATTTAGAAATTAAAACAAAATAAATATACAAACTCACCGTGGGGATTACAAAACATATTTGCCTTAACATTCTTCTTAAAAGTTTAGTTAAAAGAAAGAAAGAGACATGAATCTGTGATCCAACTCCTTACTCATTATGAGAACTCATTATGATCTTACTCATTATGAGAACACATCCAGTCATCCCTCTGCTCTCCTCTATCACCCACATAGCTTAGTCCCAAACTCTAATAAGCCCTGACTTCACTCCACTGACCTACTACCCACAAAATGTCTAAAATTCAGCAATTTGAACTAAAGTGAACTGGTTATATAAGTGCAGCCCAAGTCCAAAAATAAAATAAAAACAAACAAAACAAGAACAGGTGACTGAGAGATTTGCATTTGGCTTGCCATGTTGCTTCTTCTACTCAAAGGCTGAGCATTCTTTGCCTTGCGTATTTAAATATGCATCAGCTCAGAAGAAGTTACACAATGTTTCCATCAGCAGAAGATATGGCACTTAGAGAAAGCATCAGGAAAATAAAAACTACAGACAAAATAGGGTGTATTTGCATATTTCACTTGAAATTAGGCTATGTTGCAGCACATTGGAAACTCATATGCATTGGATGTCAGCTGAGTTACTTTTCTTTCCCCCCAAGGTGACATTGGTGCTTGTCTTACCAAATATGATGCAACTGACAAGTGTTTTCATGTAAGGAAGATATATGCCTCCCATCACCTTGTCAAGCTGAGTGAAGGCAAACTCCAGCACATCCTTTCACAAGTGATTAGGTGGTCGGAGTCATTAAAAGTCATAAAGTTAGACTGCAGCAGTGTGCCATGCATATATATGAACTCATCCAAAGCTGTCCTCCTTGAAGCAGGTGATAGCTCTCAACTTTGCCTCTGACCGACTCATAAATTCTTGACTGAGCTTTCTTTCTCTTAGCATATCTTTGAAATTATACTGAACAGTAAATGCTGCTTTGGCCAGTCTCATTGTCTCCTGCATTCCCAGCCAAGCCTCTAACCACTGGAGGTCCACACATCTGATTTTGGTTCACTAACACAAAGTAAACAACCGATTGGCATTACTTATTCTTCCACAGCACTTTTAAAATTAATTTTCAAAGTACTTTAAAAACTCCCATCAATCATTCCACTTTAAAATTTTCTAAAACGGCAACAAAAAAAAGAGTAGTAGTATTCATCCCACAAAATTAGAAAATTAGGCACAAAGAGTTGAAGTGGCATTATCAGGAGTCTGAACCATTATGGCTAATTGGGAGATCAGAACAGAGTTTAAATTATTATGTTAGAAGGCTCTACAGTCTTCCCACTTTATCACTTCCCAGCCTTATTTCCCAGAAAATAAATCTGATTTTCTAGAAATATGATTTTAGTCATACCTGAGAGAATATAAACTTTTCAACACATCATTTTACACACAAATTCCACTTTTAAGATGCTGTCCTAAAGAATTAGTTGTATAGGGGCAAAAATGTATGCACAAGATGTTCAATGCATCATTATTTATAATTAACAACTGCAAACAATCTAAATGTCCAAAAACAGGGGGGCTTTGAGGTTCTTTGATTAAATATTATAAATTCTAAATATATATCTGAGGAATTTTTAATGCTAAGAGAAATAATCATGATATAATGTTTATGAAAGAAAAACAAAGCAAAACACTTAAGGATCTCAACAATGCTACATATGTAAATATCCAGAGGAAAAAGGACTAGAAAAAAAATACAACAGAATGCTGACAGTATTTACCTGGATGTCTGGGAATAAAAGGTAATTCTAATTTTCTTTTTTAAAATATGTATGGATTTTCCAAGTTTTCCACAATGAGCATAATTTACTTTTATAATCAGAAAAAAAGAAAATAAAACATTGAAGTTCCTCAGTAGGTATATCAGTCCCCACATTTTATAGGTCTCTTGCAAATTACCTCAACAGAGCACCCAATATTAAGCAATCTAAATGCTTTCTAAAATGTATCACAGCAATGTAGTCACTCAGTGCCTGCCCTGACTGTATGAACTGTGTCTCATTATGGATCTGATGTAGTGGCCGATTAATTTTTAAGACCCAATACCTGATGGATCTTGATGGGCCGGAGTGCCTTTCCTAGAATAATTTCATTTCCCAACAAAGCACCAAGAAGTTTATTTATTCAGCATAGACTGGGTGTAGTCATGACTGAACAGAGTGGCAAAGAGGGAGACAGCAGTTGCAAGACTACCTTCAAACTCTCTAACTTGAACAAAATAATGTTGGGCTTCACCACAGCAATTAAGAACAACTTCTCAGGCTAATGGACTAGACACATATCAACTCATTTCAGCCTTCGCAAAGGTCATGAAAAGAAAACTTTTTAACCATCAGACATTTAAAAAGATAAAAGCCAAGACTGGGATGCCTGTGCCCCTGTGTCATCCCTTGTAACACATTTTCTATTGTTCCAAGCCAGTAATAAAACTGAAAAGGGCCATGCTGTTGACTATTAATATGATCAAAACACAAAGTGCCTACACAGAGAATGTACACGTATAAGGAGCATGATTCTTTTCACAAATAATATGACTTTAATTTTCCAGCTTCCATCATTATGGTTATATGGAACAGGCATTTTTAAAGTAATTTCTTGCTCAGTACTCTATAGTTGAAATCTGTTAAATACTTGAGCATATCAACTATGTGGCTGAGAAACTTTTAGAGAGACTAGGATAGAGGAAAAGGAAGCTAAGAAGAGAAAAAAAAAATCCGAGTCCTCTGTGTCAGGTCAACAGTCCTCTGTGTCAGGTCAACAGCGCTTCTCCCCAGGATCTCTTAGGGAAGAAACCCTCAGTTAGCTACACTTACCCAGAAGGAAGCCATGTTGATTTTATGCCTATACAGATCCTGCTCCTGAATTCTCTTTAAAAGAAACAAAGAATCAGAAGTTACTCTGAAGATTTACTACTGATTCCCACATAATCTCATCACTTCAACAATCTCTGTGAAAACGTTTGTTTTTAAAATATTATTTTATTGAATAAAAGACTTTCCCCCAACTTTTATTAATAAAAGTTATATTCAAATCCAGTCCATAATAAAGTCCTGCGAGTCTGTCTGCTTCCTAGCCTCCCTGTTCATTCACTTTGAAGCACAGGACTAATAAATGGTTAAATCAACAGAAGCTGAGAATAAACAAACAAAATAATAAGATTCTTAGATAATCACAAAGATGAACAATTGCTGAAACATGTCAAGTTAATAATATAGTTGATTATTCTGGTTAAGAATAATCAGAAGAATGAGTTCTCTTTATTTTGGTTGTTATGCTATTTTCTCATTTTAAAAAAGTAATACAAGGCAGAATAAGTTACAAAACAAAGAAAAAAATGAAAATAAAATTTTCCCACATGCTACAAAGAAATAAGCATTATTAAGAGTCAGTAATTTCTTTTAGCTTTTTATGTATAAAATAACTTCAAAAGCATATATGTATTTCATCATATGTATATTTTGTAATTCATTTAATCACTCTTAATTGTTGGACACATAGAGGGGATTTTATTTTTCACTATTATTACCTCTGCAATAAAAAATCCTCGAATATAATTCTTTCTGCATGTTTGTGATTTTTTCTCTTTACAGTAAATTCAAAACAGTAAAATTATTGAGTTCAAAGAGTATGAGACTTTTAAGCCTTTTAAAATATATTGCTGAATTGTCCTCCATAAATTTTGTTGCAATTTACACTCCCAAGAGCAACGTTCATGAAAATGTCTTTCAAAATAGTCCTGCTAATCTTCTATTTGTTTTAAAACAATAGGTTAGCTATGGAGGAAGGTACAATAAAAGCTGAAACAGCAACCTATCTATTTAGAAATTATTTATGTCTTCTCATACACTGGAAGAGAGTGTGTATATTTATAGTGAGAACAATATTCACTTCAAATGACTGCATCATATAAGGCTTTTGAAAAGCATCACTGGCCACACACATTGACTTATTTCTATTCAAAGTACAAGGAAATGCACTTTGGATTTGTTCCATCTCCAGGCTGTGAATTTTAAAACCCTATTATTTGCACTATTCTGAATGATTTCAGAGATCTAACCTGGTAGAGGCATTAACAAAATCTGTCTTTATTGCACCATATACATAGAGTGAATTTAACCAACTTAGAGAAGGTAAGATTAAAGGGAGTGAAGAACAGGCTCACCAGTGAGGGTGATATAATACAATAATGTTCCTCACAGCAAACCTCCTGTGTGTCAAAAAGCGTCAAAGAATTAGTGGAGACCAAGATGGCAGGGTTTTATTTCACAGCACAGGGAATATAGACAGAATAACAAAGGAGAGACCAATAAAAAGAAAGGAAGGGCAAATAAACTAGGTTACATCCATGTAACTTCCCAACTTTGCCAAGCCAGGAAGAATAGGTGAGCTTTCCATCGGTGAGTTTCCAAATCTGAAATATCCCCAAAGTTACACTCTTGTTCCAGTGCCTCTCGGGAAGATGTTAGGTAGAGCTGAGCCGTGACTACTGAGGGAGCGTGGTGACTCTCTGTTGTAACCTACTCAGTCTCCCCAGAAGGTTTAGCAGCAGCCTCAAGATGCGCAACATGTACATGATCACTCCCACCATCTAAGTCATCAATGTTGCCCCCAGGTGACATCTCAGAGTCATTCCCTAAATCACAAAGCTAACCGGATGAATCACAGATTTGTAACTGCAATGAACAAGGACTCTTCAGTACCTCTGAAGATCAAATACCTTTGAGGGGATTTATGTACATGATTTTCTTATCCTGCACACATATATGAATTGTCCTTACTGAATCAAAGGCACTGAAATGATAAACAAAACACTCAGATTTGTTTGGGGCCCCTGGCCAGCAATAAAAATGCTCCAAACTGAGATACTCTGTTTACCAATCGACATATTATGAAACCTACACAAGAACTTTTCTAAAACTTCTGAAGTTTGTTTAAAACCTTTTAGTTGGATATTTCTGAGAGACTACAAAGAATTACTACATATGTATCAAAATCATAAAGACCATCGCAGTCTGAAACAGAAAACAATAGAAAAGTCTTATCCTGGGATTCAGGGGATGAAATAAAAAACAAGAACCCCTTGCACTAGCATCTGTCTGTCTCAATCTCTGTCTTTTTTTCCTCCCTCCTCTTGGTCTGCCTGATCCTCTAACTCAAAGCTAATGTTCCCTCTTTAGAGGGAAATTCACCCATGTTCTGTAGATGCTATACTGCCAACAAAATCATACATGTGAGGAAGGTGTTACCGAAACTCAACCCCAAACCCAAATCTTACAAGAGATTCAAGTTGGCCTTAAAATTAAGCAAATGTGTGAAGCCATAAAATTGGCTCTTAATTGCAGTCTTTCCAAAGAGAGTTATTTTCTAACAAAGTTTCCCAACTCAAAATTCAGCTATATTCCTAGTATATTCTTTTAGTGAACTATCATTCTAATGTATTTTAATAGAGAACAGTAACTCTTTAGTTCAGCAATGGAATTTTTTTTTTAGTTACAAATCCTATTACTCAAAAATTAAGTTGTAAGACAGGATACTTGTTGAGTCACTTTTAAAGTGATTCCTGTATCAGAAGATTTCACAAAAGCAAACCTCCTCCCAACTAGTCTTTGATTAAATTCTGAGAGTGATCATAGCAAAACAGTTTGTTCTAAACAGTAGTGATTCTTGTTTGAAATTAGATATTTAAACCTCAAAGAATAAACCATAACTCATACCACTGCCACGGTGGTTGTCACACCTTTATTGGCCAAGTAATGGAGCCAATTAAAAAAGTGACATTTTGGCTCCATTATTCAAATGTTTCTGCTGCCCTGAGAACATCATTCCATCTTAAGAGTCTATTGTATTGACTACAATATTTGTACTCAATCATTGTCATTTTGGTAAATTTCCTCCATCTTCCTGGCAGGATTCATTTAGAAGGACCCTGATATTTTCATTCTTAAAGCCACCTTTTACAATATTGAGATAAAATGTACACATTTTCCTAAAGCTTTCATTCTAAAGATTCCAGATTTTCTAGTGAAAGATACTGTTTAAAGAAACCAAGTAGCTTATATTTTCCCCATAAATGGCAAGTCATTGAGTCGCAGTAAATAAATCATATGGAATCTAGTTTCATAAGCAAAACTGATTTTAACTCAGTTCTTGAACTATGCCTGAAAATAAAGTGTACTATTTAAAGAGAACTTGTGAAATTCCAGGAATGTTACATATTAGTAAACAATTCAGAACTACATGTGTAAAGAGGCAATTAACTTGCTGAATAAATGAAAAACAGATTTTCCTTCAGTTACTTTTCTCTACAAAGTAACTCTGGGTGATCATACCCAAATTCAGAAAAACACTAGCAGTTCTGTCTTAAATGTACTGTTCTAAGTGGGGTCCCACTCTTTAATCCTTGCCTCTTACATACCCTCCAACATCTGGCCAATGAGCCTGGACTGCACAGGCACCGTGATGAAGAAAAGCAGGTGGGGACTAACAGAATGATGGGGCTGTTGCAGAGCAACCTCAACATGGCTCCAGCTTCCCTCCCTTGGTCATCTTCCCTTTCCAACTGAGGTGATCCTTGTTAGGCCTGAGGTCTTAAGAGGAAACAATTAGAACAAGAAACTTCCCTTCACTTCAAGGAACTCTGATAAAATGGGCCCAAAGGAGCCCTCAAAGCATGAGCCTTTCCCATACTAGTAATTCTGGAAATTCCTTCTAAGAGAAAAGGAGGCATTGTCTCCACAAAGCCAGGTCAAAATGGCCAGCACATTCTTCCTTTTATGAATCTCTGCTATCTTCTCTGCTAATCTCACTGCAGCACTTCATAGGCTGTTATTCTGACGGGGAAAACTAACAATACTTAAGGGCAATGAAAGGTCCCTGTTCAAGGAATTACAAGGAAGCAGAGCCTTGATCTCATATAGTAAATCAGCTCAACTAAATTCTACAGTTAATTAACAGATTTTCAATTCCCAGTCCTCTGGTCATCTCCTCAAATCCCTTCACCTAAGCCCCTTCATACATCCATCACAGAATGTTAAGGACTTGGGCTTGAGTCAAGAAATCAGTATCCAATCCCAGTTCCATCACTTACTTAAAACCTGTTGTATTAACCATGTTTTTTTTTTAATTTTCAGTATTCTGATGCTTTGACATGTAGGGCCCCACTGATCCTGGACAGCCTGTCCCTCCCAGAGCTAGCTATTCAGAGATGGTAAATGTGGGAGCTTGCTTTTCAAATGCAAACCAACCAATCTAGAGCCCATACACCCAACCATCTCCTTAACTGGGCTCTCACACTCCCACTGCCCTAATCACCCCAGACAACTAGGGACAGTCCCCGTACCCAAGAGTCCATGAAATCATTCAAACCAGCCAATCCTAAGCCTGTTTACCCTGCCTTCCTTCCCATGGAAACTATAATACTGGCCCTTGCTCATAGTTTCTTCTCTCCCTCTGCCTCCTAACTGGATGTAGTGCTTCCCCATGTAACCCCCCATGGTGTGGCGTGCCACTTCTCTTGGAATCTATGAGTATAGCAAACTATCTTTTCAATAGCAGTCACCTCCTGGTGTGTTGCTTTATCATGCCTAAATAATAATAAAACCTATGTTGAAACAGCTGTGTGACCTTGGAAATGGGGCAGAACTTCTGCCTTCATGTCTTCCTCAGGAAAAAGAGGACAATATTTCCTGTCTAATAGGGCTCCTGTGAAGATCAACTACAATAATATATGGCATGTACTTAGTATATAGTAAGTGCTCAATAAATACTGATGCCCCAAGTTAACAGACAAGGAAAGCAGGATTTTGAGATAATTCATTCAAAGCTATATAGCTAGGAAATTATAAGATCTAATGATATCCAGATAAGTCTGGCTGCAAATCCCTTTGCTTTTATATCATACTACCTCTCCCCTGTTAAACCTAGGCCCTCTACTATTGCACTTTGAACCTCTAATATAGTAGTTAACACTTATTGCCTCATTTTACAGTCATGTACAAGTACACCAGGAGGACAGCATGTGCTTTATAAACTGAAAGGCCGGGCATGGTGGCTCACACCTGTAATCCCAGCATTTTGGGAGGCCAAGGCGGGCAGATCACCTGAGGTCAGGAGTTTGAGACCAGCCTGACCAACACAGTGAAACCTTGTCTGTACTAAAAATACAAAAATTAGCCAGGCATGGTGGCTGATGCCTGAAGTCCCAGCGACTCAGGAGGCTGAGCCAGGAGAATCACTTGAACCCAGGAGGTGGAGGTTACAGTGAGCCAAGATTGTGCCACCGTACTCCAGCCTGGGTGACACAGTGAGACTCTGACTCAAAATAAATAAATAAATAAACTGAAAGAGAGAAAGAGAGAGACAGAGGGTTACAAGGAAAGAGGGAGGGAGACAGAAAGAAAGAAAGGAAGGAAGCAAAAAGGAAGAAAGAAGGGAAGGAATGGGAGAGAGGGAATACAGGAAGAAAGGAAGGAAACAGGAAGAAAGGAAGGACAAAAGAAGAAAGGAAAAAGAGACAGACTTCTCTCTCTCAGAAACACCAATTATTTGTTTCCTGGTTACTTTCTTTCTTGCTGGGTCCCAAATCTATCCTCAGAGAAAGGAAAAATCACTTTATCTCTAGTTATAAAAATTTCCAACCAAGAAACATTTGCCCAGTTACAGGAATTTTTCTCTATTAGTCTATCTTTTTTATGGACCCCAAATTTCTAATTAACAACTTCTGCCAAGCTTCCTCCTCGCCTAATCTCTAACTGGCAAATATTTTTTTTAAAGCTGCTCTCTGCGAACACTCGAGGTCAATTCTGAATTCTCCATGCCTCCAAATCCTTGCAAATATTCTTTGATTATCACTTCTCTTTCTTCTTTCCTTCACTCCTCTTTCTGCTGAGTCACATATCTGGGCTTCTTAGCTTCAAGTGGCCCAGAGATGTCAAGTTAATATTTTATAGCTTCCCTATCTTCACAGAACAAACATTAGCTATATAAAGCTCTGATCACTCTTGACCCAAACTGGAAAGAAGTATTCTCAAAACCACCTATAACTTCAACTGGGGATTTTTTTTTTTTAAACTTGCCGCAGAAGTTGCCAACTTAAATGCCTCCAGGAGGAGCAGGAAGCTCCTGTTAATGAGTGAGAACTGTCAGAGTCTGGAGAGCACATGGTCTCTGAGCAGCTACTCTGCTCCAACTGGTAGCTTCATGCCGAGAGAGTCCATGTGGCCAGATCACCCACATTTTCAAGGAAAGCTTTAAAATCTGTACTTTTATGTGAAGAAACTCTCTACATTTAAAAGTTGCCAACTAATTCAATTTAGGCCAAATGAAAATGATTCTTTTAGTTTTAGTATGAAGGTCTCCACATTAAGGCTTTCTCCTAAGACATTTTAGAAGTATTTTTCAAATGTGTGGCTAGAGAGCACAGCATTTTTTCTAAGAAAGAATGACATGGAAGACAGTTCATTTTATTGGAAGGTAATGGAATGTTTAATGCCATAAAATCTTACAATCTGGGTGAAGTGAGTTATATTAAATGGGGAGAAAGAAGTTACAAATGTTGGTTTTTTGCCTTCTTAAACATCTCCCCTCCATCCACTTCTGTTTGCTCTCACTGCCACCAGCCTCATGTGGGCTACGGATATTTTTTACCTGAAGAGTGACCTACCCCTACCACATAGGTGCATGGGGCAACACGTACAGTACTCTGTTTTATGTTTTACATAAAATTAACAGATAATTTTAGTCATATACATCATGAGTACAATATAATTTCACTAAGCACATGTATATTTTTGTCCTTTATGCTGATATTAATTAATTTTGGAACTGAAATTGAAGATTCTGATTGTTTTGGATTAAAAATAATCCTTAAAATTTTCTCCATTTTTTCTCTCAAAATGCATACTACATACATACATAAATAGGAAACACAGGAAGTCAATTGGCCAAAATTAAATTTAAAAAAACAAAGTTTATTTTCAATCACTTAGATCAGTATAGATCTTCTAAGGTCAGACTTAGCACATCACAGTTTCCCATGATTCATGGGGGAAGCCAAATCTTGGCAGGGATTTTATGAACATTGCTAAAGTATTAGGCCTAGGATTTGATATCTCCTTTCAATTAGCAAGAAAATACTTTTTAGATTTTTAATCAAACTTTATCCTGCTAATGGCAGAAATGTTCTTAAGTAAGTATTTCATTATTCTTAGTAATACCATGGTTTCTCTGAATGGAACAATCTCTAAATCTGTTATAGCATTAGAGACAAGGGCCAAATCCTGCTAAACTTAAATTTTACAATATTTTACATTCAGGTAAGAAGGATTTTCTAAATTTTAATTCATTTCTACTGCCCTGTCCAACTTATTGAAGGAATGAGAGCAAAGGCATATTTTTGATATGATAATTCAATATATTGCTATAGTTTGAATGTTTGTCGCCACCAAAACTCATGTTGAATTTCAATTGTCATTGTGATGGTATTGGGAGGTGGGATCTCTTAGAGGCAGAGCTCTCATGAATCAACTAGTACCATTACTGCAGGAGTGGGTTTGTTACTGCAGGAATGGTTTTGCCCATGCTTGCTTTCTCTCACTTGGTTTCTCTCACAACATGATGCCTTCCACCATGTTATGATGAAGCAAGAAGGTCCTCCCCAGATGCCAGCACTTTGATATTGGATCTCTCAGCCTTCATAACTATGAGACAATAAATTTCTGTTCATTATAAATTACCCAGTCTGATATTCTGTTATAGCAGCACAAACAGACTAAGACATATATCTATGTTTTAGTCTCTATTAGCCCTTGAAAAACAACCTCCACAAATTCATTAATCATGGATAAATTTCCTTGAGTTTTTATCTTTTAAAACTAGAAAGCCCTAATGTTATATCATATGCATATTCTCTATGGCCATTATGATTTCTTAACAGATAGAAATAAGAACTGCATAAAATAGTACAGAGGTTGGTTAACTTCATTTTTGAAAATTGAATAAAAATGTTCAGTTTGTTGTCAGTAGTATTCTACATATTATTAATCATTATGGCCAGAGCACATACTTCCTAGGAACTAAATTTCTCTCACTATTTAAAGAATCAGCTGGGGAAAAAAAAACTAATCTTAGGGACTATAACATATGAATATGTGTTCAAGTGAATATCTATTGGAGCTTGTTATATAACCTACATGATAAAATCTTGGAGAGATGATATCAGCAAAAATGGCAGAGTAAGGACTTAAAAAAATTCTCTCTTCCATAAAAGCAATGAGAAAACTGGCAAAAATGATCAGAATCAACTTGCTCAGAACTCTAGAAATTAGCTAAAGGTTTGCAGAAACCTGGGGAGCATTTATTTGGAAAAAAAAAATGAAAAAATTTGAATCTTGGTAAAGAGCAAGCTTTGTAGCATTTTAACTTGTCTTATCCAATCCTCTCCTCCACAGCTCTGAAGTAGCTTTGAAAGCCAACAGCCTGCAATCACAGTGAAAACCAGTAGGCTGACAGCTGCCAGAGAGGGAAAAATAGTGTTGAAGCTTCTTTAAAGGCTCATTTTCAAAGCACTGTCATTATTTTGCCTGTCTTATGGTCCCTGGAAGACCCCATACCCACAGCTGTCTGTTTTTTACTTGGCCCAGAACTCATCCAGTTTCCCCAGGAGCATTTTCCAAAAACAATTAGAGGCAATTGAATAACTTTCTGGCTGTATGAGGCAATGGACAACAGTTGGGGCAAACAGTAGGCTAACCAAAATGCTTAAAAGTAAAGCCTGGGGAAGTAGATACCCACAAAGGTATTGAAAAGCTCCAACATATTTCTTGGAATCCAGAAGGTAACATGATGCACAGAGTTGTGCACATGCCCATGTCTGTGCACACAGTCAGAAGAGACCTGAGAAAGACCTGAGCTGTCACTGTGGGCTGACTTGGAGGCTCTGCACAAGTAAGAAGGCCTTGCTGAGGGTTGAAGGTATGCCCCAATATATACACAAGGCCCTTCCCCAAGATAGGAAAACACTTATTTCAAGTGTTTAAGAAAATATCTATCCAATCCTTTAACTGACCATTAAGCTAACAAACTAATCAAGCAGAGACTTCAGTTGCCACATATAATAAAGAATACAGATTTTGTAGAATTCTTTCAGAAAAAACACTAAGTAACAACAACATTCCCTCCTCCTTGGGGAGGGTGTAATCTGATTTTCAGATTTGCCACATCATATTATTTTAAATATTCAGTTTTCAAAAAAAAAATTACTAGACATGAAAAAAAAGAAAGTATGCTCCATACACAGGGAAAAAAGCAAACAATAGAAATGTCTCTGAGGAAAATCAAACATTGTACTTTTAGACAAAAGACTGTAAATAATCTATGTTAAGTGTGTTCAAAGAATGAAACACAACAATACCTAAATAATGATATCTCATCAAAATGTAAAATATCAATAAATAGATAAAAAATTACTTCATACACAGAAATTCTGGAATTGAGAATATAACAACTGAAATGAAACATTTACTAGCATGGCTCAGCAGTAAATGTGACCATGGCGATGAAAGAATCAACAAACCTGAAGGAATGTCAATGGAGATTATTCAATATGAAGAACAGAAAGAAAAAAAAAAGGAAAAATGAACAGACTCCTAGTTTGTGTTTATCTGGTGATATCTTAATATTCCCAGATAAAGTGTACCAACTTCAGTGTAATGGGAGTACAAGAAAAAGGAGAGAAAGCAAAAGGTGCAAAAATACTATTTGGAAAAAAAAAAAAAGCCAAAGCTCAAAATTGATTTAAAAATAATCTACATATCCAAGAAGTTTAATGAAACCCAAGCAGGATAAATTCAAAGAGACCCACATCAAGACATATTATAATCAAAGTGTTGACAAAGATGAAGAAAGAACCTTGAAAACAGCGACAGCAAAGTGACTCATTACATACAAGTAATCCTCAATAAGATTAACAGCCAATTTCTCATTACAAACCATGGAAGCTAGAAACAGATGACATGTCTAAAGTGCTGAAAAAATATTGTCATCAAAAATTCTATATCCAGAAAATCTATCCTTCAAAACTTAAGGTGGAGAGACTAAGATACCCCCAGAAAAACACAAACTAAGAGCATCTATCACTTAGAAGCCTGTGCTATAAAAAATACTAGAGTCCTTGGAGTAACTCAAATCTAATGAAGAAAGAAAGAGCACTAGTAAAGGTTATTACATAAATAAATATATGCATTTACCTCATAAATATCTGTATATTTTGTTTGTAACTGTTTTCTACTATCTGATTTAAAAGAAAATTGCATTTTAAAAAATCAAAAAGAAAAATTTTATAAAGCAGTAAATCTGTATAGAGGGGCACACACTGTATAAAAATATAATTTATATGAAAATAACAGCAGAAAGACAGTGAAAAATCAAAGCCGTATAAGAGCAAAATTGTTATATACTATTGTAATTAGATTGGTATTAATCCAAACTAGGTTGCTATAAGTGAAGATGTTAATTATAACACCAGGCAATAACTAAGAAACTAACAACCAAAAATCAGTAAAATAAATGACAAGGGAATTAAAATTGCACACTGGAAAATTTTTATTTCAGAAAAAAGGCAGCAATGGAGAAATAGAGGAGCAAAAAAAGGCATACACATGTAGAAAACAAATAGCAAAATAGTAGATTTAAGTCCTACTTTATCAGTCCATATAAGGGACTACTATTTAACCATAAGTAATGAAGTTCTGAGTCATGCTACAACATGGATGAACCTTAAAAACATGATGTTAAGTGAAGGACATCAGATTCAAAAGGTCACATATTTTTATTTGTATGAAATGTCCAGAATAGTCATATCCATAGAGATAGGAAAAAGTGTGAAGTGACTGTTTATAGATACAGAGTTTGTTCTCGGGGTAATTAAGTGTTTTGGAATTGGATAGTGTCGATGGTTGTACAACATTGTGAACATACTAAAAACCATCGGATTGTACATTTTAAAAGAGTGAATTATGGTATGTGAGTTATATCTCCACGAAAAAAAATCATGGAATCAGGGACCATTTCAGAGAGCCTATCTCAGGATGTGATCTATGAGTGTTTGTTGAATAAAAAGACTGTTTAGTGACAATACTAATATCAGGACATGAACAGTACTAAATCTACAAAAATGAGAGCTGGAAACTCAGACCTGATCAATATTTCTCCAGTGTTTTTTTTTTGAGAGGGTTCAATAATTTCAATAACATCTCTCATTTATATAGACAGAAAAACCTCTGGAGTAGACCTATCAACCAAAAATTTGATTTTTATGAGTACCTATCACTGTTTTTTAAACTCTATTTTCTGTCATCATACTGAGTAAAAGCCATCTTCATGCAGTTAGCCCGTCCCACTCTCTAGCCTCTTATTTTATTAATTGCTTCAACTCCAATATGTTTCCAATAGCATTCATCATGAGCCACCACCTACACAGAGGCAACGCTGATGAAACTTTTCACCCAAAACTGCCTCATGACAGAAAATGTAATTGCAAGCATCTTTTCTCCTGACCACAATGTCCTAATTTTCATTGTCTTTTACTCTGCAGTGTCACTTGTTCTTCTACTTCATTGAAGTCATCAGGCTGCTACTTCTATATTTTTTTCCCAATCTATTCAGCACTTATTTCATCTAAAAAGGAAGCCACTGTGGATAGACAGAAGTGAGAGTAGAATATAGGGTAAAAGTAGGAGATCCAATTACATAGAGACTTTTTAGACCTGGAAATGAATTGGGATTTTATACTACAGAAAAATTTTATTTTATTGAAATGTTACTAATAGCCATTTCACACAGAAAAGTAACAATTTGGTTTATAATTTTAAAAGGCCACTCTATCTTTTGTAGGAGGAAAAGAGAATAAACAGAGAGGCCAAAAAAAGAGGATATACAGAAATCCAGGGAGAGGATGACAGCAATTTGAACTTGAGTAATAACAGTGAAGATGAAGAGAAATTAAGAAATTTAATATGCATCTTGGAGCTATATGAAACAGGATTTGTTGATGGTCTTGTTGACATAACTATCAGATGTGAAGGATGAAGGCAAAGGATACATTATTGCTGACACATAGATTTTTGGCTTGTGTGACTGATTTGGCTTGTGTGATTGTGTGATACCATTTACTGATATGAAGAAAATTTAGTAAAGACTAGTTTAGAATAAATAATCAGTTTAGAATAAACAGTTATTATAATCAATAATAATTCATTCTAAATAAGTTTTGATTTAGAATGAATTCTTGTTTATTCATTCTAAATCGAGACATTTAGAAGGAATAATCAATAATTCCTTTTTGGGAGGATTCTGACAGGGTTGCAGAAAAAGTAGTAGCATCGTTTTTATTCTCACCAAAACCCTCCTATAAAAAGAGATGTCCCTAGATAGCAAAACTAAATGTGGAGCATCTAAAACAAAACTAAGTGACAAGGTATCTCACAAACCCCAAAATACTAGTGGATGAAGACATACCACCCACATCTGTAAGACCCACATGGTATATGAACACGTGCACTGAAGGAAGCGGGAGAGGCAATGGACATCTATCAGACATGAGAACAGGAAAGCCAAATGATAACAGACACCTACTAGAAAGTATGAAGGGACAATATCAGCAAAACAATTAAACTGGAAGAGGTTCATACTTCAGGTGATTGTGCATGGGAACAGAAAGGGAAGAGACCAAGTCTTATGAAAACTAGAATCTAACATATTCCAGAATACATTTCTACAGTGAGTAGAAACAGCTGAGAATAGATTCCAAATTAAACAGGACAGAGGCAGTAGAAGCAAAAGAAAAGAGAAAGCCAAGTAAAAGCAACAGAGAAAAACAGAATCAAGAGATCCCAAAAAGAACGAGATTACATTTTTGAACACTTCATGAAGATAAAAGATCCACAGCTATCCAGATACCATCTACCTTTTTTTCCAGAAAACTAATCTGCAGACAAATGAGCAACAGAAAAGATTATAAACATACGTAGTTATTGTCAAAAAAGAGAGAATAGGCACTGGTACAAAATTCCCACAGATTATGGAAACACACCACCAAAACTATAACCCCCCAAAACAGATGAAAATTAGAATGCAATATTTTAAGCCAAATTATAAAAAGCAAGAAAGTCATGCAGAATGTAAAAAGACAGTATAAATAAAAGATTCCAGAAATGAGGTGATAAAATCAGTAAAGAAGTCTCCCTTTTCAGAAGGTATAGTTTTTTAAAAAAAGTATAAATTTTCAGGAGGAGGTTCCAAGATGGCCAAACAGGAACAGCTCCAGTCTACAGCTCCCAGTGTGAGCAAGGCAGAAGATGGGTTATTTCTACATTTCCAGCTGAGGTACCGGGTTCATCTCACTGGGGCTTGTTGGACAGTGGGTGCAGCCCACAGAGCATGAGCCAAAGCAGGGCAGGGCATGCCTCACCTGGGAAGTGCAAGGGGTCGGGGGGAAGTGCAAGGGGTCCGGGAATTCCCTTTCTTAGCCAAGGGAAGCTTTGACAGATGGTACCTGGAAAATCGGGACACTCCCACCCTAATACTGTGCTTTTCCAATGGTCTTAGCAAACGGCACACCAGGAGATTATATCCCAGGCCTGGCTCGGAGGGTCCCACGCCCATGGAGCCTCACTCACTGCTAGAACAGCAGTCTGAGATCCAACTGCAAGGCCACAGCGAGGCTGGGGGAGGGGCGTCCGCCATTGCTGAGGCTTGAATAGATAAACAAAGCAGCCGGGAAGCTCGAACTGGGTGGAGCCCACTACAGCTCAAGGAGGACTGCCTGCTTCTGTAGACTCCACCTCTGCGGGCAGGGCATAGCTGAACAAAAGGCAGCAGAAACTTCTGCAGACTGAAACGTCCCTGTCTGACAGCTTTGAAGAGAGTAGTGGTCCTCCCAGCATGGAGTTTGAGATCTGAGAATGGACAGACTGCCTCCTCAAGTGGGTCTCTGACCCCTGAGTAGCCTAACTGGGAGGCACTTCCCAGAAGGGGCTGACTGACACCTCATACGACCAGGTGCCCCTCTGAGATGAAGCTTCCAGAGGAAGGATCAGGCAGCAACATTTGCCATTCTGCAATATTTGCTATTCTGCAGCCTCCACTGGTGATATGCAGGCAAACAGGGTCTGTAGTGGACCTCCAGCAAACTCCAACAGACCTGTAGCTGAGGGTCCTGACTGTTAGAAGGAAAACTAACAAACAGAAAGAACATCCACACCAAAACCCCATCTGTATGTCACCATCATCAAAGACCAAAGGTAGATAAAACCACAAAGATGGGGAGAAACCAGAGCAGAAAAGCTGAAAATTCTAAGAATCAGAGTACCTCTTCTCTTCCAAAGGAACACAGCTCCTCACCAGCAACAGAACAAAGCTGGATGGAGAAAGACTTTGACGAGTTGAGAGAAGAAGGCTTCAGACGATCAGTAATAACAAACTACTCCGAGCTAAAGGAGGATGTTCGAACCCATCACAAAGAAGCTAAAAAACTTGAAAAAAGATTAGATGAATGGCTAACTAGAATAGATAGCATAGAGAAGACCTTAAATGACCTGATGGAGCTGAAAACCATGGCACGAGAACTACATGACAAATGCACAAGCTTCAGTAGCCGATTCCATCAAGTGGAAGAAAGGGTATCAGTGATTGAAGATCAAATGAATGAAATGAAGTGAGAAGACAATGTCAGAGAAAAATGAGTACAAGGAAATGAACAAAGCTTCAAAGAAATATAGGACTATGTGAAAAGACCAAATCTACGTCTAATTGGTGTACCTGAAAGTGACAGGGAGAATGGAACCAAGTTGGAAAACACTCTGCAGGATATTATTGAGGAGAACTTCCCCAACCTAGCCAGGCAGGCCAACATTCAAATTCAGGAAATACAGAGAACGCCACAAAGATACTCCTCGAGAAGAGCAACTCCAAGACACATAATTGTCAGATTCACCAAAGTGCAGAGACACACATAGCCTCAAAATAAAGGGATGGAGGAAGATCTACCAAGCAAATGGAAAACAAAAAAATGCAGGGGTAGCAATCCTAGTCTCTGACAAAACAGACTTTAAACCAACAAAGATCAAAAGAGACAAGGCCGTTACATAATGGTAAAGGGATCAATTCAACAAGAAGAGCTAACTATCCTAAATATATGTGCACCCAATACAGGAGCACCCAGATTCATAAAGCAAGTCCTTAGAGACCTAGGAAGAGACTTAGACTCCCACACAATAATAATGGGAGACTTCACCCCACTGTCAACATTAGACAGATCAACGAGACAGAAAGTTAACAAGGATATCCAGGAGTTGAACTCAGCTCTGCACCAAGCGGACCTAATAGACATCTACAGAACTCTCCACCCCAAATCAACAGAATACACATTCTTCTCAGCACCACATCACACTTCAAAATTGACCACATAGTTGGAAGTAAAGCAATCCTCAGCAAATGTAAAAGAATAGAAATTATAACAAACTCTCAGACCATAGTGCAATCAAAGTAGAACTCAGGATTAAGAAACTCACTCAAAACTGCTCAACTACATGGAAACTGAACAACCTGCTCCTGAATGACTACTGGGTACATAACAAAATGAAGGCAGAAATAAAGATGTTCTTTGAAACCAATGAGAACAAAGACACAACATACCAGAATCACTGAGACACATTTAAAGCAGTGTGTAGAGGGAAATGTATAGCACTAAATGCCCAAAAGAGAAAGCAGGAAAGATCTAAAATTGACACCCTAACATCACAATTAAAAGCACTAGAGAAGCAAGAGCAAACACATTCAAAAGCTAGCAGAAGGCAAGAAATAACTAAGATCAGAGCAGAACTGAAGGAGATAGAGACACAAAAAAAATGCTTCAAAAAATCAATGAATCCAGGAGCTGGTTTTTTGAAAAGACCAACAAAATTGATAGACTGCTAGCAAGACTAATAAAGAAGAAAAGAGAGAAGAATCAAATAGGCGCAATAAAAAATAATAAAGGGGATATTACCAGCAATCCCACAGAAATACAAACTATCATCAGAGAATACTAGAAACACCTCTATGCAAATAAACTAGAAAATCTAGAAGAAATGGATAAATTCCTGGACACATACACCCTCCAAAGACTAAACCAAGAAGAAGTTGAATCCCTGAATAGACCAACAATAGGCTCTGAAATTGAGGCAATAATTAATAGCCTACCAACCAAAAAAAGTCCAGGACCAGACAGATTCACAGCCAAATTCTACAAGAGGTACAAAGAGGAGCTGGTACCATTCCTCCTGAAACTATTCCAATCAATAGAAAAAGAGGGAATCCTCCCTAACTCATTTTATGAGGCCAGCATCATCCTGATACCAAAGCCTGGCAGAGACACAACAAATAAAGAGAATTTCAGGCCAATATCCCTGCTGAACATCGATGCAAAAATCCTCAATAAAATACTGGCAAACCGATTCCAGCAGCATATCAAAAAGCTTATCCACCACGACCAAGTTGGCTTCATCCATAGGATGCAAGGCTGGTTCAACATATGGAAATCAATAAATGTAATCCATCATATAAACAGAACCAAAGACAAAAACCACATGATTATCTCAATAGATGCAGAAAAGGCCTTTGGCAAAATTCAACAGCGCTTCATGCTAAAAACTCTCAATAAACTAGGTATTGATGGCACGTATCTCAAAATAATAAGAGCTATTTATGACAGACCCACAGCCAATATCATACTGAATGGGCAAAAACTGGAAGCATTCCCTTTGCAAATTGGCACAAGACAGGGATGCCCTCTCTCACCACTCCTATTCAACATAGTGTTGGAAGTTCTGGCCAGGGCAATCAGGCAGGATAAAGAAATAAAGGGTATTCAATTAGGAAAAGAGAAAGGCAAATTGTCCCTGTTTGCAGATGACATGATTGTATATTTAGAAAACCCCATCATCTCAGCCCAAAATCTCCTTAAGCTGGTAGGCAACTTCAGCAAAGTCTCAGGATACAAAATCAATGTGCAAAAATCACAAGCATTCCTATATACCAATAACAAACACAGAGCCAAATCATGAGTGAACTCCCATTCACAATTGCTTCAGAGAATAAAATACCTAGAAACTTACAAGGGATGTGAAGGACCTCTTCAAGGAGAACCACAAACCACTGCTCAACTAAATTAAAGAGGACACAAACAAATGAAAGAACATTCCATGCTCATGGATAGGAAGAATCAATATTGTGAAAATGGCCATACTGCCCAAGGTAATTTACAGATTCAATGCCATCCCCATCAAGCTACCAATGACTTTCTTCACAGAATTGGAAAAAAACTACTTTAAATTTCATATGGAACCAAAAAGAGCCTGCATTGCCAAGTCAATCCTAAGCCAAAAGAACAAACCTGGAGGCATCACGCTACCTGACTTCAAACTATGCCACAAGTCTACAGTAACCAAAACAGCAGGTACTAGTACCAAAACAGAGATACAGACCAATGGAACAGAACAGAGCCCTCAGAAACACCACCACACATCTACAACCATCTGATCTTTGACAAACCTGACAAAAACAAGAAATGGGGAAAGGATTCCCTATTTAATAAATGGTGCTGGGGAAACTGGCTAGCCATATGTAGAAAGATGAAACTGGATCCCTTCAAAAAAGTAATTCAAGATGGATTACTATGTAGAAAGCTGAAACTGGATCCCTTCAAAAAGTAATTCAAGATGGATTAAAGACTTAAATGTTAGACCTAAAACCACAAAAACCCTAGAAGAAATCCTAGGCAATACCATTCAGGACATAGGCATGGGCAAGGACTTCATGACTAAAACACCAAAAGCAATGGCAACAAAAGCCAAAATTGACAAACGGGATCTAATTAAACTAAAGAGCTTTTGCACAGCAAAAGAAACTACCATCAGAGTGAACAGGCAACCTACAAAATGGGAGAAAATTTTTACAGTCTACCCATCTGACAAAGGGCTAATATCCAGAATCTACAAAGAACTCAGACAAATTTACAAAGAAAAAAAATCAAACAGTCCCATCAAAAAGTGGGTGAAGGATATGAACAGACACTTCTCAAAAGAAGACATTTATGCAGCCAAAAAACACATGAAAAAATGCTCATCATCACTGGCCATCAGAGAAATGCAAATCAAAACCACAATGAGATACCATCTCACACCAGTGAGAATGGTGATCATTAAAAAGTCAGGAAACAACAGGTGCCAGAGAGGATGTGGAGAAATAGGAACACTTTTACACCGTTGGTGGGACTGTAAACTAGTTCAACCATTGTAGAACATAGTGTGGTGATTCCTGAAGGATCTAGAACTAGAAATACCATTTGACCCAGCCATCCCATTACTGGGTATATACCCAAAGGATTATAAATCATGCTGCTATAAAGACACATGCACACGTATGCTTACTGCAGCACTATTCACAACAGCAAAGACTTGGAAGTAACCCAAATGTCCATCAATGATAGACTGGATTAAGAAAATGTGGCATATATACACCATGGAATACTATGCAGCCATAAAAAAGGATGAGTTCATGTCCTTTGTGGGGACACGGATGAAGCTGGAAACCACCATTCTGAGCAAACTAACGCAAGGATGGAAAACCAAATACCACATGTTCTCACTCATAGGTGGGAATTGAACAATGAGAACACTTGGACACAGGGTGGGGAACATCACACACTGGGGCCTGTCGTGGGGTGGGGGGAGGGGGGAGGGGGGAGGGATAGCATTAGGAGATATACCTAACGTAAATGACGAGTTAATGGGTGCAGCACACCAACATGGCACATGTATACATATGTAACAAACCTGCACGTTGTGCACATGTACCCTAGAACTTAAAGTATAATTTTAAAAAAGTAGAAATTTTGTTTAATTTTTTTCAGAAAAGAATAAACTGCAAGGAAACAAACCAAAAAAATAACAACAGAAGAAATAATGCCATAGAAGAAATAAAAAATGAAAAGGTAGAAATTTTTTTAATCAGAAAGATTTTTTAAAAAAAAGAAACCTAGGCTGGGCGCGGTGGCTTACGCCTGTAATCCCAGCACTTTGGGAGGCCGAGGCAGGTGGATCATGAGGTCAGGAGTTCGAGACCAGCCTGGCCAATATGGTGAAACCCCATCTCTAATAAAAATACAAAATTTAGCCGGGCGTGTTGACGCATGCCTGTAGTCCCAGCTACTCCGTAGGCTGAGGCAGAAGAATCACTTGAATCCGGGAGGTGGATTTTGCCCTGAGCTGAGATAGCGCCACTGCACTCCAGCCTGGGTGACAGAGTGAGACTCCATCTCAAAAAAAAAAAAAAAAAAAGAAACCTAAGAGAAGTGATAGATAATGGAGACAGGCAAAGAAAAGTAAACACATACAACAGGAAGCTCCAAAAAAAAAAAAAAAAACACTGAAGCAATGAAATAATTTTTTAAAATTCAGTAATACTTATCTAAAATTAAAAATCTGAAAAGGCACACTGCATATAAAAACTATGAATCCAGAAAACTTTCTTGAAGTTAAGGTTTAAAAAAAAAAGATTTCAACTACGTGTTGAAAGGACATACTGCATAGCTGGAAAAATTGACCAGACATAACCAACACTAAGAAATATACTATTGAAATAAGTGGAATTAAAAAAAAATGCCGTACAGTCAAAAAGACCAAGTCACTTAAAAGGGAAAGAAAATCAGATTATCTTTTCAACAGCAACACTTCACGAGACTATATTTAAGACACTGCTTTCTTTAGGTTGTTCCTTTTCTAGCTTTTTGGGTTGAGTGCAATTCATGTTTTCCATATTTATTGACAGAAGTATTTAATACTATACATTTTCTTCTGATAACTTCTTTAGCTTATCTCATGAATTCTGGTATAATATTCTTACTTTATTGTTCTATTTTAAAAAATATATAACTTCAGTATATAGTTTTCCGTTTACCCCAGATGTATTAATATATTATTTTAAATGTCAACATAAAAGGGCTTTTTTTTTTTTTTTGAGTCAGAGTCTCGCTCTGTCGCCCAGGCTGCAGTGCAGTGCATGATCTCGGCTCACTGAAACTACTGCCTCCCAGGTTCAAGCAGTTCTCCTGCCTCAGGCTCCCGAATACCTGGGACTACAGGCACCCGCCACCACACCTGGCTAATTTTTGTATTTTTAGTAGAGATGGGGTTTTGCTATGTTGGCCAGGCCAGTCTACAACTCCCAGCCGCAAGTGATCTGCCCACCTCAGCCTCCTAAAGTGCTGGGATTACAGCCATAAGCCACCCTATGGAATTTTTGTTGTTGTTTATTTTGTTTATAATTTATATTAATAATTTTAATGTATTGTGATCAGAAAATGCTTTTTGATTTTTCTGTTTTTTGGAATTTATTAAAGTTTTCTTTGGAAACAAGATATGGCAAATTTTATAATGTTCCATGTGTAATTGAAGACATATGTTCTTCATTATTCTGGAGTTGTGATAAAGTCATATTGTAAGTATTGTCCTAGAGTCAGAGTCACATAAAGCATGTGATTTTTTTCTTCTGCTTAAATTGGAATTAAATATACTTTATGGAAATTACATAAATTATATTGTGACATTAAGGTCACCATAATATGTATTAATTAACTGTAACATAAGTCTAACTTTCATTGAATGAATTTTGATACAGACAAGATACAGAACATTATCATCATCGTGGGGATGCCATATGTTGCCCTGCCATAGCAACATCCTAGTTCATCCCATCCCTACCACCATCTCTAAATCCTGGCAACGACTAATTTCTATAGTTTTGTCATCTCAAGAGTGAAGTGTAGGCTGGGTGTTGTGGCTCACGCCTGTAATCCCAACATTTTGGGAGGCTGAGGAGGGTGATCACTTGAGGTCAGGAGTTTGAGACCAGCCTGGCCAACATGGTGAAACCCCATCTCTTCTACAAATACAAAAATTAACCAGACGTGGTGGTAGGCACCTCTAATCCCAGCTACTCAGGAGGCTGAGGCAGGAGAATCACTTGAACCCAGGAGGCAGAGGTTGAGGTGAGCCGAGATCATGCCATTGCATTCCAGCCTACGTGACAAGAGCGAGACTTCGTCTCAAAAAAAAAAAAAGAGTGCTATATAAATGTAGTCATACATTATCTAACATACTGGAATTGGTTTTTACTTGCCATAATTCTCTGGACATTGAGTCAATTTTTATGTAAGCTATGAGACTTATGTAGGGAATTTTGTTTGCTTATGGATTTCCAACTCTCCAGGACAATTTGTTAAATTGCATCTCTATTCAATTGCTTTTGCAACTTTGTAAAAAATTAGTTGGGCATATTTTCATGGGTCTATTACTGGATTCTCTCTTCTGTTTCATTGATCTGTGTCTATTGTTCCACACAGTTTGATTACTGTAGCTATATAGTCTGTAAGTCTTGAAATCAGGTAGAGTGTTACTCCAATTTATTCTTCTTTTCCAAAACTGTTTTATAATTTTAATTTCCTTGCTTTTCCTTAAAATTTTTAGTATAATCTTGGATATGGTTACAAAAATATATTGCTGAAATTTTGATAGAAATTGTGATTAAACCTGTTTATCAATTTGTGGATAATTGATAACTTTACTATGTTGAGTATTACAGTCCATGAACATGTTTGATTTTTTTCACCAGCATTATACAGTTTTCAGAGTAGAAGTACTTTACATGTTTTATTAGATTTACACATATATATAATATGTATATAAGATTTACACTTATTTATATATACACACGTATACATATGTGTGTATGTATACATTATGCATATATATATACACACATTCAGTTTTATTGAGATAAAATTCACATAGAGTACAATTTACCCACTTAAAGTGTAACATTCAGTGGTTTTTAATATATTCATAAAGTAGTTCAATCATCACTAAAGTCAATTTTAGAATACTTTTACTACTTCCAAAAGAAATCCTGTATTGATTAGTAGTTGCTGTTCATTTCCTACCCACCCACTACCACCCCTAGGTAACCTCTAATGTATTTTCTACCTTTATAGAGTTACTTTATTCTGGAAATTTAGCCTGTTAATATGGTGGATTGCATTTATTTATTTTCTAAAACAGATAGCCTTACATTCCTGGAATAAACCCCCTATGGTAATGGGATTTAATTTTTTAAATTGCTGAACTCCATTTTCTAATGTTTTGTAAAGGATTATTGTGTCCATAACTATGAGGGATATTAATCTATTAATATTTTGTTTTATTTTCTATTTTTTTTTACTGTCTTTGTTTTGGTATCTAGATAACAGTAACTTCATAAAGCAAATTGGAAAATACTCATTTCTCTTCTATTTTTTGAAAGAAGTTATGTAGAATTGATGTTAATTCTTCCTTAAACCTTTGGAGAGATTTTGAATTATACATTCAATTTCCTTAATAAAGCCTATCTAAATTATTGATTTCATATTAGGTGAGTTGTGGTGTTTATATTTTTCAAGGATTTAAATCATTTCATCTGAGTTATCAAATGTATGGGTTGTGGTGTTCACTTATTATGCTTTTATTATCTACAGGGTCTGTACTGATCGCCCCTGTTGCATTCCTTCTTTGGTGATATTGCTATAAGTTTTTTAATTTCAATTGTATTGATCTTTGCAAAAATTCAGCTCTTTGCTACATATATTTTCTCTCTTTTTTATTTTCAATTTCTATGTCTGCTTTATCTTTATTTTTTCCTTTCTTCTCCTTGCTTTGAGTTTATATTGCAACAATTCTTTTCAAGTTACTGACATGAGAGATTCGATTATTAATTTGAGATGTGTTCTCTTTTCTTACATATGTATTTACTGCTACATATTTCTTCCCCCATTCTATTTTTGCTTTTTCCCATTATTTTTGATAAGTTTTAATTTTTATTCTGTTAAACTTTTTTTATTTCCCTTGAAACTTCCTTCTTTATTCATGGATAAATTAGAAGTGTTTTGTTTAATTTACAGGAGTTTGGTGAGTTTCTTGTTATCCTTCTGTTATTAACTTCTAGTTTGATTCCATTGTGGTTGGTGAATGCACTGTATATGATTTCAATACTTTTAAATTCACTGAGGGTTTGTCTTATGGCCCAGAAAGTGCATTCTGCTGTGGTTGAGTTGAGTGCTCTATTAATAACAATTAGATCTTGTTGGTTGATGAGTTCATCTATATTAATAATTTTGTCGATTATTCTATCAATTATTAAGAGAGGATTTGTCTATTTCTCCTTTCAGTTTTATCAGTTTTTGTTTTACATATTTCAAAGCTCTGTTGTTCAGTTGCATATGCATTTAGGATTTCTATGTTGTCTTGATGGATTGATTTTTTATCATTATGTAATAACTCTTTCCCTCTCTAATAATCTTCTTTGTTCTAAAATCAATTTTACCTGATATTCATATGGCCACTTGTGCTTTCTTTTGATTAATGTTTGCATGATGTGTTTTCTTCATCTTTTTACTTTCAGCCTGCCTATGTGCTTGTAACTGAATGAATTTCTTATGAACAAAGTATAGTCAAGTGGTGTTTTTAATCCAATCTGTCAATCTCTGTCTTTTAATAGACATATTTAGACCATTTATAGTTAATGTAATTATTATTAGAGCCTAAATCTGCCATTTTAGTTTTCATTTTCTGTTTCTTCTCTTTGTTTTTTTTTCTCTCTTAATTTTCTTTTTTCTCCCTTCCTGGGGGCTATTTAAACATTTTCTTGGAATCGATTTTGATTTACCTATACTGTTTTTGATAGTTTTTTTTGTGGTCACTCTAGATGTTACATTTTAAATAGAGATATAGATAGATAAATGGATGATAGACAGACAGACAGACATATAGATAGATAGAATCATAGAATCATACTCTACTCCCTACTGGTGTCATCTTCTTACCAGTTTGACTGAAATATACATAACTTAGTTCCTTTACCCCCCTCCATTTATAATTACTTAAGTAATTTCTCTATGTACATTTAGAGCCACATTAATGTTATAATTTTTGCTTCAACTACATACATAATTTAGAAAATTCAAGAGGACAAGGAAAGCCTATTGTATTTACCCATGTTTTTTCTTACTGTGTTTTTCTTTCCTAATGTTCCAAGTTTTCTTCTTTTATCACATAATTTCTATTTAGAGAACTTCAATTATTTTAGAATACATCCACTAGTGACAAATTCTCATACTTCTCCTTCCTCTGAGAATGTATTAACTTATTCGTTATTCCTGAAAGATATTTGTGTGGGGTATAGGATTCTGGGCTGGCAGTTCTTTCATTTCAGCACCTAAAAAATATGTTACTTCTTACTGGGTCCCATAGTTCCTGGTAAGAAATCAATTATGATTTGAATTGTTTTTCACCTATAGGTAAAGTGAAACTATTTTTTGATGACCTAAAAAGTTTTTAGTTTATAAAAGTTTAATTATAATGTATCTTGGTGTGAATTTGTTTGGATTTATCTTGTTCAGGATTCATTCAGCTTCTTAAATTTGTAGATTTGTCTCTTACCAAATTTGGGACATTTTCAGTCATTATTCCTCTGGTACTTTTTCAGCCCCATCCTTTTCCTCCTTTTCTTCCAGTACTCTAAAACCACAAATGTTAAATCTTTTCTTGTAGTTACACAGGTCTCTGAGGCTCTGTTTCTTTCTAAAAGTCTACTTTCTTTCTGTTTTTCAGATTGGGTAATTTCTATTCTCTTATAGTTCACTGAATATTTCCTCTGTCTCATCCATTCTGTTGTTGAGCCCATCAATTGTACTTTTTATTTTCGGTTGTTGTATTTTTTCATTTTGAAATTTCCATTTGATTCCCTTTTATATCTTACATTTATTTGTTAAGACTATTTTCTTGCTAAGATTTATTTTTTAATTTTTCATTTGGCTCAAATATGTTTGTAATTACTTATTGCATTTTTATCACAGCTGCTTTGTCATCTCAATGTTGGCATCTATTGATTGTCTTTTTTATTCAGTTTGAGAAATTTATTGTCCTTAGGATAATGAATGATTTTGAACTAAAAACACAGGCATTTTCCTATTATGTTCTGAGACTGTATATAATTAAGCCTTCTGTTTTAGTTGACTTTCTCTAAAACTGCTCAGGAAGGGGAAGAAAAGGTGGTGCTGCCTCATTTCTTCAAAGCAAAGGCAGAAATCTCTTAGTCACCCACTCATCCTCAGTTGACACCTGACATGGGATAATCCTCATTACTGTTTAGTAGCAGTGGTCTTCTCTGACACCACAGGGCCTTGTTACAAGAATGGCAGAATTAAACTCTTACTTGGCCTTTTCTGATAGCACCCTAGATGGGTTGATGGGTGCTTTTTCATAGTCTTGCAATGGTGAAACTCTAGCTTTCCACTCAGCCTTTGATTTTGTGATTGCAAGTGGGTCAACTGTTCACATATGTTTAACTGGAGTCGACAAATTAACATCTAAAATTTTTTTGTCTTCCTGGGTTGTCCATTTCCTGGTCTTCTGGTTAAAGAGATAAGGCTTTTAGACGGGTTTTTATTGTTTTTGTTGGTCTGCACTCATTGGCATTTTGGGGCTTCTGATTTTTCATATCCAGGTCTGAGATATATGAGACCCCAAAAAAAAGCCAACCAAACATTCACATCACCCCTCACATCCCAAGGTTCTTAGCCAGCCTGCCTTCTTCTTTTTCAATGGCTTCTATTGTTTATTTTATATATAAGGTCCCGGATTTGTAGTTAATTAGAGCTTAGCTGGAAGAATAGGGAAAGGTACATCTAGAAGTGAAAGCTCCTTACATTTATTTTAAATATATTTATTTTAACTGACACATAAAAATTGCGTATAATTATCATGTACAACATGATGTTTTGAAATATGTGTACATTGTGGAATGGCTAAGTTGAGCTAATGAACAAATGAATTACCACATATCCTTTATACTTTTTGTAGTGAGAACACTTAAAATCTACTCTCAGTGACTTTCAAGAATATAATACATTATTACTAACTATGGCCAAAGTGTTGTACAAAGTGTTGTAGAGCTCTTGTATTTATTGCACCTAGCAGCTGAATATATTTATCCTATGACCAACATCTCCCCAATCACTCTCCCAACCCTCAGCTCCCGGTAACCAATATTCTACTCACTGCTTCTATGAGTTCAACTTTTTAAGATTCAACATATAAGTAAAATCATGTGGTATTTATCTTTCTGCACCTGGATTATTTCACTCAACATAATGTTCTCCAGGTTCATCCATTTTGTTACAAATAAAAAAATTTGCTTTTTATGGCAGAATAGTGTTCCACTGTATCTATACAGCACATTTTCCCTACCCATTTATTCACTGATGAACACTTCGGTTGATTCTATGTCATGTCTATTGTGAATAATGCTACAATAAACATGGAAGTACGAACATAATTTTATTTCCTTTGGATGTATACCCAGTAGTTGGATTGCTGGATCATATGGCAAATCTATTTTTAATTTTTTTAGGAACTTGCATACTCTTTTTCCAGTCTGGCTATACTAACTTACATTCCCACCAACAGTGTGCTAGGGTTCCCTTTTCTCCATATCCTCTTCAACACTTGTTATTCTTTCATCTTTTTAATAACAGCCATTCCAACAGGTGAAAGGTGATATATCATTGTGGTTTTAACTTGCATTTTTCTGATAATTTGTGAGGTTGAACATCTTTTTATCTATCTGTTGAGTAGAAATGTCTATTTAGGTCCTTTTCCCATTTTTAATCAGGTTATTTTTCTTGCTATTGAGTTTTTTGAGTATTTTATATATTTTGAATATTTGCCCCTTTTAAGATCTGTGGCTTGCAAATATTTTAACCCATTTCATAAGTTGCCTCTTCATTCTGTTGTTTGTTTCCTTGACTATGCAGAGGATTTTTAGTTTACTGTAATCCCGTGTGTCTATTGTTGCTTTTGTTGCCTGCTTTGGGGTTTATATCCAAAAAATTATTGCCCAGACCATTTCATAAACATTTTCCCCTATTTTTTTCTTGTCATTTTACAATTTTAGGTCTTAGAATTAAGCCTATAATACACTTTGAGTTGGAGTTTCTTTATAGTGTGAGATAAGGGTCTAATTTCATGCTTCTGCATGTGGATATTCATTTGTCCCAACATGATTTATTCAAGAGACTGTCTTTTCCCTATTGTGTGTTCTTAACATCTACATCAAAAATCAATTGACTATAATAAATGTGTGGGTTTTTTGCTGGGCTATTTGTTTCCATTGGTCTATATGTCTGTTTTTATGTCAGTACCATACTGTTTTGATTACTATAGCTTTGTATTATGAGATCAGGTAGACTGATGCTTCCAGCTTTATTCTTTTTGTTCAAAATTGATCAGGCTATTTGGAGTATCTTACTTCCATATGAATTTTAGGATTATTTTTTCCATTTCTGTAAAAAATGTCATTGAAATTTTGATGAAGATTGCATTGAATCTGTAGATCACTTTGGGTAGTATAGAGATTTTAACAATATTAATTCCTCAATCTTCTTAAAAGGGATATCTTTCCATTTCTTCATGTATTATTCCACTTCTTTTATCAATGTTTTATAGTAGTATACAGTATAGGTTTTTTTTATCTTGGTTAAATTTATTCTTAAGTGTTTTACTTTTTGGGTAGCTAATGAAAATGGGATATTTTTAATCATATAACTTGTTATTAGTAATAGAAACCCTACTGATTTTTGCATGTTGATTCTATATCCTGCAACTTTACTCAATTTTGTTATTAGTTCTAACAGTGTTTTAGTGAAGTCTTCAGGACTTTCTATAAAATGATGTCATCTGTAAACAGGGACAATTCCACTTCTTCCTTCTCGATTTGGATGCCTTTCTTTTCTTGTATTTCATGCCTAATTTCTCTGGCTAGGACTTCCAGTACCATGTTGAATAGAAGCGATGAGAGTAGGCTTCTTGTTCATATTCCTGATCTTTTAAAGATAAAGTTTCCAACTTTTCACCATTGAATATGATGTTAGCTGTAGGCTTGTCATATATGGCCTTTTTTGTGTTGAGGTACATTCCTACTATAACTAGTTTGTTGGGTGTTTTTATCATAGAAGGATATTGAATTCTGTCAAATGTTTTTTATGTATCCATTGAGATGATCATATGGTTTTTGCCCTTCATTCCGTGAATGTAACATCAAGTTTATTGATTTGCATATGTTGAAACATCCTTGCATCCCAGGGATAAATCCCACTTGATCATGGTGAATGATCCTGTTAATGTGTTGTTGAATTCAGTTTGCTAGTATTTGTTTTAGGGTTTTTCGATGTATGTGTATCATGAATATTGGTCTGCAGTTTTCTTTTCTTTTAGTGTCCTGCTCTGGCTGGGTAATGCTACCTTGTAAAATGAGTTTGTAGGTATTCCCTCTACTTCAATTTTTGGGAAGAGTTTGAGAAGGATCAACATTACTTCTTGCTTAAATACGTGGTATAATTCAGCAATAAAGCCATTAGATACTGAACACTTCTTTGACAGGAGACTTTTTTAATAGGTTTTGGGGAACAGGCAGTTTTTGGTTGTATGAATAAATTATTTAGTGGTAATTTCTGAGATTTTGATGTACCTGTCATCCAGCAGTGTACACTGTACCCAATGTGTAGTCCTTTATCCCTCACCACTCTCCCCTCTTCCCTCTTAGTCCCCAAATTCCATTACATCATTCTTATGCCTTTGCATCCTCATAGCTTACCTCACACTTACAAGTGAGAACATAAATTATTTGAGTTTTTTTAAATTAATGATTAAATCTCCTTACTTATTCTTGTTCTATTCAGATTTTCTGTTTCTTTATGATCCTGTCTTTGTAGACTGTATGTGTTTAGAAATTTATCCATTCTTTCTAGGCTATCCAATTTTTGATATATAATTATTCATAGTCTCTTATGATCCTTTTGGATTTATTTGTATTCCTGTGGACTTTTTATAAAATGATGTCATCTGTAAACAGGGAGAATTTCACTTCTTCCTTCTTGATTTGGATGCCTTTCTTTTCTTGTATTTCATGCCTAATTGCTCTGGCTAAGACTTCCAGTACCATGTTGAATAGAAGTGATGAGAGTAGGCTTCTTGGTCATATTGCTGATCTTTTAAAGAAAAAGTTTCCAAATTTTCACCATTGAATATGGTGTTATGATCAGTTGTAATGCTTCCTCTTTCATTTCTGATTTTATTTATATGAGTTATCTCTTTTTTAATACTTAGTCTAGCTACAGGTTTGTTGAATTTGTTTATCTTTTCAAAAATACCAACTCTCCACTTTATTGATCTTTTCTATTTTTTTCTATTCTATGTTTCCTTTATTTCTTCTCGGATCTTTATTATTTTATTTCTTGTGCTAACTTCAGGCTTAATTTATTCTTCTTTTTCTAGTCCCTTACAATGAAATAATAGATTGCACTTGAGATCTTTCTTCTTTTTTGATGCAGATGTTTGTTGCTATAAACTTCCCTCTTACAACCACTTTTGCAGCATCCCATCATTTTGGGTATGTTGTGTGTTCCTTTTTGTTTGTGTGAAGACATTTTCTAATTTCTCTTAAAATTTCTTCTTTGATCGATTTGGGTTTTTCAGGAGTAAATAATGGAATTTTCCAAAATTCATTCTGTTCATTTCCTTCAGTGTTTTGAATATATCATCCCACTCTCATCTGGTCTGTAAGGTTTCTGCTGAGAGTGTCATACCATTGTGGTTGGAAAAGATACTTGATATAATTTCAGTCTCTTAAAATTTATTAAGACTTGTTTTGTGGCTCAATAGGTAATATATCTGAAGAATCCTCCATGTGGCTTGAGAAAAATGTGTATTCTGCTGCTGCCGGATGCAATGTTACGTATATGTCTGTTAGGTCCATTTGGTCTAAAGTGCAGTTCAAGTCCAGTGTTTCCTTGTTGATTTTCTGTCTAGAAGACTGGTCCATTGCTGAAGGTGGGATATTAAAATGTCTTACTACTATTGTATTACAGTATGTCTCACCCTTCAGATCTATAAATATTTGCTTCATACAATTAAGGAGCTTGGATATTGGGTGCATATATATTTACAGCTGCTATATCCAATTGATGAATTGACCCCTTTATCATTCTATAGTGACCTTCTTTGTCTCTCTTTATAATTTTTTATTAACATCTATTTTTATCTGATATAAGTATAGTTAACTTTGCTCTCTTTTGGTTTCCATTTGTCTGGAATATCCTTTTTCATACCTTCACTTTTGGGATATGTGTGTCTTTAAAGGTGAAGTGAATCTGTTATAGGCAGTATATAGTTGGGATTTTTAAAAATTTATTCAGCAACTTTATATCTTTTGATTGGAGAATTTAATCCATTTACTTTCAACATAATTATTGACAAGCAAGGACTTACAGTCATTTTAATTGTTTTCCAATTGTTTTGTAGATCCTTTGTTCCTTTCTTCCTTTCTTGCTGTCTTCCTTTGTGATTTGGTGATTTTTCTCTAGTGGTATGCTTCGAATTCTTACCATTTATTTTTTGTGTATCTACTGTAGGTTTTTGTTTTATTTTTACCACAAGGCCAATGTACATCTTACAGTTATAATAGGCTCGTTAAAGCTGATAACAACTTAACTGATCACTAAAAAATCCTCAACATTTCTTCCTCAACCTCTCCACCAATTTTATGTGTTTGATGACACAATTTATATCATTTTATACTGTGTATCTCTTAACAGTTGTTGTAGCTGTTATTTTAAAATAATTTTGTCTTTTAACTTTTGTACTAAAGATATGTCATTTACACATTACCATTACAGTATTAGAGTATTCTGAATTTGACAATACACTTTTCATTCTGTTTGAAGAATTATCTTTAGCATTTCTTGTAAGACAGGTCTGGTAGTAATGAATTCTCTTTGCTTTCGTTTGTCTGAGAAACCCTGTCTCTCCTTCATATCTGAAAAACAGCTTTGCTGGGTAAATTATACCTGAGGAACAGTTTTGCTGGGTAAATTATTGGATGGTAGGTTTGTTTTGACTTTATTTTTCCTTCAGTGTTCTGAATATATCATCCCACTCTCATCTGCTCTGTAAGGTTTCTGTGAGAGGTCTGCTGCTAGCCTTATTCGAACTCCCTGATAAGTGATAGGCCTTTTTTTTCCCCCTCTTACTGCCTTAAGAATGACCTCTTTATCTTTTGACAGTTTAATCATAACTTTTCTTGGTGTAGTCTTGTTACGGTTGTATCTAATTGGAGAACTTTGACCTTCCTGCGCCTGGATATTTATATATTTCCCCAGATTTGGAGAAATTTCTGCAATTGTTTCTTGAAGTTTTCTGGCCCAGTGTTTCTCTCTTTTCCTTGAAGTCCTATAATCTGAATATTTGTTTGTTAGATGCTGTCCCATATGTCTCATTAGTTTCACTTATTCCTTTTTTTCCTCTTCTGGTCCTATATTTTCAAATAACCTGTCTCTAAATTCATGGATTCTTTCTTCTGCTTGATCAGGTCTGCTACTGACATTCTCTAATGCATTTTTCTTTTCATTTATTACAATTGTCAGCTCCAGAATTCATTATATATGCATATAGTATATTTGATATATATAACATGTTATATATGTTATAACATTTGTATGTGTGCATATATATAATTTCAATATCTCCATTAAATTTTTCATTTTGGTTGTCTGTTTTCCCGATTTCATTGATTTACTTCTCTGTATTTTCTTGAAGTTCACTGGGCTTCCTTAAAACAATGATTTTGAATTGTCAGGCAATTCGTAAGTCTCCATATCTTCAGAGCCAGTTACTCTGAAGAAGTAAGGGCTTTATTTTGTTCCTTTGATGGTGTCATGTTTCCCAGATTGTTTTTTATGCTTGTGGCTGCATTGATGCCTGCACATTTGAAGCAGTGACTTATTTTAGTTTTTACAGTTTGGCTTTGTGTGGGAATGCCCTTTACCAGTCAGCCCCTGCAGAGATTTTTCGGCAAGACATCTGGCCTCGTTTGTAGGCTGACTTACTGCTGGAGTCCTCAGGCAGGCTGGCCTGGTGTCTGGATCAGTTGGTACCTGAGTCCACAGGGTTGGGTGTGGAGCCTCTGTTCACTGAGGTAGACCTGTTGTTTAGGTTTGTGGCGGGGTGAGAGGGGGCGTGTGTCTGCAGCCTGGTTCTGCAACAGTGGGCCTGGAGCCTGTATACGTGGTTGCTAACTTGAAGCCTTGATGCACATTGCTGACCTGGCACTGAGGTGAGCATTGAGTTTGAGTCTATAGAAGCTGACCAGATCTTGGGATAGGCCTGGTGCCTAGGTCCACTGGTGTCAACCTGGAGCCTGAGTCCATGGAGATGTGCCTAGGTCCTGGGTCCATGGGGATGGCCTGGAGACAGGATCTTCAGGGTGGTTCTGGAACCACAGGGGCCAGCCTGGTACTAAAGTCTATTGAAGTTGCCCTAGACCTTGGGTGTCCTGAAGCAGGCCTGAACCCAGGGTCCACTGAAGCCTGAGGCCACTAGGACTTCCTTGGATCCTCAGGCCAGCTTGGTGCTGGGGCAGGCAGAAAATCTGGGTATGCAGGGGCTGGTCTAAAGCCTAGGGTTGTGTGTACTGGCCTGGTACCTGAAGCCATGGAGACTAGAATTTTGGGTCCTAGGAGGCCTAGTCAGCCTGGAGCTTGGGTACATGAGTGCTAGTCTCAAGTCTAGGTTTGTTGATGCTGGCCTGAAGGTCTGCAATGGCCTACCTCAGTCCTGGGGCTTTGAGGCCTGGAACCTGGGTCTATAGGAGAAGTCGTGGAGCTTGAGTCCATGGAGGCTGCCCAGCACTAGGGTCTATTGGGATGGGCCTGGACCCTGAGTCTGTTGGAACGTGTGGTCAGTCTGGAGGGTCGGGATGCAGTGATTGGCCTGACACTAGGCAGACCTAGTACCTATAGCTGTAAGTGCCAGCCTGTCACCTGAAGCCAGGTATGGCAACCTAGTGCTGGTGCAGGCCTGAAGTCTGAGGCTACATGGGCTGACCTGGCTCTAGGCTGGGCTGGAAACTGGGAAAGCCTAGAGCCTGGAGCCACAGAGATTGGCCTGGGCATTGGGTGAGCCTAGAATCTATATCCACAGGGGCTGGCCTGAAGGCTGGGTCCATAGGTGCTAGCCTGATGGCTAGGGCTGCAGGACCAGCCTGGTGGCTTGGGCAGGCCTGAAGCCAAGGGCCACTGTGCCTGGCTTGGAGACTTGAGTCTGCAGGATGATTCTGAAGCCTTGTCTCTGGTGGCTGGCTGGCATTCAAAGCCTGCAGCTACTGGGGCTGGCCCAGTGCTGGGGCCAGTCTAGAGCCTGGGGCTGCTGGGTGGGGCTGCCTGGTGGTAGAGAAGGCCCGAAGACTGAACATACCTGGCAGGCCTGGACACTGGGGCTGCAATGTCAGGCTTGGTGTTGGGGTAAACCTAAATGCACAGTCTATGGTTACCAGTCTAGTGTTTGGAGACAAGGGGGTCTTGCCAGTGCTGAACTGCATTTGGGTGCGCCTGGTGTTCGGATCTAAGGTCTGGTGCTCACTTTCCTCTCCTTCCAGCAAGTGAAGGGTGTCTCCCCTGTCCCCACCACCCACCCTCCCCACCGACATGAGAAATGTAAAACTGTCCTTCCCAATGTATCTTTTCTTACTTCTGCACTACATCAAGGTACTACAATCTCTCAACTGTTTTCCTTAGCTTTTGTGAAGGTATTTCTGTACATGGATAGTTGTTCAAATTGATGTTTCTGCAGGGGGATGCGTGTTAAAAATCGTATTCTGCCACCTTGCTGATATCTCAACCTATTAAAAATTTATTTTAAATATTATGGTTACAGTTTTTAGCTTCAATGTACTTGGGGATGTTACTTTGCTCATTTTTTCCCTTATCATAACTTCGTATAGAACTTAATTACAATCCTTTTGTGTCACTCATGTTTAAGCACAACACGTTTTTCTGTGCTTCTAAGAGGAGCCTGCTTTGTAGGAGAGCAGGATGAACAGAAGATATTTCTTAGTTTCTTTATTATAGGGCTCATAGTTCTATACTAACAATTGAATAATTTAAAATATGGAGACAGTTATTTCCAAAATCTGCTTTCTTTTCTCTTCTCCTTTTCATATCTGAATCTCTTTTTTTCCCCTTAATGGCTCTGTCCTGCTGTCAATGTGGATTTTACCCCCTGAAGTCGTTCCTCAATATGAGGCTTTGTCTTAGAAGAAAACTTCAGCTGATTAGTTATAAGAATTCACAGGGCTCGAATTTATAGCATAAAGATTGGTAACCAGGTACTCTATAGGGTTCAAATTTATAGCATTTTCAAGCTTCTCAAAGTCTCCCCGCACTCATACAGACAAAGGGGCTTCAAAAGCCCTCTCCTAGTTTGGCTGTTTGGCTGAGATTGAGTGACAGACTTTCTACTCCTGTGTGCAATCCCTTTCTTTTGGGGTAAATATTTGTTAGCAATATCTGGATTCTCGGGATCTCAACTTTCCTTTGCAATTTCAACCATTGGGATGTGTCTTTGTTTGGGTTGCTACAACAAATTACCATAGACTGGTGGCTTAAACAGTAAACATTTATCTATCACACCTCTGGAGGCTAAGAAGTCCAAGATCAAGGTGTCAACAGACCTGGTGTCTGGTAAGGGCCCATTCCTGGTTTGTAGACGGCTATCTTCTCATTACATCTTCTCACATGATAGAGAACAGAGACAGATAGCAAACTCTTGTGTCTCTTCTTATAAGAATACAAATCCCATTCATGAGGTCTCCACCCTCATGACCTAATTACCTCCCAAAGGCCCCAACTACTAATACTGTCACATTGAGGGTTAGGATTTCAATATATGAATTTTGAGGAGACACAAATAATTTAGTATTTGTGAAGTGTTTAAAAATAGTACCTGGCATATAACAAGTGCTGTAAAGGAAATTGTTCAAGAGATTTTTTAAAATCATGATTTCCTGCATGCTTCCCATCAAAACATCCTGAAAAATAACATTATATAGAAACACTCCTAGCCAGAATGGAAAAGAAAATGAAAGAAAAATACTTCCACTTCTGGAAGAAAGAAAGAGGAATTCATTAAAGGGATATAGTCGGTAGATTAAATATGAGAGTATGAGACTTTCATGGGATGTGGGGAATGCACTGTAGAGACATTCATATTAATATCAAAGGATAATAGAGCATCTAAGCTAGTGTTCCACTCGTCCTGGTGTTGTCTGGTGGAGGCTGCAAACTCCCCCAGAAGCCTTGCACTTAGCCTGAAACCACATCCAAGATGGTGCAACAACAGCAGTGCAATAGTATCAGAGGGAAGTGTATCAAAAAATACCTCCCAGGTTGTATGTGGTATAAAGGAAATTCAGATTTTCAAAATATTCCCACCCAAGGGGAAAGGCTGATGCAAAAAAAGAGGCATGGAAACATAATATAGATACTTCTGAGGGCCAGGACATTAAGGCAGAAGCAAGAATGGAGTTCACTAGTAGCAGATGGCATCACAGGCCCAAAGACCAGGTAGGAACAAGCACCTCAGTAATGATGAGGAAGAGGCTAATGCCCAAGACAAGTGGAATGATATCTCTCCCCAACAGGTTTAAAGTAATTTAGAAGACCACCAAGGGACACTGGTAAACACACCTAAAGCTTCCCTCTCTAGCCAGCTGGAGGTCTTACCTGCTCCAGCATACCTGGCAGCCATATGTGGGGAGCAAAAGGGGTTGAGCAAGGACTGTGAAAGGTTGAAGATTTGTCCAAATAAGACCGTCTAAAAACAAAAGAGCCTCTTTTTAACTAGAAGAGAATAAATTGTATTTAAGTAAGACACATGTACACACACACATTGAACCCAGCTAAAGGGGCTCAAGAACAATATGAGAGTAGCAATAGAAAATGAAGAAGCTCTATATTCTTTGTACATTTCAGAAATGACACTTTAAATGATCAACACTTATACATCTTTTTTTTTTAATTTGGGACCATATTTTTCATATAATATGTTCCCTTAAGATTATGTGAAAAATATCTTTTCTAATAACATTCCTCCAAAGTGTGTTTTTCATGACCAATATAATTTCATAGAATGAGCATAATTTACTTCATCAATTTTTTATAATTGGATATTTAAGCTGTGTCCAATTTTTACTGTTATGATTAACGATACAAAGACTATTTTTGTTGCATCTCTACTTCTTTACAGTACATTTTTCATTGTGGAATTTCTGAAATGAGGCAATACATGGTTTGAAGCGTTTAATATATATTATCAAGTTATCCTCTAGATAAAGTTCAAACTCGTTAGAAAAATAAACCCATTATGATCTGGTTAGTGTTTCCCTGTACAGCTTAAATACTCTCTATCATCCATCTGCCTGAAACCATATACTTTATCTAGACACTATGTTGTACTACCTTTAGAACCTTGCACTTGGTCTCCCCTCTTTGTGAAACATTTTCCCGTGTTATTTCAACTTCCCTTTGGCCCAGATGAACTCTCCTTTTTAAGTATAAGCTTAGACTTTGACCCCTCCTCACCCTTCCCAACCCCTGTTTGCACCTCACACACAACTATGTTGAGTCCTGTCCATGAGATAATTTGATATCCTTAGTAAATTAATAAAACTTTCCAACTGAATAAATAGCCTTGTTCTTACAGTTGTAACATATCAATAAAAACAAAATTAGGTGAGCAGCTACTAATGCCAGGTTCTGTATTATTCACTAAGATACAAGCATAAAAAGATATAGTTCAGTGAATACAAATGTCATTGTATTCATTCAGCCTCATAAGAGGTCACATAAATACAAATTATAACAGAATATCATTTTTCTCCTACAAATGTTACCAATTTTTTTAGTCAATGATATCTTGTGATGATGAAAATTTGAAAAAAATAGGCACCCTGATATCTAACTTGATGGGAATCCAAATTGTTATATCTTTACAGAGAGTAAGTATAAAATACCTACTAAGTAATTTTAGCACATACATTGAACCAGTAAATTCACTTAAATGTACAAAAGTGTTTATGCAAGATTATTAAAATTTTACTGTATTTACAGATAGTAAGACCAAAAGAATATGAAAATGTTAACAATGGTGAGATTGGAATGGAAGAATTTTTTTTTAATTTGAGCATTTTTATGTGTTCTAAGTTTCCTATAATAAACATCTATAGATTTTATAATCAGGACAAAAGTCTTTGTAAGAACCATACCTTTATTTCTCCCACTGGAGTTATAGGAGCAAGATGACCATTTAGGAGGCCCTGACGCTTGTCCTCCCCCAACAAAAACAGTGAATAAAAACTACATGCTGACAAGAATAGCCACGGGAGAACTCCGGAATATAATAAAGAAGCTCCAGGAATCCTGTGGTGCACAGAGGCTGAAAGTGGCTACATGAAAAAGCACAGAAAGCAGTATGCCTGTGTTACTCCATTCCTGTCAGGCATGGCTTGGTGTCAGGAGGGATCCCCTTGGCCTCACTCCCCACCCCACATTGTGGGAAAAGAGAGTGGTAAGACCACAACAGCCCTCGTTGCCACTATTGATACCCTGTGTCTTGCACCACCAAGGTCCCCCACAGCCTTCATCAACACAGGACCCAGTTTGACAAAGTCCATGTTACTGCACTTCCCCAACCAAGGAGCAGCTGTAGCACCTCCCCCACTGGAAGAGCCACCACAGCCCACCACCCCAAAGGAGCCACCACTGCATCCCCACTACAAAAGAAGCTACTGTTTACCCCCACCAGAGAGGAAGCATTGCTGCACCTCCTTCCCTGCCAAAGCTGCTGTTGCTGCTCCCCACACCATCTGGGGCCAAAGCCCACTCCTAAGCCCCATCCTGAGGACTAGAGCCACCACTGCTGTGTCCTACCCAACCCCTTCTCCTCAGAGTTCCTACACCTTCCCACAATTGCACAGAGGACCTAGACCTCAGATCCAGGGTCACTCGGATCATCTGCACCTTGAACACTGGTGCCACCACTGTAGTAAGTACATTTCTACTTCTGCCCCAAATGCCACACTCATTCAACGTACCCCCAAGCCCCAGACCCCATTTAGTGTGCTTCCACGAACACTTGGTGTGTTCTTGTACCTTGGACAACACATCCACCACTATGTCAAATGTGTCTGTGCCCCAAACCTAACCCAGATGCTGCCACCAGTGCATGTGATCACATGTGCTAGACCACATGCCAAGAGTGATCCCTTCAGCCATAATTATTCCCTGAAGGAATAAATGAGAATAGGTGGATATCAACAGACTTCACCACCAATGACTCCAATAGCCCATTGCCAATGTAGACACCTGCAGCCTTAGCTGCAGAGGACTCCTGCAGTCTTTGCCAACACTAACCTCAGCTGATGAAATTCCATGGAGACTTCAATACCGTGCCTTCTCCAAGACCAGAACCACCATTGCATCCTGCCCTGCAGGGCCAGAACCACCACAATCCACCTAGCCAGTGTCCTCACACCCACACATAGCTGAAGGTCTTTTCCCAGTCTATAAAGTGTGGACAAGGTGACTGCTCCCTCAAATGTACAGACATCAATGCAAGGCCACAAGAAACGAACAAAAAAAAAATTCAAAAAGTGGTGCCACAAAAACAAACACAATAATTTTCCAGTAACTGATTCCAACAAACATGTGAAAACTAAACAACATACCCTTAAACAACCATTAGGACAAAGCAAAAATGAAAAGGGATTTTAAAAAGGATCTTGAGGCAAATGAAAATGAAAACACAACATACCAAAACCTATGGGATGTAGTAAAAGCGGTAATAAGAGAGAAGTCTATAGCAATAGATGCCTACATTAATAAAGAAGAAAGGTCCCTAATGAACGTCTAATTTTACACATCAAGGAACTAGAAAAAGAAAATATTAAGCCCAAAGTTAGCAGAAGGAAGGAAATAATGAAGATTGGAGAAAAAAATAAATCAAATGCAGAACAAATATAAAAAATAATAAAATAAAACTACAAGTTTTTTTAAAAGATTACTAAAATCTACAAATCCTAAGAAAAAGAGAACACGCAAATAAATAAAATCAGAAATAAGAGAAGAGACAATACAATGGAAGCCTCAGAAATAAAACAGATTATAAGGGAGTATTAGGAACAATTATATGCCAACAAACTGGGTAATCTGGAAGAATAAATTCCCAGAATCATACAAGCTATCAAACCTGAATCAGGAAGAAATAGAAAGCCTGAATATAAATTAGGAGACTGACTCAGTAATCAAAAACCTTCCAACAAAGCCCAGGACCTGATGGCTTCACATGTCAATTCTACCAAACACTTGAAGAATTAATATCAATCCTTGTTAAATTTTCAAAAAATAGAAAAAAAGTAAACTCTTCCAAATTCACTGAATAAGGTCAGCTTCACCCTGATACCAAAACCAAGAAAAGACCCTACAGGAAAAAAACAAAACAAAACTACAGGCCAATTTTTCTAGCAAACCAAATTCAACAACACATTGGAAGAATCATACACCATGAACAAGTGAGATTTAACAAAGGGATACCAGAATGGTTCAATATATGCAAATGAATCAACATGATACAACATATTAACAAAATGAGAGAAAAAAACACATGATCATCTCAATAGAGGCAAAAAAAAAAACACATTTGACAAAGTTCAACATCCATTCATTCTTAAAACTCTCAACTAAACAGCTACAGATGAATCTTACCTAAACACAATAAAGGCCACATAGGAAAAGCCCAAAGTAAATATCATAATCAGTGGCGGGAAACTAAAAGCTTTCCCTCTAAGATCTAGTACAAGCCAAGGATACCCACTCTTGCCACTTCTTTACAACCTAGAATTGAAAATCTTATCCACAGCAATTAGGCAAGAAAAAGAAATAAAAAGGCATCCAAATTGGAAAAGAAGTAAAATTGTCTATTTGTAAATGACATAATTATACACATAGAAAATCTTAAAGGCTCAACAACGAGCAAAAAGAAAAACTATTAGAAATAATGAATGAATTCAGTAAAGCTGCAAGGTAAAATATCAACATGCAAACATCAATTACATTTCTATTCACAACAATGAACCATCTGAAAAGGAAATTTAAAAATAATCCATTAACAATAACAGCCAAAAGTTTAAAATACTTAGGAATAAATTTAATCAAAGAGGTGAAAGACACGTACACTAAAAACTATAAAATGTTTGTGAAAGTAATTAAGAAAGACACAGATAGATGGGAAAATATCTTGTGTTCATGGATTGGAGTAATTAACGTCTGTAAATGTTCATTATACCCAAAGCAATTCACAGTATTGCAATCCTTATCAAAGTCCTAATGTCATTCTTTATAGAAATAGAAAAAAACTTCCAAAATTCATATGGAACCACGAAATACCCCAAATAGACAAAGCAATCTTGAGCAAGAGGAACAAAGCTGCAGGCATCACACTTCCTAATTTCAAATTATTTTACAAATCTATAGTATGGTACCTTCATAAAAACAGACATACAGACCAATGGAACAGAGCAGAAAGCCCAGAAATAAGTCCTCACATCTACAATCAACTGGTCTTTGACAAGAGTGCTATGAACACAAACTGAGGAAAGGACAGTCTCTTCAATAAGTGATGCTGATAAAAATAGATATTCACATACAGAAGAATGAAATTAGACACTTATCTCACACCTATACAAAAATCAACTCAAAATGGATTGAAGACTTCAATGTAAGACCTGAAACTGAAAAACTGCGAGAAGGATAAGGGGTTAATATCCAATATATATAAGGAACTCACACAACTCAATAATGAAAAACATCCTGTTTCAAAAATTAGCAAAGGATCTAAATAGACATTTCCCAAAAGAAAACATACAAATGGCAAACAAGTTTATGAAAATGCCCTCAACATTGCTAATCATCAAGGAAATTCAAATCAAAACTGAGTTATCACCTCACATCTGTTAGAATGGCTATTATCAGAAAGACCAAAGATAGCAAGTGTTGGAGAGGCTGTGGAAAAAAGGAAACTCTTATATACTGTTTCTGGGAATGTGAATTGGTACAACCATTATGGAAAACAGTAGGAGGTTCCTCAAAAAATAAAAAGATCTAGTAACCTGACTACTGCGTATACATCCAAAGGAAATGAAATCAGGCTCTCCAAGAGATATCTGCATTCCCATGTTAATTTCCACATTATTTACAATACTCAAAGTATGGAAATGATGAATGAATAAAGGAAAATGTGGGGGCTATACACACACACACACATACAAACACTCCACACAATGGAATATTATTCAGCCTTAAAAAGAGGGAATCTAAAATAGTTGAAGTCATAGAAACAGAGAATAGAATAGTGTTTGCCAGGGGTGAGGGGAGAGAAAAATGGGGAGATGTTGGTTGGGGGTACAAAGTTTCAATTATGCTGGAAGAATACATTCTGGAGATCGAATGTACAATAATATGAGTATAATTAACAATAGTTTATTGTATATTTGAAATTTGCCAAGAGGGGAGACACTAAGTATTTTTGTCATACACACACATACAAACGTTTAAGTGGTAACTATCTAAAGTGATTGCTGTGTTAATTAGTGTGTGCTGATTATTTTACAACGTATGTGTGTATTAAATCATCAAATTGTATACCTTAAATCTTTGTGTTAAATATACGTCAATAAAAAAAATGTTAAGTATACACATTCTCTTACCTTTAGTGAGCCTTTTTCAAGTAAGGAAGCCATTTTCCTAGAAATTTTCTCTTAATAAAAAGGCAACCAAGACTTCCAACCTGGAAGCTGAGAGATCAGACACTGATATTCAGAACTCAACCAAGATGCAATTATACCTTAAGCTCAAGTTTGAAACAGCCATTAGTTTCTCTCATATTATTATCCTAGTCATTATCTACCATTTAACTATGTATAATTATCCATTCAGATTATTTATAAAAATGTTAACTTAGACACCTATCAGAAATAAATCTTTGGATGTCACAATATCAGTGTTTCTTTCTCCAGAAAAATGCCTACATATCTCTGCTCTTCATTTCTTGATTGCAAGCAAGGACTTTATGGAAAGGGGGAACTCCTCAATTACTAATGATTTAATTCTCTTTCCTACTAAGTTTTATGATAAATTTTGAAAGACTAAATAAATTATGTTCCCTTGTTTGTCTTTATTCTCAGGTTTATTTGGCCTCTCTGAGGAATACAACAGAATTACTCTGTCAGTAAGTCTTAGTTCTTGTTTTAATTTTAGTTATGATGAGAGATCTTTTTATGTACATTAATGTTGACCTAGTGGGAGATTTTTGTGTGGAGGAGGTCCTCTTAAATTTTTTTAATGCATTAGGTGAAATGAAAGTATCTATAATCTTCAAAAGCAAAAACTCCAAGAAACACAGTCATCTGATAATAACAGCAATGAAATGAAAGGAAAATATTGGCAAACATAATCTAAGAGACCCCTAGCTAGCAAGGTTCATAAACCCAGTTAGATAATCTTTCCCTACTCCCATTAAGTCATTGCCAAATCACTGCAATCAGATTTGAGTATCACTAATAGCAAATTGCTGGAAATTGAACCAGATGCTCAAAAGCTTTCATGATTATTCACCAAATAGCCAGAGATTAAAAACACTAGATAAGATCAATCTGGGCCAGGAAAGACCCAACAAGTTGTAATCAGTAACTTGAGCCATCTGGCCAGGCTCTGCCTTCTTTTGGGTCATAGCTTGGCAACTTCATTAGCATTATGCTTTGAGTTATAATTTTTAAATAATGTGGAACGTTATTTCTGTCATGAACGAGACAAGTGATAGCTGGAGATATAAATACTACTCTTGCTACACGCTATTATATGTTGAGATTAAGACAAATGGGGCATTTATATACTTGACTTAAAGGTGACTTGCTACATAAACTTTATAACCAATCCTGTCTTCAGACCTGCCAGTTGAAGATAAGAGTCCCCTCTACCCCCAAAATACACAATGTTCTGAAGATTTATGAAAACTAGTATCATCCAATAGCAATAATAATAATTTATTCATACAGGACTTTAAGGTTTTCATTGCTCTTTTGTCTACAGAATTTCAACAGTTTGAAATAGTGATATAAGTTTTCTCCTTCAATATCTTTATTTTTGCTACTCAAAGTCTGTCCCTGCATCAGCACCAATGGGGTAACCTGGAAATTTGTTAGAAATGCAGAGTATCAGCCTTACCCTAGACCTACTAAAAAAGAATATGTACTGTAACAACACCCCTAGGTGATTCATACACGTTAAATTTTTGCATGTATCAGAATCATCTAGAGTATTTGTTAAAACATGCTTTTTGTGTCTCACCAGGAATTCACTAGATCTGGAATGGGAAAAACAATTTGTATTTCCAACAAGTTCTCCATCATGTCCATGCTGATGGTCTGGAGACCACAGTTTAAGAACTACCATTCTTGCCTAGAGGATGTTATGTTTTTTCCCTAGTTTGGTAACAGATTATTCATGTTTCAAGCAAGATAATGCAGGGCATTAAGTTTAGGCACATTCCATTTAATAGCCGCTAACTTGATTAAAATTATGATTGACCAATGCAGAACATACATGTTGCAAGAGGCTGCCCAACTCACCAGGATTCTCCCAATCACAGCAGCTACGCTCCCTGTCCGATCTCCTGACAATGTGGATGGTTAGAACCAAAGTAGGCACAACACACCCTGTCTGGTCCAATCAAATTCTCTCATCTGGAATTTGAAATCCCAAATAAAGACAAGGCCTCTATTTTCTGATTTCCCCAGGCTTAGTGGTTCGGTTCTTCCACCAATCCTTTACATTACCCAATATTCTTCCAATAATTTATTATTTTAGCAAGTTTACAGAATTAGTAGAAATGCTTTTCATCATTTTTTAAATAATTATTTCTTCCAAGAATCCTTTTTTGTTTCAGTCTACCGATGTTTGAATAAAGGAGCCATAAGGGAGTGCCAGAGAGTATAAATAATGAAAACAGGCACTTCTTTTGCAACTCCAATGGCCATTATCCTTGTTCCCTATTGTTTATTGTCTGTTGAATCAGGACTGCATAACCTCTGAGAAGAACCCAGATGGGGATTCTGTTGGTGTTGGTACGATGCCCAGCACTGACAGTAACTGTGGAACCCAGTGCTCACATGTCTGCCCTTTTGTGTGTAGAGAAGTCATAACCATCCTGAAAACGTATTCTCGGCAAGTGGGGAGAAGCTATATGAAAATCAGCAGGGAAGGGGAAGAGTGGGGCATACCAGGAGCAGGAAAAAGAATGCCTTGCTCCAGCAGCTCTCATGAGGCACTCTCCATTTTCTAGAACATGCCAAGACTCCATTTCTGACATAAATTTTCAGTGCTTGGGAAAGACATTTTTACCCTGAGAAGGAACTCAGTATATGAAACTGCATCAGTAGTTGAACTTAGTCTCTGGAGAACCACCAAACTCTATGTAGGATTCCTGAAGGCAAGATTGGTCTGATTCACCAATCAGAACTACCGCCATCACCACCATCAAAGGTTTCCATGCTTAATCTCTCCAACTTTTCATAAGTTAATGTCCTCTTGGTGAACAAGATGTTAAGGAACAACAAGCTCCATGTCTCTAATTAGCACCACATTGAAGTATATCATTAGCTTTTAATTAAATCCTTTAACTAGTTGTTTCTTTTTCTAATGGTTAAAAGCATTCTGAACCAGTCAAGGCTGGAAACGACAAATAAATTCATAGAGCAATGCATCTGCATGGAGACCAAAGGGGCAACCAAGGAAGAGGGGACAGGAAACAGGCCTGTTGGCCTTAAATCCCAAGGCAGATGTTTCTTCCTTCCCTCCCCTCACAGGCTCACAGACTTTTATGGAGAAAGAGGATAACAAGATGAATTTGCAGCAGAGATGGTGACAGGACGTTGCAGGCCTGATGCTCATGGGGCCCCACAACATCTCTCATTCTCCAGTCAGCCCAGAATTGTCAAAGCACTGTCCTCCTGGTCTTCCTCAAATATAGGGCAGCTGGGGCGGCCCCCACTTCCCAGAGTCTTAAGAATATCCAAGCTTCACCTGGGGGTCAGAATAAAAATGACCTGTAGCAAGGAACTGTTACCTCCATATAGTAACCAAATAATTCAGGAGGAGAAGACAGGAGGCTCTCAAGGTTGCGATTTGAAGAAGTGTATTGCCATCTGCTTACCAGATGTAAAGACTTAAGAATAAACACAAAAGTAGATGAGAACCATAAGAAAAAGTAACCCAGATGTTAGCTGAGGCCTCTCTGGCCCTCAGAAAACAAGGTATGATTGATTCAAAGCTCCATTTTCATGTCCTGTGCAGGCCCAAATCCTTCTCCAAAATAACTATAAATTCCACTGAAGGAAGGCGTGAGGTGTAGGGACTGATAGGTTATAGATCACCTCTGGCTACAGCCTACTACTTCTTCAATCTACTGATCATCTCGACATCTTACAGGAGCTGCCTCTGCTCTGAGTCACATCAGCCCCATAGCAAACTCAGCATCTGTCTTAATCTCCTCACACAGGCAGGTGCACATTCTCTGTCTCTGTCTCTCTCTCACACAGACACACATACACATACACACTTTACAAGGAAATGAGTAAATGTGGTGTTATTTTAAGATTTGTCCAGATATGGAGGAGGGATTTTTTAAAGATTTGCGGGGACCGCTCTCCCAGGTGCATTTCAATAATTGCCTTGTTGTTTATCTGACCCCTCAGCCTCAGGCCATCTTGCTCACTCCACTTCTCTTCCTCCTTCTCTCTCTTCATTTCCTCTTTCTCAAGAGGAGAAATATATTCCTGTTATTGCCTCATGCAAAGCAGTTTGACGATCTCTTTTGCTGTCTTGGCTCCTGGCCTCACCATGTCCTCAGGATCTCAACTTCAGGGCAGCAGTTCTTGGTGTTGTCTAGAGAACAGCAGCAGCAGCATGACCTGGGAACTTGGCAGTGCAAATTCTCAGGTTTCACCACAGACCTACTAGATCAATAATTCTAGGGGCGGGCTCAGAAATCTGTCTTAACCAGACTTCCAAGTGATTCTGATGTATTAAAGTTTGAGAACTATTGCTTTAAAGAATAACAGTTAAGCAGCTGATAGAAGAAGAGCTGCCAGTAAAGAAATGGAGAATAGTTCCACCGCAAAACACTGCTTTCAGTGGCAGTGGCAACAAGTGGCTGGGAGGGAGGAGAACATAGGCCACCACCACCATCCCTGTAATCTCTTATTACTTTTCTAATGTAGAATCTCAATACAAATGCCCCATCTCCCAATTCCCACTAGATTGCCATACTTTTCCAATAAGCTCCTTTATAAAATAGTCTGAAGCTGCCAGTAATTGCTCTAGTGCTGCTTTAGCTGTTACATAAACGTGTGATACAAGATTCGCAGAATATATTTATAATCAGAAAACAGTTATTAAAGATAGATACAAAATAAGGATAGGTAGTTGAGCACAACTGTGGGGACCAAGACAATGAGTGATTAATTCTGGTTTAGGTTTATATTATAAATCAGAACCTCTTCTTTATTTTGTATAAATGAATTGGAGCACTGAGCAAATAATATATGCAAAAGATATGCCAGCTGGTCTGAAATTCTAACAATATATCATTACAGAAGCTGGGCATTGGCTAAGGTTTTGTTTGTTGGTTTGTTGGTTGGTTGGTTGTTTTTGCTTTTCACGGTACATAGTTTTAGGGGTGTTTCTATATGTGATCAAGGTCTGTCATTGGAAACAAACTTCACAAAAGGTATCACACAGCCAACAGCCTCAGTAGGAGAAAAAAGGCAAAGGAATGTGTGGGAGGGAAAGATAGAGAAATAGAAGGGCCTATGCCCTAGATTCTTCTAACTCCAGTTAGAAAAAACAAGAACAAGCATCCTCCCCAGTTTAGGCAATTCATGATGTATCTCTTGGCCTGATATTAATTGTTTTATGTCCAAAACTCTGTTGTAATTGTAAAAGCAAAAGTAGTCTGTAGGATTTTTTTCAATGAAGTTAAAAATATTCTCCTGATTTTCTAGTATATTTTACATGCCTTCCTACATAGTTGATATTTTGATTAGTTATATATTGTTGCATAACAAAGTACTGCAAAATACAGTGCCTTAAGACAACAAACACATATTATGAAGTCTCTGGGATGAGAAATCCAAGAGCAGCTTACCTGGGTTTTTATGTCTCAGGTTCTCTCATAAGGTTACCATCAAGATGTCAGTCAAAGCTGTATCAAAAAAGCTTGACTGAGCACTTTGTAGGCCGAGGCAGGCAGATCACCTGAAGTCAGGAGTTTGAGACAAGCGTCGCCAGCATGGCAAAACCCCATCTCTACTGAAAATACAAAAATTAGCCAGGCGTGGTGGCGGGTGCTTGTAATCCCAGCTACTTATGAGGCTGAGGCAAGAGGATCGCTTGAATCTGGGAGGTGGAGGTTGCAGCATGCTGAGATTGCAACACTGCACTCCAGCCTGGGCGACAGAGTGAAACTCCATTTCAATAAATAAATAAATAAATAAAAGCTTGACTGAGGCTGGAGGATGATTCACCTCCAGGATGGCTTACTCTTGTGACTGTTTGCAGGAAGCTCAGTTTCTCACCACATGGGCATCTCCATAAAGCTGCTCACAAAATGGCAGCCAGTTTCCGCTAGAGTATGAATTCCAAGAGAGAAAGAATGGTGTCCTGTAAGCCTAGTCTCTGAAGTTGCATACCATCACTCCCACTTTATTCTATTTGGCACTAAGTACAGCCTAGACTCCCTAGGATGGGAATTAGGCTCCACCTCTTCGAGTAGTATCAAAGAATTTTATCTACATCATCTAATATGTAAAACAAGTTGGCAAGGTAAGGCTGGGCATGGTGGCTCAAGCCTGTAATACTAGCACTTTGGGAGGCTGAGGCAGGCAGATCACTTGAGGTCAGGAGTTCAAGACTAGCCTGGCCAAAATGGTTAAACTCCATCTCTACTAAAAATACAAAAATTAGCTGGGTGTGGTAGCATGTGCCTGTAGTCCCAGATACTTGGGAGGCTGAGGCAGAAGCATCGCTTGAACCTGGGAGACGGAGGTTGCAGTGAGCTAAGATCAGCCACTGCACTCCAGCCTGGGGTGACAGAGTGAGACTCTGTCTCAAAGAGAAAAAAAAAAATGGGGAGGTATAAATGGATCTAAAAGGAAATAAAGTTTCCATGGTTCACACAAAGTGGAAAATGTTGATACTAGTGATCACATAAGTCACATTAAAATACTAAATGTTGATACTAATGATTACATGATAAGTCACATTAAAATTAAAATACAAAACCACAAAGAAAACTACTGAAAGAGAGACACTCAAGAACAATATAAATAACTCAAGAAGGAATCTCAAAAAATGTTAAGTGACTCACAAAAAAGCAAAAAAATAGAAAAGAATAAACAACAGAAAACAAATAATTAAATTACAGACTTAAGACCTAACAATGGAAATGGTCTAATTACACCATCTTTTAAAGGCAGAAAGTAGCAAGGTATATTAAACACACACACACACACACACACACACCCCACCTACATGCTACTTACAAGAAACTCACTTCAAATTCAATAATAAAACTAAGCATGCAATTACCATATGACCAAGCAATTGCACTATTGAGCATTTATCCCAAAGAAATGAAAATGTATGTTCACACCAAAACCTATACAAAAATATTCTTAGCAGTTATATTTAAAAAGTGAAAAACTGGGGAAAAAAAGAATAGATAACTTTCAATAAGTGAATGGTAAAACAAACAGTGGTACATTCATACCATTGAATATTACTCTACATACAATACAAAAGGAGCAAACTATTGAAGCACACAACTCAGATGAATTTCAAGGAAATGCTCAGTTAAAAAAAAAAAGCCAATTCCAAAAAGTTGCAGGCTGTGTGATTCCATTCCCATAATATGCTTGAAACGATAAAATTTTAGAAATAAAGAACAGGCATGGTTGCAAGGGGTTAGGGATGGGAGTGAGAGTAAGAGGGAGGTGGGCATGGTAAAGGAAAAGCATGCAGCAACATGAGGGATCCCTGTGGTGATCTAACTGATCTGCATCTTTAATGTTGTGTTGGTAGTAGCATGTAGGTAAACCCGTATGTGATAAAATATCACTATATACACTGCATACTATACAGTGTTTGTGCTATATAGTGATAAAATATCACCACATACACACACAAATGAGTGCAAGTAAAATTGAGGAACTCTGAATAAAATTGGTGCATTATATCAATGTCAATATCTGTGTTTTTAATTCACTTGTGATACTGTACTATTGTAAGATGTTACCACTGGGGAAAACTAGGTAAAATGTATTAGGTAAGTGGATCTCTCCATAGTATTTCTATGATTCCATGTGAATCTACAATTATCACAAAAGTTTAAAAATTTAATTTAAAAAATACATCTTTATATGTCTTTATAGTCAAATGTAAAGTCTGCAATAACACTCTTCCTGAATGCTTAACTAATATTTGCACCCCTGCAGCTCACAATCATGTTAGCTAGAAGATCTTAAAAAAAAATGCAATGTTGGAATATCAGACTCCCTTCCAGTAGAAAATGTGATTACACATACCTGAAGGAACCATGTGATAAATAAAGATTTGTGATTTCCAAATTAATGAAAAGTATTACCCTAGCCTGGATCTCTGCCAGGAAATATAAGATAAGCAAAAGTCTGCATACTACTGGAAAGTCAAATATGTTACCTTTTAAGGAATCAACAATCACAAGAAAATTAGAATGGCTTGCTTAAAACTAGAGTATGCATTCAAGTGTACATAAGACCTGCTAGTTAAACAGATTTTTCAAACAGTCACTTTAAGCTACTTTTGTCTTCAGTCTGTACAGGAATGCATATGCGTTTATGTATCTATCAGTAAGTCTGTCTGTCCTGTGGTGTGGTGGTGTTCCTATTTCTAGTTCTTCTGTATCAAAAAGCTTGGCTACTTTATTAGTAGTTCAGCCTTTAATTCATCTGGAGTTCAACAGTAACTCAAGTTTCCTTTGAGGAACTTAAAATAATGTATTCTCTTTCTGGTAAATGCCAGATACTCTGATTTTTTATTTGCTATGGCCAATATTCAGGAGTTTGAGATATAATTTTTTCAAATAGTAGCTTGATTGTAACTTGCCTTTACAACTTGATATTTATGAAAAGTAAATGTAAATTAAGTTCATTTTGTTAATGTTTACATAATTCAGATTGATGGAAGTTATCTTATAAACTTATTTCTTTTCCAGATTATTGCTAGAACTTTTAAGAAATGCTTATTTTTGGGAGGTGGCTGGCAAGATGGCCGAAGAGGAACAGCTCCGGTCCGCAGCTCCCAGCAAGATCAACACAGAAGACAGGTGATTTCTGCATTTCCAACTGAGGTACCCGGCTCATCTCATTGGAACTGGTTAGACAGTGGGTACAGCCCACAGAGGGTGAGCTGAAGCAGGGTGGGTTGGTGCCTCACCGGGGAAGGGCAAGGGGCCAGGGAACTCCCTCCCCTAGCAAAGGGAAGCCGTGATGGACTGTGCCATGAAGGACGGTGCATTCTAACCCAGATACTAGGCTTTTCCCATGGTCTTCACAACCCACAGACCAGGAGATTCCCCTGGGTGCCTACACCACCAGGGCCCGGGGTTTCAAGCACAAAACTGGGTGGCCATTTGGGCAGACACTGAGCTAGCTGCAGGAGTTTCTTTTCATACACCAGTGGTGCCTGGAATGCCAGCAAGACAGAACCATTCACTACCCTGGAAAGGGGGCTGAAGCCAGGTAACCAAGTGGTCTAGCTCAACGGATCCCACCACTACAGAGCCCAGCACTGGTTTGAAATTCTGACTGCCAGCACAGCAGTCTGAAGTCGAGCTGGAATGCTCAGGCTTGGTGGGGGGAGGGGCATCTGCCATTACTGAGGCTTGAGTAGGCAGTTCTCACCTCACAGTGTAAACAAAGCCATCAGGAAGTTCAAACTGGGTGGAACACACTGCAGCTCAGCAAAGCCACTATAGCCAGACTGTCTCTCTAAGATTCCTCCTCTCTGGGCAGGGCATCTCTGAAAGAAAGGCAGCAGCCCTAGTCAGGGGCTTATAGATAAAACTTCCGTCTCCCTGGGACAGAGCATCTGGGGGAAGGGGCAGCTGTGGGCACAGCTTCAGCAGACTTAAATGTTCCTGCCTGCCAGCTCTGAAGACAGCAGGGGATTTCCCAGCACAGCGCTCGAGCTCTGCCAAGGGAGAAGCTGTCTCCTCAAGTGGGTCCCTAACCCCCGTGCCTCCTCACAAGGAGACACCTCCCAGCAGGGGTCGACAGACACCTCATACAGGAGAGCTCCGGCTGGCGTCTGGTGGGTGCCCCTCTGGGATGAAGCTTCCAGAGGGAGGAACAGGAAGCAATCTTTGCTGTTCTGCAGCCTCCGCTGGTGATACCCAGGCAAACAGGGTCTGGAGTGGACCTCCAGCAAACTCCAGCAGACCTGCAGCAGCGGGGCCTGACTGGTAGAAGGAAAACGAACAAACAGAAAAGAATGGCATCAACATCAACAAAAAGGACATCCACACAAAAACCCCATTCAAAGGTCACCAACATCAAGGGTCAAAGGTAGATAAATCCACGAAGATAAGAAAAATCAATGCCAGTGCAAAAAGGCTGAAAATTTCGAAAACCAGAATGCCTCTTCTCCTCCAAAGGATCACAACTCCTCGCCAGCAAGGGAACAAAACTGGATGGAGAATGAGTTTGACGAACTGACAGAAGTAGGCTTCAGAAGGTGGGTAATAACAAATTCCTTTGAGCTAAAGGAACATGTTCTAACCCAGTGCAAAGAAGCTAAGAACCTTGAAAAAAAGGTTAAAGGAATTGCTAACTAGAATAAGCAGTTTAGAGAAGAACATAAATGGCCTGATGGAGCTGAAAAAATACAGCACAAGAACTTCATAAAGCATACACAAGTATCAATAACCAAATTGAACAAGCAGAAGAAAGGATATCAGAAATTGAAGATCAACTTAATGAAATAAAATGTGAAGACAAGATTAGAGAAAAAAGAATGAAAAGCAATGAACAAAGCCTCCAAGAAATATGGGACTATGTGAAAATATCAAATCTACGTTTGATTGGTGTACCTGAGTGATGGGGAGAATGAAACCAAGTTGGAAAACACTCTTCAGGATATTATCCAGGAGAACTTCCCCAATCTATTAAGGCAGGCCAACATTCAAATTCAGGAAATCCACATAGACACTCCTTGAGAAGAGCAACCCGAGACACATAACCATCAAATTCACCAAGGTTGAAATGAAGGAAAAAATGTTAAGGGCAGCCAGAGAGAAAGGGTGGGTTGCCCACAAAGGGAAGCCCATCAGACTAACAGCAGATCTTTCTATATATAAGCCAAAAGAGAGTGTGGGCCAATATTCAACATTATTAAAGAAGAGAATTTTCAACCCAGAATTGCATATCCAGCCAAACTAAGCTTCATAAGTGAAGGAGAAATAAAATCCTTTACAGACAAGCAAATGCCGAGGGCTTTTGTCACCACCAGGCCTGCCTTACAAGAGCTCCTGAAAGAAGCACTAAATATGGAAAGGAAAAACCAGTACCAGCCACTGCAAAAACATAGCAAATTGTAAAGACCACCGACACTATGAAGAAACTGCATTAACTAACGGGCAAAATAACCAGCTAGCACCATAATGACAGCATCAAATTCACATATAATAATATTAACCTTGAATGTAAATGGGCTAAATGCCCCAATTAAAAGACACAGACTGGCAGACTGGCAAATTGGATAAAGACTCACGACTCATTGGTGTGCTGTATTCAGGAGACCCTTCTCATGTGCAAAGACACACATAGGCTCAAAATAAAGAGATGAAAGAGATTTACCAAGCAAATGGAAAGCAAAAAGAAGCACAGGATGCAATCCTAGTCTCTGATAAAACAGACTTTAAACCAACAAAGATCAAAAAAGACAAGAGCATTACATAATGGCAAAGGGATCAATGCAACAAGAAGAGCTAACTATCCTAAATATATATGCACCCCATACAGGAGCACCCAGATTCATAAAGCAAGTTCTTAGAGACCTACAAAGAGACTTAGACTCCTGCACAATAATAGTGGGAGACTTTAACACCCCACTGTCAAAATTAGATCAAAGAGACAGAAAATTAACAAGGATATTCAGGACTTGAACTCAGCTCTGGACCAAGCAGACCTAATAGACATCTACAGAACTCCCCATGTCAAATCAACTCTCCACCTCAAGTATACATTCTTCTCAGCACCACATCGCACTTATTCTAAAATTGACCACATAATTGGAAGTACAACACTCCTCAGCAAATGCAAAAGAACAGAGATCATAACAGACAGTCTCTCAGACCACAGTGCAATCAAATTAGAACTCAGGATTAAGAAACTCACTCAAAACCACACAAGTATATGGAAACTGAACAACCTGCTCCTGAATGACTACTGGGTAAATAACGAAATTAAGGCAGAAATAAATAAGTTATTTGAATGAGAGTTCAATGAGAACAAAGACAAAACGTACCAGAATCTCTGGGACATGGCTAAAGCAGTGTTTAGAGGGAAATTTATAGCACTAAATGCCCACAGCAGAAAGCGGGAAAGATCTAAAATCAACACCCTAGCATCACAATTAAAAGAAGTAAAGAATCAAGAGCAAACAAATGCAAAAGCCAGCAGAAAACAAGAAATAACTAACAGAACTAAAGGAGACAGAGACACCAAAAACCCTTCAAAAAAATCAGTGAATCCAGGAGCTGGTTTTTTTAAAAGATTAACAAAATAGATAGACTGCTAGCCAGACTAATAAAGAAGAAAAGAGAGAAGAATCAAATAGACACAATAAAAAATGATAAAGGGGAGATCACCACTGATCCCACAGAAATAAAAACTTATGAACTACCATCAGAGAATACTATAAACACCTCCATGCAAATAAACTAGAAAATCTAGAAGAAATTGATAAATTCCTGAACACATACACCCTCCCAAGACTAAACCAGAAAGCAGTCGAATCCCTGAATAGACCAATAACAAGTTCTGAAATTGAGGCAGTAATTAATAGCCTACCAACCAAAAAAAGCCCAGGACCAGATGGATTCACAGTCCAATTCTACCAGAGGTACAAGAGGAGCTTGTACCCTTCCTTCTAAAAATATTCCAAACAATAGAAAAAGAGGGACTCCTCCCTAACTCATCTTATGAGGCCAGCATCATTCTGATACCAAAAACTGGCAGAGACACAACAACAACAAAAATTTCAGGCCAATATCCCTGATGAACATTGATGCAAAAATCCACAATACAATACTGGCAAACTGAATCCAGCAGCATATCAAAAAGCTTATCCACCAAGACCAAGTTGGCTTCATCCCTGGGATGCAAGGCTGGTTCAACATATGCAAATCAATAAACACAATCCATCACATAAACAGAACCAATGACAAAAATACATGATTATTTCAATAGATGCAGAAAAGGCATTCAACAAAAATCTACAGCCCTTCGTGCTAAAAACTCTCAATAAACTAGATATTGATGGAACATATCTCAAAATAATAGGAGCTATTTATGAAAAACCCACAACCAATATCATACTGAATGGGCAAAAACTAGAAGCATTCCCTTTGAAAACTGGCACAAGACAAGGATGCCCTCTCACACTCCTATTCAACATCGTATTGGAAGTTCTGGCCAGGGCAATCAGGCAAGAGAAAGAAATAAAGGATATTCAAATAGGAAGAGAGGAAGTCAAATTGTCTGTTTGCAGATGACATGATTGTATATTAGGAAAACCTCATTGTCTCAGCCCAAAATCACCTTAAGCTGATAAGCAACTTCAGCAAAGTCTCAGGATACAAAATCAATGTGCAAAAATCACAAGCATTCCTATACACCAATAATAGAGAAGCAGCCAAACCATGAGTGAACTCCCATTCACAATTGCTAGAAAGAGAATAGAATACCTAGGAATACAACTTACAAGGGATGTGAAGGACCTCTTCAAGTAGAACAATAAACCACTGCTCAAGGAAATAAGACAGGACACAAACAAATGGAAGAATATTCTATGCTCATGGATAGGAAGAATCAATATCGTGAAATGGCCATACTGCCCAAAGTAATTTATAGATTCAATGCTATCCCCATCAAGTTACCATTGGCTTTCTTCACAGAATTAGAAAAAAACTACTATAAATTTCATATGAAATCAAAAAAAGAGCCCATATAGACAAGACAATCGTAAGCAAAAAGAACAAAGCTGGAGGCATTATGCTACCTGACTCCAAACTATACTACAAGGCTACAGTAACCAAAACAGCATGGTACTGGTACCAAAATAGACATATAGACCAATGGAACAGAACGGAGGACTCAGAAATAATGCCACACATCTACAACCATCTGATCTTTGACAAACCTGACAAAAATGAGCAATGGGGAAAGGATTCCCTATTTAATAAATGCTGTTGGGAAAACTGGCTAGCCATATGCAGAAAGCTGAAATTGGACCCCTTCCTTACACCCTATACAAAAATTAACTCAAGACAGATTAAAGACTTAAATGTAAGACCTAAAACCATAAAAACTCTAGAAGAAAACCTAGGCAATACCATTCAGGACATAGACATGGGCAAGGCCTCATGACAAACACCAAAAGCAATGGCAACAAAACCAAAATTTGACAAACCAGATCTAATTAAACTAAAGAGCTTCTGCACAGCAAAAAAATAAACTATCATCAGAGTGAACAGGCAACCTACAGAGTGGGAGAAAATTTTTGCAATGTCTCCATCTGACAAAGGGCTAATATCTAGATTCTACAAGAAACTTAAACAAATTTACAGGAGAAAAACAAACAACCTCAACAAAAAGTGGGCCAAGGATATGAACAGACACTTCTCAAAAGAAGGCATTTACGCGGCCAACAGACATATGAAAAAAAGCTCATCATCACTGGTCATTAGAGAAATGCAAATCAAAACCAAAATGAGATACCATCTCATGCCAGTTAGGATGGCAATCATTAAAAGTCAGGAAACAACAGATACTGGAGAGGATGTGGAGAAATAGGAATGCTTTTACACTGTTGATGGGAGTGTAAATTAGTTCAACCATTGTGGCAGGCAGTGTGGCAATTCCTCAAGTATCTAGAACCAGAAATACCATTTGACCCAGCAATCCTATTACTGGGTATAGACCCAAAGGATTATAAATCATTCTACTATAAAGATACATGCACACATATGTTTATTTCAGCACCGTTCACAATAGCAAAGACTTGGAACCAACCCAAATGCCCATCAATCATAGACTGGATAAAGAAAATATGGCACATATACACCATGGAATACTATGCAGCCATAAAAAAGGATGAGTTCTTGTCCTTTGCAGGGACATGGATGAAGCTGGAAACCACCATTCTCAGTAAACTAACACAGGAACAGAAAACCAAACACCACATGTTCTCACTCATAAGTGGGAGGTGAACAATGAGAACACATGGACACAGGGAGGGGAACATCACACACCGGGGGCTGCTGTGGGGTGGGGAGCTAGGGGAGGGATAGCATTAGAAGAAATACCTAATGTAGATGACAGGTTGATGGGTGTAGCAAACCAACAAGGCACGTGTATTCCTAGGTAACAAACGTGCACATTCTGTACATGTATCCCAGAACTTAAAGTATAATTATATTAAAAAAAAAGAAAAAAATGAACAAGTAAAAGAAAACTAATAAAAACTCTGCCTTAAAAAAAAAAACAGAAATGCTTATTTTTGAGGGGAGTTTTGCTTATATGCAGAACATCATAAGGAGATAAATTGCATGTTTACAGTGATTATTTCAGGTGATATGGTTCACAGTAACTTTTTTTTATTAATGTCTTATTTTCCAAAGTTGCTGCACCAGGTATGTATTAGTTTTGAAACCAGAAAATATATTCTTGAAAAACATGAATAGATTTCATTTTGTGTGATAATATTTATGTAAAAACTCGGGCCGGGCACAGTGGCTCCCACCTGTAATCCCAGCACTTTGGCAGGCCAAGGCAGGTGGATCACCTGAGGTCAGGAGTTCAAGACCAGCCTGGCCAACATGGCGAAACCCCATCTCTACTAAAAATGCCAAAAAACAAAAAAAAGAATGTGCTCTGGAAAGTGATTCAAACAAAATACATCCACACGCAGAGAGTGATTCTTTTCTGGATAATAGAACTATGGCTCATATTTCCTTCCATTTTTCTAATTTTTCTCACTTTGCATAATGAGCATTTATTAATTTCATAATGAGGAGATAATGTAAAGCATATTCATACCACCTCCCAGTGTCTTATTCTTCTCAAATATCACAGTAGCAGCAGTTGCACTCTATGAAATCTTAGCTCTGGCTTTTCACAGAAGAGTGTGTCAGCAGACAGAGTTTCACACTGATATTAGTCACTGAGCAAAGAGAAAAAAGCAAATAACCAAATTCATAAAGAACCTTAGTAACCGCAAAAGAAACCAAGTCAAGCATACACTAGTGTTCCAGGTGACAATATATGTCTTCCACAGAGGTTACTCATAACATAAAGATTATCTCTGGTCTTCTTTCAATACTGATATAAGCAGCTCAAAGCAAAGAGAAGGATACTGACATGGATGTGCTTAAAGAGAAAGGTGGCTTTTTAAAAAACAGAGGTGATCACAGATGCAACATCAGACAGGGATTATTCACTGAACAGTGCAGTTCGTATAGAAAACCATAAGCACTCTCTCCTCCCCAAAACCATTTTGAAATCCTCGACACCTACCTGCTCCCTGCCAGACACTCAAACTCAAAATGCCAAACACTAAAGAAGGAATTACAATCATTGGAGGGAAACGATTGTTGGGCCAATACTAAGTACAGAATAAAAACTTGTAACAATAATTCAGTTTCAAAAGAATAACACTAAATTAAAGCCAACTCATAACTGTATATCTTTATCTTACTTCTCTCAATCATGGTAGAATTTGATGAATATAAAATAATGTTTAAAATAAAATTGAAAAGATAATAATAAGCTCTGACTTATCATTTATTAATTGCTTTCTGCCTTAGTCTGAGTTTCCCAGAAAGCAGAACGTCATGCAAAGGCTTATGTGCTACTTTGTTAAGGTGTACAAGCCCAGGGAGACAGGAGTGCGGAAGGGGGAAGTAAATCAAAGAAGGAGGGAAATAAAATGCAAGTCGTATATAGAGCCCCTCGGATTGTTCTATCTTCTGTAACCATCTTCTAAGAGGCTGTATAAACTATCTCAGAACAATCCACCCAAGGTGAGAAAGAGAAAAAAATTACCCACCACTCATTATCAAAGTTTTTGCCCACTGATACTGATTTCCTTGAATCCCTGGGATGCACATACATGGGGACTTAGGAGGTCACGCACGGTCTCACATTCAGCACAGGTGAAGGGGTAAAAGGTACACAGTACAGGCAGAAAGCAAAGCACTGTCACATTCTTCCCTTGTGGGGCCAGTAGCTGCAGCAACTCAGTACAAGCACCCAGAAACTCTAGATACAGGTGAAGCCAAAAGATGAGTTGTCATGTGGAATATCTTGATGCAGCCCAATCCTTGCATTGCTCAGTCCTCTCGCATAATATACAGTTCCTATACAAGAATTAGACTTCCATTGTTAAAATAAAATGTACTGTTAAAACAAAAAGACCTGTCCTCTCAGCAAAGCAGTATGGTTTAAAACAGCTTTATTCCTATTAAGTGGTATATTAACTGGAAATGTTTGGGAACCACTGAAAATGTAAGTTTGCTTGTGCTTTTGAGATGGGGGAGAGATGGAGAAAGTCCGTGCCATCCATGCTGTGAAAGCCTTTGATCTTCCTTAATTTGCCATTACCTTGATCGGTTTGGACCAAGTTCAGAAGAGCCTTCTCTATACAAACATTAGCATTAATTATGGGTAAATAGCAGCACGAATTATGAGATCTTTGTACAGTTTTAGCATCTATGGTCTTATATGCTACAACTAGAAAGCCACTGCACAGAAAGCTAGAAAACGTTTGTTACCATTCAGGCTTAATCATTGTCAGCCTTAGGTAAATTGTTCACTCAAATATTTATGGTATAACTACTATATATCAAGCACTTTTCTAGTCTTCACAAATAATAAAATGAAAGTATCATTCCTGCCCTCAAGGAGTTCAGAATCTAAATGGAGTAATTTAAATTTTAATGGAAAAACTTATAGTCTGATGCAAAAATCTACCCAGATCTCCAGATCTCAATTTCCTCAAGGAGAAAATGCCATCTAGATGTTTTATAAGGCTCTTCCAGCTCCGTAAAAGCTTGCTACCCACAGCAAACAGCAAAGTAAATAAAGCAGATGCCTCATCCCCATGCCTTTCCATGCATAACTGGTTCAGATTTGGCCCATGCTGGAACGCAGACCACTTACCTTCAAATGCACCTTCATTGCATAGGTCTCAGGAGGCTAGGTTTTCAAGCCACCCTGCAAGGTTATGACCTAGATTTTGAACCAGATAGAATTCAAGATCACTACAGCCAGGGTCAGGCTTATAAGTGCTGAGCCCATCTAAACATGGCTTCCCCACTTCGAACACTTCCTATCCATGAAAACCCAGCATACCTTGCATCAGAAGGGTCAGGACATGGATGACATTCAAGTTTCCTTTTAGCTCTAAGGATTCTAAGAAACCTGGGGAATATTTACTCAAATAAATAGCAAATAAAAGCATGAAACTTACAGCCTGTGAGAGGAGCAGACATGTAAGAAGCCCAACTTTACTGCTAGTGAAAGTGCTTTAATCACTGATTGCCCAGCATGCTTTGAGTGCATACAACAGGATGAAGGACAGGATATGAAGGGAAGATAGGAAGAGCTCCCAGGGGCAGGCAACGTAAGGAAAGAATAAGAATACTAAAAAATCAAGTCTCACATTGCTAAACCAGAAACACCTTTCTATGATTAGTTTAGCCTCTTAGATGAATTACAAAACTATTGTTCCTAATAAAGTTCCTGGGTGAAACTAAGTACTATGAGAATTAGGCACTACTCCTGGAGCGAATATGAGTCTCCTGTGAGAGGGAAGTAAATGTAGGAGTTTCAACTCTGAATGCGCCTCTTGGTGATAAAGAGAGAAGGATAATTCCTGCAGCTGTGCCCCCCAGACGTTAGCCTGCATAAGAATCACCTGGAAGGCTTATTAAAACACAGAATCCTGGACCCTGGATTCTTAATACACTGCCCCAAATTCTGATTCAGTAGATCTAGGGTGAGAGTGAGGAATTAGTATTTCTAGAGAAATCTCACATAATGTTGATGATGCTGGTCCTTGGACCACACATGTAATGGCATTGCCCTAGAGCAGTGGTTCTCAAATATTGGCCTACTTCAGAATTACCTTGAGGGCTTGTTAAAATATAGGTTGCACCTGGGCCCCACCCGCAGCATTTCTGATTTAGTAGGTCTGTGCAGGGTTTAGAAATTTCCATTTCTAACAAGTTCCCAGGTGATGTCCAGGCTGCTTGTCCTGCCACCACACTCTGAATAGCTTTGCTCTAGGAACTTTCTACATGACAGTGTTTTTTTCTGAAAAAAATGCCAATTTCTAGAAATCTTCACAAAAGAGATGCTGGAGCAGTAGATGGCATATGTAGGCTAGAGTCAAATGGAAGGCAGAGAATATCAATGAGAAAGAATATATGGTAGGGAGAGACCAAATAGGAGGAAAAGAGGAAACATCTCAAGCATGCCCCAACAAAGTGATGAAGTGGAAAGAACACTAGTTTTTCGGTCACATAGACATAGGTTCAGATCCCATGTGTGATGCATCTGATGCAAAATATATATCCCAAGCCATTTTCCCAATTGAAAATGTGTATAATGATGCTTATTTCATAGAATTCTTCTGTGTGTTTCATGTGGCAAATACATTCAAACACCTAACACATAATAAACAATAAAGCAATAAAGAACTTTCTTGTACTTAAGTTCGTAAATTTTTGCATATAAAAGGAAAAGCTTGGATCATTTTTCCAGATTTTTTTTCCCATAAGTGTTATGATAGTTCAGTCAAGTGTTCACACATTCCAAAAATGGTTGCTTTCTTGTTAGAGATTGGGGCTAGATGGTTTTAGGTCCTCCTCCTTCTTTAAAGCATTTGATTATTAAGGAAAAACAAGGGATCTTAATTATTATGAATTGAATAAGTACATCTAAAGTATATTATCATTTCCAAAGCAGAAGAAAATGATGTCTGGTTGACTTAGTCCAATCCAGCTTTATAAAGAAATATCTAACAGAATTTGAGGCTGGCATGATATCCATTGCTGATTTCAAGCAAAGGTTAGGCTGAATTTCCAGAACATCCCCACTCATCAGCACTTCCTCCACTCTACCCTATCTTCCTCACCACAAGGAAAATTAGCATTGGGTGTTGTGATTTGAGATACAGGAATTTCCAACGATAAACATGCTAACTATAGTACTCTTCAAGGACCTGTGCGTGGAGAAGAGAACACTAGTTTCCTTCTTATTCTACTCCTTCTGGTCGTCTCAGCATATGCCATGTTATAATCCAAGTTAAAATGATTTAGGTTTCTGCCTATTAACTCCAAGCAAAGTTCAAATCCCACATAAATAAGGTTTTTCTACTGTCAACATAGTGATCATTTTCCTGCACCAGGATTTATTTTCATATTCCCAAAGTTCCTAATTCTGCACGTTTTCCAACTGTTGCCTGCTTCCTGAAATAGTGCTAATTTGACCCAGGGTCTGTTCCTGTCAGTCACTGGATGAGAAGTTTTTTACAATATATTTGTACAACTGTTACACTAGGACAAGGAAGGCAATGGAAATCTCAGGCCAGTATTGGCCATCCCACTTCCAGACCATTCCGAGCAACATTAGACATGCTTCTCAGTTTTTATTAATCTCTCCAAGCAAAGAGATCGCAAACCACTATGCTTTTCTTCTATTTTTAACCTTTATATTTTAATTTACAACAAAGAAATACATATATCTTTTTTAAAAAAGCAAGTTGAACCAAAACGTTTATAATTAAGGTGACAGTATGATTTATTACACAAACTGGGACACTTTTGTCTCACATAAATATTAGAGCAAACAGGATATGAGATATGACACGTAAACCAGAACTGACATGGGCAAACAAATATATGGGGTTGCTCTTATAATGAAAAATAGCAGATCCTGACCCACCCAACTCTCAACTTCACTCCCTACCATAAATCACTGTTAACTCTTTTAGCTATATTTTCTGGAAGTTATCTCCTTTTTTCTGTAGAATTAATTATATGACTAGCTCTCAAATAATCAGTTTTGGGCATTAACTATTGACTTGCTATTATGATAGAATAAAACCGAGTCTTCTTATACCACTGATCTCTCGTTCCCATCCTACTAATATCACTATATCATTATTTTTTGTTAAATTAGTAATAGTTTGCAAAATTGCCTATGTAAATATTATTCACTACAAAACCAAGTAATACCAAAGTATTTTATGAAAGAACTACATTTTTTCTTGTACTCCTTATAGCTCTTTTCCTGAATTTAAGTTGCCTTATTTCTTGATCTTTGTAACTTCAATACTCACATCTTTATTTTATTCTCCAAGTTCTCCATCATAGTCTACCACTGAGTTGTTCTCCTCACCTGCTAAATCATATGTTCTATCAAGTCCCCTTTATTTCCAGACCATCTCCTTCCTGGAGCCCCCAATCCTGCTGCTCCAACCTGAACTAATGCCTGCTGTAGAGGGCTCATCTTGAATATTCTTCCTTCTGAGTCAGAATCACTGTTTCTTGGAAATGATGTTTCATCTTTGATTTATTTCTTCATTGTGATGAAGCACATTCAGAAGAGGCTCTCAAAGAATATATGAGTACCTGAATCCTCGTATGTGTGCAACTGTCTTCACTTTACCTAAATTTTTACTGATAATATGGCTGGACATGACATTGTAATTAGGAAATCATTTTCACTCAAAATTGTGAAATGCTTCATTCCTTCTAGTACCTAGTGTAGCCACAAAGCAGATGCTATTCTAATGCTTATACCTTTATTGGTGACTCAATTTTATTTTTCCTCTCCAGAAATTTTTAGAATCTTCCTCTGTATCCCTGGTCTAGAATTAAGTGCTTTGGGGTGGGTCTTTTTTAATTATGTTACTGGGGCCCATTTCCATCTGTTTAGGAAATATTATTTTATTACTTTGTGGTTATTTTTCTCCTATTGTTTTATCTGTTCTTTACTTATGGAATTCTTTTTATTCAAATTTTGGGCATCATAAATAAACTCTAGTCTTTCATATTTTCCTATTATAACCAATCTCCCTTTGTGTTTCACTCTCGGGAGGTCTTATTGACTATCTTCCAACCATTTACATAATTCTCTCTTTCAGCAATCATATTTCAAACTTGCAAACCTTCTCTTTTTCTAATTTCTCCTTTTCATAGCATCTATTTATTGTTTTATGACTACAATAATCCCTGTTCATCCCTGAATTTGTAATGTGGAATGTTTCTTCTTTTTCCTGAATTATCTGTGTTTCTTCTGGGTTCATTTCATTTATTTATTTTTGACTGTCTGTTTCTGGGAGGGAATTTTCATTATGTGGACAGTGGCTCATGATTGTCCATTCACATTTAATAATAAGACACTAGGAGATTATTGGAAACTCTCCGATTACAAATGAAGATCATTGATTAGAGGCTTCACTTTTGGGTGCCTGAGGTGGAACTTTTCTTTAGACTCCTCTAAGAGCCCCTAGTGTCAATGTGTGGGTATTCTGATTATCTAATGCGCATAATAAGCCATTATAAAATGTAATTCAATGTGCATACCAAAAAGAAAATCTAATAGTTACCTGGTTTTTAACTCATTTCCATTTTCTGTGTATATGTGGATATTTATGGATGCTTTCTTGAATTTCTCTTGCCACACATATGAATACTAATCCAGAGCAATGTCTTGGATCTTTATTGATAGTTGGTTAATATTGGTTATTTACTAAAGGGAAAACTATTGAGGAGAGTATTAGGACAAATCAACTAAAAAGCTTAGATCTCTGATGACTACAAAATCAAAAGGAAGGGTCAACTAACCTAAAGCAGAAGACCTGATTTGCAAACTCACATTACCAGTAGAAACATTTTTAGCTGCAGAAAACTCTATGTGCTTTTAAAAATATTTGCCATTTGACCCTAATTCATTCATTGATTTACCACTGTGAATTTTTTGTATTCTTACTTACTGGGTTTTTTTTTAATTTGCTAAATAGATATTTTTTCATCCAAGGAAGCTCAAATTCAGCTCCTGTAAATATTTTTCTTATGTGGAATAAATTGCTTTAAGTTTGTATTAAAAGCAAACTTAAAGCAATTAAAGGATATACATATGGTGTTTTTTTGTTTTGTTTTGTTTTGTTGTTTTTGTGATAGAGTCTTGCTCTGTCACCCAGGCTGGAATGCAGTGTCACCACTCCACTTACTGCAACCTCTGCACTCCCGGTTCAAGCGATTCTCGTGCCTCAGCCTCCTGAGTAGCTGGGATTACAAGTATGCACCACCACGCCCAGCTAATTTTTGTATTTTTAGTAGAGATGGGGTTTGCCATGTTAGCTAGACTGGTCTCAAACTCCTGGCCTCATGTGATCCACCCACCTTGACCTCCCAAAGTGTTGGGATTATAGGCGTGAGCAATCAAACGTGGCGTAGTGTACCATTTAGTAACATAATTGATCTACCATACATACACACTGCTTTATTGCTGTGATTAGATTTTGGTAGAATAGACAAGAAAAACACACAGAAAGAAATAAAAGATCAATATTCTTCCAGAGCATAGAACAGTTCACCATCATGTTTGGTAATCCACCCAGAATGTTTGTAGAATATCTAAGACACACAGAATTAGATTTAGTTATTAAAAACAAAACACCAAAAGCAATGGCAACAAAAGCCAAAATTGACAAATGGGATCTAATTAAACTAAAGAGCTTCCTCACAGCATAAGAAACTATCATCAGAGTGAACAGACAACTTACAGAATAGGAGAAAATTTTTGCAATCTGTCCATTTAACAAAGGGCTAATATCCAGAATCTACAAAGAACTTAAACAAATTTATAAGAAAAAAAAAACAACCCCATCAAAAAGTGGGCAAAGGATATGAACAGACACTTCTCAAAAGAAGACATTTATGTGTCCAACAAACATATGAAAAAAGCTCATTATCATGGGTCATTAGAGAAATCCAAATCAAAACCACAATGAGATACCATCTCACGCCAGTTAGAATGGCAATCATTAAAAGTCAGGAAACCACAGATGCTGGAGAGGATGTGGAGAAATAGAAAACACTTTTACACTGTTGGTGGGAGTGTAAATTAGTTCAACCATGGTGGAAGACAGTGTGGCAATTCCTCAAGTATCTAGAACCAGAAATACCAGTTGACCCAGCAATCCTATTACTGGGTATAGACCCAAAGAATTGTAAATCATTCTACTATAAAGACACATACACTCGTATGTTTATTTCAGCACTGTTCACAATAGCAAAGACTTGGAACCAACCCAAATGCCCATCAATGATAGACTGGATAAGGAAAATATGGCACATATACACCATGGAATACTATGCAGCCATAAAAAGGATGAGTTCATGTCCTTTGCAGGGACATGGATGAAACTGGAAACAATCGTTCTCAGCAAACTAATACAGGAACAGAAAACCAAACACCACATGTTTTCACTCATAAGTGGGAGCTGAACAACGAGAACACATGGACACAGGGAGGGGAATGTCATACACTGGGGCCTGTCAGGGGGTGTGGGGCTAGGGGAGGGATAGCATTAGGAGAAACACCTAATGTAGATGATGGGTTGATGAGCACTGCAAACCACTGTGGCACATATATACCTATGTAACAAACCTGCATGTTCTGCACATGTATCCCAGAGCTTAAAGTATAATTTTAAAAAAAAATTTACATTACATCTGTTACTTTACATAATGATAATGCTACACACATCAAGGTTTCACACAGCTAAAATCAAGAAAGATCTAAGTAGAATAAATAGTTCACAATTCTGTCTTTTGAAATCTTTTGTAACTGCTCGTGTACTTACTCTTCAGGTGACTCAAACATGAGGATTACCAAATAGGCCAAAAATGCAGAAGGCTCCAAAGTAAGTAAACCTGTGGTGAAGATTTAAATAAGATTTTTCCATCTTTTGTTTCTTCCAGAAAGAAAAGTCAAAGGTTCATGTTCTCTTAAAACAGAACACAAACTTTCAAGTCTTTTCAAGTCACGAATTTTAAGCTGCCCTAAATAACTTAAAAATGAAAGGACATGTGCTTTCCTGCAGTATGTTTCTATATTGTCTTCATGAGCTGAGACAAAACCAGCAGTATTTACAACGAATTCCAGGTCTTAGTGGTATGGAAACTTACCCTTCAACCATCCACAAATGAGAATCACTCAGGCAGCTAAAATGACTTCTCAGGTTAACATAATCTTCCAAGGCCATGATGGGACTGTCCATAGCCTTCTCTCCACTGTACGCATGAGGAAGCAGCCATTATTAACAGCCCTCCTTTTTTGCAGCATTAGACAGTAACAGGCCCATCCTGAGCTTATTTGCAGAGGACAGCTATGAAAACACTTCCAAAGATATTCACTCCAGGCTAGAAAATACTCTTTCCCCACTAGCGTGAAGATTCATATTGTGCACTAGTAAATCTCTCTGCAAGTGTTCATCATGACGATGTACCCAGAAAGGAGTTCTAAGTTGTGATGAGCATCCTGCAGCAGTTTCAGGGAATCGTGGACGAAAAAACATGCCTCCTTAAAAAAACAAGCTACTGCAAAACATCAAAGCAGATCAAATTCATTCATGTGAAATATAATTGTTCATGGGAGTAAATAAAAAAGGACTAAGGTCTCATGCAATTTCTTAAAATTTCTGATTTTCACTTTATATAATCTCCTCAGTGCTTTCCATGAAACCAAACTGTCTAGCCATTAATATTCATAAACAACTTTCATTGTCAAGTTTGTTCCTAAATTTGAAGGATTAACAAATTCCCAGATGATGCCCACACTGCTGGCCCAAGGACCACACTCTCTACTACCCTAGAGAATTTCCCACACAACAATGTCTTTTGTCAACAATTGTTCTGTGCTGTAGACATCTTTATAAAGGAGGTACAGAGGCAGTAGATGGCAAAAGTAGGCTATGGTAAAATGGAAGGTAAAGCACATTAGTGGGAAGAAAAAGATGGTGGGTAGAAACCAAGTAGGAAGAGAACAGAAAATATCTCAGGCATGCACCAACAAAATAGTGAAGTGGAAATACCTATTTTTAGTCACATGGACAGAGGTTCAAACCCTATATCTGGTGCTATGCATGGTGCTTATCTGGTGTAACATATATATTCTAATTCCTATTCTTATCTGCAAATGGGGACAATACTTTTCACTTGGGGTTGTATGTGTTCGATGTGGGAAATATATCAAAGCACTTAGCTCATAGTAAGAAGCAGTAAAGAAATACAAAAGGTTTTTGTACACAGTGCATGAATTTGAGAGCACAGAGAGAAAAGCTTGGATCATTTTCCCAAGCTTCCTTTATTTATTTTTTTCCCCGTAAGTACCGTGATGTCTCAACAAAAGAGGGGGAAGTCAGCACCTCCTGGCTGGGTTTTCAGGAATGCACAGTTCTCAAGTACAGTAGTTGTACTTTCTTTTTCTGGATTCTATTTCCATTCCCAAGTATACGTGATTATGGAATCATTTCATCTATTATAAAAGACAGCAGCTTTTTATTTCACATGAAAAATACTAAATTAGTTTTAAACAGTTTGGGTTTTGGGGAGTGGGGGACAAGACACCAGGGGATAAGTTAAAAAGTTACATTGTATTTTGAGAGGCCAGAATCAAAGGAAGTCTCAAGTTGCTTTTGAGTCTAGTGTCATTCTTCCATCCGCACAAAACTTTGTCAGTGTGTTTTGATTCAATCCAAGTTCTTTTCTCCTTGATCTGTAACTACTGAAATGAATTATTGTTTTTCATTTTGTTATTCCCATCTGTGATAATTTTACCTTCATGTGATAATACTTGATTCTTAATTAATATTCTACCAGATTTAGAATAAAAATCAATACTACTTATGTTATCAAAATTAACATAACGGCCAATAGCCATTGATTGAACATCTCCTATGTGCCAGGCATTATAAATGTGTTTAAGAGATTTGGGGACATCTTTCCACAGTCATCAAAGTTCAAAGGAGCCTAACTGATAGTCCCCTCTTCACCGAATTTGACTTGGACTAATTATTTCTCATGACAGATCATGTTCACAGGCCATAAATCACATCAGTTAACCCCATGGTTGTTATCAGCAACTGGATCCTCACCCAGAAGATAATTATTGATCAACACAGACCACTGGTATCTCTGTGGCCCCTGTCACTCCACCCCAAGTCTATTCATGACCATCTCAAGGCACAGAGGCTGCTTTATGAGGACGTGATGACAGCAGGGTCCTATCTGCAGCCTTCCCTGCAGGGATGTGCGAAAGTGAAAGGGCACGGCCTTTCACCTTTAAATCTCCACTGGCTTCTTGCCTTCGTTCTACAAATATGCTCTTCTTTGTTTCCTTGAAAGAAATCCCTTTGCTCCATTTTCTTCTCTTTTCTGCCTTCCCTGGACTCCTTTCACTGTTTATGCCTAAACATGTATAAAGGTAATCCTAAGATTTATTGGCCACCAATTATGAATAAGATATTTGAACATATTTAACCCTCCGAAAACAGGTAATGATGAAAATACGTTCAGAAAATTTCTTCACTAAAATCCAAACTCATGTTTGATGCCAAGACCTGTGTTTTGCTTCCCACACCTCCTAGAGGTGTCCACACCAGCTTAATCCCTTTTCTTACCAGGCCAGAATAGCCAGACCAGTTTTCTTTAGAAAATCAGCATTTGTAATTTTCAATATGAAGTTGGGCTATGAAACGTAATTATCTTTCCTATGTGGTTCTTGATTGGCTAGAAGTACCTTCATACAAGGTTATAAGGTGTCAGGGCCACCTTCTGGAATGTTTCCTTGGAGGACATAGCCATGTAATTTGGAATCTCTACAGAATCCTTGATGGAAAGAAGAAGAAAACTTTAAACAGAAAATAGCACCATGAATAAATCTTGGAGAGAAACAGAAAGAGGAGGGAAACAGGAGCAGAGGGAGATGAGAAGTAGAAGGTTAGTAGGGTCCTTTATTTCTAAGCCCAGTATGCGTTTTAATTTAGTGGCTAAGTCCACTTGGTTTGCCCCAGCCAAGGGTGGTAGATTTCACCTAGAACTAAAGCTCCAGGCCCCTTGCTTCTGACTGGGTTGGCACTCTCCTGCCTCAGGACCTTTGCACATAGCCTTCCCTCTACATGGATTGCTCTTTCCAAATACCCACATAACTCTCTTTCCTCTCTAGGGACCTTAACTCATCTGTCATTTTCTCAGTGAGGGCTTCTTCATTTCTATTTTTGAAATTGCAACAACACTCTCTCCTCTATCATCTTCTTTTTGACTGCCTTATTTTTCTCCATGGCACTTATACACTATATAATTCACTTTTTTAGTTTTTATTTTGCTTATTCTCATCCCTTCCCACTAGAATGGAACGTTCATGAGGATAGGGATTTTTGTTCACTGCTGCATCCTAATGCCCAAACTGAACTTGGCATTCCATAAGTGATGTTAAACATTTGTTGAATGAATGAATGCATTTGAAGGTAAGTGACCCTCCACCTAAGTACTCACACTGTACAGCTATTTAGTAATGCAATATATGTGGGGCAAAGTTGGGTTTTCCTTTTAGTGACTAAGCCCCATCTTAATTCAGTGGGGCACCTTTTACTTGGTCCTGGGCCCATAAGTCACCAGGAATATTTTTATTTCAGAATTATACGTTACTGCTGGGTCTTGAAGCTGGTTCTTAAGGCACCTCTGCTCTAGGCACTTGAGAGTATTTTGAAGACAAGATAAATGTTCACAGCGCTCATATCGTGAACAGTAGAGATGAGAGCAGCTGTGTAAGAAACCAGAAGTAAACTATTCTCAGAGTCAAGGATAAAGGGCTGGAATGGCTGTTCTCAATTTGCCTTATCATTTTCAGATTACAAAATCTTAGTCCCACAGGCCATAAATTATAAGGTTGGCTGTATCCAAAGCCCTCATGATATCATCACATTGCCATGTTAATTAGTGAATACCCTAACTGTATAGAAAGCAGAAGTGCATCATTGTGTATTTGGTGCTGTTTAGTGAGCATTATAATCATTTTTCTCTAAAAATCTAAAGGTTCTACAAATTTGGAGGGATTGGTTTGGGGTGTTTTTTTTTCAATTTTCGAAACGTTTTAGTATATTTGGTTTGAAACTCAATAAAAGGAAGATTTTTAAAAGTCATACCCCATTGGCCTTTCCCAAGAACAATTTATACTGGAGTCTGTCTGCGGGGGTTAAACATGGAGTGTGCTTACAGCTCAGATTTCACAAGAGGGAAATGTGTGGAGTGTCTCCCAGGAATGTCAAGCCCAAGAAGCTGAAAGGCGACTTGAGAAAAATTAAACATGGGCACATTTTAGTTGTATTTTATTACAAAGCAAACAGGAAGTCCAACATTAAATGTAACAGCGTCACATGAGATCCAGTCAGAAAGGCTTTCATTTAATAAAACCATGGTAAAGTTATAGAAATGTCACTAGATGGTTGAAAACCTAAAAGATAATTATAGTGAAAGATTATTTTTAAAGTTTAATAAAATTAGTTAAACAATGGGTTGAACCCTGGGGGCAAATCCAGCTTTGCAAGCAACCTCAGTCCCTGGAGACGTTCCCAGGACCTCTCCTGAAGTCAAGCAGCAGCTTCTTGCCTCTTGTCTGGTGAATTAAGGTAGCTTCGTAGCGGTTCACAAGAAGCCAGCCCGAAAACTGTGAGGTGCTAATTTAAAATTGACCACATATTTGAAAGCAACTGAAGTTTCTTATATGGGTAACTGGAAGAGACTGAGTAATATATATTGTGGGTGAGGCTTTTACTCTAATTTAGAACCTTATAAATTTAAAAAATGGGATCACTAAATAGATTGCTGGTGGACACTGATGTTTCCCAATGGGTGGTCCTAAGACCACTCAGCCAGATTCACAGGATGGGGTGGGTGTGGGGACTGAGAATGTGCTTGTTAAAAATGTAAAACTCTAAAACTTAGCATAGACCTGCTGAATATGGAATTTCTGAGAGTGGCTTCCTGGAATCACCAGACTTCGCATACTTCTGATGCTTACTAAAGTGTAGAGCTAACACTAGAGTGGGTTTCAACCTTTGCCACATGTGGAAACACCCAGGAAGCTTTGAGAGTGAAGCCTGGTCCAACCTCCAGAAACTTTGTTGAATTGTCTGAAGTACAGCCTGGGCATCAGGATTTTTGAGAATCATCTTTAGATGATTCTAATATTGAGGTAAAATATATAATTACTGCAATAGAATCTCTTCTGAATAACAGCCTCCTCTTTCTTATTGTGTAGAAATAAAACATGAATCATAAGATGGTTATGATCAAATAGGCAAAGTTCTTTGACTTATTTCCAAAAAAATCGTTAACAAGTTGAAATTAATCTCTGATTATATGGGGCAACCCGAGGACCTGAGACTACAGTGGGTCAAATAACTGTCTAAGGTGTGAGTAAATCCTTTTAGACAAGAAAAAACATCTGAGCAGAAAACTGTAGATATTAAAATCCCTGGAGATAAGCCAGAGAAACATGGATTTCATGGATCTGCTAGAAACCTTCTCTCTTCAAAGTTAGCAAAGGAATTGGGTGAAACATTGAAATGTGTGGCCCCTTTCAAGCACCATTCAGCATGCCTTTAAACCTTAATTATGTTCTTTATAAGTTGAGTATACCAGGGGTTAATGATAATATCCAATATTGATTGACCTCTTACTATGTGTCAGGCACTGTGTGAAGCCCTTTCAATGCATTCTGTTACTTATTGCTACATGGTAAGTATGATTATGACCCCATTTCACAAAAGAGAAAACTGAGACTTAGTGAGGTTAAATGTCCAAGGTTACACAGGTTTTAAGATCTTCAAAGCCTATCTTCTTAATCTATATTGATAGTATCACAGATTTAAATAAAGACCCAGTATTACTCAGTAGTAGTAACACACATAAAAAAATAAAAAGGGGAATCGATTTATTTCTCTCCAAAAAGTGGTTCTTCAATCATACCTGACTACCCCAGCTATGATGAATGAGCCCTATTCCCTGAAGTTGCAAATGCCTTTGTAAGTACAGGAAACCTAAAATTGTCTCAGTGAATCCCACCTTCCCTGGGGGTCTGTTAGTGACCAATTTGTCATGGAAGGTACAGTCTTCTATTTTTAAACTACAGATCAGCTCTCAGAAAAATCCCATAACGTGAAGGAATGAAGGCTTTGTTTGAAAACTGGAGAGGAAAACCCAAAGATCTATTGAGAGAATAAGGCACAAAATGACATGGGTTAGAGGTCATTTGCCTACTCAATGTGCATCCAGGTTCTTGAGCGTTCTCTTGTCTGTGTGACTGATGATCTCCATGATATCCCCATTGCTGAAATGGATCTTTGTCTTACTCAACATTTAGAGGATAGATTCCTTTTTAAGGCTTCTTTCTCAAGTGAATTTGCTTCTAGAATGCATTGTCAGATTATTTTTTAATGTTTTAAAGTGTTATAGGAGGGTGGGCTTACAATACTTTTAAAAATAATAATGTTGATACCCAGCAGACCTGTGACCCACTTTAATCATCTTGGGGAAAGGTGAACTCCCCATGGCTCTTCCATCTCAAATGAAAGCCCTGTGGGTAATAAGGGAGTGAGTGGGAGATGCAAAAGCATTGCTGATTTCTGCAGTCAGTTCCTGTCATCCTTTCTTCAGCTAGATATTTTTAGCCTAAGAGGGAAAGCCAGGAGTCCTGATTTCTTGTCCCTTTTCCATTTCTGGTCACCATGGTCTGAGAAAATTGCTGCCCCCCTGGATTAGTCCTTTTCTCTCAGAAATGGAAATAATGATATCATGTTTTTGCCACTTAATCCCAGTGATAATGCTAGGGTTAATGGGAATGTTTGGAAAGGGGAGAAAAAAGCCTTTGAGCTGGGATGAAAGGTGCTGGGTAAGTACAGTATTTTATTATAAACAGTAATAATAGGTCTTATGTTCCTGATGTCTGGGGAACAAACCATTCCCCTTTTGGCCTTCATTAAGACTTGGACCCAAAGGTGCTAATTCGTACAAAATATATGTACTGAATGGCACCTAGAGCCTAAAGGAGTTAATTCATCTCCAAAAGGTGACGAATTTCCCCTCTGCCTTTCCCACACTAGGCTGCTGTCCATTGTTACTAGTGTAGGATAACTGCACCCTTCTCACAGGGCTAGTGGGCCCCATTTGCTTCCTCCAATTTATTTAATAGACGACAAAGGATCCAGAAGTGCTATTGGAATAATTACCTTTGATTTTAATATTTCCTCTTGACTCATTTGTGGAGGAAGTCCCAAACTAATAATGATTACCTGAGACAGTTTATAATTGCTATCTATAAGTAAGTGTTATTTCCTATATCATTGTCAACATATATATTTTTTTCACAATGCACAGAATAAGTCTATTCTCCTTAGGTTCCATTCTTTAAAAAAAATCTTCTTTCTTCTTAGACCCTCTCCAATACCTTTTGCATTTTGATTGATGTAGCATGCTCCCTACTCCCTTCACTGAACCAAACCTTCCCGCAGTTTAGCATAGAAGTCCCAAGATCCGGACTAAGTCATCTAGATCCTGGCCTCTCCCTACCAATCTGTTTTAACCAGGACAATGCCATAAGCAAATAGGCACTTAAAGTGTGATGATGATTATCATAAAAATAATTACAATTTTAACCTAACAGTGTTACTGAACTTGTGACAATCATCCTCTTGGTATCCATCCTTCTTCCTGTCTTTCACCATAAACACCAATATCAATGTTAAGTAGAAGTTAGAGAATCCTGAGGCACAGTTAGTAAACTTTACTAACAAATATATCTCAGAGGTCACACATTTATTTTAGCATATTGTGACTGATATATGGGCTAAAGAGCAAGACCAGCCTATATGTTGTCATGCTGAAAAACCCCGTAATAAATGGGAGTGTGGTGTTTACAACACAGCTTATGGTTTATGAAGCCCAGGCAGCTGGAATCACTTCATCCATCATTTATCCAAATTTTTTATCATACAGAGACGGTAGCTGATCCCAGAAAGGTAAAGTGGCTTTGTTAAAGATCTCTTTTACCCAGTCAAGGCTATCTCCAATAATAAAGGTGAGGTATGGAAAAGGAAAATACCTGACTTAAAGATAACGCCAGTCAATTAAGAAGATTTCTAGAGATCTAACAGGAAAACCACCTTAGGGTAACACCAATTTTATCCAAATCAAATTGATATATTACTCCAAACCACAGTATCAGCCCTTGTCTAATATTGAAATGAACTGTATTTTTCTTTAAAGAAACTAATCTTCCAGAGAGTTAATTAACCATGTAGGTAAATAAGATAGAAAGGAAGGAGAAAGGCTAGAGAGGATGAGTTGAAGATGTGTATCCATGTGTATGTTTGTTAGCTTCACTCTACAGCAATCCTGCACTCCTGATAGCAGTAAGAAAAATTCTCACAGATCAATTTGATAACAAGGAATTCCCAAACTCTCCCTAAAGTATTAATCTTGAGTTCCTGAGAGGCAGAGCTTGTCACAGAGGCTTGCAGGGGATCTTAATGACCTGGCAAGAGAGTACCTGTTATGGGATGATAACTAGACAGAGAAATGCCTCCAGGTCATTGATAGCAGGAAGTGCAGTGGAGACTCGACTCCTACACCTTATATATATAACAAGGTTAAGCTGAGACTCATCCAACACATGATCTCTATTTCTCCTCATCCACCCACCCCCCACCTTAAACAAATGCAAAAGGAAAGAAATGTGAACAGTTCTTTAAAAAAAAAAAAACACTCTTGGCAGGAAACTTTTCAACAATAACTTTACCATTGCAAAAAGCAAGGAATTACATATTCTTTTTGACTGAAGCATGAGGTTTCAAAGAATACTTATGAGAGTTGATCAAGAATCCATTTAATATGCATGACTGAACAATTAGATAAATATTTTAGCTGCATTTATTTTTTTTCTTTCTGTCCTTCATTTATTGTAACTATGTGTTACATTCTAAAGACTGTCCTTTTGTGCTTACAGTCTGTCAGTGGATTTTTTTTTGGAGGGAATGATCTTTCAGGAACTCTGAAATAAGCATTGAGGTATTGCAGTCAACGGTGACTGGCTGCAACTTTAACAAGGAATTTTAACCAAGAAGTGGACATCTGAGCCTACTGACTTAACTTACATTTAAGAGGAGAAAAAAAAATTTTAAGTTTCTTTTTTTCTGCATTATATCCATATAATTTCTGTGTGCTTCTCTACCATTGGGTATTTAGTCCATATTACTTTTCTATGAAATCAGATATGTTACCAGCTTTATTCCTTAGTGTATGCAGGGAAATTAAGATAAGCAAAGCATGTCTTCAGTCTTAAAAAAAAATCTATAAATTAAAAGCGATGCACCAAATTGGGCCATATACTTTAGGGCAGTAGCTTAAAACATGGTCTGCATCCCAGATACTGGGACAGTATTTATAATTTAACCCATGAAATGATATGATGTGGGCTGTAGCTGTTTCACTGATGCATGCATCACATATATTATTGATTAATTGACAAGACATTTCTATTTGAAGGTCCAATATATTCTAAATTGTGCTTTTTTATAGAAATTATCTCTAGAAGGACCAATTCTTCTGGTCAAACTTGTACTTTTTGAAATAAGTTCATGATATACAACCAAACTCATATGCTGATTTTGATCAAAATCACAATATTATTACAGGACCAAAATCATACAGAACTTTAAAAACTGAGTTAAAAGGCTGTAGATTTTTCCAAGCAGAAGATAATGGTGCCCAGATAAGACAGAAGTCATCAAGCTATCCTTTAAATAAACAAAAACATTAGTCTGAGTTTTGATGTTAACACAATTGCATACTCTTCACATAAAATCATTGGTGACTAAATGTATATACAGTATTTCATTTCTCTTAAAACTTTTTTATTGCATTAAGCATTTCCATTCATGCAGACAACCCAGAGAGGTGTTTGACATTCTACTCCAGGCAGAAAGTGACTAGATTCAGGGCAAGAGCACTTTCCAAAGGAGAATTTTCTACCTAATCATCTTGCACTTCACTTACTCTTTCCAGAATTTGATTTTACGAATGTGACTGATCTAAAACTTTATACTGATACCAATAGCTTTATTATTTAACAATTCTTGGACAACTAGCTTTTTAATTTATACATTTTCTGGCAGAGACCTGAAACCAGATTATTTAATAATAAAATATAAGCTTTGAAACCCCTCCAAATCCTTTACTTTTAGGTATAAGACCAACAATAAAAAATGTCTAGCTAAATATTGTATGAATGAAGGGATGATCTCTTTCACCGTACTGAGTTTCAATCCCCATTTGAATCCTCAGCCTTAGGCAAGTTCACCTTTGTAGATGAATGAATGTCTCGAAAAAAAGAAAATAATAGGGTTGTTCTTCATGAAAGATAAAGCCTGTTTCTACCCCATACTCTCTTTGTAGATTCCCTTAGGAAGAAATCTAGTGAAAGCTAAACTGGAAAGAATGTAATCAGTTTGCCAAAAGAATGTGATTAGCTTGCCAACTAGATGTGGATGGAGATACTATGTTCCAGCTGCGTTAATATGATTTTAGTTTCTGGAGTCCTTCTGAGTGTCCCCAAGCTCTTCAAGAAGGTCGTGGAAGATTTTACAAGTACAGAAGGATACACCCACTAACTGGTGCTGGGGATGGCCAAATGATGGATAAGAGTCATTGTTTATCCAACTGTAACATGGTGGGATATACGAGAACTGAGGTGTTTTGCCACCATCTTATTTCCAAACACAAGTCTAATCTGGGAAAACCTATAAGCAAATGACTGCATTTAGCTAGTATATGAATAGTTATGGCTAATCATTTAAATTCAGAACCATATTCACATATTTATGGAAATGGAAGTTAATGAAAAGTGGGCAAAATTCTTGCAAATGTCCACCTAAGAGATTATAACCCATATAGGATTGTTATGACAATGAAATACTATATTCATACACTCAAAAATTTCTCAGGTACCTACCAGAAGAGATTAAATCTTTGGCTAACAGACCCAGTGCTTGCTCTCCTCATTTAGACTCTTGAAACTAAACTTCTATGCTGCTCATGAATTGCAAAGCATGTCAGCTCTGGTCAGTGTTGCCTAGTTTCAAACCCTGCCTCTGCCTGTACTATCAGTACATCCTTGAGCAAGCGCATTAGTTTCACTAATAACAGTACCTACCTCAAAGGATTATGAGTTAATATATGTAACGTACATTTAAAAAGCCTCTGGCATATACACATTAATTAATATTATTTATTACTATTAATATTAAGTTGGATACACATTAGTTAGTATTATCCTAACTTTCATCAGTCAACACAAAAAGTATATTTCCATTCCCCTCCCCCAAATAAAACAATTGTGTCCTCTAATCCCTTGAGCAAGTTATGGCCTGGGACCAACAGCACTAGCATCACCTAGGAGCTTGTTGGAAATGCAGGACCTCAGTCCTCAGCCCAGACTCACTGAATAACAATCTGCATTTTAATAGGCTCATTTGGATACAGATTATAATTTGAGAAGCAACTGCTCCAACATACCCTCAGTGCATAATATCTGTACGTTCTTCCCCAGAGCTTCCCTCCCCCAAACTTTCCTGTTGTGTCCTCTAGAATTATTGTTTCAAAATCAACAAACTGTCTACAATCTTCTCTAAGTGTTTCCCCAAACTCCTTACCATACCTGCTCTCCCCTGAAGGTATAAATTTCTGTGTAAACTTCTGCAGTAATGACTGCTTGTTTTTACATACCCAAGGACATCAGAGTAAGGAAGTGAAGTTGCTGTCTTCCTTCTTCTCTGCTGCTGTCCTTCTTTCTGGTAAGATACTCTGTTCTATTGGGAGCCATGGCATTTGAAGCTACAACTTTCTCCTGCTCCTTGTCCCTCTAGGCTTCAAATCTTTCATCCACCCCCTTCCATCCATCAGACTTTGCCACTTTTTCTCTCCAAGCCATTGTCATCTCTCTGGGGAACCACAACAACCACATGGTCAGTCTAAAAACTTAGTGTCTCAGTTTCCTAACCATCTTGCTTACAGTAACTTTCTCCAAAGCCTCACATTACCTCATATTTCCTGGGTTACACCTTGAACCTTATCATCATCTGGAAGGGTTCCTGTTTCAAAAGCACCAGTTTAAGCACCCCACTCTCTGGCTATAACCTCTCTTCTAGTTTGCTTGAGATGGCCATTTGAGCTATCCACAACTTCATTGCCCATTCTACTTTGTTCCAATCTGTCGGCCCTTTTTACTTTTTAACTCCCTTCACATCTCTCCTTATCGAATTTAGATTCTATGGTCTGTCATATTTCAGTAACATTTTTAGCAATTCCATAATTATGCATTACCAATATACAAATATCTCCACAATTATCCTCCTTCTTCCTTCCTGTGACAGTGACAGAACTGACTTTGGGATTGCATAAAGCCAATCCCTCCATTATGCTTTGAATGCTGTGCCCATCCACCTTATCAGCAATCTCAAGAACTATTGATGATATCTTTTCTCTCTTTAGTGCTCAATCCCCGCCTTCCTGCCTCCATCAAACGGATCCTTGCCATTGACTTCTAAGCATGTTCAATTTTTCCCATCAAAAGGTAAACAGAATTTTCCTCATCTGCATCTCCTTCTAGCCTCCTTGGTAGATAACTTCCTCTTTCTTGTACAAAAACGTTCTGTTTGAAAGTCTTTTCTTCCTAAAACACTCTTTTTTTCTTGGCTCTACTGATGCTCACTCCTTTGTCTTTTGTTCTATCCTCTCTCTGGCTGTTCCTTCTCCATATTCTTTATACAAAGCTTGGTGACAAATATTTATTACTGTTAATAATTTTTTTTATTTTTTGAGACAGTGTCTCACTCTGTCACCCAGGCTGGAGTGCAGTAGTGTGATTATAGCTCACTGCAGCCTCAAACTCCTGGGCGCCAATGATCCTCCCACCTCAGCCTCCTGAGTAGCTGGGACTACAGACATGTGCCACCATGCCTGGCTTATTAAGAACATTTTTAGAGCCAAAAGAGATTGTAAACATACAATATCTTCTATGTTTATATTTGTTTTAATATTAGCTATATACTTAAATATAAATAATATCATGTAAGTTGTTTTATTATAATCATTTTCCATTCATATTACATGATAATCTTCTATATACCTTATCAAATCTATAAATTATCCCCTGAGAAACCCAAATTTAGCATGCCTCTTTTATCACCTTGTAATATAAGTTTACATTTGTGTGTTTGGCCCATAGACATACTGATTAGTCAAAGATTTAACAACTGAAACAAATTTCCTAAATACATATAAGGCCACAATGATGCTATAGAGAGACCAACATACAATATGTGAATAACCTTTCATTTACCTATACTACCTATATATGCTCTCATTTAAGTTAACATTGATCATTATGATAACTGCAGATGACAGGGAACTGGGGTTTGTACATTTAGGATGAGATCACATGAAAAATAACAATGAGGAGGTACTTTTGAACTTTCAGTAGGAAACAATAATTTCTTAGAAAATTAGCTCTGAAAAGCCCCCCAAAATGCGGGTTCTCTAAGTCATAGAGCCCTTTTTCCACAATACTGTCTTTAACTAGTATTCTCCCAGGGACAAATTGAAAATACAGGTAGTTTTATGTCCCTTCAAATAACCAAAAGAAAAAATGTAAATAATGAGAACTGAGTTTCCTATTTCAGTATGTTCAGTTTACACACTTTGAAATTAATTTCCCGTAAGTACCAAGATGGTAACTAGAATTATATTTTCATCTTAGTAACATTACTTTAAAAAGCTGAAACATTATTGTCAAATCATCTCTTAAGTATTCATCAATTACAAGGATTTTCTGCATTCCAAGTTGCATTACCTCAGTGGTGAGATACATTCTTATTTTCCGTAATAGAAGGGAAAGAAGACCTAGATTTGAATTATTCCCTTACCACCTATGGCTTGGCATTGGGCACAGCACTCTTCAGTAAAGCTTCTGTTTCATCACTTAGAAAATTAGAACAACAGTGTTTTTCTCACACAGCAACCATAAATGTTACACTGAATATTGTAGCAGAAATGAGGCATAGACTCAAATACCTACAATATAGGGCATAATATTAAATGATCATTAAAAGATGAAATATGGGTGGCAGGAAGCGCCAGACAAGGAAAGACCAGAGGTCTAGAAAACTTGGTTATAAGGATAATCTAGTGTGAACTATAAAAAGCTGTGCACTATTCACAATAGCAAAGACATGGAATCAATCTAGGTGCCCATCAACAGTAGACTGGATAATGAAAATGTGGTACATAGACACCAAGGAATACTATGCAGCCATAAAAAATGAAATCATGTCCTCGGCAGCAACAGAGGCAATTATGCAGATGCAGCTGGAGGCACTTATCCTAAGTGAACTAATGCAGGAAACCAAATGCTGCATGTTCTCACTTATAAGTAGGAGCTAAACACTGGGCATTCACAGACATAAAGATGGCAACAATAGAAATTGGGGACAACTACAGGAGGGAGGGAGGGAAAGAGGAAGAGAGACAAGCCTTGAGTAACTACTGGGTACTAAGCTCAGTACCTGGGTGATGGGATCATTTGTACCCTAAACCTCATTATCACGCAATATAGTCAGGTAATAGACCTGCACATGTACTCTTGAATCTAAAATAAAAGTTGAAGAAGTAAAAATAATAAAATAAATAAATAAAATGCTGTGCATTCCAGCAGGTGCAGTGATTGGGAGAGGGAGTGGGAAGGGGCAGGCAGTTGAGAAATATAATGGAAATCTTGGGCAGGATTCCATGGGGCTGACATTAGAAATGCAATGTGAGGACCCACAAGGCTATTCAGGAAGGGACCTGAGTATGGGGAACTGGGTTCTTGAAAAGCAATGCAAGATCTGACGAGAGATGTCACATTTTTCTGAGACAAGAGAAAAGACAATATTCTCCACAAGATGATCAAGCTCAGCATAGAAGAGCACAGGATTTGGAGTCTGACAGCCTTCATGAGGAGAAAGAACAGCTTATATAATACACCTAAATAAAAATTAAATATTAACACTAAAGTATGCAGTGATGACTATAAGGGCAAAAAGTATTCCAGAAGACAATAGTCTACCACTGGGTGCTAGAAAGGTGGAAGAAGGCTTCCTGGAGGTTATGGGATCCAACTGGGAGCTTTCAAGTCTTAGATGGAAGGCAGGCATTGTGGTGTTCAGCGTTAACAACAAGTATAGAGACCAGAAACAAAACAACTGAGGGAACTATCTCTTAAATAGATAGGAAATGCAAGCAGACAGCACTCCATTTCCACCAGACACTTAATACCATCTCCTTCTGAAATGAAACAGAAATTAAACTATAGGTGGAGGTGGGGAGGAAACACGGGAAATAATTTGAAACCCATGACTTTGTTTGCACTTTTATTTTCTTAAGAAAAATATAAACTTGGGTATTAGCACGTCAAATTGGCTTTTCTCTCCACAGTTTACTGCTGATTATCTGTTTTCTCGTTGTACTATTGTATTTTACGTAGAAGAAACTGTCTCCAGGTTATAATGTAAATCAGCGAGAAATTAGATTCAAGTTATAGTTAATATTCTTGCTACATTGCATGTAAATTGACTAGGGAATTAATTTTCACAGATTCTCCATATCCTGGCTTTGACAGAAATTTATATGTTATATAAATATAAAGATCTCACACATTTTTCTCAGCTCGCCCATGGTACTTTTATAGAGTCAGAAACCTTTACTACTAATTTAGAGGATGCTTCTCACCCACCGCCAACCCCAATCCCAGATCTCCTTTCCTCACCAGAGCTTGCAGGTTGAGTTATGTCCGGACCTCTGGAGCACATCAGTCCTTAAAAATGACACTTTAGTTCACTTTTATTAGCAGTTCTGCTCCATCCTTGGACCCCAGTAAAAGTTTCTAGAACAAAGTTCTCATTTTATACAATCTCTCTGATGCCTACTGGTCTGCACTGCTCCTTGCCATGTGCAGCTCAGGAAATAATCCAGAATTCAGAGCCTCTCAAAACAGAACCCTATCTTGCCTTTGCCATCCCTGCCCCCAGGGTGTGTGCCAGTTCGAATCGGGTCAGTCCTGCTCCTTCAGATTTGACCTTCCTAGAACCCACCATGTCATGGAAGCAACAGCTCCAGGTTTCTCACCCGTGTTCATTAGGAAGAATGAAACCACTGCCAAAGTACATGCTGATCTTTTAGACAAAATGCAGTTTCCTCCAACCTCTCCTTTGTCACTGGCCTCACCTTTGTCTCCTTTGTCTTACTGTCTGCATCTTTTTTCACTAATTAGTTTGTTCAGTCCCATAGTTTAGTGGTTGAAACGATGTAGATCCTTTTGACTCTGTTAGCCTTTGTTGGAAGACTAAGGACCAAGAGAGAACTAACTCAGTCTCTTCATATATCTGGACCTATGATATATACACTTGTGAGCAATGGAGAACCCATAAACTGCTGGTCACATTCACAGCAGAGCAGAGAAAATACAATCTACAAACTGAAAGAAGCAGCAGAGACAAGACAGAGAGTCCCAGACTGCCAACCAAACCTTGATGCCCACGACCTCCCCTTTCAGGGTACATTCCTTCCCCTTTCAGGTTAGAGAGCCCTGATCTCTGTGATAAATTTCCTTGAATTACTGTCTGTTCCAAAGTGCCACAACAAATACAAGTTACTTGTGACATACCTAAGGAGAAATGGGCAGTGGCCAGGCCATGTGAGTCTGAAGCTCTGGAAAGATACAGAAAGTTGGCATCACAGGGCTTCACACCATTTAAAAAATAAATGACAGTTGAACATGATTGCCTCTCCATGGGATGCTCTTTTATACCCTCCAACACCGCCCAAGTCACCAACTCAAAAGTTAGTCATTGTGTCAAATGTCAAATGCTGCCAGGTAGAGAGATTATGAGACATTAGCCTCTCCCTTCTCTAAATTCCAGTGCACTCCATTCAAGAAGGAAATTATATTCTGTATGCTGATTTTTCTAAAACAACATGGGGTAGAATGGGGGGAACTAATTTAAGGGTTTATCTCAGCAGTTTATTTGCTTATAAATAAGTATTTATAATTTTATTATAATATTTATTATAGATTAATAGAATTTTATAATATTTGTTGTAAATAAATATTTATAATATTTACTTATAGGGGTTTATTTAACCAGTTTTCTCATTCTTATAGGGTTTCTGGGAAGTCTTCTACAATCAGCTTAGTTCCTGATAGGCCTGCTATTCAGACAACTGCCACTTAAACAACTTCCCCTTTAGAAATCCCAGAAATTTTCTATTTCCCTTGTAAGTCACAGACTTACATCACCACCTAAAGTCCATGAGTCTTTTTGAGAGTCATTTGTTCAGAACACATGGCTTTAGCAAAACAGATGGTTTCACTATGCGAATGGCCTGCACCTAAAAAAACAACATTGTCACAAAAATCCTGAAACTGGGACATCCACGTATCTCATAACATAACATAGAATTATTCCATGTTTAAATCACTTTGCTTCCATCTGGTTTTAATAAATGGCAATAATTGAGAAATGAAGGAAGGGAAGTAAGATGGGAAATGAAGTGGACATTCTAGTCACGTTCCCCTCTGGAGAAATATACCATCACCTCATTCTCATCCCCATAACAAAGAAAACATGTTCTCAATCCCTATTGCACTGAGAAGCAATAAATTGCAAAACTCTCATATTAGAACTTGAAAGCTTTGCTATCTTTATATTAACTTAAAAATAGTGACTATCATGTGAAAATAATTTTTCTTTATTTTATTTTATTATTATACAAAGTCAAAAAATTGTCACTGCTATGGCCTGAGTGAAAGATTCTGAACTTTTCTATTTTATAAACTTGTTTTATTTTCTTAACATAAAAACTTATACTTTTCTTCTTTTAGTCTGTGGAAACAATTTTTAAAATGTCCATCTTGGTAAGAAAAGGCCTAAAACTACCTTTTATAAACTCAGTGGCAAGATATATAATAACATATTGTAAGTTTTTGCAGATTAATATCTTATTAATCATTTAATATGAATAACTATGCATCAAGAAATTATACAGCTTCTACCAAACTGGTGTCTGGAGAGACATGGTTAATTGTTAGAATTTGGTATTTTTTTCATTAATTGAGTAAAAAGAAATGCAGAACTAGACATCTCCAATGTAAATAATATAGTTCGCTAAGAAGATAAAAACAAAAATTTAGATAATGAAGAATTACGAGGTCTTTAATGTTTAAATATCTTTTTAAACTTTGAAAACACTTCAAAGTAAACCTAATGATTCTTAAGAATGGCCAAATAAATGTTTGCTGTTGTGAGCATGAGGCCTTAAAGCCCACACCATCAGCAAGAGAAATACTATAAACCTAAGTAAAGCTGATTCCCAGATCCAATGGATATTAAGCTAACACTCTGCCAAGAAAAACATTTCTCCTTCACTGCCCTGAGTAAGAGTCCTTCCTATGTCCATGGGAGGAAGTCATTTGCCAGATGTTGCTGTTTATTTTATAAGTCTCTCTTTGACTTGTGCTTATTTTCTCTTGACCTTCCCAGCTTCTCCCATATTGAGAAAAATCAAGAACTCTGCAAACCATGCTAAGGAAGTATCTAACTGTTCCAATCAATACATGTGTTCCTGTTTATGAACCCAGCCTAAATGCTGATGGAGACTGAATGATTAGGCTTTTGTCTTTCAGTGCTGTCTGGATATCTATCAACAAAACAGACGATTTTACAACTTAACATCATGAATGACATCTATGATGGAAACTTTCCCTTTTGTGTTAACACAAGACTGTTAATGATAAATCAAGATAAATTAAATAAAAGAAAGTCAAAAGAAAAGAAAAGATGGAGTTATTTTATAAAGATATTCAAAATCCCAAAAGATCACACAGTGGAATGTCAGAGGTTAGATTTCACCAAATAGGATTCAAAAAAGAATTTCTCTGCAATCTTGTTTTGCCTCTCCAGAGAGAAAACTCAGCAATAAGGCCTTGAATGTTCAATATCTATGTTACATACACTTTGCTAACCTTATGCTAAAAGCACATCCTGTTCATCTAGGCCACTACGTCATCAAAGATATCATGTCTACCACACCTCCTTGCCTACTTGCCTAAAGCCAAGTAGGCTTTTGTGATGGGAGCTGCCTTTGCAGTTGTGTTCAGATTTAGCTTTCACACTCTGCTATTCCCATTGTCTTGTTCCACTTGTTATCTTCTAGGTCCATTCCAAAAGTAGGAGCTAAAAAAACTGAGATGACAGCTAATGGGGCCAGGAAAACAGAGAAAGCAGAGTTGAAGTCAGGTCAGCTAAGAATATTCTGCAAATGAGCTCAGCGAGCCTGAGTTTTTCAAGGGTCACACCAAAGAACTCAAAGGGCTTGGATTTAAATCGTCTCTAAGCATATCTGAGAAAATTTAGAACTTTAGTAAAAACATACATACAACCCCTAATATTGTCCCTGAAGTATATCCTAATACCCAGAGAATGGCCCTGGGTGTATAGTTGCAGTTCAATAGTCAATGAATGAATGAATAGATAGATATACAGTAATTCCTGTATGAGAGACTGAGCAAAGATATCCCCACAATATCTTTGTTAAGATATTCAACTATTAGGCTATTTTCCCCCTTTAATTTTTTGGCAAAACTTCTCACTTGGGATTAAGCAAAATTTGTCTCCATTAGACTGCAAATCTCCAGAATTCTTTGGATCCTATTCACCTGATTGACCAAGGGTGGAAAATATCTAATGCTATAATTTACATATTTTTAATCCAGTATAGTTATGTGCCACATAACGACATTACAGTCAGTGACAGACAACATATTACAAAAATGGTGCCCTAAGATTGTAATGGAACTGAAAGATTTCCATCGCCTAGTGACTTCGTAGCCATGATAACATTGTGGTGCAACACATTACCAAGTGTTCATACTGATGATGGTGTAAATAAACCTGTGGTGCTGCCAGTCATATGAAAGCATTGCACAAACAATTACATACAGTATCTAACACTTGATAATGACTATGTTACTGTTTTATGTATTTACTACACTATACTTCTTATCTTTTTTTTTTAGAGCATACTCCTACTCATAAAAAACAATTAACTGTAAAACAGCCTCAGGCAAGTCCTTCAGGAGGTATTCCAGAAGAAGGCATTGTTACCATGGGAGATGATAGTTCCACATGGTTACTGCCCCTGGAGACCTTCCAGTTGGACAAGATGTGAAGGTGGAAGACAGTGATATTGATGACTCTGACCCTGCGTAAGCCTAGGCTAGTGTGGGTTTATGTCTTAGTTTTTAACAAAATACTTTAAAAGTTTTAAAACATTTCAATATAAAAAAGCTTATAGAATAAGAATATAAAGAAAGAAAATATTTTTATACAGCTATACAATGTGTGTGTGTTGTAAGCCAAGCGTTATTACAAAAGCATCAAAAAGTTTTTAAAGTGTTTACAAAGTGAAAAAGTTAGAGTAAGATTAGGTTACTTTATTATTGAAGAAAGAGAAATATTTTTTATACGTTTAGTGTAGCCTAAGTGTACAGTGTTTATAAAGTCTACAGCAGTGTACAGTAGCGTCCCAGGCCTTGACCTTCACTCAGTACTCACTCACTGATTCGCCCAGAGCAACTTCCAGTCCTGTAAGCTCCATTCATGGTAAATGCCCTACACAGGTGTACCACATTTTATCTTTTATACCATATTTTACTGTATCTTTTCTATGTTTACATATGCTTAGATAATATCAATACTTATCATTGTGTTACAATTGCCTACAGTATTCAGTACAGTCACATGCTGTCCAGGTTTGTAGTCTAGAAGCAGTAGGCTATACCACATAGCCTCAGTGTGTAGTAGACTATATCATATCGGTTTGTGAAAGTACACCCTGTGATGTTCACATAACGATGAAATCACCTGATGACACGTTTCTCAGAAGGCATTCCTGTGGTTAAGTGACACACGACTATTTTTATACTCAATTAAGTAACAAACCTGACTTGGTTGTGGTTCAGCAACATGTTCTCAAACTATCTGTGGTGGAAGACCAGATTTTTTAAAGTTCTAATTCAAGATATACAGATATTTTTATGAAAGAAAACAGGCATGAATTACCAGAAAAAGAAAATTAAAACACATAAAAAATATAAACTCCCATTGCTTTCATCATTAGATTCAGCAGACATAAAATTATACTGTTAAGTTTTTTTTCAACTATTCTGAAAGTTTCTGAACACTCTCAATTTTTCTATCTATCTGGTCACAAATTGCTATCAAGTCTGTTTAGCAGCACCAATCTGTGAATCGCTCTAAAGCTCACATTAGTTTAGGTCTAATTTTCTTCTTTCTTTTGTTCTGAATTGACCAGACTTAGGGTGATAATTCAGGTTATTGTTTCATATCACCTCCTTTCCATAACACTTAGCACTAAGATCTTTGCAGAGAGGAAAGATCACTCTGTGTTGTTGAAAACCGTTTCCAAAAAAAATTTTAAGCATAAAAAAGTCATTTTTGGCCGGGTTTGGTGGCTCACGCCTGTAATCCCAGCACTTTGGGAGTCAGAGACAGGTGGATCATAAGGTCAGGAATTCAAGACCAGCCTGGCCAAGATGCTGAAACCCCGCCTCTACTAAAAATACAAAAATTAGCCAGGTGTGGTGATACGTGCCTGTAATCCCAGCTACTCGGGAGGCTGAGGCAGAAGAATCGTTTGAACCCACCCAGGAGGCGGAGGTTGCAGTGAGTGAGCCAAGATTGCGCCATTGCACGCCAGCCTGGGCGACAGGGTGAGATTCCATCTCAAAAAAAAAAAAAAGAAAAGAAAAAAGAGTCATTTTAAATCATTATATCCTTCAAGTTTTAAAAACGGAAGATTAAAATATTTGTCTCAGGTCAGGAAATAAAGTTCACTAAGAAAATGTCTCCTTGTCAGAAAGAGTAATTATTCCCACTTACACACATCTCTGTTCTCCCATTGAAATGCTACTAAGTCATATTTTCTTGACATTAGGGAATAATGAAGATATATGTCCAGGCAACACATGAGTTCATACAGAAGACTGCATAACTCCCAATGCATTGCCCTTTTTGGTGATTAGAGTATTTCTAGAAGAGAATTATTAGGAAAAGGAAGAACATGCCTTACATGTTCTCTCTCTTTCTCCCTCTCCCTCCGTCTCTCTCTCTCTCTGTCACACACACACACACACACAGACACACTTGTGCACACATACATGGTACATATTATAATGGCTTAGTGGTTAAGTGAAGTGTGTGGCCTCGTAACTAGACACATTTTATTCAAGTCCTGACAGATCTACTTATTAACCAAAAAATCTTGGCAAGTCACTCACTCTTCTATGTTCAGGTTTTCCAGAATATTTTTAAATGAGCAAAGGCATTAAAAGATGGTGTTGAAGAAGAGTATGGTAGAAGATGGATAAATAACATCATATTTTTTCATTTATGTCAGTTTCACAAGGTTGGAGTTTAAGAAAAATAAAAGCACTATCATGATGAAACAGCCAGCAACTCCTGACCCACATCACAGTCTAAAGCATATTATCAAGAAGAAAAACTATGGACCCTCCTATGAAAACTACTAATGAACAAGTACAATACTTTCTTTCAATACGAATACATTTTTTTCTGATGGCCAAAATGTCACCTAGGCCTGCACATTTAAAAATCTGATTTTAAAATGCCACTCCTCTATATTATTAAGTCTGTGCTCACACATGCATTTTTTTAATTCATTGAATCATAAAAATTAGATATTTCTAAAACCAATTATTATTTAAATTTAACCACCATTTTATAATTGTTCACAAGGTTTAAGCACAGCAAAATAAACTTATCCTACAAAAAAACCCACAATCACAAGAGAAACTTCTAAATTTATTGTTAACATTGTTCCATTACTCCTTCTCTCACTGAGAAAGATATAGATTATTGAATCTCCCACAAGCAATGAAGTACAATTTTAGAAGAGCTTTAGTTACGCAAAGTATAGAAGTTTCAGTGAATTATTATCCCATAAGTGAGATGGTCCCCTATAGCAGAGGGGTCATGAATCATAGTGAAAAGGACAATAAATGTGAGATCAGAGGCAGTGGGAAGACTACAGTATGCTGCTAATTTTTAGCTGCATTTCCAAGTAGTATTGCCTCATCTTTAAAATACAAATAATGATATATACTCCAAAAGGGGTATTGTAAAAAATGCATGATACAACATATCTGAAAAGCATTTTGTAAGTTTGTGGATGTTCAAATATTTGTAAAGATGATATGGGAAAAATACTTCACTTTATTTTAATTTACAAAGCTTCCACAAGGGCGTAAATGCAGAGAGCATTGTTTAAGATAATAACATAGAAATATACATCTTTACAACCGTGAATATAGTGTTAGCATCAATTGCACACATCTCAAGGTTGAGTATTCTACCAAGAAACTGCCAAACACAGGGCACTGTGAAGCATGTCACATTTCCCTCATGAAATGCTCGTCTCATCCTCCATCCTCTAAAGACACAGAAAATTCAAACATCTTTCCAACTAGCCAAACTAATTATTCTGTGATAAGGAATTATTTTTCTGAAGCAGTAATAAACACAGCATCACTAAAATAGTGCTATAAAACAAATAAAAAATGGAAGTATGAATACATGCCCATTCCCCTCCTTAGCTCTAAGGGAGGAAAAAAGCACACAAAATTGGGGAGCTGTTGCCCACAAGGTCTCTTTTTTTAGCTGTGTATGGATATTTGCAATTAGGACATATCCTTGTACAAGTTCTCTTCCCTTTCCCCAGTGCAAACTGCGCATGGTCATTGTCTACAACCATGCTGTTCCTGTGATTTATGTTGGAGAGAGGGCCTTGCTCCTGTGCTGAAGACTTCCAAATTGCTTTGGTGGTTCAACTGCCAATGCATGTTAGTTTTGGCAGAGTGGACATGGAAAACTGTTCTCATATTCTTTGGCTCCTATGCTTTGCATGTCAGATGAAACAGCAATGCAGAACTAAAACTGTTCCAGACCAAAGAAGACTTTGGGTTTTGTTTAGCTTTTGGGAGACTCAGAGTCATAGTGAGAAAGGAACTCTTCTGCAATCCAGAGATGTGCCTTCTAGACCTGGCACTGCCACTCATGGTGGTAAATCATTCTGCTTGCAGAGTCTCAATTTCTACACCTCTGAACCAGGGAATTTACACTAGGTAAATTGATGATCACTAGTAAAATAGAGTAACTCAAGTTAACGTCTTCAACAACTCTTCTAAATTTACATCAAGGAAAGGCTTTATTTAAAAACTGTATCTTCTGTTGTCCTAGCCAAGATTGGAAAGATAAATCACTTCAAGGAGTTACAGCTATATTTCCACTAAATCATTTCAATTATTTAGGTATTCATTAAATATGTACTAGTCTGTATGCTTCTGATGAAATTAGTTGAATGAAAATGTTACCTTTATTTACATACCGTTTTTCCTCTTTCTTCCATCCAACAATATCACTTAGAGAAGGAGGATTATTATTTCAAGCTATGGGAAAGCAAAAGGGAATCTAATAAGGATTTGTTTGCTTCATTTAAAAGGGAAAGTATTGAATTTTTATTTACGCTATTAGGGTAATACCGTATCTATTACAGAAATTTGAAAACAACATAGAAAAAGGGGAATTGTCAATGGTTTTACTACTCCTTGTCAACCATAATTTAATAATTTTTCTTTCAGACTTTTTCTAGGCATTTATTTTTCAGAAGGAACCAGGCCTCCTTTTTTACTTAGTTGTGAGCATAACGCATATACAATTTTGCATCCTGCTTTTCTCATCTAACATAAGCATGTTTCCATGTTACTACAAACTCAGTATTTTTCATGATTGCATATTGTTCAACAAATGTATATATATATATATATATATATATATACTGGAATTTACAGAGCTGTTTTCCATAGGTGAGTATTTCATGTGGTAAATTGTTAAACAATTTACATTTTTGTGTATAAAGAACATAAAGCTTTCGTCAAAGAGTGAGGGTGGGGATTGCATTACTTGGAGATCAAATATTGTAGCAAAGAGGAGCAGCAGCCAGGAACCTCCCAGCTACCAGGCACCTCTTCAGAATAGGGGCAAACAAGCATTCCATGGAAAGGCCTCATCCCATGCCTGGGTGGAGATCTGACAGCCAAAGGAAGCATGCCTCCCAGCAAGCAACTCAGAACAAATGCTTATTCCCAGGAGAAGTCCCGCCTACTTTCCAGCCAGGCAAAAGTGCTCATCAAGGAAAATCTGATTTTCTACAACAGCAGAAAATGGCTTCCAAAGTAGCAGGAGTTAAGGGGCCAATTTGGTTGAGGACAAATTCTACTGTCCCAAAGCACTGCAATGCAGTGAGGTGAGTGAGCCATCCCCTGTAGAGCGGGAGTCATAAGGAAAAGGAAATACAATCGGCTTCCAGTCCCAGTATATCCATAAGAAAATTTTCATAATTGCTCATATTATGAAATTGCTGGGTCTGCAATGCATTCATTTATATTATTTGTAGAAGTTGCATAAACAAAATTTTTTAACTATTTTCCTTTCTTTTAAGTAGCACTGGAGTTGGGGGAATATACAGAGGATTCATCCCTCACTAACTGGGCCATCTTAGCTGAATTATATGTTTACATTTTTCATAACTACCCTAAAAGATATATGGAAGACATAAAATCATATTGCTAAGAAAAATTCCCAATAGTAGTTTAAAATGTATCAATGACAATAGAAAGGGATATCTGTGTTGATGACTTAGAGAACTACCATAGCTAAATTAACATAGGCCTTGAAGTGTTAAGACATAGAATAGTGATTTTGCAAAGGTTTACAATTAAAAATGACTTTTGACCAAATTTTTTAAATAGGCAGAAAAATAAACTATATAAATCCAATTGTAATATATCTGAGTGTACACATCCTAAGAAAATGCAAATTGCCATCAGAGAAGTTAAAACAAATCAAAGAACATTATTTTGATGATGAAGTCTATTAGATACTGGGCTGATTACTCAGTTCCTTAATTCCCTTTTCTTCTAAGTATTTAAAATATGGCAGAGAACTTCCTCTCTTAAAAAAAAAATTCAGGAGGAGTTCTGTGAAAGAGAAAGATGGCCTGTAGTCTAGACGGTCTCTTAGGAGCTCTTCTTGTATATTAATCCTGAATTTCACTCATGACTCATCTCCTTAGAGGTAATCTAAACAGATTAAGAAGCTTCTTTTTTTTCTTCTTCCTTTTGGCTTTGGGAGCTAGTATAAAATTAATATTTCCTGTTCCCTCCCAAGAACCCTGGAACCTTTGCAAACAGTTGTTAAACATCTATAATTCCTTCCCACATTCACTCAACATTTACCACCACTCCCAAGATAAGCAACCCCCACTTTAAGGTATTATAGTGTCAAACACTGCAATAAAGGAAAGAGTGACTTAGAGCAGCTGGTAAACATAGGCTTCTGATTCAAGAGAATACAGCAAAAAGAAGGGATGATTTTTGTTTTAGACAAGAATTCAGAGAGTTTCAAAATTCTATTACTACTTCAAAACCTCATTCTATTAGATGATATACAACTTAATTTATAACTTAGTTTCACTTTTCCTTCAGGCCAAACTATATGTAAAACAATAACAAGGCCCACTAAATTTTATTTTTTGTATTGTACATTCATTTTGTTGTGGAACTCTGGTTTGTTGGAGTCAACTGCAGCAATGTTTCATAATTTACTCTGGTAAATTTCTGCTGGTTTTTGCAAAGAGAAACTTGAAGAATTTTAGCAAAGATTGATGTGCTGCACAAAATACCTTCACAAATCAAATTCAGAATGCTGAGAGACAACATCAAAGGAAAAATTGTTTCTACCATCTTTCAGAAAGAAATCTTTGCAACCATGTCTAACCAAGGGTTTATATAATATAGCATTCTTAATGGGATTTGGTTTTGTCAGGAAATACATTAAATTGAGTAACACTCAAAGGAGAGACAAAAAAACCCACAAGACTGTCTTTGGATTTCAGTCTTAAAGTCATTCTTTACCAAATAGCGGTAACAACCCCATTAACCCAGTTCACATCTCCACACTGTTAGTTGATTCACTTGATTTCATACACTGTTGGTATACATTTTAAGTAAAAGCTCTTTTAAGTTTTAAAGATCTCTATCCCCATAGTCAATGATGCAAAGGTTCAGGCCCCAGACACTAAATTGTAGTGCTTGGAAAACAATAAAAAGACAAATTTTACAGTGTTTCCCAATTAATCAAAGGAATACTTGATCTAGGATTGAACCATAGCCCCTGTAGTCATAGATGACTTCCTTAGATAATATAATCTACTAACCAGTAAGAATTTACCATGTTGTAATTTTGTGATTATTTTTGCTTTTATTTGTTATATGGGTTTTTAGAAATTAGGAATCTACTACAGGCACCATTAAAAAAAACATCGTTGTCTCACCCAATGACTCTAGAAATCCTTGAGAAAGTATGGTGGGGAGTTCATCACCAAATGGATTTTAATACCTGGGCGCATGTTTCTCAAACCGGTGTGCATTGGAATCACAGTGGTTGAGTTGAAGCACCTACAATCTAGTGAGTTCAACAGGTGATATAGATGCCCATCCAAGTTTTAGAACCACTGATCTAGATTGCACATCCAAAATCCCTTCCATTTTGTCCCAGAAATTAATTTTTACTGTATCTTGCCTTATCAAATCTGATTGAAATGTAGTTTTTCCTTAATTTCTAAGACTGCCAATAGCCTTTGTCAATTCTGTATATAATTATTCTCTGGTCTTATTAATAACAACTCACTATGCCTGGCTAAGTCTCCCCTGATCCTACGGAGAGAAAAGAAGAGAGAGGTCAGTTCCACCAAAGGGAACACCTGTGGCTGAGTGAGAAGTGAGTTCAATTAGCCTAGTTCAGTGCATCCCAATTTCCTTAGAGAAAAAGAACATTTCCAGCCTTGAAGTAAACTGCTATAACAGCTGAATCTAGATTAAATACGTGACACTGCTTCCCCTTTTTGAAGCTCCTAGTTGTTCAGAAAACACCATGAGCAATCTGTTCACAATTTCCTGTAGCCAGACCAACACTAATTCCCAATGATGTCAGTCACTTCTTCTTAATGAGATTTTGCACAGCCCTTTGCCATCGTACAATTTGTTCTTAAAGAGAACATGCTAAGATATAGTTTGTTCTTGCTGCATTTCATTGACCTGGAGAAGTGCCTGGAACATAGTAGGCACTCAATAATAAATATTTGTTGAATGAATGAATGTTTTCTTGCACTTCATGTGATCTTTATAATTATTAAGACATAATAAACTTAGTTAACAGTTACTCTGTAAAATATCAAGAGTTATCTTTCTAATTATTGACCAGAGTTGACTTCCATTTGCAAACACATTCATCAATGAAACTTGTTTAAGGACAGCATTAATTCAGAGGTTTCTTGCCTATACCATAATACAGTTCTGATGCAATTCCAGATTTTCAGTATTAGTTTATAAATTTAGACTATTTGATGCCAGTTAATACAGGGTGGCCCTAAACTTCATCTTAATGTTTTTTGATGCATGAGCCCAGTTATAAAAGACTTTCTATCCTTAAATATACAAGCAGAATCCATGGTATAGCCATTTGAATAATTTTGCTGTGTCTAAAATGGCTAGTAGAGTTTCTAGGATGGGCACCCCTTGTTTTCTATTAACCCATCAATAGAGTTCTCTTTCTACTTATTTGGAAGCTAAAAGTACTTTCTATTTAAGTAGAACTTAGATTATAAGAATTGAAACTACAAATTTTACCTAACCATGCAGAGACAGACTCTATCCAATAGAGATGATTTCTAAAAGTTGTCAATCAAATTTTATAAACTGATTATAACAATACTATACTTAATACTGGGAAGTTCATCAGTTGATGTGATTCTATAATATTGCCTTTTTACCTTTTTGCCTTTGCCTTTGCTTTTGTCTTTGTCTTTTTGTAGGCTGCTGAAAAATATAAATCCTTTCACTAACAACAAATTTATTGTTTATCTTATTAAAATGATGTCTTGTTTTAGCAGCTCAGGGAGACCCTTTTGAATATTGTTCATATTTTAAAGGGATACATTAAGGCATTTAAGAACACAGAAAATTATCAGCCAGGTGAAACTTTGCTCAGATAAATTTTCTTTCATTCAATAAATATTTATTAAAATGTTCTCTAAGCCAAGCATTAAGCAACAGAAAACAAGATAGTCACCATGCCTGCACTCATAAAGTTTACACTCAGGACTGAAACATAAACATTAAGAAAATGCAAGTGCAACAGGTATCAAGAAAAGAGGCATTCAATTTGATAGAGGAATAAAGTGATATTTGCAAGGCCATCCTGGGGATGTGGTATTTAGGTTGAGACCTGAACAACGAGTGACAATTTGCCAAGCACAGTGAGAAGAAACAGCATGCTCTTGATCCAAAGGCAAGAGACTGTCATGTGAAAAGAATCGGACCAAGCCCAGGAAGATCAAGGTACAGAAGAGATGGGCAGCAATTTGGAAGAGGAGGATGGAGATATGAGCAGGTCTCAGCTTGGAGAAGCCCCTACCACCATGGAAATAAGATGTTTGAGATGTTATCCATAGAACGGTGGAAAACCATTGAAAGGGGTAAATCCAGTATCGTATTAGTGGTTTCGTGAACTTACAGTAAGCATGCAGCACTTGGTCAATTCTTAGAGCCACCTGTCTCAGCCTAAGTTAACACCCAAGAAGCAGAACCAGAGACATGCAGGGCTGGCATGCAGGTAGTTTGTTTTAGCCTGTAAACCCAAAGAACAAGAGAAGGGGCTGGGGAAGAGTGAGACAGAAAAGGAGGGAAAGTCGATTCGGAGGGGCACTATTGAGCAGATCGCTGTGAGCAGCAGGTCTCCAGCCTATTAGGGACACTCCAAGGAGCCACATAGAAGGTGCCTTAGAATCATCCAGGCAAGGGATGGAAAAGGGGAGTATTTATCCACCACCTCCCATTCCCAGTGGGTCCTGGTGGCAACTCCACTGCAAGTCCATGTTGGCACATGCATCCAAATGGTGAAAACGATCCATGCTGATATACCCCAAGACAGCAATAGAGAAGCCCCAGGATTGAGCAAGAGACTCCTGGTACAGCTGAAGTGAGTGTTATCAGACTAATACTACCCTGAAGCTGGATGCAAGAGCAAGGCTGAAATTAAGAGCAAGGCTGAAATTAAGATGTGAGGAAGGAGAAAGGACATATTGACATGACACCCCATTTACCATTCACTCTGGAGTAAATCTGGAATTATTCAGCCACTAATGCAAAACCCAGGTAAAGCATTTGGAGTGCAGGTGCTGGAGAGAAGAGCTGGTCCTCTGGTGTCAAGTGCCATCCACAATTAATGCTTTTGTCTTTCTGAATAACACTTATCATGTGCTGGATTCTGTGCAAAGCCCTTACATTGCCACATTTAATCCTCCTAACAATCACAGGAGGGAGTAAAATCATTATAATTATTTTGGTTATCTATTGCTGCATGGCAAATTATCCCAAACTCAACAGCTCAAAACAACAAGAAACATTTATTATTTCATCTCCTTCCTGTAGGTCAGGAATTTGGGAGGTACATAATTGGGAGGTTCTAGCTCAAGGTATCTTATGCAGTTGCAATCAAGACATCAGCCAGAGTTGCAGACATCTGAATGCATCGCTGGGGCTGGAGGTTGTGCTTCCAAGATGGCTCATTAACATGGTGCTGGTTGCTGGCAGGAAACCTTAGTACCTCCCGTATGGGCCATTCCTCATGCTGCTTGTCTATCCTTACTGCTTACCAGTGGCTGCTGGTTTCTCCCACACTGAGCAATTGAAGAGAAAGGGCAAGGCAAAAGCCACATGGTTTGGATTATCTAACCTCATATATCACACACCCTCGTTTTTACAATAACCCATGGGTTACGTAAGTCAGGCCTAATGAATATGAGAGGAGACTACACACAGGCCTATAGACCAGGAGGTAGGATCAAAGGCCATCTTGGAAGCTGGCCACCACAATCATCATTTAACAATTGAGGTTAGTGGGGCCCAGGGAAGCAAAGCAAGTTCCCCAAGCTTATACAGTAAGATGTAGACTTAAGATTTGAACCTGGGGCCAGGCACGTTGCCTCACGCCCATAATCCCAACACTTTGGGAGACCGAGGTGGGCAGATCACAAGGTCAAGAGATCGAGCCTATCGTGGCCAACATGGTGAAACCCCATCTCTACTAAAAATACAAAAATTAGCTGGGTGTGGTGGCGTGCACCTGTAGTCCCAGCTACTCAGGAGGCTGAGGCAGGAGAACCGCTTGAACCCAGGAGGCAGAGGTTGCAGTGAGCCGAGATCGCGCCACTGCACTCCAGCCAGGTGACAGAGTGAGACTCCGTCTCAAAAAAAAAAAGATTTGAACCTGGCTCTCTCTAAGTTCTATGCTTTATTACTGTACTATACTGTCTCTAAATAACCTAATCCTGAAAACCAAAGATATTTATCCACACAGGGAAACATTTAATCCAAAATAATATCAAAAAGAAAAAAAAACAGTGGAGCCTACCAGTAGACTTAATTTGACACAAATTTCTGACTCTAGCTTTCTTTGTCCACAAACTAAGTTGTCAGATTTATAAACACAGGCATACTTGGGCCAGAATTAATCAAATGTTACACGGTATAGTGCTTTTTCTAAAGGCACAATCTGAGAAAGTTTAATTTAGTAAAATAAACTTACTTCAAAGCAGCCCAGATGGTTTCAATACTACCTTTTAAAAGGGGAGGAGGGAAATTTAGGGTATGATAATGAGACATGAAAAACCTTCTGTCCTCTCTATGGGATGGAAGCAAGGACTGCTTTCTTCTACTTCTTATTTAGAAGACATGAGAACCAAAGGCCTGATGACTCAGTGTTGCTGTAAGTCATCCAGGATGCTGAACTCAACTGCTTTGCGAGGAGCCTGGGGTTACAGTTCTCAGTAGCACAGGGCTGTGCAATTAAAGCAAAATGTGAAAACCCAAAAACAAAGAAAGGTATGTTAAAGGATATTCTCCACCTGTACCCATGTAGTATTACCAGAGGGCCCTAATATAATCATTTAATGAACCCTAAGTATTGGAGTAGAAACATGAAAAAAAAAAGGAACGTTTGTCATGCTTTAGTCAATATCAAGTACTTTGGCATTTGAGTCACATGCAGAAAGTCGAGAGACAATATTCTCAGTGTAGAGGGAGAAGCTATGTTCTCAAGACCTCCTATTAGTCACACCAAGTCCTAGCTTTGATCATTCCACAGCATCTGCAGGCCCACCTGCTAATGTGGGAAGGAAGCCATTCAATGGCTATAAACCATTTGAGATCTCACTAATGAGGATGTCTGTCTGACTCTCCCAGGTTCTGTCCTCCTCTTCGACTCCTCCAGAACAATACCCCCATTGTTCAATGTAAATAACAATTGTAGAGCTTCAAGTACTAGTTCCTTCCAACTACAGTCATTCTGAAAGCTTTTGCTCTCTGCATTTCTTTCTCTTTTATGAAAGTTAACAACAAACAGGCAGATCACGGGCTGCAATCCACAGAGTAAATTAAAGCCATTCCATACTCAACAGTTTCCAGACATTTTTCATATCTGCAGACCAGGCCTACAAACTCAATTATTTTCATTCATTTCAACTTCTGTTCCAAAGCCCTGAGAATGGAATAAATTAGGCGGCTGATCTTTAAAGCACTATTTCTTTAGAGAATGCAATTCACAGGATAGACACCATTTCCTATGGAAAAACAGCTTCAGAAGTAGGGTAAGAGATACGCAACTGTGTTCAATGAGATTTCAACGGAGACAGGAATGTTGAACAAAAAGAAGCAGAGGCTCCAACTCAATAAAGCACCTTGAACATTCCAGGGTCTTTGATCTTAAAAAATGAAGCTTTGGAATACCACTGTAACAGTCTTCTGGAATATTTCCAGTTTTGTTGTTTCCTGAGAGAAAGGAATCTCAAAAACATGTGGACATGCAGAAATCTCATCATGTTTTTTGATTTCATCTCCCGGTCCCATACCTTTTCAGATGCACTCATGCTAACCCTCTGAGATACATTGCTACAAAGGATGTATACATTTGTGTGGAACAGAAAATCTCCAAATCAATTTGAAGACAAGTGCCAAAACAAAAATGAGTGTTTAACCTGGGCTCTCTGAGTCAGGGGGCATTGAATAGTGAGATACAAGAAAGGTTGAAAAAGAAAAAGAAAAAAATGCCAGAGCTTCTGATGAATGGTGGAGAAAGTGCTTCAAGCAATTCTCAAAATTAAAAATCAACTTTGGTTCCCACCTAAAGCCAGAGATATCAATACAACCCTTTCCACAATACCAGAAATAAGTGGATATATTATGACACGATGAAGCTTAAGCTCTGCCCTCCCAGGACAACTCTGTTCCTCATTTTATATTTGTAGTTTTCAGTTATTTTTCTTATATAATCCTCCCTCAATTGTTTAAGATTTAGGGTCTTTAAAATATGTATTCATTTCTTCACCACACATTTGCAGAAGCATTCCTGCATTGCTTTTTTGTTTTGTTTTGTTTTTTAACAAATATAACCAAACACAAAGAGCAACAAAACACTTCAAGCTGGTTACCCAGTGACTATGCTTGAAATCCTTCAAAGGCTTCCTATGATACTTTGAATAAAATCCAGACTCCTTACTGTATTCTGCAGAACCCTCCATGATCCAGCAATTTCTTCCTCAATCCCAAATCATTCTGTTCTCCCTCTAACCCATATTCTGATCACACCAGCCTCCTTGCAGCACCTCTGCATTGCCAATCTCTTTCCTACCTCAAATCCTTTGGTCGTTGTTTCTGCTATTGCACCCTTCTTCCCCTTTTCACATTGCTGGCTCCATCCTCTTTGGGGGCTTCTGGCCCTACCTGATTACTCTAAATAAATAATCATGCTCTCTATCTCCTCACTCCCACTCGGGGTTCTCTATTATACCCCCATGTTCTACTTTTTTTTTTTCTTAGTAACTGTCCATCTCCACTGCAATCCTGCAAGCTCCATCAAGGCGGCAGTGGTGTTTGTTTTGTTCATCACTACAGAGGATCCAGCTCCTAGTCAGTGCCTGATGTGTAGTGCCCGCTCCATCAAACTGTGTGCAGGCCGGGCGCGGTGGCTCACGCCTGTAATCCCAGCACTTTGGGAGGCCGAGGCAGGGGGATCACAAGGTCAGGAGATCGAGACCATCCTAACTAACACGGTGAAACCCCGTCTCTACTTAAAAAAAACTAGAAAAATTAGCCGGGCGTGGTGGCGGGCGCCTGTAGTCCCAGCTACTAGAGACGCTGAGGCAGGAGAATGGCGTGAACCCGAGGGGTGGAGCTTGCGGTGAGCCGAATCGCGCCACTGCACTCCAACCTGGGCGACAGAGTGAGACTCCGTCTCAAAAAAAAAGAAAACAAACAAACAAACAAAAAACTGTGCAAAGAATGGTGAATGAGTCCTGCAATCAATTAATTTCCCAGTAATTGAACATAACTCTTTAAAGCACAGAAACTAATAAGAACATCAACAATAACAATTTCGGGGCCGGGCGCGGTGGCTCACGCCTGTAGTCCCAGCACTTTGGGAGGCCGAGGCGGGCGGATCACGAGGTCAGGAGATCGAGACCATCCCGGCTAAAACGGTGAAACCCCGTCTCTACTAAAAATACAAAAAATTAGCCGGGCGTAGTGGCGGGCGCCTGTGGTCCCAGCTACTTGGGAGGCTGAGGCAGGAGAATGGCGTGAACCCGGGAGGCGGAGCTTGCAGTGAGCCGAGATGGTGCCACTGCACTCCAGCCTGGGCGACAGAGCGAGACTCCGTCTCAAAAAAAAAAAAAAAAAAAAAAAAACAATTTCGGTGGAAATCTTCCCATGTCTTTTAAAATTGACAACTTGAATGTAATATAACATTTTCCTGGCAATTCTTTGCTTATTACAGGTTGGTGACTGTGCCCTGGGTGGTAGAGTTTGCCAGATAAGCCATCCCTGAATCAGTGAAGTGTGATTGAACAATTAAATGACTAAAATGGTATAGCCTCCATACCCATTTGCATTCTTTGCACTTCTAGTCTAAAAAGGGCAAGACAAATGCAATTGTGTTGTGGAGAAATATTTGGATTCTTTTGGAGAGAAAAGGAAAATCAAAGAAAAATATTATGCATGGTATGAATTGGGAGTTTATAATTCAGAAATTTACTAAAAATAATGACAAGAACCGAAAGTGAAAAAAGTAGCTTTATTTTTAGATATCTCTCACATGTGAGAGAATAACCTGATATTGGCCAATAACCAAATTAATTATTTGTTTCTCCATGAAGACTCCTTTCTGAATTAGAAGGAGAAAGAGGTGAATTGAAGAGCAGATTGAAAATGGAGATATAAAATCAATGACTCTTTTTTAAGGATGAGTCATCATGGCTTTTCTAGATGATTGATTGTGAAGTGGAAGAAATAGAACGAATTAAACTATAAGCATTTGAGCCCAGTAGTTCTCTGGGGCACTCTTCTCCACTATTTGAACTATCTTTATTTCATAAGCTAAGACTAAAAACATTGCCAAAGTGAACTGGTTCTCCAGAGTTTCTAGAGTGCATTATTATCATTCTCTAAAATGAAAATACATCTGATACTTCAAAAGACACATTGTTATGTTTTTTAATGTTTTGCTTATATTTCATCTCATTTTGAAAATGATTGAAGTAGCTTATAATAAATACACATAAACAATAAGCAAGTAAATAATTGCAATTGGAAACTAATTCTAAGTGAAAGACAATTATATCTAAGCTAATATCAAGAATGGACAATGACATTACATTTAACTCTGAGCTTTCTAGATGCCAAAATAAGGGCCAGTGATGAATTATGCATTGTTTATCTGAACAAAAGAATTATTTATTTAAGAGTTACACATCTTCTAAGACATATTTATGCATTTATTGCATGGATCCTTTTACAAATGCATTTAGACAACATAATAGACAACCACAAACAACTCCTGTCCAAATGTTTATAGGTTCACTAATGCATACCTACATATTAGTAAATAATTTATTTATGCACAAGTATGCTATGTGTGCATACATGTATATTTCTGAGTTACAGCATGTAATCTATATACACACATGTACATAACCATACATACAGATATACATATATGAAGTATTATGTTGGTACAAAAGTAATTACAGTTTTGCCATAGAACGTAATGCAAAAACTGCAATTACTTTTGCACTAATCTAATAACTCAGAGAAAGTGTTTCTCTAAAGGGGTAATGAAGTTGTGTAGATTGCTGGCAATGATGGCCCCAATTCTTTTCATCCCTGCGTGCTAACACTTGGTAATGTGATTTTGTCACTCCCTTGTCAAGTGGTAGAGTATAGTTCTCTTCCCCTTGCATCTGAGCTGTCTCTGTGGCCAGCTTTGGCCAATAGAAATGACTTTGTATGGCTTCCTAGCCTGGGCTTCAAGAGGCCTTGCAGCTTCTGCTCTCACACTCTAGTCCAGGCTAGCCCTCTTATGGATAAAAGCACATGCTAGCCCTCTTGAGGATAACAACCACCCTCAGAGAGAAGCCCAGCTGATGGTCAGCACCACCTGCCAGACAGTTGAAGAAAGCTTCTTTAGGCCATCTCACTCCAGTCGAGATACCAGATAACTACAGCTGCATGAGTGATCCCAGGAGAAGCCAGCAGAAGAACTGCCCAGCTGCAAACAACTCAAACTGGTAACCACCAGAATCATAAGCTAAATAAATTATTGTTTTAAGCCATTGAGCTTTAGGGTGGTTTTTATATAGCAACTGTTGATATAAGATTCAAGGTATAAAATTTCCTTATTTAATAACAGAAAAAAAGTGGAGTAATCTAGGGAACTATGGTTGCTCACATCACATTTCCCTAAGTTCTTTAAGGAGTTCTGAGAAAAGGGAGATGAAGAATTTACTTAGCTACATGTTTTTACCCCTTGGGTAGAATAAGTGTAAACTTACTTTTTTTTACAATACTTGCTCTTCTGACTTTTAAAAAGATAGATTTTAGTTAAAGGAAAGAATTCCTAGCAACAGCCCACATATTTTCTATTTCCTATTGCAGTCAATATGTTCCTAACTTTTTGGCCTGAATTTTCCAGGATAGTCCTGAGTTGTCATCATCAATCTATGCATTATTAGGCCTAATCTTCTGATTTGGAGTTGGAACAATATAGAAGCTATGGTTTGGCTGTGTCCCCACTCAAATCTCATCTTGAATTCCCACGTGTTGTGGAAGGGACCCAGTAGGAGGTCATTGAATCATGGGGGCAGGTCTTTCCTGTGCTGTTCTCAAGACAGTGAATAAGTCTCACAGATCTGATGGTTTTATAAGGGGGATTTTCTCTGCACAAGTTCTCTGTCTTTGCCTGCTGCCATTCATGCATGATGTGACTTGTTCCTCCTTGCCTTCCACCATGACTGTGAGGCATCCCCAGCCATGTGGAACTGTAAGTCCATTAAACCCTTTCTCCTATATAAATTACCCAGTCTCTGGTATGTATCAGCAGCATAAAAACTAACTAATACAGATGCTATATCTATATATTTTGAATACCAAAAGTATAATTGGCAAGTTAGGCATTTTCTTAAGGCATTTTCAAAGCCTGATCTGTATTCTCGCCAGATGGACAACACCCCCCAACTTTTCACAAAAGCATGTTATTCTTTTAATGCATGCAGATCAACAAAGCATGCACATTGAAGGACGTGCTGTCACTGGTATTGAAGATAAGACTCACGTGGACTGTGGCAAAAATAGAAATGGGAGACCAAAAAATATGTCTAATCTATTAGTCCAACCTAGTGATGATGGTGACTTGAACTAGAGTGTTGGCAATGGAACTGGGGAGAAGGGATGACTTCAAGGTTTTCTTTGAAATAAAAATGACAGGCCTCACAGAGAAAAGAAACGAGTAACCACTAATTCTGCTCTGAACAATTAAGTGGGTGGTAAAGGCACAAGGTGTGTGTGTGTGTGTGTGTGTGTGTGTGTGTGTGTGTGTGTGTGTGTAGGCAGGTTAAGTTTGAGATGCTTGTGAGACATCCAAGTATACATGTCAAGTATATAGTTAGATAGATGGGCCTGGAATGCAGATGAAAAATTAAAATGGGAATATTAAGTGTAGTGGGCAAAGGGGCTAGCAGAGGATAGTGAAGTTAAAGAAATCAAGTGTCAAATCAGTTAGAGCTTTATAGGATCCATAGTAAGAGCTTTGGATTAATTCCAGTGGCTTTGGAAACTATGGGAATTTTTTTAATAGGGATGTAAAAAATCTGAGTTACATTATAAAAATTACTTTGGCTGCAGTGAGAAGTAATGTGTGGAAAGCCAAGTTATTATAAACTAGACATGATGGTGGCCTGAGGTAGTATGTTAACAGTGAAGACAGTGAGCAGTGGCTGGGTTGGGGACATGACTTGAAGGAAGAACCAGCAAGACTTGCTGACAGATAGATGTCCTGCAGAGAATATTCTTGAGCAAATGAGCTATGAGGATAACAAAATGAAATAGATTTGAGATTTCAGAGGTGATGCAATTTCTGGATTTAACAAGATCCAAGGCATGTCCACAGAAGCGTGGACAGCACCAAAAAAAATTTAAAAAGAGAGAGTGAAAATTAGGAAACCATGCTGTTAAATGAAAAATGAAAACTTTGTATAAGGTATATTGATAATCTTGTGACTCTTACATCAGCAGTGACCATGATGACACAAACGATCAGCTGTGTCCTGTTTTGTCCATTTGACACAATCCTGTAACCAAACAGCAATCTCTCTACAGATCTTCCCAGTAACCACCACCGGAAAACAAATACAGTCATGTACCACATAACAAATTTTCAGTCCACGATGGACCGCATATATGACAGTGGACCCATAAAATTATTATGGAGCTGAAGAATTCCTATCACCTAGTGACATCATAGCCATCCTAATATAGTACAACGCATTACTCACGTGTTTGTGATGATGCCGGTGTAAACAAACCTACTGTGCCGTCAGTCATATAAAAGTGTAGCACATGCAATTATATACCCCATATAGTACTGGATCATAAATGACTATGTTGCTGGTTTATGTATTTACTATACTATACATTTTATCATTATTTTAGGGTATACTCCTTCTACTTGTTAAAAAAAAATAAGTTAACTGTAAAACCGTCTCAGGTAGGTCTTTCAGGAAGTATTCCAGAAGAAGGCATTGTTGTCATAGGAGATGACAGCTCCGTGGGTGTTACTGCCCCTGGGGACCTTCCTGTGGGACAAGATGTTGAGGTGGAAGACAGTGATATCAATGATCCTGACCCTGTGCAGGCCTAGGCTAATAGGGGTGTTTGTATTGTCATTTTAAATTTTCATAGAAAAAGGCAAATAGGATAAGGATATTGTATTAGTCAGGGTTCTCTAGAGGGACAGAACTAATAGGATAGATTTATATATAAAGGGGAGTTTAATAAGAACTATTGACTCACACAGTCACAAAGGGAGGTCCCACCATAAGCCGTCTACAAGCTGAGGAGAAAGGAGAGCCGGTCTGAGTCCCAAAGCTGAAGAACTTGGAGTCTGATGTTCAAGGGCAGGACACATCCAGCATGGGAGAAAGATGTAGGCTAGAAGACTAAACCAGTCTATACTTTCCACATTTTCCTGTCAGCTTTTATTCCAGCCGTACTGGCAGCTGATTAGATGGTGCCCACCCAGATTGAGGGTGGGTCTGCCTTTCCCAGTCCACTGACTCAAATGTTAATCTTTGGCAACACCCTTACAGACACAGCCAGGAACAATATTTGCATCCTTAAATCCAATCAAGTTGACACTCAATATTAACCATCACAGATATCAAGAAAAAAATAGTTTGTACAACTGTAAAATGGACTTGCATTTTTAAGCTAAGTGTTATAACAGGAGGCAAAAAGTTTTTAAAGAGTTTACAAAGAAAAAATTTTTAGTAAGTTGAGGTTAAGTTAATATCAAAGAAAGAAAAATATTTTTTATAAATGTAGTGTGGCCTAAGAGTACAGTGTTGGTGAAGGCTACAGTAATGTACAGTCCTGGGCCTTCACGTTCATTTACCACTTACTCACTGACTCACCCAGAGCAACTTCCAGTCCTGCTGAAAGTTCCATTCATGGTAAGTGCCCTATAGAGGTGGACCATTTTTATCTTTTACCTCATTTTTACTGTGTCTTTTTTGATGTCTAGAGATGTTTAGGTACATAAATACTTACCATTATGTTATAATTGCCTACAGTATTCACTATAGTAACATGCTGTACAGGTTTGTAGCCTAGAAGCAATAGGCTACACCATATAGCCTAGTTGTGTAGTAGGCTATACCATCTTGGTTTGTGGAATTACACTCTATGATGTTCACACAATGAAAAAAATCACATAATGATGCATTTCTCAGAATGTATGCCCATCATTAAATGATGCATTACTGTTAATCAAAACAACCACCATTACATAATATAAAACAGGCATATCTTGGTGCCCAGATCCTCACAGTTCCCACAAAGAAGTGTACTCTTGCACTCTAGCCTTGACATGATGCCACATTCAGATGAGCATCCATCCAACATCAATCAAAAAGAAAAACCGAAAAGGTATTGAAATCTTTTCAGTAAACATTCACAAAATGTCCCTGGGAGATTTCATCCTCAAAACACTTCAAAACCTCTTTTTGCTCTCAAAAATCCACAAAACCAGGTACTGCAACTGTCCCCAGCCTCCTTTCTGTCTCTACCACTTCCCAGAATTTTCTCTGAAACCTGGCCCACTCTAGTTTTTTCTTTCATGTCCTTCAGTCTCTTAATCTTTTTCATTCTGAGGAACTATTTGGCCTAACCTTAATCAATCAAGCTCATTTTTGTCCTTTTCATGACCCAGTTCTGCATTACGAAGGCCCAGAAACTAAGCTGGTGAAGTCAGTGTTCTCCTGAGCAAACACAGAAGAGAAAATGCTGTGATATTTCTTCGTCCTGTCACAGAAGTCACGAAGCAGAATCACCTAAAAAGCTTGTCAAGGCTGGGCACAGTGGCTCAAGCCTGTAATCCCAGCATTTTGGGAGCCCAAGGTGGGTGGATCACCTGAGGTCAGGAGTTCAAGACCAGCCTGACAAACATGGAGAAACCCTGTCTCTACTAAAAATACAAAATTAGCTGGGCGTGGTGCCACGCGCCTGTAGTCCCAGCTACTTGGGGGGCTGAAGCAGGAGAATCGCTTGAACTTGGGAGGCAGAAGTTGCTGTGAGCCGAGATCACGCCACTGCGCTCCAGTCTGGGCAACAAGAGCGAAACTCTATCTCAAAAAAAAAAAAAAAAAAAAAATATAGCTTGTCAAAGTGCAGATTCGTAAGCCCATCCTCAGAGACTTTAGTTCAGTAGGTCTGAGTGGGGCCTGAATATGCACATTTCAAACAAGCTCCTAGGAGGATACTGATACTGCCAGCCCACCAACCTCATCAGGAGCGGCACTGGTAGAGCCCCTGGGAAAAATTCCTAAAGGTCTTTTGTGCAGAATACAATTCACCACAGCATTTGATAGTAATGCATATCTATGCTTTTCTTCTTTCAAGATATATATGTGTATATTCATACTCTTTCAGAATAGGTTAGACGATAGAAGATTTATCATAGATAGAACTCATTCAGGAAAAAAAGAGAGGGAGGAAAGTAAAGAAGAAGTAAGGAGAGAAGAAGGAAAGAAGGGAGAGAAGGAGAAAAAGGAGAGAAGGAAGGAAGGAAAGAAGGAAGGGAGGGAGGGAGGGAGGAAGGAGAAAGAGAAAGAAGGAAGGAAGGAAAGAAAGAAACAAAGAAACAAAGAAACAAAGAAAGAAAGAAAAGAAAAAAAAGAAAGGGATGGATGGAGGGAGGGAGGAAGGAAGGAGAAAGAAAAAGAAAAGAAAGAAGAAAGAAAAAGAAAGAAAGAAGGAAATAAAGAGAAAGAAAGAAAAGAAAGAAAGAAACAAAGAAAGAAAGAAAAGAAAAAAAAGAAAGGGATGGAGGGAGGAAGAAAGGAGAAAGAAAAAGAAAAGAAAGAAGAAAGAGAAAGAAAGAAAGAAGGAAGGAAAGAAAGAAGGAAGAAAGAGAAAGAAAGAAAGAAGAAAGAGAAAGAAAGAAAGAAGGAAGGAAAGAAAGAAGGAAATAAAGAGAAAGAAAGAAAAGAAGAAAGAAAAAGAAAGAAAGAAAGAAAGAAAGAAAGAAGGAAAGAAAGAAAGAGAAAGAAAGAAAGAAAGAAAGAAAGAAAGAAAGAAAGAGAAAGAAAGAGAGAAAGAAAGAAAGGAAGGAAGGAAGGAAGGGCAGGAAGGAAGGAAGGGCAGGAAGGCAGGAGGAGGGGGAGGGGGAGAGAAGAGGGAGGGGAGGGAAGGAAAGGGAAGGGGGAAAGAAGGGAAGGGAAGGGAAGAGGGATAAGAAGGAAGGGAAGGAGGGAAGGGAAGGAAGGAGACAGGGAAGGAAGAGACAAAGAAAGAATTTGGGATCCTCCCTGTTCACTTGTCCAGCCACAAGTGGTAAGTCCCGTCTACCACATTGCCACCTGCTAAGGATGGGCATCTTCAGGGTACAGGCCTCTAGGACAGCAATGTTTATTGCTCCCTTCCTGCCTATTATCTAATCTGATAACATCTCCAAGATTCCTGCAGATGGCCACAAACTCTACTATTATATAGCCAATGCGCCTGCAATACTGTGGGCATCAGAAATGTCTGCGGACTAAGGCAGCTCAGACACGGTTTCTCAAACCTTCAAATGAGACTCCTCCACAGTGTCTCACCCTTCGGCCCTGCTCATAGTTGTTGCACAACTGCAGGTTTTATCATGAAAAGTCATCAGTCCTCTTCCCCATCTCTCTCTAATACTATCTTCATTCCTATGAAGCAACCATCTTTTACTATTTTAGTTGCTTCCTAAAGTATTTGCCTCTATATTTCTAAATTGTGTTTCTTTTTTTCTATTTTATATAATATCTATTTTTTTCTACTATAGGCAATGCAAATTTAGCTCCCTAAACTATGCTTCATACAGGTATTTTCCTTCCTCATCTTGGAACACAGTTTTATTACTTCTGAATAAATCAGTATATCATGTTTTTATTATGACTGTAACTATGATTCATCATTGAGTCAAATAGTGTATTATGATTGCATTTCCCTGTCTTAGTTCATTTGCGCTGCTATAACAAAATATCATAAACTGGGTAATTTATAAACAACAGAAATGTATTTCTCACAGTTCTGGAGGATCAGAAGTCCAAGATCAAGGTGCTGGCAGATTGGATGTCTGGTGAAGGCCTGCCTGCCTCCTGGTTCGTAGACAGCTCTTTTCACTATAACCTCATATTGTGCAAGAGACAAGGGGTCTCTCTTGAGCCTCTTTTATAAGGGCACTCATCTCATTCATGAGGGCTCTGCCCCCATGCCATTTTCATTCCCAAAGACCCCACCTTCTATACCATCACCTTGGGGGTGAGAATTTCAGCATTTAAATTTGTGAGGGAAACACACATTCACACCTTAGCATTCCCTCTTTAAAATAATTTTGTGTTATTTGTAAAATAAATAGCTTCTTTTTTACCTACATTTCTTTCTTTGAGGCCCTGCCTAAATCTTCCTATACTCTTCGATAACTTTCCATTTAATTTTCTACATGGGCAAAACTATCGTATTTATGTATCAGTTCCATTTTTTTTTCCTGGAAACATTTTTCCCAAGCCTGCCATTATCCTGTACGTGATGCTGTCGGCCTGCAGGATTTCCCTTCTCTTTCTCATTCTGAATCCCTGATGTCCTGGATTCCCTGTCTTCCTCTTTCTTGATTTAATCCCTTGTTTTGTAGGATACATCCTTCAATAGCTTACTGAGAAGAGTGTGTGGGAGATCTAAAAATAATAAAGAGACCATGTCTGCTTGAAATGTCTTTATCTTAATTTCACACTGGTTTGGTCATCTCTTGAAGTATACATTTCTAAGTTGGAAATAATTCTTCTCGGAAATTTGAAGCATTACACCAGTGCCTTCTAGCTTCCCGTCTTGCATTTGAGAGACTGGATGACGTTCTTAGTTTGGATCCCTGTATGTGGCTTAATTCTGTTGTTTTCTCTATGGGAACTCCTCTTTGTAGCCATATTTCTGAAATATCATGAAATTCAACAAGACCTGGAACAACTTTATTTTCAGTCATCATTGTATTAGGTACTCAGCGCCCTTTTGTATCTAAAAACTCATGTCTTTCAATTCTGAAAATTTTTTGGTATAAATCTTTGATAGTATTTCTCCTCTATTTTCTCTATTCTCTCTTTCTGAATTACATATTATTTGGATGTTAAAATTATATTACCTTCTAGTTTCCTTATATTTCTCTCCCATTTTTCACTCCTGACTTTTGATCTACTTTCTAGAAGTCCTCAAACTGATCCAGGTTTGGTGGCTCATGCTTGTAAGTCCCAGCTACTTGGGAGGTCAAAGCATGAGGATTACTTGAGCCCAGGAGTTCAAGGCCAGCCTGAGCAACATAGCAAGACCTTGTATGTTAAAAAAAAAAACTAAAATAAAAAAAACACATCCTAAAACTTATCTTCTAAACCTTCTATTGAACTGTTTACATCTGCTACTATATTTTTATTTTTCATGAGCTTTCATTCCTTAATAAATGCTTTTAGTCCTTTAATAAATATTTTGATAAGACTCTTATTTTTGTTTTATATATATAAATTGCCTTCTCTCTCTAAGGATATTATTATCTTTCTCTCCCCCATCCCCCTGTTTCTTTTACAATTTTGGGGATCCCTGCACTAAACTTTCTCTTCTGATTTTTTTTTTATTTTGGTTTTTGTCTTCACATTACAACCTTCCTCTTGGTGAACCCTTCATATTTAAAGGTCAGCCACCAAAATCCTTACTGGAAGCTCTGTGTGCATGGTTTGCCAAGGGACAGGCTCCACTGTAGGATGCTTGGTAGGGACATGGCAGGGATGTGGCCATTCGGTGCCCACAGATCTCTCCCCCACTCTCCTGCCAGTGTCCCGGAAACAGAACAGGAAAAGAAGTCAGGGGAGTCTCCCAGTTAAAATGTAGACTTTCATTAAATCCTGTCTCCACATGGCTTCAATCCCATCTTTACCTGCCAACAGGCACATTTTTATTTGTCACAGTTTGCATCCTGATTGATCCTTAGAAACACACGGTCATCATCAATGTGAAGACTACGGAGTTAGGGTAGGCCTGGGAGCTTTATCGTAGGGTGGAAGGGAAACAAACCAGAGGATACCCTCAGTGCACTAAGACCATGGTTAGAGGAAGCAGAAGAGGTGCCAGAATCTGAGGGCAGCAAGAGGTGAGAGTAGCACGCAGGAGAGAAGGTGCATATGTGCACTTTGCTAACTTTTATGCTCGTCCTCATTTACTCACTTCCAATGGGCCAAGACAATTGACTTTTAATTCTCTCTACCCACTCCCATCTTGCTCTGTCTCATGGGGTAGAGAAGTGGCAGGGAAAGTAATTCTAACTCAGGGAGTTTACACCACAGGAATATGCCCATCTGATGTCAACTGTGAACAGAACTGCTTACCGGGAGGCTCTATCGTGAACATGCCTGGTTTAGCAGAAATTCTGCTTGTGATCTTATGGTTCATTTCCCCAAATAATGTCATCAAAAAATATAATGGATAATCACTGTTGTGTAAATGAACTGCAATTTTAAAAGGCATAATAACAGACCTTGTGTATTCCGACCATCAAAAGGAATGTTCCCAGCCCTCCTCCTATTTCTCTTGGAACATCAGCAAACTGAATTGCAAGGGAAGTATAATAAAAAGATCTCAAGTTATCCTGCAGACATGAAGACATGGGAAGTTGGCTATAAAATTACATTTGGGTATTTTTTCTTATTCCCTGTTCAAACTCTGTCCAAAATTTCTCTATGAAATAGGAAACTTTCTTCCCCTTTCCCGCCTCTGCACTCTGCATGTCTAGAACTAACTAGCCTTTTATAAACTCTCCCCTTTATTCCCCACCCCAGCCCTAAATACTCAGCAGCATTAGAGGCTCATTCTTCATTGCCTTCACTGTTAAGAAAAAAAAATTGAACCCATAACAAAGAGCTTCCTACCACTGCCAAGATAAATTGTGATCAATCACAAAAAGCAGTACATAATCCAAGAGAATGAGTATCAGCAGTTTCAGAGAAAACCAAGATGTGTAACCAAATAAACGCAATATGCTCCTAAATACCTGGGAATCAAATTTGTAATATAAAAGGCACAGGTGTCTTAGGAGTTATTGATTAAACTCCAAACTGAAGTTCATATGGTATTTCAATAGCAAGAACCACGAGCTGTTTTCCCTTGCTTCTCCTTTTCTTTCACTTTTTTCTCCCCCCCCATTCTTCTCTGGATTGAAAACTGAGGGATAGTGTTAACTAATGATGATGTGAATTATAATCAAATCACATTCACTGTTGGGGTATCACTAGAATATACTGATTCTTTTTTCCCTTAGACTTTTAAGCATGCAAGATGTGGTCCATATGTTCATTCCTTTGTTCCTTTGTTCTGCATCTTGATCATAATTCATGGTCCTGCAATCTAAAGAGTATGTTACAGGCTCAACACTGGGACACTCAAAGCAAGTTCTGTTTAAAAGATGTGTGGTGGGTCAAGCCTGAATAATCCAAAGGAACTCCAAAGCATAAACTAAGGTCATAAATGTTTAAGGAAACCTAGCCTTGAGTTTTCCCATAGGACAGAGGGAGGGGAAAGAGAAATCAAATAAATTCCAGCTAGATAAGCAGTCTGAGTGAGGGACAAGAGTAGTGGGGGAATGGGGAAAAGGAGATCATAAAGCCAGGAAAGAGAAAGGTTCATTAAACTCGAGTTTGAAAGGAAATTGTATAAGCAGTTAATAAAGAGATCAAAACACGAGGGGTATGTTCCCAGGACCCTGGGCAAGTCAGCATCTGGCAGCTGACTTGTATATGGTAATGTGAACAAAGTAGATATAGAAAACACAGTGGCTTAAGAATTCCAGAGAGTTCAGAGCGGACATTTTCTGTTTCAGCATTACTGAAATTGTGAGAGATGCAACATAGCTAATTCTTCCATTTAAAAAAATGAAATATTTCCTCCTGGACAATGGCAGTCAAGTTATAAGCATTGTTCGTAAAAAAATCTAAAAAGTCTTTTAGGAAATTTAACTAACAAAATTAAAGAACAATGTATTCCAGATTATATTGTCATTCTTGACCCATTCTAAACTTGTTATTTTTCCTCTGTGTCAAGCAGCTCACCCTAGGCAGTTGTCGGTAGGAGAGAATAATATGCAAAGGTTCATGGCCAGAAGCTGCAGAATAACCAAAATGCCACATTAAACTTTTCTCATGAGAATCCTGCAAAATGCATGTGCGGGAAGCATTTTAGCAAATGTATGTAGGAAAGAAGATTCACCACATAAGCCACTCTTCTCTCTGCAGGAAATGATAGTCCAATATCAACAATGTTTCCTGAAAGCTGACCCCTTAGTCAGAGGAGTCCAGCTGCTCTTGTTAACAACAAAACTATGATTTATCTCTCAAGGATGTAAAGGAATGAAAGGCAAAACTGAGAAAGTTATGACTTATACAGATGAGATTGATCCCATGGGACAATGACTTTCCCACCATTTCTAGCTTCTGTTTTATGCATTCTGGTACCAAAACATATCTCAGGGTCATTCTGGTGTGAAATGCCCCATCACTATCCTGTTACTTCACTTTTTCAGCGTAGTGTTTCCTTTAGCTAGAACTTCATTAATTAAATTGCTTTAATTTATGAAGTAAACATTTTCTGCCAGAACAAGATTCATTGTATTTGACTGTATATTTGTTTTCTTGAACGTGTACTAATTTGCATGGGGTAAGCCATGTTTCCAAGCATGCTGAATAATTTTTCTGAAGCACAATTCCCAATCTCACCTTCCCTTTCATGTTCATTTCAAAAAGAAAGAAGAGAGTTTCTGCTTGAGAAGGCAAATGAATGTAGGAAACAAGAAGTATAATCCACCCAACTCCAAAAAATCCACGCCCAAAGATTCAGTTGATAGGCCAATATTTTTGTCTCTTCTTTTACAAGTCATTATCAGATTCCCTTTCCTAAGTTACTGTAACACCCGTCTTTCTGGAATGTAAACAGTAAAAAAGTTCAGGTTTTACTAAATTTTTTTGTACATTTTACCTCAGTGAAAAAAAAAGGAGAAACAAAACAAACAAATGGAGATCAGAGAATTGGGTTTGTTATTGTAGTTGTGTTGTTTTTCTACTCTTTACAGTAGGTAATAGGATCACACACCTTAGACCTGTTGTCTCCATTTTATACACCCACAATACTCAACCACAGCATGTATGTTTACTCATAATTATATTGTGGCTCTTCATGGCATAAGCCATCAAAAGAAGGTCAAATTAGTTTTAATGTTGCATGTACTATATTTTATTTAATTTTTTAACTGGAAATCTATGTAACTGTTAATTAACCACAACATTTTCTTAACCAGGACACTTCAATGTATGCACATATTTCATACTTGGGAAAAGTAGTCTAAATGCAGTCATAACACACCCACAGAATAGTTTTAACAGGTAAGTAGATCTTGTAAAGAAAATAGATTTTCAGCTCTCCCTCTCCCGCAAATAGATTTTCAGCTCTCGCTCTCGCTCTCGCTCTCGCTCTCCCTCTCCCTCTCCCTCTCCCCTCTTTCCACAGTCTCCCTCTCCCTCTCTTTCCATGACCCTCTCCCCTCTTTCCACGGTCTCCCTCTCCCTCTCTTTCCATGGTCTCCCTCTCATGCCGAGCCAAAGCTGGACTGTGCTGCTGCCATCTTGGCTCACTGCAACCTCCCTGCCTGATTCTCCTGCCTCAGCCTGCCTAGTGCCTGCAATTGCAGGCGCGCGCCGCCACGCCTGACTGGTTTTCGTATTTTTTTGGTGGAGACGGGGTTTCGCTGTGATGGCCGGGCTGGTCTCCAGCTCCTAACCGCGAGTGATCCGCCAGCCTCGGCCTCCCGAGGTGCCAGGATTGCAGACGGAGTCTCGTTAACTCAGTGCTCAATGGTGCCCAGGCTGGAGTGCAGTGGCGTGATCTCGGCTGGCTACAACCTCCACCTCCCAGCCGCCTGCCTTGGCCCCCCAAAGTGCCGAGATTGCAGCCTCTGCCTGGCCGCTACCCCGTCTGGGAAGTGAGGAGCATCTCTGCCTGTCCGCCCATCGTCTGGGATGTGAGGAGCCCCTCTGCCTGGCTGCCCAGTCTGGAAAGTGAGGAGCGTCTCTGCCCGGCCGCCATCCCACCTAGGAAGTGAGGAGCGCCTCTTCCCGGCCGCCATCCCATCTAGGAAGTGAGGAGCGTCTCTGCCCGGCCACCCATCGTCTGAGATGTGGGGAGCGCCTCTGCCCCGCCGCCCCGTCTGGGATGTGAGGAACGCCTCAGCCCAGCCGCGACCCTGTCTGGGAGGTGAGGAGCGTCTCTGCCCGGCCGCCCTGTCTGAGAAGTGAGGAGACCCTCCGCCTGGCAGCCACCCTGTCTGGGAGGGAGGTGGGGGGTCAGCCCCCGCCAGGCCAGCCGCCCCGTCCGGGAGGGAGGTGGGGGGTCAGCCCCCCACCCGGCCAGCCACCCCGTCTGGGAGGTGAGGGGCGCCTCTGCCCGGCCGCCCCTACTGGGAAGTGAGGAGCCCCTCTGCCCGGCCAGCCGCCCCGTCCGGGAGGGAGGTGGGGGAGTCAGCCCCCCGCCCGGCCAGCCGCCCCGTCCGGGAGGGAGGTGGGGGGGTCAGCCCCCCACCCGGCCAGCCGCCCCGTCCGGGAGGTGAGGGGCGCCTCTGCCCAGCCACCCCTACTGGGAAGTGAGGAGCCCCTCTGCCCAGCCACCACCCCGTCTGGGAGGTGTACCCAACAGCTCATTGAGAACGGGCCATGATGACAATGGCGGCTTTGTGGAATAGAAAAGGGGGAAAGGTGGGGAAAAGATTGAGAAATCGGATGGTTGCTGTGTCTGTGTAGAAAGAAGTAGACATGGGAGACTTTTCATTTTGTTCTGTACTAAGAAAAATTCTTCTGCCTTGGGATCCTGTTGATCTATGACCTTACCCCCAACCCTGTGCTCTCTGAAACATGTGCTGTGTCCACTCAGGGTTAAATGGATTAAGGGCAGTGCAAGATGTGCTTTGTTAAACAAATGCTTGAAGGCAGCATGCTCGTTAAGAGTCATCACCACTCCCTAATCTCAAGTACCCAGGGACACAAACACTCTGCCTAGGAAAACCAGAGACCTTTGTTCACTTGTTTATCTGCTGACCTTCCCTCCACTATTGTCCTATGACCCTGCCAAATCCCCGTCTGCGAGAAACACCCAAGAATGATCAATAAAAAAAAAAAAAAAGAAAGAAAATAGATTTTCAACAACCCTATCAACAAGCCAGTCACGAGAGACCATATGTTGTATATTTCTATTTATGTGAAATGTCCAGACTAGGTAAATCCACAGAGGCAAAAAAGTAGATTAGTAGTTGGCAAGGGCTGGGGGTGGAAAGTGGGAAGAATAGGGGACAATAGGAAGTGACTGCTAATGGGTATGAGGTATCTTTTTTAAGTGATGAAATATTCTAAACTTAGATTTTAGCAATAGTGCAAAATTCTGTGCATATAATAAAAAGCATTGAATTATATACATTAAATGAGTGACATGTATAGCATATAAATTATGTCTCCTGTATTAGTCTGTTCTAATACTGCTATGAAGAAATACCTGAGCCTGGGTAATTTATAAAGAAAAGAGGTTTAATTGACTTACAGTTCCGGATGGCTGGGGAGGCCTCAGGAAACTTACAATCATGACAGAAAGGGAGTCAAACACATCCTTTTTCACATGGCGGCAGGAGAGAGAAGTGACGAGCAAAGGGGGAAGCCCCTTATAAAACCATCAGATCTTGTGAGACTCACTCACTATCATAAGGACAGTATGTGGGTAACCACCCTCACGATTCAATTATCTCCCACCGGGTTACCTCCCCCAACACATGGGGATTATAGGAACTACAGTTCAAGATGAGATTTGGGTGGGAACACAAAGTCTGACCATATCATCCCCATAACACTTTTTTAAAAATATCCTCTCAGAGGTTTAGTTTCCTAGAGCTGCTCAATATATGGATGGGTCAATAAAATCCAAGTGAGAGGGAGCCTTAAGATGAATCGCCTTTGCCTTACCCTGCTCTTTCTTTGGCAGTGATGTTTGTTGAATTTCTGTTTCCCTCTCTGCTTTCAGCCCATGGACTTGGAGTTGTGTTTCTCCATCAGTTCACTAACTTTGCTTTGAATTTCTGGCTCTCCTTAAAGTAACACCCAGTCCCCCTGTTCGAATGTCCACTGATCACTGACCCTGCCTCCTGGGTCTCATGCAAAGTCTGACACCTGAACACATTTTGGCATCCTTGATCAGCACACTCCTGGACTTTGTCAAGTGGAGTGTCAGTCTCCTCCCAGAAATGCTAGGTTAGAACCAAGGTGGGGACTCTGACGGACCTCAGGCCACACTCTTCAAGCAAAGAAGACTTGGCTTGATCTTGTGACAGCCACTTGTATTTAAATGAGATGCTGGGAAACATATGGAGACCTACACAAGGGAATACCCAAAAGCTTCTTGGGCATTACACTGACCTACATAGTATACGGTTTTCCATTTGGGCTGAGTCACACTGCCCCTGATCAGGATAGATGTTATAGGGAGATGGAACAGAAGGCAGGGAGTTCATAGCAGTACTATCTGGTACCCCAGCATCAGGGATGTCCCCAGCTTCCCGTGATATTCATGTAGGCCCTGGAAGCACCGCTTCATATAGTGATTGTTTATTTAATGTCCAAGTTTGGAATGGCTTAGAAAAAGAAAAAGACCTAAGAGCTTATATGATGTCATGGAAAGATAGAAGTCAGACATGTGGTTTTCTTGGGTTCTTCAGCTTTTCCCAATTTTCTCCACCCCACATTCAGAGCTCTATTTGCCTTCATCTGCAGAATCTCTGTAGGAAGCAGTTTTGAAAGGCACTGCTGAGTCACTGAGTTGTACTGTGGTCTGACTCTCTGATACTTTAAATTCTGATTTGAAGAAATTGCTTGAAAGCACTGATATCTTTTTCTCACCGCTGGCAAATGGCAAAGTTTTCACTGAGTGAAAAGCAATGTTTCGTAAGTGAAAAATATAAGAATCAATTTGTCCATCATTCCATTATCCTGCCCAAACACTTAACAATTAAGGGACAGGCCAGAAGGCTTCAGTTAATTACATAAAAGGTTTTTTTTGTTGTTTGTTTTTAAGTTAGGTTTAAAGAGTCCATGAGCTGCTGACAGTCTAAGAAAAATTCTTTCAGGCATTTAGCTGGAAGTTGTCACAGTTTGAATGGATGGTTTATTCAAAATGAAGATTAAATTTCTTTATAGCAATTCTAATTTCATGGAACTTTAAATCTTAAAAAATTTAATGAAACACCCTAATCTTATAGAAAATAAAAGTAGGAGCCAGTGAATAGAAGTGACTTTCCCAAGTTCCCATAGCTAAATATATGGCAAAACTAGGAATAGAAGGACCCAGGTCATCAGACTGTGGAAACAGGGCCCTATTTTACTTCAGGATGTGCCAATAATTTATGATGATGTGAATCTTCTGAAACTTATACATGATTCAAAGACACTGGGGAGGTGGGAAAAAATGGATTTGGAAGGGATGAGGAAGAATAAGAGGATCAAATAGCATCTTTATTCAGGCTCCCTGCAATGGTTGAAACAGAGAATATTGTAAAGAATATTACATGCCTTCCTGAATCAAAAGTAGCACAGCCCTGCTGGCAGCTAAGGAAGCAGGGTAATAGAAATCCCAACACCTCCACACTCAGCGCCTGGAAAATGAGAACCTAAAGCTTACTGTATTAGGATAAGGACAAGCCCAAAATCAATCATGACCCATGCCAGCCTTAAACAGTTACCATAATCTCTTACACTTGTGTATTATTCTCTTATATTAAAATAAGAATCCTAGTTGTATGCATTTATATTTGATATATAAATATACATTTGCCCTTAAAGGGTCATCTACTATAAAGGAAATTTTTTTAAAGAATTGCAAGGAAGAAATACAGTACGTTACATTTCATTAAACCATTCTCCTGATTTTCTGGAGATCTGACCTAATTTCTCTTTAGGCCTATTAGAAAATGACATCCTTCCATTGGCAGAAACTGTCTAATTACTTTTTGTTATGAGCTATTTCCAACATTGCTGATCTGCAATTCTACAGAGCACTTTCATGAGGGCAGAGGGCAACTGTGAGTCATAGAGACTCTGGGAGGAAAGCAGAGCTCTTTGTCTGAATAAGGAAAAGTTCAGTTGTTCCTTAGGTTTCGGGCATATCAGCTATTGCTGTCATTGGGAGTGTTTCCCAGAACTGAAAGTGAGCCTTTTAGAAAGGTTTGACATCAGGCAAGTGCTCTCTGGGGCAGGAGAGCTGCACTTTTCAGTGATAAGTACAAAGCCTAGGTTCCCTGATGAATAACAGCTTGATGATACTGGGTTAAGTTACTGAACTTCTCTATGAAATTACATCAGCCATACCATTAGGTTGTTTGGACCATTCAATGAAGTAAATACATAAATGTACATAGCCCATCACCTGCATAGATTATATCTTCCATAAGGAATAGTTGCCTTCCTTCCTCTTGGCTAAGGGAATTGGAGGTCTGGCTATACTGTTGGAGAGAAGAGTTGTACCACAAACAGACTCCACTGAAACCATGTGGACTTTGGGAAGACTGGGCCCAAACCATAGCTCAGAAAGAACATTTGGTGAAGGAGCCCAGGTCTATCCAACATGACAGCCACTCTTCTTCATGGTCTAGCCTAGTGCTATTCAAAGTGTGGTCCTTGGCCCAACTGTATCGATATCATCTCAGACCCTCTAAATCTGGATCTCTGGAGTAGGGCCCAAGAATCTGTGGTTCTACCAGCTCACCAGGTGATTCTTTTGCAGGCTCAAGTTTGAAAAACACTGCTTTAGAGAAAGTGTTCCTAGCAAACCCAAGAGGACAGGAAGACATGGACCAGGGTAACAATCAGATTTTCAGGGGCTCAAGCCAAGGAGGTTTTAAGAAAAGGTGTAACAAATGACTGCTAGGAAGCCTCTGGGAAAAACCTTTAGGAATCATGTAACAATTGTCAATTTTATAAACACTTTCGTTCACTTAGCAAACATGAATCCACATGCGCTTATTAATCTTCTAACCAGAAGTAAGCCACTGAGTTTTTCACAAATTGGCTGGACAGGCTGATTCCCAAGACAAGAAGAGATCATCCACAAAATCCTTAAATAAAAAGAGCCTAAGTGCTCATTTTTGGTGACAGCAAGCAAAGAGGGAGATGGGAAGACAGCATTTTACTCAGTAGTCAGTCGTAGGAGGAAAAGAACCAGGGAATGGAAGCAGTCCAAATCCCTAAGGCTTTCAGAAAGCAGGGGGAAAAAATAAAAGCTAGACATGGGACTGAAATCCAGAGGTTGAGACATGACCCATCAGGCACATAACTGGCAGGAAGCCCAGCAGCGAGGCTCCCTCTTAGGAACTAAGCATCTGCCTGTTTTCACGTCTCTGCAACATACTAAATTATCTGTTAGCAAGTAGTTGCAGCATCCACAAAGATCAGGGACACAGGACACTTAGAAAATTCAATTGTGTATGTAAATATTTACCTAGCTACTTCCTTGGAGTCTACAGACCTGTGACATTTTATTGGCAGACAGACTTTATGATTTCAGCGTGCCAGTGTATTTTATCAGAAATAAGTGAAAAAAAAACTCAAAACAACTTGGAAAATAGAGATGTTCAAGTCAAGGTTTATCCACCAATGCCTCTGAAACTGGAGGGGCTTCAGTGCAGACCTTTAATCCACAATGCCTGATTCTGAAGTGGCATGTCTGTGTAAGAGAATTTAACATCCTAAGGATCCGCCAGCCTCTTCTATTTAAAGTCAGGGCCATTGATCCCCTTTTTGGGTTGACCCACACCCCACCAACCCTCAGGATCTGGATGCCATATAAACATTAACCAGAAGAAATCAGTTGCGTATCTCAGGTAGATTTATCTTCTAGGTAATCTTATTCCTAGACATGCTTTTGCTTTTAGTTTCATTATATTTACTTTGCCTTTGCCCTGCTCTTGTGGCCAGTGCCCTCTTTGTGTTTTATCATGAACCTGCTATGTGCCCACCTCAAAGCTGGACACTGTGGTTCAAACATTTCCTTCAGGAAGCCACTAGTCCACTTCCTGTTAGAAAAGATTCTGAACTTCTTTCCCAGATAAGTTGAAGAACCTGTTTTCTGACCTGGTTAGAAATTGAAAACTCAATCGAAAGATTGGCAAAGAAAATTGTGGAAATCTATGAAAGTAGAAAAAAATGAAAAATACAAGAGAAAAGAAAAGAAACTTGAAGGACCAGTACCGAGAATATAATATCTGAACAAGCAAGTTTCATGAAAAAGAGGACAAAAAACATTGAGGGAGGAAATCATCAATTAAAAAATTTAAGAGAATTTCCTAGAACTGAAGAACATTGGTCAGAACGTCAAGATGGATGGAAACAGAGTCACACCCAGGCACATCACTGAGAAATTTCAGAACACTAGGGGTAAAGGGAAAAACAAACACAGTTCCAGAGAGAGGGGGGAAAATCGTATGCAGAGGAACCAGAAAGTGAAATAACTTCTAAAGATACAAAAAACAACAGAAAACTAGAAATTAATAGAGTAATGCCTTCAAAATTCTGAAGGGAAATTATTTTCAATCTAAGTTTCTATAAACAGCCACACCATTATTCAAGTGTCAAAGCAAAATACAGCTATTTTCAGATATTCAAGGGCTCAAAAAAATTTGCTAAAGTGATGAAGGTCTTCAGGCTCAAACAGTGAAAAGTACAATTATAAATAAGCAAATTTAAAATAAGACAACCCCAGGGAATACAGAAAGTTATGTGGGGAAGGAAAAAAATATATACATGTGCATGGTTCATCTGTGAATAAGGTACAGAGGTAATAATAACATAAACCTGTCTACTGGTCTAACCAAAGTTACAAGAGGTCAGGGGAATAGGAAGAAGGATTGTGAGGTATTTGGGATGAGTGTGTGTGTGTGTGAGTGTATGTGTGTATGTGTGTGTGTGCGTGTGTGTGTGTTGTGCAGAAAGAGGAGGAAAAGAGCTGAAATCATCATCTTCCAATGTGGGAAGTCAATAGATAATGTCTAAAACTGGAGGGAAAGATATTGAGGAATAGAAATAGTAAGATATGGGGCCCAGGCGTGGTGGCTCACACCTGTAATCCCAGCCTTTTGGGAGGCTGAGGTAGGTGGATCACTTGAGGTCAGCAGTTCAAGACCAGCCTGGCCAACGTGGCATGGTGGCACACACCTGTAATCCCAGCTACTCGAGAGGCTGAGGCAGGGGAATTGCTTGAGCCCAGGAGGCAGAGGTTGCAGTGAGCTGAGATTACACCACTGCATCCCAGCCCAGGTGACAGAGCGACACTCTACCTCAAAAGCAAACAAACAAATAAACAAATAAATAGTGAGATATTATTCAGAAATATGGAATAAAATGCAAACATCAAAAATCACCTAGGAGTTATAAGTATTTGCTTCTGCAGAAAGACAGGGAGGCAAAGCGACATGAAAGTATTGTTTTTCATTACTAAGTTTTAGAGCTTTTTGACTCCTAAATGTATGGACAATTATAATATTGACTAAAATAAGCAGAGGAGACTGAGGCCCAGCCCTGCTAATAAACAGGAGGGTGGTTAAGACATGGTGTCTGAAGTTAGATCACCTTAATTCACATCCTGGTTTTGTCCCTGACTAATTATATGACCTTGAGTATTTTAACCCCTATAAACCTCTGCTCCCTCAACTTCAAATGGGGGTTGTAAAAATATTTACATCAGAGAGTTGCTTTGATGTTTAAATGGTAAAAGGACTAGGAAGCGATTAGCAGTGCCTGGCATATTATAAGCATTCTTCCTTTCGTCCAACAAATATTGAGGATGTCGTCTATGCATCAGGCACAGCTGCAAGCATTTGGGATTTATCAGTGAATATAAAGTATTTCTGTCCTCATGGAACTTAGTAGAAATTAATGGGGAGAGATAGACAAGAAACAATCAACATAATACTAAGTGAATGATACAGTACATTGAAAAATGGCCAGTGATGCATGCTATGGAGTGAAAAGATCAGGGAAAGGGATATCAGATTGCTGGCAAGGGGAGGCAGGTAGTGCCTGCAAATTTTACCTACATTGGTCAAGAAAAGGCCTGGTGAGAAAGCAACATTTGAGCAAAGACTTGAAGGAGCTAAGGGACCAACAAGTGAAATATTTGGGAGGAGCATTTGTAGGCAGAGGAATAGGTAACTCGAAGCCTCTAAGGTGGCCATGTGCATGGCCTGTTTGGGAAAGAGTCACAAAGCTGGTGTGGATGGAGCCAAGTGAAGGAAAAGTAGCAGGAGACAAGGTCAAAGGGGAACGGGGCACCAGAGAGAGCAAGAAGAGCCTTGAAGACACGAGCAGGATACTGAATTTTACTTAGAGCAAAACAGGGAGCCAGGACTTGACAAAACAGGTTGCAGGGACTTGAGCAGGCTGATATGATCTGATTTGCCAGCTCCTGTTTTAGAGATAGCGCATAGGCAGGAATAGTGGGAGCCAGGAGAGCTGCACAGCAGGAGGTGCCCACAGTGTTCCAGTAAGAGCAGGTGGGGCTCAGACCAGCACAGTGGAGAGAAGTCATTCTATTTTCTATACCACTGAATACATTTTAGCTCTTATTATCATTTACCCAAGATTACGCAACAAGTTCATGGCAGAAGTGTGAGGCATGCTGCAGCTTCCCCATCTTCTTCTGAATAAAGAAAAACTATAAATGGAAAATTGAAATCGAAATACATATTATTTTGTCCTTATGTACATTAATAAAATCAGTATGAGATGCATTTCTCCTCAATCATAAAATCTCTGTTATTCTATAGCTTACACTACCTTGTACAGTAAGTATAATTCAGCATTGCTGTGGGTAAAGATTTATTCATTCATTGAATCTTGATAATCAAGATATGGCCCCTACCCTCAGATTGGTTAACCAAGTGCTGAGACAGAATAGACGAACATAAAGAAATAAAGCACACATAAGAAAGTGGCCAATGCCACAAGCTGATTCGGTTGCTCTAGGAAGTCCAGAGGAGGGCAGTTACTGCTCTTAGCTTGGGGAAGGGTGAGGAGGTGGTGTGCTGAAGCCTCCATGGAGAAGGTGAGAGATGTAGGATCATTCATATTTGGATATTTCAGGATGAGGCAGAGGGGCTGGATATTTCCAGAAGTGGAAAAAAAGGCATGGAGACAGAACATTTCCATGTAAATAAGAAAAACAATACTTTTTTAAGTTTAGCTGGAGCACACAGCATGGAAAAAGGAATAATGAAACCATGAGAAATAAGGGTGAAAAGGTTACTCAAAACCAAATTAAGGAGGGTCTTAACACTGCCACGCAGAGAACTCCAAATAAAGATGGTAACAAGAAAAGAAGACAAGAGAAATAAACACTGCACTTAGCCAACACCTTGACCACTGGTCTGTCTATGTAGCTTCCAATCATCAAATTCATTTTCCAAGATTAGGAGGTGGGCAGAAACAGGAATAAAGTTAAAATTGTCAGCCAAAAATTGATTTTTTCCACTTGAAGGGCTTCTTTTTTTAATTTGATATTTTTTTACCTTTGGACACATATCTTGATTTGTTTTGCTTACTCTGCCTTATATTATAGTAAATATAATTAGACACTGCAGGCAGGCAACGATGGAAGTTTGAGGCAGGCAATGATGGAAGCCAGGAAACCAGGACAGTGAGAGATGCTCATGGTGTTCTAGTAAGAGAGGATGGGGCTCAGACTAGCAGAATAGAGAGAAGTGATTGACTTTCTATATTTCTGTACACATGACACCATGCCACTTATCTTACTTTCTAGACTTCTGAATAAATAGACTTTCTTTCTGAAGTCAAGAAAGAAAGGATTGCTCGCCTCCTGCATAGAAGTAGTTTTCCAAGCATTAGGAAAACAACATATCAGTTGATCTAATGACCAGCCTTGTGCTTTGTGTCCATTTTTATGGCAAGTCACTGGGGTGAGAACCATGATCAAAACACAATAAAGAAACATTTTCAAATGCTACACACAGTGACATAAGCCTGCAGCCTGACTTTGCACCTCGGTATCTGCACCCCCTGCAATTCAGTTAAACAGTTTTGTTGTTCACATATCTCTTGGACACCCTAATATGTAGAAATGTAGCACTCACTCAAAAGGCTTTGAGATTTTCTGTACCCCAGATTATCTGGAGAGATGTCAATTTTACAGTGGTATTTTCCAGTCTTCAGAGAAGTCTGGCAGTCCCCATTGCTGCCAATAATAACAATAGCTAACATACTCTGCCTGGCATGTGCAGTCTCTTTTGATCCTTCAACAGCCCTGGGAGGTAGATGCAGTCATCTGGCCCACTTACAAATGGGAAAACCAAGGAAGAGAGAAGTTAAGTAAATAGTCATGGATCACAGAGGTAGAAAGTAAATGAATGAATGAACATTTCTCTCTTCCTTCTCAACCCAGAGTCCAGTGTCTGCCAGCAGTTCTTGCCTAATTCTTCCCTTCTGCATCAGGTGTTCTCCTGGATAAGGAAATGAAGTCCTCAGACTATATTTGTTTCTTTCTATGAAGCAATCTGGATTAGTCTCTCAACCTGGACACTTGTCATATCATCTTGTCCTCTTGCAGTTTTTGGCCTCTTTCAGTTTGAAAAAGCCCTTGACCTCACCTCACACTCCACCATTATTATTCTGTTTTCTTCTCAGAATTTTCACTAGTTTATCTTCAGGGTTTTTTTCTTCCACTACATCTCATCATTTTCAAATGTCAGATTAACTTGTCACCTTGCATGCCCTTCTGGAGACCTTAAAATCATTGTTCATCAAGACCATGCCGGAATCAACAACCCAATCCAGACAAAAACTAAGAATTAAAATATCATTACTGGAATGGGAAAGGAAAATAAGACTCTTCCCCAGCTGCATATACATCTGTGTATTTCTTTGGATGTTGACTTTGAAATGCTAAAACACTCCCACGTGAAAAAAGATCCATCATTTTGTTGTTTATGCATCTGAGTACACAAACGTATGCTTGCAAATGTCTGGAGAACCTGGTTTACAATAGCAAGCTAATTCAACCAACGTGCTGAGAGGCCATTTATTAATTTTACAGAAATTTACAAAAGCATGTATATTACACTTACACATGAATAAATTATGATAATTTTAATGGAATCATTCATCTAAGTAAGTTTGATCCAAATAATCCTTATTCTCCTATATAGGTACAGAATATTTTTTAATGTGCACTTAAATATTTTTGTAGAAAAAGGGAACTGAAGAACATTAAGCTCTGTTTATATTTCTCTAAATTATCTTCCAAATTCTGTCACTGTACATGCATAAGTACATTTTTATGTTATTGTATCATGCAAGGGTTCTGTTTTGTATTCTGCTTTGTCTTCATTTTATTTAATAATCCTTTGTACTTAAATAGGCCCCATGCTTGACTGGTTTGTGTCATAGAATAGTTATGTGGTGCTCCTTCATGATGCTATTGCTGTTTGCATTTTGTTTTTGCATTCAGAGTTGTATTCTATCTTCTACTATTTTAAACTGAGTTATTTTTAATATCTTCATATAATTTACATTTTTCTATTTAGGGATACCTTCAGAGAGCACAGCTTCAACTAAATGTTAGATTCTTCTAAACTTGTGTTTAAGCAAATTTTAATTGAGAGCTTGACTAAAACACACACACACACACACACACAAGCTGTGGCAAATGAAGAAAACTAAATAAACTCTAACTTTACCCCCCATTCCCTCTAGCACTCCTTAGAGCCTGGTCAGAACATCACTGCCATGGGTAGAGTAACAGAACTGAGACCACATCAAAATGGAGGAACAGTAGTAAATATTGCATGTGTGCTTAAATTTTGCCACCCTACTCTCCAAAGGACTATAGCAATTTACAGTGCCGGCCACTCTGTATAATTGTGCCTTCACCAAAGCCCACTGCCATTGTGTTTTACTAAAATTGCACAGTGATGATATTTAAACAGGCATAAAATGTTGCCAAAATGCTGTTTCAATATACAAACCCTCATTTTGAGCAAAGCCATGCATTTTGTCACATGCTGATGTTTTCTCTCAATTTTCTTGTGAGTACACATACTGTCTCATCTCAACATTGAAATGGCTCTTAGTATTGGAATGACACACTTACATAAACATTTATGTAACATGTCTATAATTTTTTTTATTATTTTGCATTGCATTCTTCTTATACATAGCATATATTTTTATTTTTAGAGACAGAGTCTCACTCTGTTGCCCAGGCTGAAGCGTGGTGGTGCCATCATAGCTCACTGCAGCCTCAAACTCCTGCACTCAAGCAATACTCCTGCCTTAGCCTCCTGAGTACCTAGGACTACAGATGGCATGCACCACCACACCCCGGCTAATATTTTATTTTTTGTAAAGACGGGGTCTCACTATGTTGCTCAGGCTGGCCTCAAATTCCTGGCCTCAAGTGATCTCCCCACCTTAGCCTCCCAAAGTACTGGGATTATAGGTATGAGCCACTGCACCCAGCCAGCGTATGTATTTTGGGAACAAATTTTATCCATTGTTTTGTCATTCTGTTGTTTTCTTTAAAATTTTGTCCTATTATTTGTTACACAGAACTTTTTCAGCTTTATGTATTTAAAGCTGAGGCCCAGACCCAAGGATGCAGGCAGAGCCTAGGAGAGTGGATCACAGCCCGCAGGGACAGTTCTCTGGCAGGATCCCTGGGCCAGGCAGAAGAGACCAGACAGAGAGCTCCACACACAGCCCCTGACATGGAGTCTGAGAGATACTTTGCTCCTAGTGAGACGGTTTGAGCCAGAGAAGCCAATAAGGGTGCAAAACCGGAAGGGCTAGAGGCCACCAGAGGCCAGAGAGCTCTTGAAAACTCAGAGGTGGATCAAATTGAGACTAGTCTGGGCCAGTTTGAGATGAATTAGTCACTAGTTCTTACCTCTGTGTGGGCTATTATGTGTTTTCTTAAGAAAAAAAAAAAAAGCTTAGAATAGGGCAGAAAAAAAGGGAGAAACCTCTGAGAACCTTCTACCTTATCTGTGATGATATCCTGTTTCTTCAGTGGTTGGGAATTTATTTTCCAATTGCAAATGTCTTATCTTGTTCCAAAAAGTAGTAGAAAGAGCTTACAGAGGATTCACACAATATAATATACACACAATAATATCAAAGTAGAATTAGGAAATTAGGTCAAGGGAAAATATAAACAGAAGTAGAATGTCAAGTTCAGGCAAAAGAAGAGGACAGATACACAGTCATGTGTAGCTTAACAACACAGATATGTTTTGAGAAATGCACTGTTAGGAGATTTCACCCTTGTGCAAACATCACAGAGTGTACTTAAACCAAGGTGATATCGCCTGCCACACCCCTAGGCCGTATGGTGTAGCCTATTGCTCCTAAGCTACACACCTGTACAGCATGTTACTGTACTGAATATTGTAGACAACTATAATACAATGGTAAGTATTTGTGTATATAAACATAACTAAACAGAGAAAAGGTACAGTAAAAATACAGTCTAAGAATCTTACAGGACCACCGTTGTATATGCAGTCCATCATTGACCAAAACGTCATTTTGGGGTGCATGACTGTTTATGCTTAAAGCGAGTCAGGGTAAGTGTCCTTCTTGGTTTTTAGGCTTTTCTTTTTGATAAATCTGGAATTCTTTATTGTTATATGTGGTATATTTGTTACTAATTCAGTCCTTCTTTGTACCGATTGACAGTTGTTCCTGAAATATTTAGTTTGTCCCTGCAATGTCCCTGCCATTCTCTATTGTTATGGTGTTTCTGATCTGTCAACTTCCATTATCTTAAAATGGTTTGTAAATACTTCTGAAAGCTCATTGTAATTGCATTTTCTCTTTTTAATCCCATAACATCATTTTTTATAATCCACTTTGTTTTTAGAACAGTTTTAGATTTACAGAAAAATTAGGGAGATATATAGAGACATACTCTGAAAATTGTTTCCTCTGCTATTAAACTATTACATTAGTATGGCACATTTGCCACATTAATGAATCACTGTTGATTCACTATGATTAACCAAAGTCCATACTTTCTTCAGATCTCCTTTGTTTTCCCCTAACTGCTTCTTCCTGTTCTGGATCCCATCCAGTACATCACACTACATTGAATCATCATGTCCCTTTAGGCTCCTCTTGACCATGACAGTTTCTCAGACTTACCTTGTTTTTTATGACATTAATACTTTTGAAAAGTATTGGTCAGGTATTCTGTAGAATGTGCTTCCTATGTACTGAATTGTGTCCTTCCAAAATTTCTACGTTGAAGGCCTATCCCCCAGTGTGACTTATTTGGAGATACGTCCAGTAAGGAGACGATAAAGGTTAAATGAGAGCCTAAGGGTAGGGTCCTAATCCTGTAGTGTTGGTGCCCTAGCTCTCTCCACCACAGTGAGAAAACTACCTGCAAGCAAGGAAGAAAGCCCTCGCCAGAAGCCAACCATCACTCAATTCATCACTCAATTGGGATTTCTCTAATGTTTGTTTTCTTATGATTAGACTGGGATTTTAAGTTTTGGAGAGGAATACCACAGAGGTAAAACCCCATTTTAATCACATATTGATTGACATGACTTATTGCTATTGATGTTGACCTTGATCACCTGGATGAGGCAGTGTTTCTCAGGTTTCCTCTCAGCAAGTTTATCTGCTCCCCTCGTTCCACATTGTACCTTTTGGGAAGAAGTCACCACGCACAGCCCACACTTAAAGAGGGGAGTTCTGTTCTACCTCTTTGAGGACAGAGTAACTACATGGATTATTTGGAATTCTACTGTATAGGGGATTTGCCTCTTCTCCTGTATTTATGTATTTATTCGATTATTTATTTATGTCAGCATGAACTCATGGATATCTATTTTATCATTTGGTTTATAATTCAATACTACTTCATTTTGTTGCTCAAATCATTCCAGCTTTCACCACTGAGAGCTCTCTCAGTTGACTCCTTTGGCATACCTCAATTAACATACTGCTATCACTGTGGGTTATATTGGTCTGTTTCATCTGAGCACTTCTTTCATTTATGGCATTACTAGATACTTTAGGCTCAACTTACAGATTTCCTTCCCCAGCCCTAGAATAAACCACTTCTCTAAAGAGGCATAGTTTCTTTTATTGGAGAATGGTATTAGAAACCAAGATCTGGGCAATAGGTGTGCTCACTATTTCTGCGATGTCATTGTTTCAGGGTTCTCTCATCAGACAGAGCAAGAAAATATTTCTATGTAAACTAATCCACATATATACATAGCTATAAATATTCTTAAATGTAACCATCTGTATCAATAGGAAGCTAAACATGAGCTTTCATACTGATGTTGCCAACTCTAATCCATTACCACATGGATCATTCTAGCTTCTTCTCCTTGCTTATCAATGTACTCCTACTCCAACAGTGAGAACCTATTTCCTCCAACCATACATTTAAATAATTGACCAATTCCAGTGTACATGTATAGCAGTATCAGAATTTTTAACCAATAACCCATAAGAAATAACTTTACCACCTAGAGTATAGTACTTATGTACATTTTCTTCTGCTTTTAGTCTTACAGACTGCACTCATTTCCAAAGATACTTAGGTTGGAAACTTTTCCCCCTATCCTTTTAATGAGGTTTTATTCATACATTTGTAATACCATTAGATTGTTTTGTCACATTCTGCAATTCCATCCTGGGATTCCTCAACATCCTAAATAAATTTTTAATTTTTCTATATTAAAGTTTACTCTCTAAATTCAGTGGGTTTTGACAAATGTATAATGTCATGTATTCCCAATTACAGCATCATCCAGAATAGTTTCACTTCCATAAGAATCCCCTATGCTATTCAGCCTTCTCTGTCTTCTCCTATACCCTCAGCAACCACTGATCTTTTAACCTTCACAATAGTTTTGCATTTTCCAGTGAAAATATAATGGAAATCATATAGTATATAGGCTTTTCAACTGGCTTCTTTCACTTAGTAACATACATTTAAGATTCACTCAAGTTTTTTGTGGTTTGTTAATTTTTTTAATCACTGAATATTATTCCATTGTTTGTACATGCTACAGTTTATTTATTCATTCTCTTGTTGAAGGACATTTTTGGCAACTATGAGTAAAGCTTCTCTAAAGGTTTGCATGCAGGTTTTTGGTGGACAAAAGATTTTGAAGCAGTTGGGTAAATACCTAGGAGCATAATTGCTGGATTGCATGGTTAAGACTAAGTTTAGCTTTCTTTAAAAATACCAAAGTGTCTTCCAAAGTGGTTGTACCATTTTGCATTCCCACCAACAACGAATAAGAGTTCCTGTTGCTCTGCATCTTCATCAACAATTTGTATTGTCAGTTTGGGGAGTTTAGCCGTTCTAATAGGCATACAGTTGTATCTCATCATTGTTTTCATTTGCAATTCCCTGATTACAAAGAATGGTCTTTTCTTATGCTTATTTGCCATCTACATATTTTCTTTAGTGAAAGGTCTGTTCAGATCTTTTGCCTATGTTTTAATTGGGTTATCTGGTTTTTATTGTTGAGTTTTAAGAGTTCTTTGTATATTTTGGACACAGGTACTTTATCAGATATATGTTTTGTTAATAATTTCTTTCCATCCATGGTTTATCTTTTGATTCTCTTAACAGTATCTTTCACAGAGCTAATGATTTGAATTCTAATAAAATCTTATTCATCTAATATTTTTCTTTCATGGATTATGCTTTTGGTGTTACATCTAAAAACTCCTCACTAAACCCAAGGTCACCTAGATTTTCTCCTATGTTTTCTTTTAGTTTTATCCTTTTGCATTTTATACTTAGGTCTATGATCCATTTTGAGTTAATTTTTGTGAAAAGTCTAAAGTCTATATCTAGGTTATTTTATTATTTATTTATTTACCATATAAACAACCAGTTGTTCTACCAGCACCATTAGTTGAAAAGACTAGCCTTTCTCCATTGAATTGTCTTTGCTCCTTTACCAAAAATAAGTAGACTGTATTTTGTGGGACTATTTCTGGGCTCCCTATCCTATTCCATTGAAATTTGTGTGCATTCTTTAATCAACACTATTTTATGTCTTGATCACTATAGCTTTAAAGTAAGTCTTGAAATTGGATAACCTGAGTCCTCAAATTTTATTCTTCTTCTTCAGTATTGTTTTGGCTATTCTAGAAGTATTCCCTTTCCATTTAAACTTTAAAATCAGTGTTTCAGTCTCAGTAAAATAGCTTTCTGGGATATGAATTGAGATTGCTTTAACATGTATGATTTTCCTTGTCCCTGAAAAACTTCTTTTACCATTTCTTGTAAAGTAGGTTTACTGGTAAGGAATTCCCCCAGTTTTTGTTGCTGTGAGAAACTCTTTATTTCTTCTTCATGTTCGAAGGATAATTTTGCTGGATTTAGAATTCTAGATTGGTGATATTTTTCCTCTCAACACATTAAATATTTAAATCAACTGTCTTCAAGTTTGCATAGTTTCTGATGAGAAGCCCAACATAATTCTTATCCTTGCTCCTTGATAGCGCTGTTCTTTTTCTCTGTCTTCTTTCAAGATTTAATCTTTGTCTTTGGTTTTCTGCAATTTGAACATGATAAGCCTATATGTTGTTGTTGCTGCTGTTTTCATATTTATCCTGATTGACATTCTCTGAGCTTCCTAGATCTGTTGTTTAATCAATTTTGGAAAATTCTCAGCTATTATTACTTCAAATATTTCTTTATTATACGTTAAGTTCTAGGGTACATGGGCACAATGTACAGGTTTGTTACATATGTATACATGTGCCATGTTTGTGTGCTGTACCCATTAACTCGTCATTTACATTGGGTATATCTCCTAATGCTTTCCCTCCCCCCTCCCCTCATCCCACAACAGGCCCCAGTGTGTGATGTTCCCCTTCCTGTGTCCAGGTGTTCTCGTTGTTTAATTCCCACCTATAAGTGAGAACATGTGGTGTTTGGTTTTTTGTTCTTGTGATAGTTTGCTGTACGTCAAATATTTCTTCTGCTCCACTGTGTCTTTCTTCTCCTCAGTATTCCAATTACAGATATGTCACACCCTTTGAAATTGACCTATAGTTCTTGGATGCTCTGTTTGGTTTTATTTTTTCTTTGGAGGGGGGGCTGGTCTTTTTGTTTGTTTTTTTCAGTCTTTTTTTTCTCTTTGCATTTCAGTTCAGAAAGTTTCTATTGACCTGTCTTCCAGCTCACTGATTCTTTTCTTGACTGTGTCCAGCCTAGTGATGAGCCAATGAAGACCATTATGTATTTCTAGCATTTTAAAAATTATTTCTTAGTGTTTTTACCTCTTTGCTTACATTATTCATCTGTTCTTGCCATGTTGTCTACTTTTTCCATTAGAGCCCTTGATATACTAATCATAGTAATTTAAAAGTCTCCATCTATTAATTCCAAAATCTCTGCCATATCTGAGTCTGATTCTGGTGCTTGGATCCTTACTTTGTCTCTTCAGAGTTTATCTGCTTGCCTTTTGTACGACTTGTAATTTTTTGGTTGAAAGTCAGACATGATTTATCAGGTAACGGAAGGAGAGATAAGTAGGCCTTTAGTATGATTTTTATGTTCATCTGCTTAGGAACTGGGCCATGTGCAATGCTTTCTCTAGCTGTAGATGTCAAATTCTTCTAGTGTCCCTCTTTTGGTTTTACCTGTTGTCTTTGAGCTTCCCCTAAGAACACCTCCTCAGACAGAGTCTGTGTCTTTTACCTCATTGTTCAGTAATGCGCCGTTATTATTCTGGAGTCCTATTGGTATAGTTGCAAGGTATAAGGGAGAAGTAATCTATGATCTTAAAATTAAATCACAGTCTTTTAGTGGGCTTCTGTCCTTAAGCTATGACTTTCACAAATGTTTCTTATCTTTTTCCCTTCCCTCATGTGACAGTAGCTAGACGGGGCTGGGATAGGAGAAATGCCACTGGTGTAAGAATCTGGATTTCTGATGTCCAAAGCCAGGAGGAGAAGAGTGTCTCAGTTTCAGAAGAGAGAGGCAGAGGAAATCACCTGCCTTTGCCTTTTTTGTTGGAAACCAATTGGATGTTCCCTGCCCACATTGAGGATGGATCTTCCTAAGTCTACCAACTTCCAGTCTCCTCTGGAAATATCACACAGACGCACCCAGAAGCAATGCTTTACCAGTTCTCTGGGTATTCCTTAACTCAGGCAAGTTGACATCTAAAATTAACCATTACAAAAAAATAAAATTTCTTTCTTTATGAACAAAATTACCATCTTTCAGTAGCCTATGCCCCCAAAAGGCTGTAGAACTGATTTAGAGTCAAATCCTTACCATTTTTCTTCAGAGAAAAGAGTAAAGGGAGATAAGAACATTGCTTATAATTTCCAAAAAGTTTTATTTAGCTAAGATCCACAAGTTTCAATTTATAACAGAAACCCAGAATCAAAAGCTGAAATCTCTGGAGAGTCCATTTAAAGAAAAGGAAGGTCTGAAGTCACATGTGAATGGGTTTCAGGAGATAGGACTACAAGCCACTTGAGCCAGCTGGTCTTTAAACTATTCATTTAGACTCTATTTTCCTCATTTGGTGCTTACAGTTTTTCTTTGAATAACTCTTTAGGTCCCAAGATTAATACCCACATACTTAATCTTTTTAACTTTATATATGAAAATCAGTAATAGATAAATAGTAACTTATGTGCAATAGTTTTGGGACTTTATCTTATATTCTAAAAATCTGCAAATTAATTTGTTAATTCTAATAGTGTTAGTTATTTACATAATTTCCTTGACTTTTCTAATTTATTTTTGTGTATTTTTATAATAAAATTATTTCTAAAATATTCCCATCCTTCTTTTTATTATCTGGTTTTGTTGTTACATCAAATAGCCATTGCCAGCATTTCAAGTGTTATATTAAATAGCAACAGTGATCAGGCATATGTTTATCCTACTTCTAGTTTAAGAAAATAATTCTCAGGTTTCTGAAGTAAATGTAATACTTCTCCATTCTACATGTAGACTATTAAGAACCATCTTGTACACTTTAGTAGTTTAATCAATGGCAAATTTTATTGAACATCTTCCCAGAATTTATTGAGCTTACTTTGTGGGCTTTTGTTTTCTTTCATATTAATCTAATGAGTGGTATTTTTGTGACATAGAAGCACCACTTTGCTGAAGTACCCCTATATGATTAGAGCATATTGTTTATCTACTGTAAAACTTTTTAACTTGCCTATAAATGTACTTTTTTAAACTTTTATAATTTGGTAGTAGTTTCAAATTTGAATTTAGAATTATATTTTCCCTACTAAGTGAATTGACCAACATATTATAGTATATCTTCCAAGGAACGTATTTTTAGAAATTTTAGAAATTTGGAATTTCACAGTTATATAAACATTCAAGAACTGTCCATTTTTAAATTGCATAGTAACTTTTGCTATTTCTTCCTCTCTTAACAGCAAATGTATGTTTCTTAAGTCTTGTGTTTACTTGTATAAATTTCATAATTACTTAACTTGATAACCAAATGTATTAATACAAACTGGGAATAAAGATACAGACATTATTTAAAATGTTTGTGTCATCAATGATCTTTTATGCATTCATGATTTTACTAATATTTACTTTCTTTTTATCAATTAAAACAAGTTTTTAAATAAATCATTTCAGTAATTTACTTATTCATTATTTTGAAGAACAAACTTTGATCTCCAGTGTTGTTTTATTCATTTTACATTTTGTTTATTCCTGCTCTTAGTTTTATTTCAGCATCTTCATTTTCAACTACATAGAATTTTTATAGAAGATCCTATTTTAAGGATAGCTTATGCTATTTCTATAAAAAGGAAGCCAAATAACATCTAATATGCTTAGTAAAGCCTGGCCTTTACTCCTATAAATGTCAACAAATCCATGATACTATATAAAAATGAAATTACCCAAGATGGGGCTAAGTTATCCCACAAGTCAACAAACAATTATCAGACTGGATATTCTACCACTGACCTATTTAACCTTCTGATTCTGGGACAGAAAAAAAAAATCCTTTCAAATGTAAGGGATATGTAGAGCTTGTGTGAAAGATTTTTAAAGGAATGATTATATATGAAAGCATGAGTATGCTTTCAAAGGGCTTATAATAAGAATCGATAACTGGATCGACATGATGCAACCTTCTGACTCCTATCAGTCTATACACCACCACCTGGGGAAAAGAAAAACAGCAGATCCTTGCTTCCAGGTGTGACTCACCTCACTCAAGCTCAGCCAATCCTTCTTATTTTAAAGCTGTTCTCTTCAAGGTGCTTTCAAATTTTAATGAGATCTCCAGATGGATATTGCAAAATACCTGTGCCCCTTTATACACTTTCATCATTGGCTCATAAACAACTCTTCTTTTATCTTCAATGTGTTTCAAAGTTTACTTGTAAAAAAATAAAAATAAATTGTGTTTGTATAATTCTAGAGGGTTTTGCATTTTTGTCTAAAAGCTAGTAAGCTTTGGTTTGGAGGAATTTATTTTTGTACCTGAAGTTTACATTTTTGTTGATTACAGAGCTGACAGGTCCTGTCAGATTATAGAGCTGAGGATTACAGAGCTGAAGTTTATGTTTTTGTTGATTATAGAGCTGACAGGTCCTATCAAAAATAATAAGCTGTCAACCTGACTAATATTTGTCTTTAAGACATGAGGCTAATCCCAGTGTATTAGTCCGTTTTGACACTGCTGATAAAGTCATACCCGAGACTGTGTAATTTATTTTTAAAAAGATATTCTATGGACTCACAGTTCCACGTGGCTGGGGAGGCCTCACAATCATGGTAGAAGGCAAAACGCATGTCCTACATGGTGGCAGGCAAGAGAAATTGAAAGCCAAGTGAAAGAAGTTTTCCCTTATAAAACCATCAGATCTTGTGAGATTTATTCACTACCATGAGAACAGTATGGGGAAAACTGCTTCTATGATTCAATTACCTCCCACCAGGTCCCTCCCACAACACATGGGAATTATGGGAGCTACAATTCAAGATGAGATTTGGGTGTGGGCACAGCCAAACCATTTCACCCAGCATGGTCTGTGAAGATTATTGGCTCTACCTGTGTGTTGTTAAAGACATGAGGTAGAATAAACAATCAAAAACTTATACAACGTACATTTTATACTCAACAGCATACTGAGTGGTTTCCATTTTTCATCTTCTTTTGCTTAATTGCTGTAAGGTAGAATAGTGTTATGTTGCTGTTTTTCTTTTAAAGTAAAATTCTGGGCATTAAGTGACTGCCACACAACTTGAAAAGCACAATAACAGGAAAGCATTGCAATACAATCAACATTAGACTGCAAAATCCTACATGAGGCTAGAAGCTCCTTAAAGGAAGGAGCCACATCTCGTTCATCTTCGTATTCCCTCTTCCTTAGGACTATCATGATACGTGGATCTCCACCCCTGTCAACAAGGACCAGCTTCTACTTGTCCGTTCAGAGCCTCCATACAAATTAGAAAAAGGCATTTCTTCCTCATGTAAAATTTTTAAGTTAGTATTGTATTTATTTCTCAATTATAAAAACTACAACAAATATAAAGTCATTTTTCATAAAATTCATAAATCAAATTATTGAACATAAAATAATACAAAATTCAAAATTGTAATCACAATAATTAAGAATATCAGCTAACTACAATATAGTAATGTGTTATAAAATAATTACATATCATGCTTCCTTGGCAAATAAATTTATTACAACAATTTCAATATTTATTTGTAACTGTGTCTCATTCTATAGAAATGACCACTGGGTTAGACTACATATCTTATGATATTCTAGTCCTTAAGTCATGTTTAATAAATTTTCAATTTGAAAAAACATTTTCCACAGGTTACTGATATTCACAAAATTAAATACAAGCCGAGAGCCAGATAAGTATTTGAAACTGTGTGCAGTAAATTCAGGTTGTATGATTATATCCCATCTAATGTTATTCCTCACTGTGTATACCAGTTCATTTCAATTGCAAATCTTTGTGTAATTGCAGTAATTCATTCTATAATTTTTCAAAGTTGATATGCAATCTACAATAGCGGTCAGCAAATAATGGCTCACAAGCTGAATCTGACCCTCCTTCTATTTTTGTACAGCCAACAAATTGCTTTTACATTTTGAAAAGAATAATATTGTAGGACATGAAACTTATATAAAATTTAAATTTCAGTGTACATAAATAAAATTTTATTAGAACACAGCCATATTTATTTGCTTATTATTGTCTGTAACTATTTTTGCACCATAATGGCAGAGTTGAAAAATTGCAAGAGAGACCATATGGCCCACAGAGCCGAAAATATTTAATAGCTGGCCCCTTACAGAAAAAGTTTGCCAACCCCTGATCTAGAACTCTGAAAAGGTCATGACTGTCTTTTAATATTAAAAAAGTTTTTAAATGAGACTTGTATCATTATTATGTATTAATAGTAACAGTGATATTATATTATTATGTCATTGTATATTATTATAATATAGCTATTAGTGTATTAATTAGTGCATATTATTATGCTTTATTGGTGTATATTGCTAATATTCCACATATTTAGGTAGCTTTAACCACATCATCAGCAATTTCTGAAAGACAATGGCACACACTTCTAACTTAGTAATATAATGATATCAACTGGCTTCTCCATCACATAAATGACAAGGATTTTAAATTTTTTTATACTTAGTAAACACATTTTAAACAGAATCCAATGTTTAGTTAAACTCAAAAGTAGTTTGTTCGTTCTTAAAAGACAATCTCCACTCTACCCCTAGGCAGAAATTCAGATTTTTGGGGCACTCACGCACCTGGATCAGCAGCCTAACCCACCCCACCCATCCTGTGCAGAGATCCCGGTGCAGCAAGGCCCTCTTCACTCCACACTCAGGCAGATCTCCAGGCAGCTGAAGCGTCCACTCTCCTGGATTAAGAATTAAGGTCACTCCCTGACCAACAAGCAGAGAACTTGGAGCTGAAGAGGTTTCTCAGCCCCCATGCATAGGCACACCCCTAGGTGCTTGGTGGACACCCTCTTGATTCTTCCTCCACGCTAGTGCTTATGCCTGCCATCAGGGGACCTATAGGAGAAACTGCCTGGCCTGGCCCTGCCCATCATGGCCCCTACCCCACAGGACTGAGCAGGGAGTTCAGAGCACTGTGCATTCCATGAATCAGCCCATTGCCTGAGGCAACAGAGAGCTTCTGCCAGTAAACAAAGATCAAGTACATACACAGTCATGTTGGTCACAGCCAGCTCTTACCTATAAATGCCATCTATGGGCTGTAGGTTGAGCCACACAGCCCAATATAAAACCTACTGAAAGAAGTGCATAGGGCTACAGAGGTAAAGCCAAAAGACCCTACCTAGCATTTTCTATAGTCACACCGTCTACAGAGATGGAGAAAGGAAAAGAGAAAAACAGAACAACATTAATATTTTGGGGAAAGAAAGAAAAAGAAAAAATCTTACCTGCTTGAACATAATTATAAATATTATAAATCCCAGGATCTCCAGATGAGAGGAAAGCAGTGTGAAAATTCTGGTACCATGAAAAATCTGAATGTAGTGACACCACCAAAGGAATGCACTAGCTCTCCAGCAATGGTCCCTAACCAATACAAAAACTCAGAAATGACAGATAAAGAATTCAAAGCACGGATTGCAAGGAAGCTCAGTGAGATCCAAGACACGGTTTAAAATCAACATAAAGAAACTTGTAAAGCAATCCATGCAATGAAGGAAGAGATAAATATCTTAAAAAGAAATCAATCAGAGTGTCTGGAACTGAAAAACTCACATAAGGAATTTCAAAATATAATTGAAAGCTTTATTAATAGACTAGACCAAGCAGAAGAAAGAATTTCAGAGGTTGAAGACAGGTCTTTTGAACTAACCTAGTCAGGCAAAAATAAAGAAAAAAAGAATTTTAAAAAGTCTTCAAAATATATGAGATTATGCAAAGCAAACAAACCTACAAATTATTGGCATTCCTTAGAGAGAAGGAGAAAAAGGAAACATCCTGGAAAACATATTTGAGAGAATAAGTCAAGAAAATTTCCCTAATCTTGCTAGAGAAGTAGACATCCAGATTAAAACGAGAGAGAGAGAGAGAGAAAAGATCCAAATAAGCACAATCAGAATTGACAAAGATGGTATTACAATTGATCCCATGGAAATACAAAATCTAGGAAACAACATTCTGGACAGCAGCCTTGAGAAAGAATATGACTAAGTCTTCCAAAGCAGCTGTAACAAAAATAAAAAGCAACAAGTGGGACCTAATTAAACTAAAGAGCTTCTGCACAGCAAAATAACTATCAAAAGAGTAAACAGAAGACTTACAGAATGGGAGAAAATATTCACAAACTACATATCCAACAAAGGTCTAAGATCCAGAATCTATAAGGAACTTAAACAATTTCAACAAGCGCAAAATGACTTTATTAAAAAACAGGCAAAGGAGATGAACAGACACTTCTCAGAAGAAGACATACAAGCCAGCAAACATGAAAAAATGCTCAACATCACTAATCATCAGAGAAATGCAAATCAAAATCACAATGAGATACCATCTCACTCCAGTCAGAATGGCAATTATTAAAACATCAAAAAACAACAGATGCTGGCAAAGCTGTGGATAAAAGGTAACACTTACAATGTTAGGAGGAATGTAATTAGTTCAGCCACTGTGGAATTTAGATTTCTCAAAGAACTTAGAACTACCATTCGACCCAGCAATCCCATTACTGAGTATATATCGAAAAGAAAGCATTGTTCTATCAAGAAGACACATGTACTCACATGTTCATCACAGCACTGTTCACTATGGCAAAGACATGATCAACCTTGGTGCCCATCAATGGCAGACTGGAAAAAGGAAATATGATACATATACACCATGGAATACTCTGCAGCCATAAAAAAAGAACAAGGTCATGTATTTTGCAGGGACATGGATGCAGCTGGAGGCCATTATCCTAAACAAATTAACACAAAAACAGAAAACCAAATACCACATGTTCTCACTAGTAAGTGAGAGCTAAACATTGGGTACTCATGGACCTAAAGATAGTCACAACAGAAATTGGGGACCACTGGGAAGAAGGCAGGGTACTAAATAAAACTAATTATTGGGTACTATGCTCAGTACATGATTGACAGGATCAGTCGTACCCTAAACCTCAGCATTATGCAATATACTCAGGCCACAAACCTGCACATGTACCTTCTGATTCTAAAATAAAAGTTTTAAAAAAGACAAAATTTGAATGTCAAAAAATATTTTTATACTGCATTGTTAACTATTAATTTTTTTCAGGTTATTATTGGTTTATGTTGGCATGAAATTTTTAAATTTATTTTTAATTGACAAAAACTGTATTTATCATGTACATGATCTTTTGAAATATGAATATACACTGTGGAATGGCCAAATTGAACTAATTAACATATATATTACCTCACATATTTATTATTCATGGTAAGAACTCTTAAAATCTGTTTTCTTGGTGATTTTCAAGAATATAATACATTACATAATTATTAACCATAGTCGTCATGTTGTACAATAGATCTGTTGAACTTATAACTACCAAGTTTAAAAAATGTACAGATTAATGAAAAAAGGCTCTTTTGTGCAATCTTATATTTTCTATCTGTAGTTGTCATATGCCTGGCCTGTCAAATTATTTTTGCCTTTATTATTGTTTTTCAAGTTGTTTTTCCACAAGACATATATGTAATTCTTCTTTAGATATTTAATTTACAGGGCAAAATTCCACCCCAAGAGTTTGCATGTGGAAATATATGCATTTTTATAATCCACAAATCTTATAATAATTGCTGTCTACTTGGCATACATCAGAGATTGTATCTAAAATAATTAAATTATATTTTATACATAATTTTACCTGAATGATTCTGTCATAATGTTACAATTTTGGTTTTGTATTCCACCCCTAAGAAATATGTTATGTTGCCAGTGTTTGTATTCTGTGCAAACATCTTCCATGATATTGTAACATTCTGCTATCATTTATGCAAAATATAGTAAATCATTATTATCTCTCTCAAATTTTTTTTGAACAATCCTCTCCACGCTAGATATATCCTTGCCAAAAACCGAATCATATACTAGGAGGTCAATGCCAACATTTTTCTCTTTTTCATATAATTTCTGCTAGCATTAACAGTTATAAAATTTTTCTATAAGATTTCAAGATTTCAATGTGGGATACTTACATTACTATTGATGTACATTTCACTTTTATCATATTTACCAAGAAATAGGTAATAAATGTTAACAGTAGAGCAAACTTCCTTATTCATTAGTGAATCTTTCTATCCCCAAAGTGTTTGTAATGATAAAATAATCTTTCGAGGTAGAATAACCATAATCTAACCATTTTTCAACATGAGGGAGAATTTGTGTGTGATCATTTCCGAAATATTCTTACCTAGAATTTCGTTTGGAATATTATACTTTCTCACAAGAATTGGATAATTTTCAACAAAAATGTCCTGTTATTTTGTCTGATAATCTAATTAGATGGCCATGAATCTGGATCCAAAAAAAAAAAAGGATGCTCAGTTGAATGAATTTGGAGGTGGAGGCAAGTGTCTGATAATCTAATTAGATGGTCATGAATCTGGATCCAAAAAAAAAAAAGGATGCTAAGTTGAATGAATTTGAAGGCAGGTGGCACTTCCCCTTCAAATTATTCTTTACATTTTTTAATTTAGAGTTGACATATAGATCTAAGGAAAATTCACATCCTGCTTCATTAATGACATATCTATGCTATATTCTGCTGAAAAGTGTAGCTCGAAACTTTTTCCTCTTTTTTTCTGTCATTGCACCTATTTCTCCAGAAAACTTATTTAACCAGCCAAAGTTTTTCTTAATTTTTTTTCTAGCAGTTTCCCAATTATTTCCTTTCTAATGCTGATAATTTATTTAAATTTTCTTTGGAACATCTGAGAGGAAATGGCATCTTTTCCAGAAGTTTGTAACATTTTCAAATAATATTATATACATATCTCCAAATTTTAAATAGTTAAAAAGCCAATGCTATAACATAATTAACAAATTGTTACATGGTAATCTCTGATTTATTTCTATCTAAAATATACTTTCTGGATCATGAATGGAAATTGGATCATTATATAGTAATTTGTATCATAATGTTAGAATTTATAGATTCATTGGTTACTTAGTTATTCAATTCTAGTCCAGGAAACACATAGCAGATGGTATAAACTATAGGATAAAACACCCAGCTAAGACACTACTAAAACCAATGGGGGATTTTTTTTTTTTTTTTTTTTTTTTTTTTTGAGACAGAGTCTCGCTCTGTCACCCAGGCTGGAGTGCAGTGGCATGATCTCGGCTCACTGCAAGCTCTGCCTCCCGGGTTCATGCCATTCTCCTGCCTCAGCCTCCCGAGTAACTGGGACTACAGGCGCCCACCACCACGCCCAGCTAATTTTTTGTATTTTTAGTAGAGACGGGGTTTTACCTTGTTAGCCAGGATGGTCTCAATCTCCTGACCTCATGATCCGCCTGCCTCATCCTCCCAAAGTGCTGGGATTACAGGTGTGAGCCACCGGGCCCAGCCAGGGGATTTTTTAAAGATATTCACCAAAATAAATAAGAAGCTACCTGTTTAAAGACTGAGGTTATTACCGCATGTTCTCACTCATAGGTGGAAATTGAACAATGAGAACACCTGGACACAGGAAGGGGAACATCACACACTGGGGCCTATCATGGGGTCAGGGGAGGGGGGAGGGATAGCATTAGGAGATATACCTAATGTAAATGATGAGTTAATGGGTGCAGCACACCAACATGGCACATGTATACACATGTAACAAACCTGCACGTTGTGCACATGTACTCTAGAACTTAAAGTAAAAAATAAATAAATAAATAAAAATAAATAAATGTAAATAAATAAGAAAAAAAAATTCTAAGGAAATGGATTTAAAAAAAAGACAGGTTATTATATCAACAAGGTTTTATTATTATTATTATTAAACTAATCCCTCTTCTTTAAGGTAAAGCAGAATGACACAGATCTTCTCTGTCATAATAAGACACAAAATATCTATCTGTTGGAAATTTGTCACACTATGCTGATTTTGGAAGCGCAAACTCCTTACTGTCACCAGCCAGAAAGCTGTCATAACAAATATTCAGATTATCCCTCTTAGGAGTCAACAATTAGGACAGAACTATTGTAAAATTTTAATATGATAAGTATGTCTATATGTATGAATGCAACCCTTATTGATAATGTACCCTTGTGCAGTACAAAACCTAAACAATGTATACAGCAGCTATTTATAGGGGGTAACCTGGAAACATTCTTTAGTGTCTGCAGTGCCCATTGCTGGAGCAGGCCAACAATAATTTTTGAATGAGTGCCACTAGATCCTCTTCTGAGCCTAACTTTTATTTTTTTCTCTTTCCTCTCCCCAACCTCTTCCCTATTTCTGTTTCTTTTTCATGGTGCAATCACTTTTAAATATTCTGGCATAAAACCTGGAGCCTCAGACTCTTAATTTAACCTAAATCATTATTGAAAGTTGAGATTGTTCTGGCAATGCCAAGAATTTCATGCTTCTTAGTAAGAAGAACATCCAAGCCCAAAGAAAGAGTAACTTTTAAAAATATGGAAGATTGAATAAATGTAATAAACCTATATCTGAATGGGCTGTCCGCACAAACAGTGAGAGTCCAACTACTAGGTGTCTAAGAAGTGATCAATTGGAATGTGAGACAGTAGTGGTTCACCAGAAGAAAGTAAAAGGATAATGAAATGTCTCCAAGAGTATAAATCCAGTTCATAAAAAATTTATTAAATACATACAAAACTCAGCTCTGGGTACCCACCTTGGTGGGAGAGATAAGCAATATACGGATTAATTCTATACTGTTAGAACATGACATATACTATAAAATGGGTACAAATAATGTGCTATGGCAAAATAAAGGATAAAGATAGCACTTTTACTAGTAAATACAGTGAATGTTTCATTAATTGGTTGACCAAATATTGATTGAGGACCTACTAGTGTGTGCGGGAATGATTCTTAGTGCTAAAGTGAACAAAAGAACAAAAATAATTACCCTCAGGGAAATTACACTCTACCAAAGGAACCAGACCATAAACAAATAAAAATTAAGACATCTGTCAAACAGAAGCACCATGGAGAAATATGTAATCAATATTACATATATCTATATGTAGTATTACATATATCTATATGTCATCATGGCAGAGGATGGCAGCTGTGTTGGAGAAGTGCAACTTTAGACAGGATAGTCAAGAAGGCCTCCTGAGGAAGCAATGTTTCAGCAAAGCCCTGGGGGAACCAAAGGAATAAGTCATGTGACTCGTGTGAATATCATTCATGTTGAGGGAGCTGTCTGCACAAGAGTATGACTGGTAAGCTGGAGGAATTCTGTATTCAAAGAATAATGTGAAGGTCAGAGTGGCTGTGGTAGAGAGAAAAAGTTGAGTTATAGGAGACATAAAAAGAGAGAAAAAAAGGAGCCAGATCATGCAGGGCCTTGTAGCCCACTGTATTAGTCTGTTTTCACACTGCCATAAAGAACTACCTGAGACTGGGTAATTTATGAAGAAAGGAAGGTTTAATTGACTCACAGCTCTGCATGGCTGGGAAGGCCTCAGAAACTTACAATCATGGCAGGAGGGAAAGCAAGGCACATCTTACATGGCAGCAAGCGAGAGAGAGAGAGAGTGAAGAAAGACACACACTTTTCATCAGATCTCGTGAGAATTCCCTCGCTATCATGAGAACAGCATGGCAGAAACTGCCCCCATGCTCCAATCACCTCCCACCAGGTCCCTCCCTCAACACATGGTGATTAAAATTCAAAATGAGATTTAGGTGGGGACACAGAGCCAAACCATATCAACCACTGTGGGAACTTTGGCTCCCACTGAGAAGGAAAGCAAGTAAAGGTTTTGAGGAATAGGGTGACATGGTCTGGGAATAAGACTCAACAGAAGCAAAGAAAAAACAGAAAAGCCAGTCAGGCAACTATGTCAAAAATCTGGGTACAAGATAATAGTGGCTCAGAACAAGGTGGCAGCTATGGAGTTGGTCTGAGGTGCTCATATGTGAATACATAAATCTCACAATAAATAATTTTTGAGGGTCCATCAGATACTAGGTACTATACTCAGCCAAAGAGCTGAACCCTGACTTTGGAATTCCTTGCATGGACATCCTGGACTTACTTGATCAATAATTCCAAACTCAATGAAACTGAGAGCTGCCCCTTCCAAATCACCCCTCACTGCTACTACTGGATCTGATTCCAGCTAAACCCAGACTACTTCTTGCTACAAACTTTGGAAGCGGTGGCTTGACTTCCTTTCTCCGCCAGCAGCAACCCGCTTCATAATCAGAATCACTGTCCAAAAATGGCAGAGGTGGAAACTTCGACAGGGCTTTTGAAGAAAAGCACTTCGCTGGACTAGATCCCAAGCTTATAATATGTATGAAGAGCATCACTGGAAGATGGACTGGAAACACAGGCTTGGGCCAGGAGTGCCATTCCATGATATATGCCCTTTATCCTCTAGGAAGTACAATGGCTACACGGTTTTTATTGCATGCTTTTTAGCGGTGTAGTAGGTTGGATTATTATTCAGCAAATTTTCACTCTTCCCTCTCCTTTCAGACATAAATATGTGATCCTACCCCACTGGCATGGTGTCTGGGCAGGTGCCTTGCTTTGACCAATAGAATGTGACGGTGCCAGTTCCAGCAGAGAATTTAGTAGCAGGCTCAGATTCTGCCAGGCCTTTTGCAACCACATGCTTCACCATAAGAGTCTTTTTTGATTAGCTCCCAGTCTCAGAATAAGGAGAGACATCAAGTAGACCTAAAATCCAAGGCAGACCCTGTTGCTGAGCTCAGACAACTGACAACCAGAGGTGATCCACAGCCAACCCCCTGCCTATCCAGCAAGAAGTAAGGGTTTACTACTGTAATCCACTGATATTGTGGGAATTCTTGTTCCATAGCATTAGTGCAGCAAAAAGCTATTCATTACAATAAGAAAAACTTTTGAGCATGCATTTCCAATATATGCTATTTAAAACTTGAAAAGTATGATCTGAAAGCTAATTAGAAATAGAATTCCTAATATTTTCTTTTCACATACCAATGGATGGTCTTAAACATCACCAGGATGGTGGGTCTGAATTGGGAGACTACTGTGCTTTAGATCACCAGATTTTATTCTTAAACAAACTAAAAATAAGCATCATTGAGCAGTTACTTTTTTCCAGGAACTAGAGATGGACACAGAAAAGAATGCAACAATGTCATTGGCCTTAAGGAAGATTTATCCAAAGGAAAGAGCACAAAAGTTCTGAGAAGAATTACTTTGGAAGTAGAAAGCAGACATCAGAGAGCATAGGAGAGAGAATGTAGTGGGCAGAGCTACAGAGTTATTGAAATAATCTAAGAAGCAGGCATTGGGAATAACAATAAGAATAAAGGGAAGAAGGGAGAGTGAAAAAAGACAAAAATTTGGGAAAAGTTTGAGATGAACTTCTACTTTATAAGATTTACCCACAAGGCAAATTTTAGCCAATCTCCACATCTACCCATGAAATAATAGCTTATATTTATAAAGTAATAGCTTAAATTTGTAAACTATTTTATGGGTGGGAAGTAGTCTCACATATTTACTTCATTAATTTTATTTATTTTAATTCTCAACATAATCCTATGGGATGGGTATTAATATTCCCTGGTAAATGAAAAAAACAAAAACAAAACCTGAAGCCTAGATACTCATTCTCTCACATCTAGACGTGATGCAAAAGAATCTAGAAACATTTATCTCTCTGGGCCTGGAGCTGATTTTCACAGACAGATGGGTGAGAACCTTCTTGATTTTGAAAGATAACAGCAGTTCTATATGTTAAACATCAGATGAGCAACCAGCTAAAACTACAGTCTTAGGAAAAATGAGTTAGCATAAGAAAGGCCATATGGTTTGGTAAATTATACAGACAATATTTTGCCATGTGTATCACAAAGCTTTTACCTGTTCAATGGAACACTCCACTTAGTGTGTCTAGTGTTAACAGACATTTTCACTTAACAAGATGAATGATGTAAACCTATAACTTCTTAATGAAATGTGGGATCTTTATCCCACATTTTATAATGAATAAATTTTAAATGGATAACTAAAATACTTGTACTTAGGAATAATAGTAAAGTATCGGAATGAACTGAAATACAGGAAATCAGAATTTGATGGAGAACAAGGTAATAAATAAGGACTAGATTTAGGGAAGTATTGTGTTCAAAGTCAAACTCCACCAAGTCATAAAGGTGGGAACTGGAGAAGTTAACTTACATCTTTATCTCAGAGAGCATTGGAAGGCTCAAATATGATAATAAATGGGCAAGTGCTTTGGAAATTTTTTCATCCGAAAAATATTTATTGCATCAGGACACTGAATATACAAATGTGAAAAATATAGACATTGCCTCTGCCCTCATAGAGCTTATAGTCTTAAAACAAGTATTTATTGAGTGACTTTTACGTGCCAGGCACTGAGATAAATTCGGCTACTGCTCTTGCTGTCTAGGTGCTTAGAGTGGAGAGGAGAAATACACAAGCCACAATTACGGGCAAAACTACAACAGGGGAAAGTACTGGGAAGAAGAGAGGTGCCTTGTACTATTACAGGGATTTCATTTCAATTGAGAAATCACTTGAATATAGTTTTGAAAGATGATTAGAATAAATGCAATTGAGGGCAGAAAGCAAATGGTAAACTTTCCAGGGGAAACAGCAAATACAAAGGGAAGGAGCAGGATCTATATTCCAAATGGGAAGTGCTATAAACCGAATGTTCGTGTTCCCCCTACACACATGTTCAACCCTAATCTCCAGTGTGATGGCATTTGGAGACAGGGCCTTTGGGAAGTAATTGGCTCAAGAGGGGGCCCCATGAATGAGATTAATGCTATTAAATAAAAAGACAAGAGAGAGCTTGTTTGACTACTGATATGATTTGGCTCTGTGTTCACACCCGAATCTCATGTTAAATTATAATCCCCAGTGTTGGGAGAGACACCTGGTGGGGGGTGATTGGATCATGGGAGCAGATTTCTCCCTTGATATTCTCGCGATAGTGAGTGAGTTCTCATGAGATCTCATGGTTTCCAAGTGTGTGGCACTTCCCCCTTCACTCACTCTCTCTGCTCCACCATGAGATGTGCCTTGCTTCCCCTTGGCCTTCCACCATGATTGTAAGTTTCCTGAGGCCTCCCAGCCATGCTTCCTATACAGCCTGAGGAACTGTCAGTCAATTAAACTTCTTTTCTTCATAAATTATCTAGTCTCAGGTAGTTTTTTATAGCAGTGCGAGAACAGACTAATACAACTACCCACCCCGCTTCTCAACCATGTCAGGAAACTAGAAAGAGGGCCCTCATCAGAACACTACATGCTGTCACCCTGATCTCAAACTTCACAGCCTCCAGAATGGTGAGAAATAAACATTTGTTGTTAAGCCACCCAGACTATGGTGATTTGTTGTAATAGCCCAGACTGACTATGAAAGAACTTGGTAACAAGAAGTGTGGTGCTGCCTTAACAAACCAGAACATGTGGAGGCAGCTTTGGAGCTGGGTAAAGGGTAGAGACTGGAAGGGTTTTGAGGTGCATGCTAGAAGAAGCTGATATTGCTAGGATGGGATGTTTTATATGATTCTGGTGAGATTTCAGAAAGAAAAGTGGAGAGCTGCAGAAAAAGCCTCTGTCTTCTCAGAGAACGCATAAATAATCATGTATGTAATGTTGATAGAAATATGAACATTTAAAGGCCATTCTGTTGAAGTCTCAGACAGAAAAGACAAGTTATCGAACAATGGAGAAAAGGCTCCCTTTGCTATAAAGTGTCAACAGTTTTAGCTGGTTGCTCATCTGATAAATTTAACATAGAGAACTGCAATAATCTCTCAAAATGAAAGAAGAGCTTCACACATTTGACTGAGAAAATTAACCCCGGGCCCAAAAAGAAAAATGCTTCCCAGTTCTTCTGCATCACTTCTAGCTGTAAGATAGGATTTTTAAATGTAAGTCTTCTGAAAACTATGTGTAAATAATTATCACTTCTATCTTTACATACCAAGGTTAGAAGTGATAAAACCGAATGCCAGTCAATTATGTGGTCAATTTTTAAGAAAAACTTTGACTGGTTTGTACTAGATTGAAAACTCCACCCTAATGAGAAGTTAGATATGCCTAAAGCTCACCATTTAAAATGTGAAATATTTTGTATTGAATTTGTAGATTGCTTTTGGCAGTATGGTCATTTTCACAGTATTGATCCTACCCATCCATGAGCATGGGATGTGTTTCCATTTGTTTGTGTTGTCTTTGATTTCTTTCAGCAGTGTTTTGTAGTTTTCTTTGCAGAGGTCTTTCACCTCCTTGATTAAGTTTATTCCTACATTGCTGAATTCATTTACCAGTTCTAGGAGCTTTTTGGATGATTCTTTAGGGTTTTCTAAGTATATGATCATACCATCAGCAAACAGCAACAGTTTGACTTCCTCTGGATGCCCTTTATTTCTTTATCTTGTCTGATTGCTCTGGCTAGGACTTCCAGTACTAAGTTGAATAGAAGTGGTAAAAGTGGGCATCCTTGTCTTGTTATAGTTATCAGGGGGAATGCTTTCAACTTTTCCCCGTTCAGTGTAATGTTGGCTGTGAGTTTGTAATAGATGGTTTTCATTACCTTAAGGTATATCCCTTCTATGCCTATTTTGTGGAGGGTTTTAATCATAAAGAGATGCTGGATTTCGTCAAATGCTTTTTCTGCATCTAATGAGATGATCATGTGATTTTTGTTTTTAATTCTGTTTATGTGGTGTATCACATTTTATTGACTTGTGGATGGTAAACCATCTCTGCATCCCTGGTATGAAATCCACTTGATCATGGCGGGTTATCTTTTTGATATGCTGTTGGATTTGGTTAGCTAGTATTTTGTTAAGGATTCTTGTATCTATGTTCATTAAAGGCATTGATCGGTAGTTTTCTTTTTTTGTTATGTCCTTTCCTGGTTTTGGTATTAGAGTGATAATGACTTCATACAAATTCAATGTAATTCTCATCAAAATATCACCACCATTCTTCACAGAACTACAAAAAGCAATTTTAAAATTCATATGGAATCAAAAAAGAGCCTGGATAGCAAAAGTAAGACTAAGAAAAAGGAACAAATCTGGAGGAATTACATTACCTGACTTCAAACTATACTATAAGGCCGTAGTTACCAAAACAGCATGATACTGGTATAAAAACAAGCATATTGACCAATGGAACCCAGAAATAAAACCAAATACTTACAGTCAACTGATCTTTGACAAAGCAAACAAAAATATAAAGTGGGGAAAGGACCTCTTATTCAACAAATGGTGCTGGGATAATTGGTAAGCTACAGGTAGAAGAACCAACCTGGATCCTCATTTCTCACCTTATACCAAAAAACACTCAAGATGGATCAAAGACTTAAATCTAAGACCTGAAACCATAAAAATTCTAGAAGATAACATTGAAAAGTCCCTTCTAGACATTGGCTTAGGCAAAGACTTCATGACCAAGAACCCAAAAGCAAATGCAACAAAAACAAAGATAAATAGATGGGACGTAATTAAATGAAAAACTTTCTCCATAGCAAAAGAAATAATCAGTAGAGTAAAAAAAACAACCCATAGAGTGGGAGAAAACCTTTGTAATCTATACATCCAACAAAAGACTAATATCTAGAATCTACAAGGAACTCAAGCAAATCAGCAAGATAAAACAAACAATCCCATCAAAAAGGGGGCTAAGGATATGAATAGAGAATTCTCAAAAGAAGTTGTACAAATGGCCAACAAACATGAAAAAATGCTCAACATCACTAATTATCAGGGAAATGGAAATCAAAACCACAATGCAATACCACCTTACTCCTGCAAGAATGGTCATAAACAAAAAACTAAAACATAATAGATGTTGGCGTGGATGTGGTGAAAAGGGAACACTTTTACACTGTTAATGGGAATGTAAACTAGTACAACCACTATGGAAAACAGTGTGGAGATTCCGTAAAGAACTAAAAGTAGATCTACCATTTGATCCAGCAATCCCACTCCTGGGTATTTGCCCAGAGGAAAAGAAGTCATTATATGGAAAAGATACTTGCACATACATGTTTATAGCAGCACAGTTCACAATTGCAAAAATATGGAACCAGCCCAAATGCCCACCAATCAACTAATAGATAAAGAAAATGTGGTATATATATATATATATATATATATATATATATATATATATATATATATATATACACACCATGGAATACTACTCAGCTATGAAAAGGAATGAAATAATGGCATTTGCAGCAACCTGGATGGAATTGGAGACCATTATTCTAAGTGAAGTATTAAATAACTCAGAAATGGAAAAACAAACATCGTATGTTCTCACTTATAACCTATGAGGACCCAAAGGCATAAGAATGATACAGTGGACTTGGGGGACTCAGGGGAAAGGGTGGGAGGTGGGTGAAGGATGAAAGACTACACATGGGTACAGTGTACACTGTTCAGGTAATAGGTGCACCAAAATCTCAGAACTCACAACTAAAGAACTTATTCATGTATCCAAACACCACCTGTTCCCCAAAAACCTACTGAAATAAAAATAAATAATAAAAGTATATTTGTTGCAGTTATCATCATCACTATAATACATCATCACTATAATACATATATTATATATAATATTTTTTATTATCTGCTTAAAAATAAAAAAATGTGAAATATTTTGTAAAGGAGACAGAAGCAGAGAGATGATACCTTAGAATGAGAAAAAGAGAATGGAGAGAGAAAGCTATCTTTTCCTACCGAAAACCTTATGATTTTAGTCAGTAATACTGTCAATTAATTAAATTAAGTTTCCATAGAATGACACTAACAGCTGCCTTTTATAAGTGGTTCCTATTTACCAGACACTATACATACATAATATAGTTTAAACTCACAAAAACTGTCAGGTAGGTATTATTGTCATTTTACCAATTGTAATGGTTAATTTTATTTTATGTGTAAACTTCACTGGGCTAAGGGATGCCCAAATAGCTGGTAAAACATTATTTCTCTGTGCATCTATGAGGGTGTTTCCAGAAAAGACTAGTATTTGAATCAGTAGACTGAGTAAAGAAGATCTGCCCTTACCAAATGTGTATGAACATCATTTTTCCTAACAGAACAAAAAGGTGTAGGAAAAATAAATTCTCTCTTATTGAGCTGAGACATCCATCTCTTCCTGACCTTGGACATTGGAGCTACTAGTTCTCAGGCCTTTGGACTTTGGAACTGACACAGTGTACACCCTCCCAGCCCACCTGGTGTTGTCAGTCCTTCAGACTTGGAGTTAGATCATTGGCTTCCTGGTTCTCAGGCATTCAAACTCAGACTGAATTACACAACTGGCTTTCCCATTCTCCAGCCTGCAGATGGTAAGTCATGGGACTTCTCCGCTCCCATGATCATTTGAGCCAATTCCCATAATAAATTTCCTATTTTATATATCCTATTGATTCTGTTTCTCTGGAGAACCCTGATTATTATACACCAATGTCAAAATGGAGGCTCCTTAGCAAGTGAGTAGTTTGTCTGAGGTCACAGAGATAGTAAGGCCTGTGTACTTGACACCATCCCATGCTGTCTTCCCATAAGGAAGATTCCACCAAAATGTCTCACATGGAACATGGCCATCATGCAGTGTGCTGTGTTGAACTGTAGCCCAGCGAGCTCTTAATTCAATACCTTGTAAAGCAGTGTTTCACAAACAAGGTAATGCTGGAGGAGGATTTTTCCATGGGGAAAGAGTGTTTTGGCTTTGTTTCTTATCTTTGCACTTTCTACCAGTTACACAGATAAAGTTCACTAGAAAACTTTCCACCACAGTTAATGTAGAAAAACATGCCTTGTAAACTGGAGAGGAGAAGGGGTACGAGACCAAAGTCCACGGTCTCATTTTTGAGGTGAGGAAATCTTTTGGTTCCACTCAAAACAAGAGTCTTTCAGTTGTCCAGCTTTCTAAATTTAACTTAGGTAGGTTTAAAATACTCAGGGAGCACTCAGTAAATGTTAAGTGACTCCAACCTTAACAAAGAAGGAAATCTTGTCATTTGGGACAACATGGATGAAATATGCTAAGTGAAACAAGCCAGGCACAGAAGGACAAATGCTTCATGATCTCACTCATAGAAGTGGAGAGTAAATGGTGGTAACCCAAGGCTGAGGGGAAGGGATGGGTTGAAGAGATGTTGGTCAAAGGGTACAAAGTTTCAGTTACATAAAAAGAATAAGTTCAAGAAATCTATTGTACAACATGATGACTATAGTTAATAACAAAGAAATGTATTCTTGGAAATTGCTAAGAAAGCAGATTTTAAGTGTTCTCATCACAAAAAAATGACAAGTATGTGAGGTAATACATATGTCAATTAGCTCAATTTAGTAATTTCACGATGAATACATATCTCAAAACATTTGGTTGTACACAATAAACATATATAAATTTTAGTTGTATGCAATAAACATATATAATTTTTACCTGACAATTAAAAACAAGTAAATGGGAGATTTCTGAACCTATTCTGGTTCAGGGACTGCCTAATAAAAATAATGACAATGAGTAAACAACAAAGAAAAAAGGTTAAGTGACTCAAGCTTACAAAGAATTGACCTTAGAAATTTCAATTATACCCATCGCCCAAAAGATTAATCAAAGGATGCTGTTGACAAATGATTGTAATCTGAATTAAATATATAAGATGGCAAAAGTATAACTAATACCTCAAATAGCATCAAAGAATAATTTTCTATAAATACTGTCTGAGAAACACATCAAATCCTTGAAACTTAAAATTTAGAAAATTGAGAAAAGTTACTCTGGGCAAACCATTGTCACTTAAATATTTCTTGATCAAGTGCTGAAGAACTAAATAGAACAACTCTAAGAATATTAGGAAAAGACTATTTTTGACTGTTTCAAACTATGAAATATGTCATTTTACTAAACCCTAGAGACTCCCTGTATTTTTCACAAATAGTCATTGAGAAACAAAAGAGTTGAGGCTGGGATGGTGGATCATGCCTGTAATCCCAGCACTTTTGGAGGCTGAGGCAGGTGGATCACCTGAGGTCAGGAGTTTGAGACCAGCCTGGCCAACATGACAAAACCCCTATCTCAAAAAAAAGAAATAGCTAGGCATGGTGGTGTGCACCTGTAGTCCCAGCTACTTGGGAGGCTGAGGCAGAGAATCACTTGAACCCGGGAGGCAGAGGTTGCAGTGAGCCGAGGAGGCGCCACTTCACTCCAGCCTCTGTCTCCAAAGAAAGAAAGGAAAAGAAAGAAGGGAAGAAAGAGAGAGGGAGGAAAGAAGGGAGGAAGGAAGGAAGGAAGGAAGGAAGGAAGGAAGGGAGGGAGGGAGGGAGGGAGGGAGGGAAAAAGAAAAGAGGTGAGCACACGGTTACTTTGAGGAAAACAAAGATGAAACTTCACATCACATTCCAACAAGTCACAGCTTGATCTCTAAGCTTTGCAGTCAAAAAGATTTTATATAAACATGAAGTACTTCTACTGTCTCCCAAAGCCTATCCCCTGATCAGTCCTCAGCTTAGAACATTGACCAATTACACAGCTCACACTAGGCTGATCTCAGATTCTCCTCTGAACTTCTCTTAGGGAGAACCTGCTTTCTGAGGACATTCCCACACTCAGTTCGCTGGGCTGTTGTCCATTTTTCATTAGCCTCAAAGGTTTAATGGCAACTCCATCACCAAAATATTAATCACACAATGAAGTTACAGATTTTCCAACATTCTTGAGCAAGATGTGCTAAGACTTATGTTACATTTGGCCCACGTTCACATTCTTTGGTTCTATTTAATCTCAATTAATTTCTGTAAATTCCTCATTTGCATGCTCTCTCTCTCTTTCTCTGTGTGTGTGTGTGTGTGTGTCTGTCTGTCTGTCTGTCTGTCTATGACAAATACACCTGAAGTTAAGGGGAAAAAGTAAAGATGTTTGGGCCATAGCATGGGCCTCTCCTAAGCCATATCTGCAGTCAGGATAACAAAGAAAATTAGCATGTTATATAACGAATATGTCTGAAAACTGAATTAGAAAGATATCCCTGTTACCTAAGGAAAAGCCACTCACAGTGGCTCTCTGACTTTTTTTAATTTATGGAGACAAAAATATTTCTACTTTACTGAATACTGCATATAGAAATTTAATAAGCCAAAACATGCCCTCCTATTTAAAACCAATTATAATTTTTGTTGAAAACCATTATCATTCAAATTGTTGCATACATATATATAATACATTTTACTACTTTATGAAGAGGAAAATTTAAATATTTACCATTTATCTAAAATGCCTGTTCACATACATAAAATTATCATGTAAAAACTAAAATTTCTCTTTATTTAGAATGCAAAACATTCAGGATTTAACAACTGGCATATAAAAATAGTAATGACCCTACTAAAGTAAATTTAAAAGATATCATTTCTATTTAAATGTCATCACATTTAGGCAAATTTGACAGATTGCCTCCTCACAGAAAAACGTTTAGGCAGTATATGGATTTAAAATACATTATATTGTAGGCTAGGAGTCAAACATGTTAATTATCTAGCATCGTTCCTCTACAGAATGGATTTCTCCAGCTTCAACATGCCTCATGCCCCCATTTAGAGACTAATGCTATTACCTGTCTGTAAGCTAATATTCAGGTGAAATGAGGTAGTTTGGTGACCTAAATTATCTTCTAATACCCTTAACCTTTAGCTGGTAAAAGCTTAGCCTAACAACATGTCAAATGAGGCCTAGTTCTGGCTGTAATGAAATTTCCACCTCATGTAAGCCTGTAACTTGTCTATGCTTTTCCCCTTTACAGTGGTGTCTTTTACATATGCTAAAAAAGGAGTTAGTTGATATATGTTTCTCTGGAAATTTGCATAAAGGAGGACACTGGAAAGGAAAATTAGAGAGTCAAAAACCTTGAAACTGCTTTTGGCTCTAGGCTAGGGAGATTTTTATTTTTACTTTTTAATCTACCAATTTATTTAAAAGGAATGTATAATACACATATAGTAAAGAGCACGAATCTTAGCATACGGATTGATGAATTTTTATGTACACATATAGCCTAGTAACCACCCAGCTCAAGATACAGAACATTCTCGTCAACCTACAAGCTTTCCTCATGTACCTTCCTAGCCAATACTCTCCCTCTACTCAGAGGTAACTGCTCCTTTTTTTTTTAATTGACAAATAATCATTGTATTTATTTATAGGGTACAATATGATGTTTGATATATGTATACACTGTAGAAAGAGGTAGAAACCAACCAACATTTTACCCCCTGCTTCATTTAAATGAGAAAATGCAATATGTGTCTTTCTGTAGGCTACAGAAAATTTTTAAGATATTAACTTTTATGGTTGAAGAGAAGAGAAAGAGAACAAAAAGCTTCTCTTAAAGCAGAATCAAGGCTTGTGGATAATTTAAATTTAACAATAATGTGTAAGTTCCTGGCTATCACTTCAACAAAAACATATTAACAGAACATATTTCAAATAACTGAGTTTTTCACAATAAAACTTTCTCTTTATTAATGTCAGGACTCAGAGTTTACTACAAATTTATCTCGATAAGAGGGAGAGAACATGTAATAAAAGAGCGTAGAACTACTGTGTAACAAATAAAACGAAGTTTTAAAAGTATTGTGCATATATATGTATAAATGTGTGTATATATACATATTTTAAAGGGAAAACTCAGAGTCTAGATTAAACAGATATGACCTATAAAATTGATATCAAAAATATTTTCAATACTTTATGAAACTTTGTTCTTTGGAAGTTAATTACATTTCGCTTAATATACTGTTAAGAAAAGAGAAGAGTAACTGACAGCTGTTCTCCCTCACTAGCAGGCCAACTTCATGAGTGGTCATCACAAAAATGCTCATTAATTTAGATGACCACTCATAGTGTTACAGTTTTAGACAGCACACTGCATTGGGAGGGGTATATGTAATTACGTTTTGTGTGTGTGTATTACTAGGGATTTGGGAGGTCAAATAATAACTCTCCTGCTCTGTCTTGAACTGAAACCAAATGAGCAATAGGACAGGAGCCTCTGTATACTTGGCCGAATTTTTCTACAGAGAGGACTTCCACTAAACCTAGAAGAATGTGTTTGGTTCCCTGTCACCTCTTTATATGTGTGTGTATTTGTGACTAAATACAAAACCTACCCTGCCTTTCAGGTGAACACCCTGCTGAATCATATAGCTTTTATTAAACATCAGAACGATTAGAATGGGAAGGTACACATCAATGTGATAGTCTATATTCCCACCGAAGTTAAAAATTCGGTCATTCAACTCTACGGAGCATCTGATATTTTGAGTAATTCACATAGTTGTGAACAAGCTATTCAAGGACCTTATGCTCACAGGGCTTCTACATAAATAATGCTAAAAGAAAAGCATTAAGCCTTTTCCCAAAAATGTCCTCATTGTAAGGGTGTTTCTTCCTCATATCTTCAAAGACACTTTCGGTTAAAAACCCAGGGATAGAATGCAGCTTTATGCCAAAAAAAAGATGGAAATACCTAAAGCTATCCAGAGAAGAAATAGACAGCCTCAAAGGCACTGTTCATAAGGTGCACAGCCATCTGGCATGGGTTGTCTATTAGTATTAGAAGGATCAAATGACCCTTAAGAGTCCATTCAACTCTTTTCAAATTTTTATACCTTCTTTTGTAAATACAGAGTAGAAAAAAATTGAAGTAGACAGCATGGAATTCCAATTGTCCCCATTGAAAGAAACAAAGTATTAGCAACTCATTACACATTCTGCTGTCTTTCTTGTGTCCATACTATATTCTTACACTGGGTACCTTTCCATTCATTAATTCATTTATCCAGAAAACAAAATTTTTAACATTGTGATAAACCCCAAAGAATTATTCAAATAAGCATTATGTCTGAATGAAGGTCCATTTCCTGGGCTTCAAAATACATCTCTTTAAGATAAACTGGAAAGTCTATGTTATATTCATTGACCATGAGTTTACAAAGTAAGGAGTCCTGCTCAATAGGGGTAAAAAGTTTCACTGTCTTCAGAGAAGAGTCTAACCAACGGTTTTGTTTTACTTTAATATTGTGAAATACAATACACATAAAGAAAATTGCATAAAACAAATATATATGTACCATTCCCAATCAATCCCATTACCCAACCTAAATGAAACATTTTTCTGATTTTGTTAATTATTTATTTGCTTTTCTTTATAGTCTTATCATCTAAGTACATCCTTAAACACCACAGTTTAGTGTTGCCTATTCTTGAACATTATAAAGATGGTATCACATCGTATGTAATTTTTTGTGAGAATGGATCCTTTGGTTCAATATTATATTGGTGTAATTTGTTTATGTTGTCCCTTTAGCTGTAGTTCCTTCATTTTCTCTAATGAATAATGTTTCATTCTACATATATGTGCTATTCATGTGTCCATTTCTCTGTTAGTGGAAACTTGGCATATTCCTTGTTGGGAGTATAATAAATTAAGCTGCTATGAGTATTCTTGGACTTCTGTTTAGAAGCATATGTGCATGCATTTCAACAGAAGTGGAATTTCTAAATCATAGAGACCACCATATCCTCAAGTTTAGAAGACAATGTCAATTTGTTCTTGCAAAATGGTTGTACTGATTACGCACCCACCAGCTCTGTTTGAAAGGTCTTTGTTTTTTAAATTTCAGTCATATTGGGTATATAGTGCTATCTCATTGTGATTTTAACTGGCATTTCCCTGATTACTAATGAGGTGATCACTTTTTTAGATGTTTATTGGCCATCTAAACTTCTTTTTTTAATTATCTTTTCAAATCTTTTTATACTAAATTGTTTATGTTTTTCTTATTGATTTGTAGTTCTTTGAGTATACTAAATATAAGACCTTTATTGGGAATATGTTTTGCAAATATCTTCACTCACTTTATATTGTTTTAAGTATAATAATTACTTAATTATGATATCATTTCAAGGGAGACTGACAAGATAATATGACATTTTAATCATTAGGGCAAACTCTAAATTTAATAAAGAAGTATAGTGTCAAAAACTGAATTTTTTTCAAAAATATCTATTTATTTGAAAAAAATTTTAATTTATTTTTAATTTTTATGAATACATAGTAGTTGTATGTATTTATGAGGCATTTGGAATGTTTTGATGCAGGCATGCAATGCATAATGATCACATCAGGGTAAATTAGGTCTTCATCACTTCAAGCATGTATCCTTTGTGTTAAAAACGATCCAATTATACTCTGTTAATTATTTTATATTTTATTTTTATGTTTTAATTGTTTTTCCTTTATTTCTTCTAAAGAAAAAATACGTGCAGGTTTGTTACATAGGTATACGTGTGCCGTGGTGGTTTGCTGCACCTATCGACCCATCTTCTAAGTTCCCTCCCCTCAACCCCTACCCCAGAACAGGCCCTGGTGTGTGTTGTTCCCCTCTGTGTCCATGTATGCTCAATGTTCAACTCCCACTTATGAGTGAGAACATGTGGTGTTTGGTTTTCTGTTCCTGTGTTAGTTTGCTGAGGATGATGGTTTCCAGCTTCATCCATGTCCCTGCAAAGGACATGATCTCATTCCTTTTTATGGCTGTATAGTATTCCATGGTGTATATGTGCCACATTTTCTTTATCCAGTCTATCATTGATGGACATTTGGGTTGGTTTCATGCCTTTGCTATTGTAAATAGTGCTGCAAAAAACATACATGTGCATGTGTCTCTATAGTAGAATAATTTATATTCCTTTGTGTATATACCCAGTACTGGGATTGCTGGGTCAAATGGTATTTCTGGTTCCAGATCCTTGAGGAATCACCATACTGTCTTCCACAATGGTTGAACTAATTTACATTCCACCAACAGTGTAAAAGCATTCCTGTTTCTCCACAACCTCGACAGCATCTATTGTTTCCTGACTTTTTAATAATAACCATTCTGACTGGCATGAGATGGTATCTCATTGTGGTTTTGATTTGTATTTCTTTGAAGATCAGTGATGTTGAGCTTTTTTTCATATGTTTGTTGGCCATGTAAATGTCTTCTTTTGCAAAGTGTCTGTTCATATCCTCTGCCCACTTTTTGATGGGATTGTTTGTTTTTTTCTCACAAATATGTTTAAGTTTCTTGTAAATTGCAGATATTAGGCCTTTGTCAGAAGGGTAGATTGCAAAAATTTTCTCCCATTCTGTAGGTTGCCTGTTCACTCTGACGATAGTTCCTTTTGCTGTGCAGAAGCTCTTTAATTAGGTCTCATTTGTCAATTTTGGCTTTTGTTGCAATTGCTTTTGGTGTTTTTGTCATGAGGTCTTTGCCTATGCCTGTGTCCTGAATGGTATTGCCTAGGTTTTCTTCTAGGGTTTTTATGGTTTGGGGTTTTACATTTAAGTCTTTAATCCATCTTGAGTTAATTTTTTTGTATAAGGTGTAAGGAAAGGGTCCAGTTTCAGTTTTCTGCATATGGCTAGCCAGTTTTCCCAGCACCATTTACTGAATAGGAGATCATTTCCCCATTGCTTATTTTTGTCAGGCGTCAGATGGTTGTAGATATGTGGTGTTATTTCTGAGGTCTCTGTTCTACTCCATTGGTCTATATATCTGTTTTGGTACCAGTACCATGCTGTTTTGGTTACTGCAGCTTTGTAGTATAGTTTGAAGTCAAGTAGCATGATGTCTCCAGCTTTTTTTTTTTTTTTTTTTTTTTGCTTAGGATTGTCTTGGCTATATGGGGTCTTCTTTGATTCCATATGAAATATAAAATAGTTTTTTCGAATTCTGTGAAGAATGGCAATGGTAGTTTGATGGGAATAGCATTGAATCTATAAATTACTTTGGGTAGTATGGCCATTTTCACAATATTGATTCTTCCTATCCATGAGCATGGAATGTTTTTCCTTTTGTTTCTGTCCTCTCTTATTTCCTTGAGCAGTGGTTTGTAATTCTCCTTGAAAAGGTCTTTCACATCCCTTGTTAGCTGTATTCCTATGTATTTTATCCTTTTTGGAGCAATTGTGAATGGAAGTTCATTCGTGATTTGGCTCTCTGCTTGCCTATTATTGGCATATAGGAATGCTTGTGATTTTTGCACATTGATTTTGTATACTGAGACTTTGCTGAAGTTGCTTATCAGGTCAAGAAGTTTTTGGGCTGAGATGATGGGGTTTTCTAAATATAAAATTATGTCATCTGCAAACAGAGACAACTTGACTTCCTCTCTTCCTATTTGAATACACTTTATTTCTCTCTCTTGCCTGATTGCCCTGGCCAGAACTTCCAATACTATGTTGACTAAGGGTGGTGAGAGAGGGCATCCTTATCTTATACTGGTTTTCAAAGGGAATGCTTCCAGCTTTTGCCTATTCAGTATGCTATTGGCTGTGGGTTTGTCATCAATAGCTCTCATTATTTTGAGATATGTTCCATCAATACCTAGTTTATGGAGAGTTTTTAACACTAAGTGATGTTGAATTTTATCAAAGGCCTTTTCTGCATCTATTGAGATAATCATGTGGTTTTTGTCTTTGCTTCTGTTTATGTGATGGATTATGTTTATTGATTTGCATATGTTGAACCAGCCTTGCATCCCAGGGATGAAGCCAACTTGGTCTTGGTGGATAAGCTTTTTGATGTGCTGCTGGATTCAGTTTGCCAGTATTTTACTGAGGATTTTTGCATCGATGTTCATCAGAGATATTGGCCTGAAGTTTTCTTTTTTTTGTTGTGTCTCTTACCAGTTTTAGTATCAGGATGATGCTAGCTTCATAAAATCAGTTAGGGAAGAGTCTTTCCTTTTCAATTGTTTGGAATTGTTTCAGAAGGAGTGGTACCAGCTCCTCTTTGTATTTCTGGTAGAATTCAGCTGTGAATCTATCTGGTCTTAGGCTTTTTTTGGTTGGTAGGCTATTAATTACTGCCTCAATTTCACAGCTTGTTATTGGTCTATTCAGAGATTCAACTTCTTCCTGGTTTTGTCTTGGTAGGGTGTATGAGTCCAGGAATTTATCCGTTTCTTCTAGATTTTCTAGTTTATTTGCATAGTAGTGTTTATAGTATTCTCTGATGGTAGTTTGTATTTCTGTGGGGTCAGTGGTGATATCCCCTTTACCATTTTTTATTGTGTCTGTTTGATGCTTTTCTTTTCTTCTTTATTAACCTATCTAGTGGTCTATTTTGTTCATTGTTTTTCAAAAAACCACCTCCAGGATTCTTTGTTTTTTGGAGGGTTTGTTTTGTCTCTATCTCCTAATAACTGAAGATATTTGATAGAAAAATAAAATATTCTCAGTTAACATGAAAGAAGACAGGGAAAGAGGAACAAAGGAACAAAGAAGAAATAAGTAGCAACATGGTAAACTTCAACCCACTCTTGTAACATCACATGTAAATGGACTCCAATTAAAAGGCAAAAAGTGTTAGACTGGATGAATGAGAGGGGAGGGAGAATGACCCAGCTATATGCTGTTTGAAAAAGAAACATTAAATATAAAGACACAAAATGTTTGAAATGAAAAGATGAGAAAAGATATACAATGCAAGCACTACAAATAAGAGAGTTAGTGTAGCTATAATGACAATAGACAAAGTAGATGTTTTGACAAGGAGTATTACCAAAGATAAATATGTGAAAACCCTGGCCGGGTGTGGTGGCTCATGCCTGTAATCCCAGAACTTTGGGAGGCCAAGGCGGGCGGATCACCTGAGGTCGGGAGTTTGAGACCAGCCTGAACAACATGGAGAAACCCTGTCTCTACTAAAAAAATACAAAATTAGCTTGGCATGGTGGTGCATGCCTGTAATCCCAGCTACTCAGGAGGCTGAGGCAGGAGAATCACTTGAACCCAGAAGGCAGAGGTTGCGGGGTGAGCCAAGATCATGCCATTGCACTGCAGGCTGGGCAACAAGAGTGAAACTCTATCTCAAAAAAAAAAAAAGTGACGACCCTAAAGTTGTACATTGTAATAATAAAGCATCAAAGTAAATGAATGAAAAATTGACAGGACCAAAGGAAGAAATACAAAAAAAATCACATTCGTAGTTGAAGATTTGATTGCCTATGTTTCAATAATTGATAAAAATAAAAAAATTTAGTGAAGATATACAGATTTGACCAACTTAAATAAATTGACATTCATGGCACACTATACCCTGTCTCTTAAAAAATGTTTTAGATAAAAATAAATAATGAAATATATGTGTGTGTATAGATAGATAAGTAACTGAGCTTTTCACTTTTTGTTTTGAAAGGACTGTTAAATTATAGGTGCCCCTGAATGCATTTTTATTCTCAGTAAGGATGCATATGCTTATCTTAGCTGGACCCACAAGGAGAAGGCCTGATTGTCAAGACCTAGGAAAAGCCTGAGGTGGCTTCCTGCTGCTCCCTTGGAGGCCTGTAGGAGGCGCCATTCTGCCCCCATCATCCGTTAAGGGCTTGGCTCTGACAGCTCTCTGAAGCTCACTACCTAACTCCTTCCTAAGAAGCAAAATCTGACCAGGATGGTAAGAAACTATCACCCTTAGCTTTCTTCTTTGGACACTCTCCATACTCTCCATTTTCCTGCATGCCTTCAGAGCACTGTAAGCAGCAACGAAATTTTATTTTCTGTGTAAACACCTGCTCATTTAGAGAAAAAGAGTCAGTATCTCCTCTACCTCTGCAACCTGAAGCTGACTCCCTAATCGAACTGATTCAGCTCCCAGCTAATAGGAAGAACCTCCTCTCCATTAACCTCACACCATATTTTACGGTTTCAGATAAAAAGAACATTCCTTTCAAATGCCTCCCCACCTCCTAAACCACAGTAAACAACCTTCAATTGGTAAGAAAAACCACAGTTTTTAAAAATATTTTTAAAGAATTAGTTAATAACATGTCAAGCATGATGGTAAATGCCTGTAATCCCAGCACTTTGAGAGGCCAAAGCAGGAGATCCCTTGAGGCCAGGAATTGGAGACCAGCCAGGGCAAAGTAGCAAGACCCTGTCTCTAATTTTAAAAAAAGGTTTTTTTTAATTAGCCAGGCATGGTAGCGAATGCCTGTAGTCCCAGCTACTCAGGAGGCAGAGGCAGGAGGATTGCATGAGCCCAGGAGTTCATGGCTGTAGTGAGCTATGATCCATGCCTGCACTCCAGCCTGGGTGACAGAGCAAGACCCTGTCTCTCAAAAAAAAAAAAGAAAAAAGAAAGAAAAATAGTTAATAATAAAAATAATGAGCCACTGCTAAGGATATAAGAAAGAAATACTGAAAAATGACCAAAGAATGACTCAGAACATTATATAATGTTCTCAAATCCCCCAGAGGGTCCAGAGAGCTCTGCAACCTTTGCCCCCCTCATGCCTGTCATTCCAGCCTAGGCTGACCAGGGTGCAGGCTGTGTTCTTGGTGTGTGTCCATCCCACTGGACAAGAGATAACAGGCCTGCCATTCAGGCCAACTACTGCTCAGAAAAGAAGGAAACTAACATCTGGTGGGTGCCTACTATGTGTCAGGCACATTACAGACCTAAGAAGTAGCCATAGGTGAGAGTAGGGCCTGGAATCAGAGGGGCCAAGGTTTGACTCTCAAGTTATCAGCTGAGAGACTTCAGGCAAGTTACTTAACTGCTCCACACCTCACTTTGCTCATCTGTAAAATGGTTCATAATGCTTCATACCTTATAAAGCTCATGGTGAAGATTGCATTGTGTAACCTTGTCAATTAATTGCTTTGTACATAGCCTAAACAGAGTAATTACTCAATGAGTATTAGCTACTAATAGCATCATTATCGTTATTATTGTTTCATTATCTCACATTCTCTTCTTAGGCAAAGTAAAACAAAACAAAACAAAACAAAAAAACTTCAGAATGGAAAGAACTCCTAAGCTCTCTCAGATCTAAATCAGCTCTTCCCAGCTTAGTCCAAGAGATACTTTAGAGTGTGTCATTCCTTTCACCCAGAAGTGTCTCTCACCCCAGGAAGCATCTGAGTGGACACCAGGGTTCAATGTGTTGCTCTTAACCTTAGCAATTTCTGTTGTATAGTTATAAACACACAAACCCTTGTAGTTATTTCTAAATAGGCTTGTGAAAATAGGATTCAATCCCAAAAGTAAATTCATGCCACTCACTAAAAGTGCCATTTCAACTGGTGTCAGGTGAAGGGTGGTACTGAAATGAAACACCACCAACTGATTGCTGGGATAGCTGGCTCCCTCCTGCTGCACTGCTACTGACTGGAGGAAAATTCATCTTCAAAATACCTCATCAACAATGGGTCAGTTGAAAACTTTTGCCCATTTTTAGAACAAAATTGGAATTGTCCTTTCATGGCCATTCAAAAGCAGACAGATAATATCTGCAATTATTTGCTTCTTTGCATTTATGGAATTGTTGCTCCCCTAAAGCAGGTGGCCTGAAGCAAACTGTGCCAGCTATTTCCAGAATAATCCATGTTTGTACATTCACTCCCCACACACACTCCAAAAAATTCCGACAGGAACTAAACAGAAACAGGAACTTGCCAAAAACAGGTCTCTGACGCATGCACCTCAGCCCACAGTCATCCAGATTTCTGTCCTCCTTTGTTGCTCAATTAAATAGACATTTTTAGATGTCTTATTTGACTTTCTGAATAATTTCTGAAGCACTCACACCCACCATTGTCCACACAGCTTCATGGAAACTGCCTCATTCTTGTCCTCATGACATCCTGTTCCCCAGCTTCTCTGGGCATCTTTCTGGCTTCTCTGTCTCTGTCTCCTTCATGGGTTCATCTTTCCCGCCCTCTTCCTTTATCTTGTGGTTGTTCCCTGGGATGCCCACATCCATGCCCCTTCCTCTCACTCTATGGTATAGATAACCACATGGCACATGATGCTTACTATCAGAGGATACTGAAACTATAGTTCATTTCAGTTAGAGAGCTTTCAAAAAAGTTAAATCTTTTTTTTAAAAAAAGTATACACTCATGTAATTGCAAAGGCGTTTACATGCTGTATTAGTCTGCTCTCATGCTGCTAATAAAGACATATCTGAGACTGGGTAATTTATAAAAGGAAGAGGTTTAATGGACTCACAGTTCCACATGGCTGGTAGGCCTCATAATCATGGTGGAAGATGAATGAAGAGCAAAGGAACATCTTATATGGTGACGGGAAAAGAGATAATGAGAGCAAAGCAAAAGGGGAAACCCCTTATAAAACCATCAGATCTCGTGAGACTTATTCACTACCACAAGAACAGTATGGGGGAAACTGCCCTCATCATTCAATTATCTCCCATCCGGCCCCTCCCGCAACAGGGGGAAATTATGGGCTCTATAATTCAATATGAACAAACCATATCACATGCCCAAAAGAAAGTAATATAAGTTAAAACTCCTAGAATATACCCTGTTTGCATGAAGGCAGGTGGACACAGCCAGTGGGAAAGTAAATTGACATAAGCTTCCTGGAAGAGCTCTAGCAATAATTATTACTAGATTTTAAAAACTAGCAGCCAGGCGCAGTGGCTCACACCTGTAATCCCAGCACTTTGGGAAGCCGAGGCAGGCAGATCACCTGAGGTTGGGAGTTCGAGACCAGCCTGACCAACATGGAGAAACTCCATCTCTATTAAAAATACAAAATTAGTTGGGCATGGTGGCGCATGCCTGTAATCCCAGCTACTCAGGAGGCTGAGGCAGGAGAATCACTTGAAGCTAGGAGGCGGAGGTTGTGGTGAGCCAAGATCCTGCCATTGCACTCCAGCCTGGGCAATAAGAGCAAGACTCCATCTCAAAAAAACAAAAAAACAAAAAAAAACTCTGAAAATGTTCATAAGCTTGGATGCAACAATTTTATTTCCACATAATAATTAGGAATGTGTGGTAATATTCTTCTTAAACAATGTGAAATTAAAAATATATTTGAAACAGCCAAAAATGGAAAGCAGTATAAATAGTTCAATAAAGTATGGTATATCGTACATGATAACATTTAAATATCTCCAAAATATATTCTTACATAAAAAAGCTAAAACTATCATATAGAGGATAACTGCAATTCCTAATATATGTATATATGTCTGTTCAAACATATATACATATAGAAAACAAAAGGGGAATAATGGAAAGAAGTCACATAGTGTTAATAATAATGATTTCTTGGTGTTAAGAAATATGAGTGAGTTATATTTCATTCTTTGAGCTTATCTATATTTTCAAAATTTACTAAAATAGTATAGATTATCCTATGGTTTGAATGTGCCCCTCAAATTTCATATGTTGAAAACTTAATCCCCAAATTTATATATTAATTGGAGGTGGAGCCTTTGGAGGCAATTAGGATTGGACAAGGTTATGAAGGTGGGAGCCCCATGATGGGACTTGTGATGCCCCCTACCATGTTATAATGCATCAGGAAGGCCCTCACAAGATGCTGACTCCTCTACCTGGACTTTCCAGCCTCTAGATTCATGAGCTAAAAAAACCTCTATTCTCATAAATTACCCAGTCTGTCGTATTCAGTTATAGCAACTGGTATTCAGTCCACAACATGGACTAAGACAGATTACTTTTGAAATGAATAGAGATAAACTTTTTAGGAAAAAGCCTCTGAGATGAGGGGGCCATATTAATAAAGATGATACAACAACCATTCTCTTAGCGTACTGACTTGTAGCTCCTATAAGAAAGATCCAAGCACTGGGACTATTTGAAATAAAATACATGTTTCAGAAGGAGATGCATTTATTAAACAGACTTTAACTCCTGTCTGAGGCCAATCTAGGGACAAACATCTAAGTGTTGATGGCTCACTTATCACAACTTTACATAGGTAGGAGAGCAGCACCTGGCTGACTCCAGAACCTGTCAATAATTTAGCTTTCTCAAATGCAGCAAGATATAAAGTGCAAAGGTGCAAGCACTGCCTTTGAAATTAAAGGAACATGGTTTACCTTTTCTCCACCCCACTAACTGACAGCATCTTAGAACCTCAGGATTGGATTGTGTGTGTGTGTGTGTGTGTGTTTAATTTGTGATATAAGGATAACTCTTACTTCACACAGTGCAAGTGAAGATTACAGTTGATCTTCATTTTTCATGAATTCCATATTTATGGATTTGCCTACTAGCTAAAATGTATTTGTAACCCCTCACATCAATAATCCCTGTACTTTCATGGTCATTCACAAATATACATGGAACAGAAAAATGTATGAGGCCCCAACTGCACATTCCCAGCTAAGGTTGAACAAGGCAACACTCTGACTTCTCAAGTCAGCTCTCATACTATAAACAAGTGTCTTTTCACCATCTATTTGGTGCCATATTTTTCATATTTTTATACTCCTTGTTGGTGTTTTGCTATGTTAAAAGGCCTCCCTTCCTAGTGCTGAAGTTACGTCTAGTGTTCCCCAGTCCAAGAAGGCTGTGAGGTGGCTTCCAGAGAATATCTGTGTGTCAGATAAGCTTCACTTAGGCACAAATTATAGTGCTATTGGCCATTAATTCAATGTTAATAAATTAACAATAATATATTAGACAGATATATGCATAAAACAAGGTTATGTGTTAATTGATTGATGAAAATGCTGTGAACAGAGGCTCACAGGAACCTAACCTCGTACTTCCCCTAAGAGCAATCATTCACTATTCAATAATTCACTCCTCTCAGCAACTTTATAGACCATAGCTACCATGACTAATGAGAATCAACTGTATGTACAATTCATTTATGCTTTTCACAAATCCAATCATGTGTGACATATCAATGTTTTAGTCAACAATGGACTGCATATACAATTGTAGTCCTATAAGATAATGATAGAGCTGAAAAATTCCTATTGCCTAGCGATATTGTAGCCATAATCATATTGTAGTGCAATGCATTACTCATGTGTTTGTGGTGATGCTGGTGTAAACAAGCCTACCATGCTGCCAGTCAGATGAAAGCATAGCACACACATTTATGTACAGTACATAATACTTCATAATAAACAACTATGTTACTGGTTTATGTATTTACTAAACTACACTTTTTATCATCATTTTAGGGTGTACTCCTTCTACTTGTTACCACAGGAGATGACAGCTCCATGCCTGGCCTATGGTATTTTTTTTTACTTTGTAAACTTTTTAATGTTCTAAAACATTTTGACTCTTTTGTAATAATAGTTTAAAACACAAACACATTTTACAGCTGTACAAAAATATTTTCCTTCTTTATGTCCTTATTCTGTATGCTTTTTTTTCTATTTAAAAAATTATTTAGTTTTTTTTACTTTTTTAATTTTTTTTTTTTTACTTTTTAATCTTTTTTGTTAAAAACTACGACATAAACACACTCATTAGCCTACGCCTACACAGGGTCAGGATCATCAATATGACTGTCTTTCACCACCACATCTTGTCTCAGGGGAAGGTCTTCAGGGCAATAACACACATGGAGCTGTCATCTCCTTAACCTTGTACTCTAGCATAAATGCTAGAGTTTTTGTAGGTTTATGCAGAGGCGTGCAATTCCTTAGTCAAAGGATATGCACTTCTACAACTTATTAGACAACACCAAGTAGTTCTGCAAAATTGTTACACGAATTTACATTCCCACTAACAGATTTTTTTAACTTTTATTTTAAGTTCAGTGGTATATGTGGAGGTTTGTTACATAGGTAACCATGTGTCATGGGGTTTATTGTACAGATTATTTATCACTCATGCATTAAGCCTAGTACCCGTTAGTTATTTTTCCTGATCTCTCTCTCCTCCTACCCTCCACCCTCCAAGAGGCCCCAGTGTGTGTGGTTCCCCTCTATGTCTCCATGTGTTATCATCATTTAGCTCCCACTTATAAGTGAGAACATGCAGTATTCTGTTTTCTGTTCCTATGTTAGTTTGCTAAGGATAATGGCTTCTAGTTCCATCCATGTCCCTGCAAAGGACATAATCATATGATCGCATTCTTTTTTATGGCTGTATAGTATTCCATAGTGTATATGTACCATATTTTCTTTATCTAGTCTATCATTGATGGATATTTAGGTTGATTCCCTGTCTTTGCTATTGTGAATAGTGCTACAGTGAACATTTGCATGCATGTGTCTTTATAATAGAATAATTTATATTCCTTTGGGTATATATCTAGTAATGGGATTGCTGGGTCAAATGGTATGTCTGTCTTTAGGTTTCTGAGGAGTTGCCACACTGTCTTCCACAATAGTTAAAGTAATTTACACTTCCACCAACAGTTTAAAAGCATTCCTTTTTCTCCACAACCTCACTGGCATTTGTTATTTTTTCACTTTTTAATAATCGCCATTCTGACTGGTGTGAGATGGTATCTCATTGTGGTTTTGATTTGCTTCTCTAATGATCAGTGATATTGAGCTTTACATCTTTTAAAATATAAACATGATCATGTCACACCTCTGCTCAGAATTCTCCAATGGCTTCCTATCATACTCAGAGTAAAGGCCAAATCTCTTACCATGACCTATAAGGTTCTGTGTGATCCATCCCCTCACAATCTCTGCTGTCATCTTTTATTACTGCCTCCTTTATTTATCCTGCTGCAGCTGCACTGGCCTCCTTGCTGTTCCTATAGTACAGCCAGTAAGCAATCACCTCAGTCTTTGCTCTTCCTGTTTTCTCTGCCTAGATGCTCTACCCTCAGCTATCTGCCTGGCTTGTTTCCTCTCTTCATTCGGGTGTCTGCTCAAATGTTACCTCCTCCAAAAAGCCTTCCCTGGCTGGCCTAGGATAGTCCTCCCTTCAGTCTCTCTAATACTTACATTGCTTTATTTTTCTTCATGGGTCTTATGCTATGACATGTTATTGTTTCCTCTTCTCTATTTGTTATTTGACTAATTGCCTTCTCTAGAATATAAACCGCATGAAGGTGGGATTTTGTTGTATTCAGTGCAGTATCTCCAACATATTGAACAATGCCAGAGACAAAGTAAGCACATACTAAATATTTGCTGATTAGAAGAAACATTTGAAACATATAAGACAGGCAAAAGGTTAATACTGTATCTCTAATAGAAAGAGTTGTTCCAATAAATAAGAACACTATTTCTTTTGCTGTTGTTTTGAGACAGGGTCTCACTCTGTTGCCCAGTCTGGTGTGAAGTGGCATGGTTACTGTTCACTGCAGCCTCCACCTGCAAGACTCAAGTGATCCTCCCACCTCAACCTCTTAAGTAGCTGGGACTACAGATATGCACCACCACACTAAGGTAATTTTTAATTTTTTTTTGAGATGTGGGGCCTCACTGTGTTGTCCAGGCTGGTCTCAAACTCCTGATCTCAAGCAATCCTCCTACCTCAGCCTCCCAAAGTGCTGGGACTACAGGTGTGAGCCACCTAATTTGGCCAAGAATATTATTTCATTCCCATAGAAAAAATTGGCACACCTGATGCCCAGATCTTGGCTTTTTAATGTCACTCTCCAGTAAAAAGAACCAGAGTTGCTTGGAGAAATGGCTGACTCCAGGGCTGGGGCACACAAAAAAAATAGATAAGATGAACCTGGATCATCTTGTAGCACCATAAAATAAGAAAGTCTTCAAAAAACTAAAGGATGGAAGCATTTCAAAGGGGCACAAGCCATTCTAAAAGAATTCCCAATGGCCAAGCTAGAAGAATTTGACCAACTAAGTTATTGACATGATATTAGATATAATCCAAAGTATACAATAAACATGATTCCATATTGATGTAAATAATGGTTGAATATAAAAATAAATGGCAGGAAAGAGACAAATCTGTGCAGAAAATTTTCAAATAATACATATATATAGCTACTCTCCCTGTTAATGAGTTGAACTGTGTCTGCTGAAAATTCATATGTTGAAGCTGTAACCCCCAGTACTTCAAAATGTAACTGTATTTGGAGATAGTACCTTTAAAGGGGTATTTAAATTAAAATTGAGTTGTTAAGATGGGTCCTAATCCAATCTGACCAGTGTTCTTATAAGCACGGACAGAAAATGACACCAGACAGGTACACACCAGAGGGAGAGGCCTCAGATTAAACCAACCCTGCTGACACTTTGATCTCAGACTTCCAGCCTCCAGAACTGTAGGAAAATAAATTCTTGTTGCTTAAGTATCCTAGTCTGTGATATTTTGTTGTGGCAGCCTTCACAAACTAATACATTTCTCTTTGCAGAGGTGGAGCTTAAACCCCCAGACTCCCATCTTGAGTGTGGGCTGAACTTAGTGACTTGCTTTCAAAGAATAATTCCAAAGAATAAAGTATAGAAAGTGAAAAATAATGGCTTTACACTGGAAAAAACTGGCAACCACTACCAAAACAAAGTGACCAAGTTTAATTCCACCAGTGAAAAGTCATGTTGACAGCATGTGACTGCTGATATGATGTGATAGAAGGGGCATTTCACCTCTGTGGCATTCTTCCCAAATACTCATAATCCCAGTCAAATCATGAGAAAACATTAGACAAACTTATATTGAGCGATATTCTATACAATATCTGACCAGTACTCTTCAAAATTGTCATCATCACAAAAAGCAAAGAAATACTGAAAAACTGTCACACACCACAGGAGACTAAAAAATTGTAAAATTAAATGCAATATGGTACCCTGGATCAGACCCTGGCACACAAAAAAGTACATTTGTGAAAATACTAGTAAAATCTGAATAAAGTGCGGAGTTTAGTTAACAGTAATACACCAATGTTTGCTTTTTAGTGATGACAGATGTACCATGGCAACATAAGATGTTACAGGGGATATAAAGGAACTTTCTGTATTATCTTTGCAACTTTTCTGTAAATCTGAAACTTCAAAAATTAAAAGATTTTTTTAAGAAATGGGCAAAGAGCATGAATAGGCAGTTCACTAAAGCAATGCATGTAGTCATAAATCCATGGAAATTGTGTACAAAGACATGAGTAATCAAAAAAATAAATTATAATGAGTTATTTTTATTCGTCCATGAGACAATGATTTTCAAAAGTGATAATATCCAATGTTTTCAAAAAGACGTGTGAAAATATGTAATTTGCCAATGTTATCTAATGCCTTTATCAAGTACATATCTCAATACATTTCCCAAGAATATAATCAAGCCAGTACTCAATATAACGAACTTTTATTGAACCCTTACTATGTTCCCAGCACTGTGAAAAACAGTACACATGCATTGGATCATATAATTTTATGATAATTCTACGAGGTAGATACTGTTATTATCATCTCTATTTTAATTATAATTTTTATAATGCCTAGAATATATTATTACATAATGATCTCCTCCAGTGAAACATGCCTCCTTGTATCTATGTCCTTGCTTAGTTTCCTCCTACACTGACTCTAGGTTTTCCCATGTCACTTGTTTTGGTCAATGAGATGCACGCAAATGTCACAAATGAGGATTTCCTCGTCTCTTTCTACTTTTGAAATCTTGCCACCATGTTAAGAAGCCCTAGCTTGCCTACTGAAGACTCATGGTCAGTCAACAACCAGCACCAAGCACCAGACATGTCAGGGAGGCCAACTCAGACAACTCAGCTACTGTTGCATGCTAAGATGATTGCAGCCCCATGAGTGATCCCAGGTGAGAGAAGCAGAAGATTCACCAAGCTGAGCCTCACCCAAAATGGTGGCTCACAGAATCATGAGCAAATAAAATGGTTTTAAACCATTAAGTTTTGTTTTACAACAACAGATAATAACCTTATAAGAATTTTCTTATATCTAATTTATACATGAGAAATATAAGACTTAGTTAAGTACCTTGTCTAGTAAGTGGCAGAGCCAGAATTCATAGGGACATAGCTAGTAATTTTAACAGCCAGTATTTGTATTCTGAAACTCTGAACTACCTTACTCATCATCCATCTTAGGAAAATCTAAAACTGAGAAATTACAAACAACTGAAAATTACCAACCTCAAAGGGGGATTGTTTCAGTAAATTCTAATACAAGCAAATACAAAATCTATGATACAACAGAATACCCCTAACGACAGAATAAAATACAATTATACTCCCAGCAATATATATCTGTTATGAATATGAGAAGATAATAAAAGTTCACTTTTATGGAGTGTTACTATCTGCCAGGCACTGTTCTGGGTGTTTTACATGCTTTATTTCTTTTGCTGTTCACAACTCTGTGGATAGATTATAAATCATTCCCATTTATTATTATTCCCAATTTTTCCCATTCCTCTGTATTACAAATTAGAAAGAAGAGTCCATAGTAAGTAAACAACTTTCTCAAGGTCATGTAGCTAATAATTGGCAAAGCTTAGATGCCAACCTAGGGAGTTCAACTTCCAAGACCATGTTCCTAACTAAAACATTACACTGCTTTTCCCACAATATATTTTTAGTTGAGAAAGATTAGGTTACAAAAACAATATGTGATTCCATTCTGGTTCCAGGAAAGAACATATGAATAGTTGTGTGGCATGTGCTATGTGGCCCAGAAAATACAAACAGACTTCTACACACACAAGTGTCAACAGCAGTGACTTTTGAGTGATAGAATTATCAGTGACATTTATTTTCTTCTCTATATGTTTCTGCATTTTCTGAATTTTTTGCAATGAAAATTTACTACTTTGATCGTCAAAAATATTAGGACTGTTCTAGGGGGAAAAACCTTCAACACTCCAATATTTTTTAAATGATAAAATAAATTTTAAATTTTACAGAATAAATGTAAAGTTTCACATGACCACATACACATTGAAACAACTCATTAAAATAATTAATTAGTTAAAACAATTAGTTGATCTCATCAAATAGGCATCATTTAAATGTTAATTCTCAGAGCTTGCTGGCATCCTAAGAGACACATATTTTCAGCTACTGCTACTGGGAACATAAGTGACACAGACTCTCTGGAATTGAATTTAGCAATATGTTTCAAGAAAGAAGTCACACCATATGAAACAGTAGCAATAAAGTGCTCTTTATAATGTCAACTAATTTTTAAAACCCAAAGTCAAACAATAAGTCAATGGTTAAATAGATAACGCAACACCCACGTAACAAAAGAATATCGCCGTTAAAAATCTTATTCTTGGAAAATATTTAATAACATGCATTTTCCCCCATGATATGTGATTTCTTATATTGTTTAGGTTTTGTTTGCTTTTTTAGAGATGAGGTCTCACTCTGTCACCAAGGCTGGAGGGCAGTGGCATCATGATCACGACCCATTGCAGCCTCAACCTCCCAGGCTCAAGCACGTCTCCCACCTCAGCCTCTCAAGAAGCTGAGATCACAGGCACGTGCCACCATGCCTAATTTAAAAAAAAAAATTTTATAGAGACAAGGGCTCACTATGTTGCCTAGGCTGGTCTCAAATTCCTGGGTTCGAGCAATCCTCCTGCCTCAGCCTCTCAAAATGCTGGGATTACAGGCATAAGCCACAGCACCTGTCTTGATTGTTCATATTGTTTAAAGAGCAGAATATAATATGGTTAAAACCAATGTAATTCATATGTAAGTAAATATTTATATACATACATGTAAATGTGCCCTCATTTTTTAAAAAACCCTGAAATTAAATACATGAAAATCTAAACTATTATCGCTGAGCAGTGGCATTTCAGATAACTCCAATTTTCTGCTGAATATTTTCAAGCACCTGGGACAATTCCCATTGAAATCAGTTGATACTAAGAGGCATCAAGGGTTAGCAGGAGTTCAAGGTCAGGATCTCTGGACCAATTCTTGGTCTGGGCAGCTACTGTGCATTTGCATCACAGCACACTGAAGGCCAGCGTAGATACAGCTGCCGAGGGAAGTTCTGCTAAGTATGATTAGAACCACAGTAGAGTTGAAGGACTTGTACCCCTAAAATTCTCTAGAAGAGGGTCTCATGAAGGTGTAGATACTTCAGGGAAGTCAGATACACACTGAGTCCCCAGTCAGAGCACACGAAAGTCTTTTTCAGCTTCTTCGGCATGTAGATTCTTTTGGAATTGGACCTATTAAAGAACATCAACCACAGTGTCTGCAACCAATATGTGTTTGTATAAAACATCTGGGGCCAGATCTCCCCAAAATCATAACACCACACCTTGGATGTGGCTTCAGTAATCAAAATCTTATATTCCAGATACTTCTAATCTGCCAAGGCCATCTCCTGAAAAAAGCATAGAAAACCTCAGTTGCTTTCTGAGAGAGTTAGAGCTACATCTGAGGTAAGTATTGTTATCACCTCTATACAAATAAGTGAACCGGCCAGGACTTAAATCCATCAGACCAAAAAACCCAGCCTAAATTTTAAACTGTAATCTGTGACCTCTGAATGTGAAGAATTCTGCCTTCTCCCGCTCTACTCCCTGTTGAGAATATGAAGGAAAACATTGTACTAATATTGTATATAATGTATGCTTAACTAAGTATCAGAATGGATGGACCTTGGACCTTAGATCTGATAGCAATTCCTAAGTTTGATTGAAACTGAGTAAATCCTTTTTTATTCAAGACAGGGTCCCTGTCACCCAGGCTGGAGCACAGTGATGCAATCATAGCTCACTGTAACCTCAAATTCCTGAGCTCACAGAATCCTCCTGTCTAGGTCTCCCAAGTGTCTGGGACTACAGGTGTGTGCCACCATGCCCAGCTAATTTTTTTTTTTTTTTTTTTGGTAGAGATGGAGTCTGGTGATGTGGCCCAGGCTGATCTCAAACTCCTGGGCTCAAGCAATCCTTCTGCCTCAGGCTCCCAAAGAGCTGAGATTACAAGAATGAGCCACTGCACTTGGCCTAAATCCATATTTTTGATGCAAACTCTTATTTTTAAATGTATAGCCCCACTTTGTTACCACAAAGTACCCTGTATAAAGTGTAGCAACATAATATGAACTAGAAGTAGTTCAAAAAGAAAAGTGGACCAGGCACAGTGGCTCATGCCAGTAATCCCAGCACACTGGGAGGCTAAGGCAGGAGGATTACTGAAGGCCAAGAATTCAAGACATGCCTGGGCAACACAGTGGGACCCCATCTCTACCAAACAAATATAAAAAAATTCGCTAGGCACGGTGGTGCGCACCTGTAGTCCTAGCTACTTGGAAGGCTGATACGGGATTGCTTAAGTCAGAGAGTTCAAGGTTATCGTGAGCTATGATGGAGTCACTGTACTCCAGCCTGGGTGACAGAGGAAGACCTGAAAAGAAAGAATGAAAGAAAGAAAGAAAGAAAGAAAGAAAGAAAGAAAGAAAGAAAGAAAGAAAGAAAGAAAGAAAGGAAGGAAGGAAGGAAGGAAGGAAGGAAGGAAGGAAGGAAGGAAGGAAGGAAGGAAGGAAGACAGGGAGGAAGGAAGGAAGGAAGACAGGGAGGAAGGAAGGAAGGAAGACAGGGAGGAAGGAAGGAAGGAAGACAGGGAGGAAGGAAGGAAGGAAGACAGGGAGGAAGGAAGGAAGGAAGACAGGGAGGAAGGAAGGAAGGAAGACAGGGAGGAAGGAAGGAAGGAAGGAAGGGGAAGTGAACACAGTGGTAGAGACACAAAAAGGTGCTAGGATAGAGGCTAACACAAAATCACATACCATGACATCCTTCTGTGCACTTTCTATTCATTATTTTACCAATTTCTATAGCATTTTAGAGTTGTTTCAATAAAACTGCAAGTGAATATAATCTACTGCCTATTATGTGGTTATGCCCTAAAAAGCTAGGATGACTTCGTTATAAGTTGCTTTATGTGACACCCACCATAGTGTCAGAAAAATTTAGAAGTTCAGAATTGATTTTGGAAACTAACGAATGTGTCTGTAGATTGTGGACTAGTAAGCCACCTCCAGTCTCTATTATACACTGCAATGTTCACTCCCCAAAATAATGACAGAACAGTATCAGGTATGTGGGAGTCACAAATATATATATAATATTAAACATTGATTATATTTAATGTTATCAATAAGTTAGAATTGATTTGATAATAAATAGAAAATCAACGAAGATGTTCATGTGTACCTTGGAAAATTATTTTATCAATGAACCACATCACATATATCACACAGCACAACTGGCTACTTATTCAGGAGCAGTGATTTTTCACTTTAAGAAATCCCTAAGATTCAAACATTCTGCCCTATTTTTTTAACAAGAAAAAAATATCACAAGTTTGTGAAGAGATGCAACATTTTGAAAAACCAAAAGCATGCATAGAGAGATTCTAATACTTGCCCTAAAAAGGTCATGCCAGGACCAGGATGGTAGTAGCCCTTTGCCCATACACGGGGGCTACACAGAAGAAGCCATGCAAGCAATTCAGAAAAAATCCTCACTGCTTTTCCCCACCTCTGTGTGTCAACTAAGAGTCTTTGTATGGATAGTTTATATCAGTAATTCTCAGACTTTAATGAGCACATAAACCAAGGATCTTGTTAAAATGCAAATTCTGATTCAATAGATCTAGAGTAGGACCTGAGATTCTACATGTGTAAGAAACTCAGAGAGGAGGTTGGTGGGGCTGGTCCAAGGACCTCATTTATGAGTAGTCAAGATTTATATTTTTTAGCATTAAGTCACTGTATGAAAAGAGACTTGCTTTTACTTGTTAAAAATAAACTGGAGCAGGGCGTGGTGGCTTATGCCTGTAAACCCAGCATTTTGGGAGGCCAAGGCGAGTGGATAACCTGAGGTCAGGAGTTCAAGACCAGCCTGGCCAACAGGGTGAAACCCCATCTCTACTAAAATTACAAAAAATTAGCGGGGCATGGTGGCACATGCCTGTAATCCCAGCTACTCGGGAGGCTGAGGCAGGAGAATCGCCTGAACCCAGGAGGCAGAGGTTGCAGTGAGCTGAGATTGCGCCACTGCCCTCCAGCCTGGGCAACAAGAGCAAAACTCCATCTTTAAATAAAAAAACAAACAAACAAAAACTGGAAACTGATGTTTGGAGACTCACTTGGATTTGTGCTGTGCAACATAACTTCTAGCCTTGTGTGGCTATTTAAATTTAAATGATTTAAAATCAAATAAAATTTAAAATTCAGTTGCTCAGTTACATTAGCCGCATTTTAAGAGCTCAATAGCCACACATGGCTACCATATTAGACAGCATGGAAGAACATTTCCATTATCATAGAAAGTTCTATTGAACAGTGCTAAACTGAAGATGATTTGGTTATCAAACAAAACTTTAAAGAATATAAGGCTTATTCCACTTTGAAACAAATCAAAAAGTAAAAACTTGAACCAGCATCTATAAAATTCTAGCCATCTTTCCTCAGAAAGAAAAAAATAAAAAAGAAGGAAAGGTCAGGACAACATGATACCCATTAATAAAAGCAGCTTACATTCCTTCTTCCTAGCAAAGTGCAGCACAGCTCAACCTCAAATGGAACGTGACATTAATGGGCTAAAAGGAAAGATGGAGAACAGAGAGCCCCTGAAGCTAAACAGACCCAGCACCGTGCTCTGCACACTTCAAGCCAAAGCCATTTCATTTCCCTTTACTCTTATCAGTCAGTCTGTTGACCTGATGTAGAAATGAATACTGATGAGAAAAAAGTACAGGCAACATGGTGCACCCTTGACGTCTAATCCTATCTGGAATACTCAACTCTGACTTTTCACTACAAGCCGCAACAAACAAACAAACAAACACCAAAAAGGGATGTATTCGGGTTCTGCAAAGAAACAGAATCAATAGAATGTATATATTAAAAGAACAATATTTATTTTAAGGAATTGACTCATGTGATTGTGGGGGCTGGCAAGTCTGAGTGCACAGGACAGGCCAGCAGGATGGTGACCCAGGGAAGAGTTGATATTGTAGTCTTGAGTCTGAAGACAATATAGAGGTAAAATTCTTTCATTTTCAGAGGACCTCAGTCTTTTTTTTTTCTCCTAAGGCCTTTAACTGATTGGATGAGGCCCACTCACATTATGGAGTGTAATCTGTTTTACTCAGTCTACTGATTTGAATCTTAACCATAACTAAAAAATACTTTCACAGCAGTATCTAGACTGCTGTCTCAACAAACAACTGGATGCCATACCCTAGTTAAGTGAACACATGTAATTAACCATTGCAGAAGGATAAAGGTTCCAGGTCCCTAGTATTTGGGGCCTCCCTTCCAGCTCCCCTTTCTTGCTTCTGTCCTCAAACCTCAGTAGCAACACCAGTGGAGACTAATGGTAGTGATGGCTGTAATCACAGCAAATTTAGCCATAGAGGCTGCCTGCCACCTGTCCCATTTAGAAGTTTGTTGACAGTCACACAGTCTCCATGAGCTTTCAGAATGGGATGCCTAATATCAACACTAACATTGCTCTGGGACAAGGGGACAGTAGAGAATATTTGTCTCTCTATTTTCCCCAAACTCCCCTCTCCCAAATCCTGCCCAAGATACTGAAAACTGGAAATGCTTCTTATTGATCATGTGACCACTTAGAAAATTTGGAAACGTAAATGAGATCTTGTTAAATACCTAGGCATCTCAAAAAAAAAAAGTGCTACTGGTGCAGGGAGGGTATTCATTAAAAGAGTCCTTCTAGGCTTTTAAAACCAATTAGAATTTTCTCTGGGTTTGTTATATAGAAGGAGAAGGAAATGTGTTCACCTTCTAGAAAAATAATAATTCTTTCAGACTCTTGCCTTTATGGTTTATGAAGGAGATATTTTCTCCAGCTTTCTTGAGGCATAAATGGCAAATAAAAATATATATATTTAATGTATGCACTGTGATTTTTTGATGCACATTGCAAAATAATTGCCACAATCAAGTTAATTAACACATCTAGCATTTCATGTAGTTACCATTTTCTGTGTGTCTTTGCGATGAGAATGCTTAGGGTCTATTTTCAGAGAACCAACTTTCAGTTAACAAAACGAATAAATCCTGGGGATCTAATGTACAGCATGGTAATTATAGTTGATAATACTGTATGGTATACTTGAAATTTTCTGAAAGATAGAAGTTTATACTTACACTAGAGAGTTCCTTCTGCCTTTAGTTATTCCTAATTAGACATTCAAAACTGATTAATATATAGCTTACAGTGGCGCCATCTGAGCAAGAAGAAATTAGGTTATTAATCCTTCCTCTGAAGTCTCCACAATGATATTAAATTTTCAGGTAGCAGATTTCTGGATTGATTTTCTTCTCTCACCACTTTTTTCAAAGTCTAACTATACACTTTATGACTCAGGCACTAATATCTTACTTGCAATCCAACTGCGGTTTTTCCTTCACCTCAACATAGTCCTTGGAGCACTTTTTAAAAGCCTTTAGTCTGAGACATAGGCCCATTTGTAATAGTATATGCCACATTCTCTGCATCTGTTCATTTCACAAGGTAAACTTGATGATCACCAGCTATTCTTAGCTCTTGACAATATAAAAAAAAGATAATCAAAAGTGCAATTATTTAAATTCATAAAGGTATTGATTTCTTTTCACTCTTGATGCAGACTTCAAAAGATTCCATGGATCAAATATCATCATAACCAGATATAACATGAAGCATAAGAATTATATATAATTGAAGTGGTTTAATTTCCAATACTCAATAAAAATTCAGGAAATAAAACTAGTAAATTCATTCACATGGGCTGAAGAAAACAGAATGCAATATGCCCTTCCTACAGTTGGGCCCCTCTCTACTCTTCTGCACTCTAGATTTCTCTCCTGCCACCCTCACCTACCCCGTCTTGCATTCCACCTTCTCAAATTCGTCTCTCCCCTTCAATTAATCTCACCCATTCCTATTTAAAGGCATACCTCATTTTATTGTGCTTTGTATTTTTGTGCTTCACAGAGAATGCTTTTTTTTTTTTTTTAACAAATTGAAGGTTTGTGGCAACCCTGTACCAAGCAAGTCCATAGGCACCATTTTTCCAATAGCACATGTTCGCTTCATGTTTCTGTGCCACATTTTGGTAATTCTCACAGTATCTTTTAAATTTTTCTTTCTAAAGGCAATTTTATAACTTTATTGGATGTATTTGATGATCAGCAGTTAGTTCTCATCCACATCGACTGTCTGTAGACTTTTGAAAGTGGTAACAGGTACATAAGTAGCCAAAGGATAGAGCTTATTTGGTGAATCTTTATCCTCATTACATTTTCTGGACAAGCACACATGGATACAATATGGGACATCCCTTATTCCTTTGGCCCAGACAGCTTTGTTGAGCCTGGTATCAATGCACATATCTGGAGTTCCCATCTCCTTCATGGAAAATTTCCGAATCTCTTTGAGTGCCTGAGGGGCACGCTTCTTGAAGCCCACTCCATGGATGCACTTGTGAATGTTGATGGTGTATTCTCAGGTCACCACCGCATTGATGGCAGAATGGCCCTTTTTCTTCTCACCACCTTTCTTTGCGGGAGCCATTCTGCTGGGTCCCAAATTTTTCTTATTATTATATCTGTTAGGGTGATCTGTGATCAGTGATCTTTGGTGTTACTCTTTTAATTGTTTGGGGGAACCACAAACTGTGCCCATAGAAGACAGCAAATGTAATTGATAAATAATATGTGTTCTGACTGCTCCACCCACCTGCCTGCCGTTCTTTCATCTCTCTCCCTCTCCTTGGGCCTCCCTATTCCCTGAGACACAACAACACTTAAATTAGGCCAATTAATTACCTTATAATGGCCTCTAAGTGTTTAAGTGAAAGAAGAGTCACACTTCTGTCACTTTAAATCAAAAGCAGAAATGATTGAGCTTAGTGAGAAAGACCTGTCAAAGGCTGAGATAGATGGGAAGTTTAGGCCTCCTGTACCAAACAGTTGGCCAAGTTGTAAATGCAAAGGAAAAGTTCTTGAAGGAAATTAAAAGCACTACTCCAGTGAACACATGAATGAGAAGAAAACAAAACAGCCTTATTGCTGATACGGAGAAAGTTTGAGTGGTCTGGATAGAAGATCAAACCAACCATAATAGTTCCTTAAGCCAAAGCCTAAGCCAGAGCAAGACCCTAACTCTCTTCAATTCTACGAAGGCTGAGAGAGGCAAGGAAGCTGCAGAAGAAAAGTTTGAAGCTAGTAGAGGTTGGTTCTTGAGGTTAAAGGAAAGAACTCATCTGCATAACATTAAAGTACAAGGTAAAGCAGCAAATGCTAATAGAAAAGCTTCAAGTACCCAGAAGCTTCGAGTACCCAGAAGATACACTAAACAACAGATTTTCAGTGTGGACAAAACAGCCTTCTATTGGAAGAAGGTGCCATCTAGGAATTTTATAGAGAGAAGAAGTCAATGCCTGGTTTCAAAGCTTCAAAGGACAGGCTGACCCTTTTATAGGGGAAAATGCCTCTAGTGACCTTAAGTTGAAGCCAAGTGCTCATTTACCATTCTGAAAATCTTAGGGCCCCTAAGAATTATGCTATATCTACTCTGCCTGTGCTCTATAAACAAAACAACAAATTTACAGCATGGTTTGTTAAATTTTTTTTTTTTTTTTTTTTTTGAGACAGAGTCTCGCTCTGTCGCCCAGGCTGGAGTGCAGTGGCATGATCTCAGCTCACTGCAAGCTCTGCCTCCCAGGTTCATGCCATTCTCCTGCCTCAGCTTCCTGAGTAGCTGGGACTACAGGCGCATGCTGCCACACCTGGCTATTTTTTTTTTTTTTAAGTAGAGATGGGGTTTCACCATGGTAGCCAGAATGGTCTCAATCTCCTGACCTCATGATCCACCAGCCTCAGCCTCCCAAAATGCTGGGATTACAGGTGTGAGCCACAGCGCCCGGCCAGTTTATTAAATATTTTAGTCCCATCATTGGAGACCTACTGCATAGAAAAAAAAGATATCTTTCAAAATATTCTTGCTTATTAACAGTGCACCTAGTCACTCAAGAGCTCTGGTGGAGATGTACAAGGAGATCTGTGTTGTTTTCACGCTTGTTAACACAACACCTGTTCTTCAGCTTACAGATCAAGGAGTAATTTTGACTCTCAAGTCTTACTATTTAAGAAATACATTTTGTAAGGCTATAGCTGCCATAGATAGTGATTCCTCTAATGGATCTGGGCAAAGTAAATTGATAACTATCTGGAAAGGACTCACCATTCTAAATGTCATTAAGAACATTTGTGATTCATGGGAGGAGGTCAAAATAGCAACATTAGCAGGAGTTAGGAAAAAGTTGAATCTAATCCTCATTAATGACTTTGAGGGGTTTAAGATGTCAGTGGAGGAAGTAACAGCAAATGTGGTGAAAATAGCAAGAGAACTAGAATTAGAAGTGGAGCCTAAAGATGTGACTGAATTGCTACAATCTCATGATAAAACTTAAACAGATGAGGAGTTACTTCCTGTGGATGACTAAAGAAAGTGCTTTCTTAAGATGGATCTACTCCTGGGGAGGATGCTCTGAACAGTGTTGAAATGACAGCCGAGGCTTTAAAACATTACAAAAGTTGATAAAGCAGTAACAGAGTTTGAGAGGATCTATCCCAATTTTGAAGAATTTTGAAAGAAGTTATCCTCTGGGTAAAATGCTATCAAACAGCATCTCATGCCACAGAGAAATCTTTCGTGAAAGCAAGAGTCAATCAATGCAGCAAACCTCATTTTTGTCTTATATTAAGAAAATGCCACAGCACCTGAACCACCACCCTGATCAGTCAGCAGCCGTCAACATTGAGAGAAGAGTCTCCACTGGCAAAAAGATTATGACTCACTGAAAGCTCGGATGATCTTTAGCATTTTTTTTAGCAATAAAGTATTTTTTAATGAAGATATATATACTTTTTTACATATAATGCTATTGCACACAATATACTACAGTATAGCGTAAACATAACTTCTAAATGCACTGGGAAACCAAATCATTTGTGTGACTCACTTTATTGCAATATTTGCCTTAATGCAACGGTCTGTAACTAAACCCACAATAGCATCAAGGTATGCCTGTATAGACCCAACTAAAGCCCTAGCTGCTAGATATTTACAACTCAAATCCCATGTCTTCCAAAGCCTTTCTAGAGTCAATCACTTAGAATTAATCTCTCCTCTTTTGCACTTTCAAAATGTATTGTCCATACCAGAATTAGAGGTTTTATCACGTATCAGGGTGGGGTTACTTATATTTCTTTCTCATTATTTGTGACTCTGACTCAAAAATTTACTGTGTGTCATTTTTCTTTCTCTCCTAGCATCTAACACACCACATGCCCAAATAAATGTTCAAAATGAGATGGGATGTAGCTTCCAAGAGGGGCAGTTCTACAGGCCCAGGTTAAACTATTAATAACGCAGCTTTTCCAAAGGCTGTCTACAATATAGCGCAATGTCTCAAGCCCACAGAACCCCAAAAATGGGGAGAAACTGTCCCTAGAGAAATGAAATAGAGAAGTAGAAAAGGATGTGGGATCCAGTTAAGAGACACTCTAGCAAGAACAAGGAAGTACTCACTCTTCCAGAATTCCCTCAAATACCCCATTCTTGCATAAAGAATCTACAACTCTGCCACTGTAGCTGCCCTAGTTGAATGTAAAGTGGTAAACCATGATTATCCCCCACCACATATACTATAATAAAAGTATAAGTCATGTTCAAAGTTCTTCCATATATATTACCACATTCCATTCTTAGGTACATGGTTAGACAGGCAGGGTAGGGTATTTTTTTAATTTTATAAATGAAGAAAGACAGTCTCGGAGATTAATTTTCCTAAGGCCACATAGGCTTATAGTTTAAGGCAAATCTGAAACTGTAATTCGGGTCTCTTTAACTCCTATTTCAAAACTGGAGGTGCCGACTACACTGCAACTGTGGTAGGAGTGAGACTTCCAAGCTATGTCTACCATTTACTATTCCTACTCCAGTTTGGGCTGGGATGGGGAGGGCAGCAAGGAGCTCCTGATGTGGAAGCAGGGACAGTTCAGGTGAGGCAAGGAGAGGGAGGAGGCAGCAAAGGGACGAGCCCTAGGTGTTGGATTTATTGTGACTAGCAAATTCGGATTCCTGTAGAAGCACAGAATCTTTTCCTCTAGAAGCAGAAACTTTGCTCTTTTAAGACAAACCTTCAAAGATCACCAATAATGAGAACTAGCCAAGTCAAGTAAAAGCGAAGGACTCTATGCTGGGGTGCAGGAATGAGAGAGCTCCTGGAAACCATTCAGAGGTCACTGTTTCAGTGAGGGCGGAGAAGGGACTGTCCACTTCTCAGGAAGAAAGAAAATGTCAGGGTCCTTTGAGGTCTCAAAATAGGTAACCTCAAGACATTTGACCTTGAGAGAAAGTGCTGTCTCTTGACTAAAATCCAGGATGTCCAGCCACAGACAGCAACGACTTTTTATGAACAAGGCTTGCTGACAAGCATGCTTAATTCAATGTTGTGACACATTATGGGAATTGCCCAACTCCTGTGGCGATATGATGGTAGGCTGGATAGGAAGGATGTTCCAAAATAGAAGGCCAGGCTGTTCATAAAAACTTTTTGACTCTTTGGCATTTGGTATGAAAAGGCAGGTGTAGGGGGAGGAGTATGTATATTAGGCAAACAGGTAACAGATGTAAATAATACATTTGAAAATGAGAGAGAAAATACTTGTTATTTGCACATAAAATTTACTAAATGCTAAATAGGTCATCAAAGTGAGTAGGTGAAGAAAAAGTCAAAAACTAAAAATGAACTCGAAGAAGAGCCCAAGAAATCTATAGTTTGAGGGAAAAAGAAAAAAGTAAACAAAGTGATGTCAAGAGATGAATGAATATTGAGAGGGGAGGAAAAACAGCAAGGCTCTGCTAATATAAATACCTGCTCATCATAGAAAGATCTTTACTGTTTAACCTAAGTTGTAAGAGTACTGCTATGGTCTGAGTGTGTCCCCCACCAAATTCATATGTTAAAACATTATCTGAAATATAGTGGTTTAAAAGGTGGGGTTTGGGGGAGGTCATGAGGTCATAAGGGCTCCACCTTCATGAATAGAATTAGTGCCCTTATAAAAGTAGCCTGAAAAAGCTTGTTCACCCCTTCTACCATGTGAGGACACATAGAAGGTGCTGTCTGTGAGGAATGGGTCCTCACCAGACACCAAATCTCCTGGTACTTTGATCTTGGACTTCCCAGGGTCTAGGACCGTCAGCAACAAATTTCTGTGTTTTGTAAATTACCTAGTGTGAAGTATTTTGTTTGTTAATAGCAACTGGAACTAATGAAGACAAATACCATTTCATAATTTTGTTTTATATTAAGTATTATTCCTTTTTGCTTCGGTGGGTTTAAAATGCAGGCCGAGTGCAGTTGCTCACACCTGTAATCCTAGCAGTTTGGGAGGCTGAGGTAGGAGGATTGCCTGGGCCCAGGAGTTCAAGACCAGCCTAGGCAACATAGTGAGACCTCGTCTCTACAAAAAATAAAAAATTAGTCAGGCGTGGTAACACACACCTGTAGTCCCAGCTCCTCAGGATTGCGTGAGCCTGGGGAGGCTGCAGTGAGCCATGATCATGCCACTGCACTCAGAGTGGGCAACAAAGTGACACTGTATCAAAAACAAAAAGTACAAAAAAGTATGGCTTTTGAAATAGGAAATCTTAATAAAATATGTAATTTATTGGAATGTTGGGACTATAGATAATTTTTAAGATTAAATAGTTCTAATATTGTTTGGGATATTTATGTGTGAATATATTTATGTGTGTGTGTCTCTATATATTTATATAATACACATATATTTATATATAAGTATATATAATATACATTTTACTATTTAATAAATTTTATTGTGTATATTTAAGGTATACAACATGATGTTATGAGATACATAGAGTAAAATGCCTACTATAGCAAAACAAATTAGCATATTTATCTTCTCACATAGTTACCCATTTCCCCCACTGTGGCAAGAGCAGCAATATTCTACTCATTCAGAAAAAATCCTGACTACAATACAGTATTAGTAACTGTAATGCTCATGTTGTGCTTTAGATCTTCATAACTGTTCATCCTATATATCTGCTTCTATGTATCCTTTGACCTACATTTTCCCATTTTTGCTCTTCCAACCCCAACCCTGGTAACCACTGTTTTATTCTGTATCTGTATATTTGACCTTTTTTGTTTTAGATTCCACATCGAAGCAAGATCATGCAATATTTTTCTTTTTGTGTCTGGTTTATTTCCCTTAGCATAATGTCCTTCAGGTCCATCTATGTTGTGGCAAATGGAAGAATCTCCCCCTTTTTTTAGGCTGAATAATATTCCATTGCATGTACATACCACAGTTTCTTTATCCACCCGTTCATTAATGGGCACCTAGGTTTTTTCCATAGATTGGCTATTGTGAATAATGCTGCAATGAACATTAAACTGCAGATATCTTTATGAGGTGCTGATTTCATTTCCTTTGGGTACATACCCAGAAAATGAATTACTAGGTCATATGGTTATTCTATTTTTAATTTACTTAGGAACCTCCATACTGTTTTCCATAATGGCTATACCACTCTGCATTCCCACCAACAGTGTACAAGGGTTCCCTTTTCTCCACACCCTCACCAACATTTGTCTCTTGTCTTTTTTGTAATAGCTATTGTCATGGGTTTGAGGCAGTATCTCACAGTGGTTTGTATTTGCATTTCTCTCATAATTAATGATGTTTAGAAATTTTTCATATACCTGCTGGCCATTTTTATGTTGTCTTTGGAGAAATGTCTATTCAATATATAACAGGTTATATGTTTTATCTATATAAACAGGTTATTTTCTTGCTATTGGGTTGTGTGAGTCCTTTATTTTTTAATATTAACCCCTTATCAGATATACGGTTTTCAAATATTTTTCTCCAATCCATACGTTGCCTTTTCACTTCGTCAGTTGTTTTGTTGGCTAAGCAGAAGCTTTTCAGTTTAATGTAGTCCCATTTATTTATTTTTGCTTTTGTGGACTGGGCTTTCAGTTTGATGTCCAATAAATCATTGCCAAGGCCAGTGTCAAGGATCTTTTCCCCTATGTTTTCTTCTAGAAGTTTTATGCCTTCAAATCTTGAATGCAGGTCTTTTACCTATATTGAGTTTATTTTTATGTAAGATAAGGGTCCAATTTCATTCTTTTGCATGAGAAAATTCAGTTTTCCTAGCATTACTTATTGAAGAGACTATCTTTTCCCCGTTGTGGACACTTTCTTCTTGTCAACACATAAATATATTCACACATATATATTATTAAAAATATTATAACTGTTGAATCTTAAAAATTATTTATAGTCCCACCATTTCAATAAATTACAAACATTAATACTTCCTATTTCAAAACGTAGTTGATCATATGTGTTCAGATTTACTTTTGGGCTCTTTTTTCTGTTCCACTGATGTATGTGTCTGTTTTTATGCCAGTACCATACTGTTTTGATTACTATAGCTTTGTAATATAATTTGATCAGGAAATGTGATGCCTCCAACTTTGTTTTTATTTCTTAGAATTACTTTGACCGATGATTTGAGGTATTTTGTGGTTTCATAAGAATTTTAAAGCCAGGTATGGTAGCACACACCTGTAGTCCCAGCTACTCGGAAGGCTGGAGTAGAGAGATCACTTGAGCACAGGAGTTAAAGGTTGCAGTGAGCTGTAATCATGCCACTGCACTCCAGCCTGGGTGGCAGAGCAAGACCCTTTAAAAACAATAATAATAATAAAGAAAAAAGAATGTTAGGATTATTTTTTCTATTTCTGTGAAGAATGCCACTGGAATTTTCATAGGGATGGACTGAATTTGTATATTGCTTTAGGTAATGTGAACATTTTAACAATATTAATTCTTCCAATCCATGAACATAAAATATCTTTCCATTTATTTGTATCCTCTTCAATTTCTTTGATTGATGTTTGATAGTATTAAGTGCATAGGTTTTTCACCTCCTGGGTAAATTTATTTCCAAGTTTTTTTGACACTTATCATAAACGGGATTATTTTCTTGATTTCTTCTTCAGGTAGGTTATTATTTATGTAGAAATGCCATGAATTTTTATATGTTGATTCTGCATCCTGTAGCTTTACTGAATGCATTTATTAGTTCTAACAGGTTTGTTTGGTGAAGTTTTGAAGTTTTCTATACATAGGATCATTTCATCTGCAAATTGAGACAGTTTTACTTCTTCCTTTCCAATCTGGATACCTTTTATTTCTCTGTCTTATCTGGTTGCTCCTGATAGTAGTTCCACCACCATGTTGAATAGAAGTGGTAAGGGTAGGCAACTTTGCCTTTTACCAAATCTCAAAGGAAAATCCCATTAATTAATATGTTAGCTGTGGGTTTTTCATAAATGGCCTTTATATATAATTATATTCATATATTATGTGTAATATAATTATATATAAAAGTATATACTCATATACTTTTCTTTAAGAGCACTGGCAGAGACCTAGAGATCTTCAGTAGGTTGTGAACTTTAGGTTCACTAGGCTAAACAGAATAATAATTTGGCTAAAGAAAGAAATTGTTGGGAAGGATAACTGGGTCACTGTAAGGATTATCTCCTGACTGGTCCAAAAAAACAGATGCAGGGAGCTATTAAAAGTGGCACCTTGTCTTCACCCACCCCCATCCCTGCCACCCTCAGATGTTAGTCATTAGGAAGTAAAGTAAGAAAGAGCCAAGCCAAGCCCTTCAATTCTGAAGAGGGGCATTTGGAAAGTCATAGGTCATGACTAATTAAAACAACCCAGCCCTGTCTGACAGCTTTGAAGAGAGCAGTGGTTCTCCCAGCACGCAGCTGGAGATTTGAGAACAGGCAGACTGCCTCCTCAAGTGGGTCCCTGACCCCTGACCCCTGAGCAGCCTAACTGGGAGGCACCCCCCAGTAGGGGCAGACTGACACCTCACAAGGCTGGGTACTCCTTTGAGACAAAACTTCCAGAGGAACGATCAGACAGCAGCATTCGCGGTTCATGAAAATCCACTGTTCTGCAGCCACTGCTGCTGTTACCCAGGCAAACAGGGTCTGGAGTGGACCTCTAGCAAACTCCAACAGACCTGCAGCTGAGGGTCCTGTCTGTTAGAAGGAAAACTAACAAACAGAAAGGACATCCACACCAAAAACCCATCTGTACATCACCATCATCAAAGACCAAAAGTAGATAAAACCACAAAGATGGGGAAAAAACAGAGCAGAAAAACTGGAAACTCTAAAAAGCAGAGTGCCTCTCCTCCTCCAAAGGAACGCAGCTCCTCACCAGCAATGGAACAAAGCTGGACGGAGAATGACTTTGATGAGTTGAGAGAAGAAGGCTTCAGACGATCAAACTACTCTGAGCTACAGGAGGAAATTCAAACCAAAGGCAAAGAAGTTAAAAACTTTGAAAAAAATTTAGATGAATGGATAACTAGAATAACCAATACAGAGAAGTGCTTAAAGGAGCTGATGGAGCTGAAAGCCAAGGCTCAAGAACTGCATGAAGAATGCAGAAGCCGCAGGAGCCAATGCGATCAACTGGAAGAAAGGGTATCAGTGATGGAAGATGAAATGAATGAAATGAAGCGAGAAGGGAAGTTTAGAGAAAAAAGAATAAAAAGAAACGAACAAAGCCTCCAAGAAATATGGGACTATGTGAAAAGACCCAATCTACGTCTGATTGGTGTACCTGAAAGTGACAGGGAGAATGGAACCAAGTTGGAAAACACTCTGCAGGATATTATCCGGGAGAACTTCCCCAATCTAGAAAGGCAGGCCAATGTTCAGATTCAGGAAATACAGAAAACGCCACAAAGATACTCCTCGAGAAGAGCAACTCCAAGACACATAATTGTCAGATTCACCAAAGTTGAAATGAAGGAAAAAATGTTAAGGGCAGCCAGAGAGAAAGGTCGGGTTACCCACAAAGGGAAGCCCATCAGACTAACAGCAGATCTCTCGGCAGAAACTCTACAAGCCAGAAGAGAGTGGGGGCCAATATTCAACATTCTTAAAGAAAAGAATTTTCAACCCAGAATTTCATATCCAGCCAAACTAAGCTTCATAAGTGAAGGAGAAATAAAATACTTTACAGTAAAGCAAATGCTGAGAGATTTTGTCACCACCAGGCCTGCCCTAAAAGAGCTCCTGAAGGAGGCACTAAACATGGAAAGGCAAAACCGGTACCAGCCATTGCAAAATCATGCCAAATTGTAAAGACCATCGAGACTAGGAAGAAACTGCATCAACTAACGAGCAAAATAACCAGCTAACATCATAATGACAGGATCAAACTCACACATAACAATATTAACTTCAAATGTAAATGCACTAAATGCTCCAATTAAAAGACACAGACTGGCGAATTGGATAAAGAGTCAAGACCCATCAGTGTGCTGTATTCAGGAAACCCATCTCACGTGCAGAGACACATATAGGCTCAAAATAAAAGGATGGGGGAAGATCTGCCAAGCAAATGGAAAACAAAAAAAGGTAGGGGTTGCAATCCTAGTCTCTGACAAAACAGACTTTAAACCAACAAAGATCAAAAGAGACAAAGAAGGCCATTACATAATGGTAAAGGGATCAATTCAACAACAAGAGCTAACTATCCTAAATATATATGCACCCAATACAGGAGCACCCAGTTTCATAAAGCAAGTCCTGAGTGACCTACAAAGAGACTTAGACTCCCACACAACAATAATGGGAGACTTTAACACCCCACTGTCAATATTAGACAGATCAATGAGACAGAAAGTTAACAAGGATATCCAGGAATTCAACTCAGCTCTGCACCAAGCAGACCTAATAGACATCTACAGAATTCTCCACCCCAGATCAACAGAATATACATTTTTTTCGGCACCACACCACACCTATTCCAAAATTGACCATATAGTTGGAAGTAAAGCTCTCCTCGGCAAATGTAAAAGAACAGAAATTATAACAAACTGTCTCTCAGACCACAGTGCAATCAAACTAGAACTCAGGATTAAGAAAGTCACTCAAAACCGCTCAACTACATGGAAACGGAACAACCTGCTCCTAAATGACTACTGAGTACATAACGAAATGAAGGCAGAAATAAAGATGTTCTTTGAAACCAACGAGAACAAAGACACAACATACCAGAATCTCTGGGACACATTCAAAGCAGTGTGCAGAGAGAAATTTATAGCACTAAATGCCCACAAGAGAAAGCAGGAAAGATCCAAAATTGTCACCCTAACATCACAATTAAAAGAACTAGAGAAGCAAGAGCAAACACATTCAAAAGCTAGCAGAAGGCAAGAAATAACTAAAATCAGAGCAGAACTGAAGGAAATAGAGACACAAAAAACCCTTCAAAAAATCAGTGAATCCAGGAGCTGGTTTTTTGAAAAGATCAACAAAATTGATAGACCACTAGCAAGACTAATAAAGAAGAAAAGAGAGAAGAATCAAATAGATGCAATAAAAAATGATAAAGGGGATATCATCACCACTGATCCCACAGAAATACAAACTACCATCAGAGAATACTATAAACATCTCTATGCAAATAAACTAGAAAATCTAGAAGAAATGGATAAATTCCTCGACACATACACCCTCCCAAGACTAAACCAGAAAGAAGTTGAATCTCTGAATAGACCAATAACAGGCTCTGAAATTGTGGCAATAATCAATAGCTTACCAACCACAAAGAGTCCAGGACCAGATGGATTCACAGCCGAATTTTACCAGAGGTACAAGGAGGAACTGGTACCATTCCTTCTGAAACTATTCCAATCAATAGAAAAAGAAGGAATCCTCCCTAACTCATTTTATGAGGCCAGCATCATCCTGATACCAAAGCTGGGGAGAGACACAACCAAAAAAAGAGAATTTTAGACCGATATCCTTGATGAATATTAATGCAAAAATCCTCAATAAAATACTGGCAAACTGAATCCAACAGCACATCAAAAAGCTTATCCACCATGATCAAGTGGGCTTCATCCCTGGGATGCAAGGCTGGTTCAATATATGCAAATCAATAAATGTAATCCAGTATATAAACAGAACGAAAGACAAAAACCACATGATTATCTCAATAGATGCAGAAAAGGCCTTTGACAAAATTCAACAACCATTCATGCTAAAAACTCTCAGTAAATTAGGTATTGATGGGACGTACCTCAAAATAATAAGAGCTATCTATGACAAACCCACAGCCAATATCATACTGAATGGGCAAAAACTGGAAGCATTCCCTTTGAAAACTGGCACAAGACAGGGATGTCCTCTCTCACCACTCCTATTCAACATAGTGTTGGAAGTTCTGGCCACGGCTATTAGGCAGGAGAAGGAAATAAAGGGCATTCAATTAGGAAAAGAGGAAGTCAAATTGTCCCTGTTTGCAGATGACATGATTGTATATCTAGAAAACCCTATTGTCTCAGCCCAAAATCTCCTTAAGCTCATAAGCAACTTCAGCAAAGTCTCAGGATACAAAATCGATGTACAAAAGTCACAAGCATTCTTACACACCAATAACAGACAAACAGAGAGCTAAATCATGAGTGAACTCCCATTCACAATTGCTTCAAAGAGAATAACATACCTAGGAATCCAACTTACAAGGGATGTGAAAGACCACTTCAAGGAGAACTACAAACCACTGCTCAATGCAATAAAAGAGGATACAAACAAATGGAAGAACATTCCATGCTCATGGGTAGGAAGAATCAATATCATGAAAATGGCCATACTGCCCAAGGTAATTTATAGATTCAATGCCATCCCCATCAAGCTACCAATGACTTTCTTCACAGAATTGGAAAAAACTACTTTAAAGTTCATATGGAACCAAAAAAGAGCCCGCATCGCCAAGTCGACCCTAAGCCAAAAGAACAAAGCTGGAGGCATCATGCTACCTGACTTCAAACTATACTACAAGGCTACAGTAACCAAAACAGCATGGTACTAGTACCAAAACAGAGATATAGATCAATGGAACAGAACAGAGCGCTCAGAAATAATGCCACATATCTACAACTATCTGATCTTTGACAAACCTGAGAAAAATAAGCAATGGGGAAAGGATTCCCTATTTAATAAATGGTGCTGGGAAAACTGGCTAGCCATATGTAGAAAGCTGAAACTGGATCCCTTCCTTACACCTTATACAAAAATTAATTCAAGATGGATTAAAGACTTAAATGTTAGACCTAAAACCATAAAAATCCTAGAAGAAAACCTAGGCATTACCATTCAGGACACAGGCATGGGCAAGGACTTCATGTCTAAAACACCAAAAGCAATGGCAACAAAAGCCAAAATTGACAAACGGGATCTAATTAAACTAAAGAGCTTCTGCACAGCAAAAGAAACTACCATCAGAGTGAACAGGCAACCTACAAAATGGGAGAAAATTTTCGCAACCTACTCATCTGACAAAGGGCTAATATCCAGAATCTACAATGAACTCAAACAAATTTACAAGAAAAAAACAAACAGCCCCATCAAAAAGTGGGTGAAGGACATGAACAGACACTTCTCAAAAGAAGACATTTACGCAGCCAAAAAACACATGAAAAAATGCTCACCATCACTGGCCATCAGAGAAATGCAAATCAAAACCACAATGAGATACCATCTCACACCAGTTAGAATGGCAATCATTAAAAAGTCAGGAAACAACAGGTGCTGGAGAGGATGTGGAGAAATAGGAACACTTTTACACTGTTGGTGGGACTGTAAACTAGTTCCACCATTGTGGAAGTCAGTGTGGCCATTCCTCAGGGATCTAGAACTAGAAATACCATTTGACCCAGCCATCCCATTACTGGGTATGTACCCAAAGGACTATATATCATTCTGCTTTAAAGACACATGCACACGTATGTTTATTGCGGCACTATTCACAATAGCAAAGACTTGGAACCAACCCAAATGTCCAACAATGATAGACTGGATTAAGAAAAGGTGGCACATATACACCGTGGAATACTATGCAGCCATAAAAAATGATGAGTTCATGTCCTTTGTAGGGACATGGATGAAATTGGAAATCATCATTCTCAGTAAACTATCACAAGGACAAAAAACCAAACACCACATGTTCTCACTCATAGGTGGAATTGAACAATGAGAACACATGGACACAGGAAGGGGAATATCACACTCCGGGGACTGTCGTGGGGTGGGGGGAGGGGGGAGGGATAGCATTAGGAGATATACCTAATGCTAAATGACGAGTTAATGGGTACAGCACACCAGCATGGCACATGTATACATTTGTAACTAACCTGCACATTGTGCACATGTACCCTAAAACTTAAAGTATAATAATAATAAAAATAAATAAATAAATAAAACAACCCAATAGAAAAACCACCACCTCCTTTCTGATAAAGGGGAAGAAATTAAAGACTTACCTAAAGGGTCTATTATATATTGAGTATGTGTGCACATGTATGTGTTTTAATGCAAAGTTAAATTAAGTTCTAAGCCAGACAAGTAGAACCTAGAAGCAAATTTTTGACCGAAAAGAAGTCAAAGTGAATTGTATTTTATCCAGAGAAGTAAATCTATTTTTATTTATTATTACTTCTTGACTCTTTAAAAAAGAAAAAAAATTTGTTATACTTTTCTGTTAAAATCAGGTATAAAATAATACTGTTGAAATAGAAGTTCAAACCAGAAAAGAAGAAAGAAACAAATATTCTGACCACAAAGGATAATTCAGTTACTGTGATTGAGCTCTACACATGGCCCCAAGCTTCTTGGCAGTCAAGAGCAAAAGGAAAACACAGCGAGTTATATAATATCAGTGCAAGAAAGCATACAAACGCTTCAAAGGAGAAAACCTTTGTTTCTGGTAATAAATTTTCCAAAAAGCATTCACTGCCAAATTAAACAATAACTGATAACAGTTGAGGTCTTATGGAAGGAGTTGCTTGTATTTGTATTTCTTAAAGATTACTACATTTTATCTTGACTGAAATTTATTATTCAACTCTAACTTATGAGAAGCCAATATGTATGCTAGTAATGGTATAATTGTATTGTTGTGAAAAAATGTATAAGAACACGGACAATATGCTAAAATCTTACTTTCTCCCAGTTATTTATAAGCAAACTTTACAATTTAATCGAAGTCTGATGCCAGTCCTTGGTGGCATCCAATAGAATTGTTTTTCACCTTCAAATCTACCAAGGGATATAAGGAACTGTCACTATCTTCACAAGTAAGCGAGCATTCCAAAAGAATCATCGTGACAATGGGATTTTAATGTAGCTTTGATATTTTACTATAGTCCAAAGTCTTGGGTGGGGGTATAGTGGGCTTATTTCCATTTTAATGCCAAATGTAGGGGAATGGGTTTGTTCTTGTTTCATAGAATGATAGAGAGAAATGTCTCTACAAAAGTGAACATTGGTACTTGGGGAAAGATTATAGAAAAGATTAAGGAGTGAAAGATAAAGGCCTTTACCAAAAGACAGAACAAGAACATGCAGATATCAACAAAAGGCTGCCAACAGACACTTAGGAAGGACGCAGGAAAGAGATACTGGCAGATTTTCAAGGAAAAGATGGATTTTAGAAAGAAATGATGAAAATTGCTGAAAATCCTGCTTTAAAAACAGTACTAAAGAACAAACAGAAAAACAACTTACAGAGACTACAGGAATTCTGGGAGATTCAAGGGGTTACTTAGGGTCTAAGGAAAGGTGCATAATGGTAGAATATATATCATGTTTATATTATGTGAGAACAGGAGTAATTACACCCACATGAGGAAGCCTTGGGAGTATTGCTACCACAGTCAAATAAAGTAGGAAGAAAAGGAATCCTGTAGGTAATTCAGTACAGAAATAAGGAAAGATAAGACAGAGATGGTGAAAAGCAGCACCGTGGATAATTCAATACAGAAATAAGGAAAGATAAGACATAGATGGTGAAAAGCAGCACCGTAGATAAAATGAGCATGAATTTGGAGTTAGACTCACTTGGATGTGAATCCCTTTTTTGCCACTCACTAGTTCTGTAATAGGAGACAAGTTATAAAACTTCCAGCCTCAGTTTCCAGAATTACGAGGAAAGTGAAAAGGAACAATGTGAAAAATACCTAACAGTGTATTCCATAAGGAAGATTATTGATGCATTTATAGAGCACTGAAGGCAGGGTGGGAGAGAGAGGAAGGAAGGGAAGAGAAGGAAAAGGATCCCTGGAATCTCTACTTAGGGAGCCTATAAAGAAATATAGAGCCAGGGAGGCCCAGGCTGCAGTGAGCCATGATAGCACCACTGCACTCAGCCTGAGCAATAGAGTGAGACCCTGTTTGAAAAAAATAAGAATAAGAAAAAGAAAAAGTATAGACAGCCAAATAAGATAGAGGAGAAAGCCCATGCTGTTATATACCATTAGAAGTCTTAGAGTGGAAATGACCCTAAGAGATTATTGAATTCAACTCCCATTTTGTAGATAATTAAACTGAAGCTCGAAGTGGTACTAGCTCAAGGTCACACTGCAAGTTTTCGGTAGATAAAAAGCCTATCATCATTATTTTAGAAAACAAAATCAATGTTAGGTAAGGTTGGGTGGTTTATCTGTGGCCCTATATAAGGGATGAGTGTTAGCCCTGGATGGTCTAAATTTTCAAAACTTATTATCTGAATTTTTTACCTGCTTTTGGCCTAGTCACTTAAAGACTGTTTCCTAAATTTAATGGATAGTGTTTCATATTCTAATTAAATGTAACTATAAATCTGAAGGATCTATTGAATATTTTGTTCATTATAAGACTGCCAAGACTGGGCATGTAGCTCTTTGGAGTAAGTAATTATTACCCCCTTTGTTACTTTAACCGCTGCCTCTGAAAACAATTTAGTCCAGACTTGTCAATTAATACCGGAATCATTAGTTTTTGGCAACCATGGCTTCTTGATAGCTTTTCCTCTATTCTAGCCAAATCCTGGTAGCTATAATCACAGAGATTCTTTTCAATGTTCTATAACTGGGTTGTCATTTTTAAATTGTAGCCAAAAAGAGTATTTCTCAAAGGAAAAAAAAAAGATTTTTTTAACGAGGAAAATAAATTCTGTTCCAGCCAATAAAGCATATTGTTGAATGTGTTTCTTAGTAGAGAGTATAAGCATACGTTTCAGTTCTTTCTTTTATTGTTGCGAACTTCAAATCACTAAAAAAAAGTACTTGGAATGTGATTTTAGTTTTTGTTTATTTTTTCATCAGCATATACAACTAGATATACTCAGGTTGATTTCATCTTAGGATAATGTCAAAGGTACTTGGTTTTACTTTTTAACCACATTTCTCACTAACTAGATGTTTTTAGTCCCTTTCCATCTTTCCAGAGAAGTGTCAGATTCCCCTAGCTTCACCAAGAAGCTCAACATCTAAATAAGGAGATACTACTTAAATAGTTTGAGGTAATTACTAACTCAAGAAAAGGTGTCATCCTGTCTTATTTAATGAGTAAATTATTAAGTAATTTAGTCAGTAAATGCTGAAATAAGAAGAGGGATGTAAGATGATAAAGGAAGACTTACACTATCATCATCATCATCATCATCATCATCATCATCATGACCATCACCTTCACAGGCTACCTTAAACACTTTACATACATTAACTCATTTAATTTTTACAACAGCCTGTGAGATAGGTCATGTTATCCTCACCTACAGATTAGGCAACTGAAGCTCAGAAAGGTTAAGTGACTTGTCCAGGGTCACACAACTAGTAAGTAGCAAATTAGAGATTGAATCCAGACATAGCTTAGGTATCTAAACCCAAAGGAGGCTCAAGAAAATCAAAGTTTGATCTGAGTCTTGAAGGATGAATAAGATTTCACTAAATGCAAAGGAGATTGGTGGCAAAAAGTATGAAGCAAAAAGAAAAAGGTAAAGAGTCTACTCCAGTCTGCCTGGAGTAGAAAAAAATATAAGATTGGAAAGATAAGCTGGTACCTTTTACTGGTAACCAAAACAAATAAACAAAAAAAACCACTGAAACTTTTAAGCAAAAAATAGACAAGTCAAAATGACATTTTTTTCTGTTCTATGCTGTTTATTTGTAAATATCAGTTTTTGTTATAAAGTCAACACCTGCTCATTTAAAATATCCCGACAATGTAGAAGAACATATGGTAGAAAATAAAGTTTTAAAAAGATCAATCTGCCAAGAATGTGCAAGATAGATCAAATGACTGGAGGACTAGTTAGCAGATCTTCATGATAAGCCAGATTTGTAGATATAAAGACTTGAACAAGTGGTAATGAGAAGAAAACGATAAATGGGAAATAGTACAAAGAGAAGTGTCAGATCTCATCCACTGAATGAACCTAAGGGATTAGAAAAAAGAAGACTTACATATGGTTTTGAATTAAACGTGGACAAATTGGAATATGACGTTACTCTTGACAGAAATTGGAAAGCTGGTTCTACAAAGACAATGATGAATTAAGTTGATCGTTTCCCTGAAATCATTGGTTCTCCTACACAAATGACTCTTCCTTGTATAACATGAGTCTCCAAAAATCCAAGTTGGTATTTCCCAAAGCTTAGCCCTTGGCCCTCTTTTCTTCTTTTCCATTCTTTACCCTGCAGACAATGTATCATTCTCGTGCTTCAATGTTCACTTCTGTGTTCATAATTCCTTAATTCTATATCTATATCCAACCTTAGCCTATCTTCAGAGTCACTATCTACTCTGGTGTGCTAAGGCTGCCACTTTAAGACACATCCGCCATTTTATATTAACATATTCTCGAATAAGTGAAGTCATGGCACACCAAGTGAGGAAGACTACAAGGCGCTTTACTGCTAACCCATATGCTCAGTAGATCTTGATCATGGCAATCCATTAGAAAAAAACTATAAGGCATTTAAAATTCACACATGCCCAGCCATACTCGAGAATCTCTAGCGGAAGGTCATGAATGTATATGTTTAAAAACCTTCGTGAGTCTTTCTATTGTAAAATGAGGGTTGCGAATCACTGACCTGTGATGAGACGATCAATAGAGCTACAGCTCAAGGTCTGGAAAAAGCAAATAGAACAATCAGAAGTTGGAGTTAGGTTGCAGAACAGAGCTCAGCTCTTGGATGCAACAACCTCAGGAAATATGTAAAGGAAACAAAAGATTAGATATGGGTTGCCCAGTCAAATGCAGGGATATTGGACAAAAAGGCCATAAGAAATATAGGAGGTGTTATAGCTTAGAACAACAGTTTTGCAAGTGTGATCCCTAAACTAGCAGTTTCAGCGTCACCTGGAAATTTAGAAATGTAAAAGTCCTGGACCGTACCTGGCCTATGAATCCAAAACTGGTGGTGAGGCCCAGCAATATGTGTTTTAACAAGTGTTGCAGGTGGTAATGATGCATGCTAATATTCAAGAACCACTGGTCTAGAATCCCTAAGCATGGACAGAAGGAAAGGACCTAAGTAGAGCGTAGGATATCTGAAGTGCTCAAATTGCTTCCAGGATCACAGAGAATTCATTTTTTTTTTTTTTTTTTGAGACGGAGTCTCGCTCTGTCGCCCAGGCTGGAGTGCAGTGGCGCGATCTCGGCTCACTGCAACCTCTGCCTCCCGGGTTCACGGCATTCTCCTGCCTCAGCCTCCCCAGTAGCTGAGACTACAGATGCCCGCCACCACGCCTGGCTAATTTTTTGTATTTTTAGTAGAGATGGAGTTTCACCGTGTTAGCCAGGATGGTCTCGATCTGCTGACCTCGTGATCCGCCCGCCTCGGCCTCCCAAAGTGATCACAGAGAATTCTTACAAATTAACCGTGTTCTATGCCACAAAGGAACTTTCATCTAACACTAAAGAATTGATATCATACAGATGCTATTCCTGACAGCAATGCAATAAAGTTAGAAATCAATAACAAAAATCTGTAAAAAAATAAAATTAGAAACTAAAAACCACGATTTTAAATAATTCATCAAGGAGATAAAAATCATACTGGAAATTACAAAATACTTAGAACTGACTGTTGACAAACATGCTACATATCAAATTTGTACAATGTAAATAAAATGATGCTTAAAGGGGCAATTATAATCTTAAATATGTACATTAGAAAAGATCAGAATTAAAAATAAATGGATTAAGATTGCAAACATAGATGAAATCTGCCATTTTCTAAATCTATAAAAATTAACTCAAGAAGAAATACTAAACCTGAATTGACTTATAAATATAGTTCTGAAAGATGGATCCAGACCAGAGACAGTAGTAATACTTGGGAACTTGTTAGAAATGCACCTTCTCAGAGCCCACCCATACCTTCTAAACTAGAAACTTGGGGTGGCATCCAGCAACCTGTGTTTTAACAAGTCCTCCAGGTAATTCTGGTGCAGTTAAAACTATAAAGTCCACACTACAAAGGAAGCTACTAAAATCATTTCATCTCCAATTTTCATCTGTGATTAACACCAGAGATCTTGCTTACAATCATTATGCATGTTTGAATGGGTTTTCATAGATGAAGTTAGTGATAGTCGTGATAATGTATATTGCCCAAAATATTTTGCCCCCACTTTGCATGAAGATGCTGTAAGTCTCTGGCATGCTCTGTAGCCTGCGCACTTCACAGTGGCACCCCAGCACCTTGAATTGCTCCTGTATCCAGCTTTGAATTCAAGGGACACTTGTCTGGACTGTGCCTCTAAAATACAGTCATGTTAGCCTTAATGACATTTTCAAACAAGTTATGGCCAGAACACCTAAAACACAAAGATTTGAGACTTTTATACCTTTTTGGTGCCTGCTTGCTGTAAATAAAAGTTGTACATATTTAAGAATTTGCTCTGAAAATTGCTTTTATTATGACCTGGTAATGAGGTGGTCAATGAATGGCAAGCCTCCATGTGCTTCTCTTTATAGGTTAGAACCTAAGAGTCATACATGACCAAACCGGTCTGGGCCAGTTCACATTAAGTGGATTGGAAGAGAGAATGGGAAAAGAAAATGAGTACAGACAATTCTTTTAAGAGATTCTGTAAAGGAGACCAGAGAAATAGGGCTTTAGCTGAAGGGGAAAACAAAGTCAAGAAAGATTATTTCATTCTTTCCAAGTACTCAGTAAGTAATCCTCCTATATTTTTTCTTTTTAAATAAATATTCAGCCAGCTGTGGTGACTCACGCTTATAATCCCAGCACTTTGGGAAGTCAAGGTGGGAGGATCTCTTGAGCCCAGGAGTTCAAGACCAGCCTAAGCAACATAGGGAGACCTCATCTTTACAAAAAATGTAAAAATTAGCTGAGAGTGGTATGCACACCTGTAGTCTCAGCTACTCAGTAGGCTGACACAGGAGGATTGCTTGAGCCTGGGAGGTTGAGTACTGCAGTGAGCTGTTATCACCACTGCACTCCAGCCTGGGCAACAGAGCAAGACCCTGTCTCAAAAAAAAAAAAAAAGTCTCCCCAATACATTGAAAGTACAGTCATCCTCCAGTAACTGCAGAGGAATGGTTCTAGGACCTCTATTTGGATACCAAAATCCATGCTTATTCAAGTCCCAAAGTCAGCTTTCACATCCTGTGTATTCTGTTTTTAAGCTGCATTTGGTTGCAAATGTAGAACCTGCAGATAGGGAGGGACTACTGTACTGACCATATTTCTTGAAAAAATCCCTGCCTAACTGGACCAGCATGCGTCAACTGTATTACAAAAAAAAAAAAAAAAAAGATGGAGAGAGAGAGCTTATGATGCTCAAAAACATTAAGGTGTTTTAAATTAATTCACATTCTTATTCCGCTATGTTCTACATTTGAATGTGCACATATGCAATCTATTTATCATCCCAAAGAGTTTGGTAAATTAGGAAGTATATTTAGACCAATATAATCAGTTTTTAAATGTCTAGAGTTTTAGCCACTGGAAAACAGGGCTGTCTTAGGCCTTCTATTCCACATCTGTTATTCTGTTCCACTTCTATGGAATGCCATTCCCCTTCAACCACCACAAACAAACTTTCAACAGGTTTTGTTCTGCCGAGTATTCTGTTTCCACAGCTTCAGGTCACAAGAAGTTTGGATAGGAGAGAGGGATTGTTTTGATAATGAGTCCTTCTCTTTTCCCGAAGCCTTAATCCTGATTAGAATGTTTAATTTTCTTCTGCAATAAATATGCCCCAAGGTTATTTTCCCTGGCAAATTAGCCAGTCACAGTTTTTTTCATGGTCTGACTTCAAAAATTTTTCTTTTACAATTCCCTGCCTGGCAGAATTCTCAAGTTGAAGACTGACTCACACACTCAAATCTGACTTCCTGATTTGGCATTCTGATGAAAAAAGTGAGTCTCTTCAGGTGATACTAGTTATAAGGAACTAACCAAGGGAAGGTGACTACTAAATATCTAGAATTCTAGGAAAAAAGGCTTACCCAGTCAAAATACATTAGGTATACTTAGACAAGCACATTCTAAGACTTTCTAACCCACTATCCAGTTGTTTCTGTGAAAACATCTCCAAATTAGTTCCTTTTGGGAACCATAATTTTGAAACATTAATGCAAACTCTACTTTTCATCAGATTTAATGAATTGGTCTACTTCATTAAACAAATAACCTCTTATTCTGCGTTTGTCATTTCCCATACATTAAAGTCTCATTTTTAACAATAAAAAACAATAAATATTTGAATACAAGGAGTCATCTCTAAGGAGGTCGAAAATTCTATTGATTTTAAAAATATGGATCTTTGTTGGAAGATAATCATTGGTAAGGTATGAGAATACTCAATACTAACTTACATTTACCTAACTTTTGTTTCTTAAAGGACCTTCACATTCACTATCATATCTGATTGTCACAAGAAATGTAGGAGACAGGGTAAGGCAGGTATAATCATTGCCATTTGCAGATAAGGAAAGTGAGTTCAGAAATTTCAAGGACTTGCTCAAGTTCCCGCAGCCAATGAGTGCCCAAGACAAAACCCAGTTATTGGACTCCAGACTCCAAACCCAATGGTTCTTTCATGACACCACTTAATGTCCCATTTGAGTAAGCAGAAGACAGTAGATCTCCCAATACTATCCCTTTCTGAGGGGTTACATACCAATCCTTTGCCAATTGATTTAGTGATTGAATTCCAGACTGGTCTTACTGAGTGGGTTATCATAAAGACCACAGTTTTTTTCTTTTTCTTTTTTCTTTTTTTTTTTTTTTTTTGAGACAGAGTTTCACTCTTGTCACCCAGGCTGGAGTGCAATGGAGCGATCTCAGCTCACTGCAACCTCCACTTCCTGGGTTCAAGGAATTCTCCTGCCTCAGCCTCCCAAGTAGCTGGGATTGCAGGTGCACACCACCATGCCCGGCTAATTTTTGTATTTTTAGTAGAGACAGGGTTTCACCATCTTGGCCAGGCTAAGTTAATGGTTCTAACATAATAAAGACGCTAAAGATTTAGAAGTGATAAAAAGAAATATTTATAGTCAATACCATAATGTTAAACATTTTTTTAAAATCTCTAATATTAATTCATCAACAATAGAAGAGAAAAAGCATATGTTTGGTAGGAAAGAGACCATGCAAGAGTTTAATAAACTAACAGCATTTGCTATACAGAGCTTACAAAGCTTTCAGTCTAAGGTGACAGACTAAACACATATATTTACTTCTTATTCCTTCCCAAACCCCACTTGAAAATATGAAAATATACATCTTGTCTTTGGCTCTGTTTATATGCTGGATTACATTTATTGTTTTGCATATATTGAACCAGCCTTGCATCCCAGGGATGAAGCCCACTTGATCATGGTGGATAAGCTTTTTGATGTGCTGCTGGATTCAGTTTGCCAGTATTTTATTGAGGATTTTTGCATCAATGTTCATCAAGGATATTGGTCTAAAATTCTCTTTTTTGGTTGTGTCTCTGCCCGGCTTTGGTATCAGAATGATGCTGGCCTCATAAAATGAGTTAGGGAGGATTCCCTCTTTTTCTATTGATTGGAATAGTTTCAGAAGGAATGGTACCAGTTCCTCCTTGTACCTCTGGTAGAATTCGGCTGTGAATCCATCTGGCCCTGGACTCTTTGTGGTTGGTAAACTATTGATTATTGCCACAATTTCAGCTCCTGTTATTGGTCTATTCAGAGATTCAACTTCTTCCTGGTTTAGTCTTGGGAGAGTGTATGTGTCGAGGAATTTATCCATTTCTTCTAGATTTTCTAGTTTATTTGCATAGAGGTGCTTGTAGTATTCTCTGATGGTAGTTTGTATTTCTGTGGGATCGGTGGTGATATCCCCTTTATCATTTTTTATTGTGTCTATTTGATTCTTCCCTCTTTTTTTCTTTATTAGTCTTGCTAGCGGTCTATCAATTTTGTTGATCCTTTCAAAAAACCAGCTCCTGGATTCATTGATTTTTTGAAGGGTTTTTTGTGTCTCTATTTCCTTCAGTTCTGCTCTGATTTTAGTTATTTCTTGCCTTCTGCTAGCTTTTGAATGTGTTTCCTCTTGCTTTTCTAGTTCTTTAATTGTGATGTTAGGGTGTCAATTTTGGATCTTTCCTGCTTTCTCTTGTGGGCATTTAGTGCTATAAATTTCCCTCTACACACTGCTTTGAATGCGTCCCAGAGATTCTGGTATGTTGTGTCTTTGTTCTCATTGGTTTCAAAGAACATCTTTATTTCTGCCTTCATTTCGTTATGTACCCAGTAGTCATTCAGGAGCAGGTTGTTCAGTTTCCATGTAGTTGAGTGGCTTTGAGTGGGATTCTTAATCCTGAGTTCTAGTTTGATTGCACTGTGGTCTGAGAGATAGTTTGTTATAATTTCTGTTCTTTTACATTTGCTGAGGAGAGCTTTACTTCCCAGTATGTGGTCAATTTTGGAATAGGTGTGGTGTGGTGCCAAAAAAAATGTATATTCTGTTGATCTGGGGTGGAGAGTTCTGTAGATGTCTATTAGGTCCGCTTGGTGCAGAGCTGAGTTCAATTCCTGGGTATCCTTGTTGACTTTCTGTCTTGTTGATCTGTCTAATGTTGACAGTGGGGTGTTAAAGTCTCCCATTATTAATGTGTGGGAGTCTAAGTCTCTTTGTAGGTCACTCAGGACTTGCTTTATGAATCTGGGTGCTCCCGTATTGGGTGCATATATATTTAGGATAGTTAGCTCTTCTTGTTGAATTGATCCCTTTACCATTATGTAATGGCCTTCTTTGTCTCTTTTGATCTTTGTTGGTTTAAAGTCTGTTTTATCAGAGACTAGGATTGCAATCCCTGCCTTTTTTTGTTTTCCATTTGCTTGGTAGATCTTCTTCCATCCTTTTATTTTGAGCCTATGTGTGTCTCTGCATGTGAGATGGGTTTCCTGAATACAGCACACTGATGGATCTTGACTTTTTATCCAATAGATGCAGAAAAAGCCTTTGACAAAATTCAACAACCCTTCATGCTAAAAACTCTCAATAAATTAGGTATTGATGGGACGTATTTCAAAATAATAAGAGCTATCTATGACAAACCCACAGCCAATATCATACTGAATGGGCAAAAACTGGAAGCATTCCCTTTGAAAACTGGCACAAGACAGGGATGCCCTCTCTCACCACACCTATTCAACATAGTGTTAGAAATTCTGGCCAGGGCAATTAGGCAGGAGAAAGAAATAAAGGGCATTCAATTAGGAAAAGAGGAAGTCAAATTGTCCCTGTTTGCAGACGACATGATTGTATATCTAGAAAACCCCATCATCTCAGCCCAAAATCTCCTTAAGCTGATAAGCAACTTCAGCAAAGTCTCAGGATACAAAATCGATGTACAAAAATCACAAGCATTCTTATACACCAACAACAGACAAACAGAGAGCCAAATCATGACTGAACTCCCATTCACAATTGCTTCAAAGAGAGTAAAATACCTAGGAATCCAACTTACAAGGGATGTGAAGGACCTCTTCAAGGAGAACTACAAATCACTACTCAAGGAAATAAAAGAGGATACAAACAAATGGAAGAACATTCCATGCTCATGGGTGGAAGAATCAATATCGTGAAAATGGCCATACTGCCCAAGGTAATTTACAGATTCAATGCCATCCGCATCAAGCTACCAATGACTTTCTTCACAGAATTGGAAAAAACTACTTTAAAGTTCATATGGAACCAAAAAAGAGCCCACATTGCCAAGTCAATCCTAAGCCAAAAGAACAAAGCTGGAGGAATCACACTACCTGACTTCAAACTATACTACAAGGCTACAGTAACCAAAACAGCATGGTACTGGTACCAAAACAGAGATATAGATCAATGGAACAGAACAGAGCCCTCAGAAATAACGCCGCATACCTACAACTATCTGATCTTTGACAAACCTGAGAAAAACAAGCAATGGGGAAAGGATTCCCTATTTAATAAATGGTGCTGGGAAAACTGGCTAGCCATATGTAGGAAGCTGAAACTGGATCCCTTCCTTACACCTTATACAAAAATCAATTCAAGATGGATTAAAGATTTAAACGTTAGACCTAAAACCATAAAAACCCTAGAAGAAAACCTAGGCATTACCATTCAGGACATAGGCATGGGCAAGGACTTCATGTCCAAAACACCAAAAGCAATGGCAACAGAAGACAAAATTGACAAATGGGATCTAATTAAACTAAAGAGCTTCTGCACAGCAAAAGAAACTACCATCAGAGTGAACAGGCAACCTACAAAATGGGAGAAAATTTTCGCAACCTACTCATCTGACAAAGGGCTAATATCCAGAATCTACAATGAACTCAAACAAATTTACAAGAAAAAAACAAACAACCCCATCAAAAAGTGGGTGAAGGACATGAACAGACACTTCTCAAAAGAAGACATTTATGCAGCCAAAAAACACATGAAAAAATGCTCATCATCACTGGCCATCAGAGAAATGCAAATCAAAACCACAATGAGATACCATCTCACACCAGTTAGAATGGCAATCATTAAAAAGTCAGGAAACAACAGGTGCTGGAGAGGATGTGGAGAAATAGGAACACTTTTACACTGTTGGTGGGACTGTAAACTAGTTCCACCATTGTGGAAGTCAGTGTGGCCATTCCTCAGGGATCTAGAACTAGAAATACCATTTGACCCAGCCATCCCATTACTGAGTATATACCCATATGACTATAAATCATGCTGCTATAAAGACACACGCACACGTATGTTTATTGTGGCATTATTCACAATAGCAAAGACTTGGAACCAACCCAAATGTCCAACAATGATAGACTGGATTAAGAAAATGTGGCACATATACACCATGGAATACTATGCAGCCATAAAAAATGATGAGTTCATGTCCTTTGTAGGGACATGGATGAAATTGGAAATCATCATTCTCAGTAAACTATCGCAAGAACAAAAAACCAAACACCGCATATTCTCACTCATAGGTGGGAATTGAACAATGAGATCACATGGACACAGGAAGGGGAATATCACACTCTGGGGACTGTGGTGGGGTGGGGGGAGGGGGGAGGGATAGCATTGGGAGATATACCTAATGCTAGATGACGAGTTAGTGGGTGCAGCGCACCAGCATGGCACATGTATACATATGTAACTAACCTGCACAATGTGCACATGTACCCTAAAACTTAAAGTATAATTAAAAAAAAAAAAAAAAGAAAATATACATCTTAAAGAATAAATCCCTAACAGCACTGGAAACAAGAAAAAGTATAACCAGTAGACCAGAAATCTTGAGGAAATAAAAAGCAGATGGTATTAAACTGATGGAAAATTCAAGGCAGAGAAAACTACAACACACAATAGGTGTGGGAATGACATCTGTGAATGAGACTCTGCTAGAGAGAAACTGCAAGCTCTAAATACACAAATATGGGCGGGGCAAAGTGGATGATGAAATCATCAGGAAAACAAAGAAATACCTATAGAACAACCGAGCCAGCTGTGTCCCTTCTTCTCCCTGTCTATGGATATCTTTTGGCTGGACTATTCACTTCTAGAGACTCTAGCTGGGCAGGACTGCTAAAATAAGGCAGGAAACAGAAGCACAGCAGACTCTGAGGTAACTCCAGACATCCACAATTGGCTCATGCACACACACACACACACACACACACATTCTCTCTCTCTCTCTCTCTCTGTCACACATACTCTGTCTCTCTCTTTCTCTGTCTCTCTCTCACATGCACCACACACACACACACACACACACACACAAAGGGAGCAGAGTTCTAGTTGAAGATACTCAATTTACAATTATTAGAGCTAATGAGAGAGTTTCCTGAGGGATCAAGATACAAGGTAAGTATACCAAAATAATGCCATTACTATAAAACAATGGCCCATTAAATGCAATATAATTGCATATTTATAATAACAATTAAAATTTTTATATAATGTATTTAAGAATAATCAAATGAGAAGTGTAAGAAAACTATTAAATATTTTTTGAAAATTTTTTGTAAAAAAATCCTAATAAACATCAAAATACATTATTCCTTTGAGTATAGGGAGATTCCATTGGTAACAGTATTCATTTTGACCAAATTGATATCTATAAATTCAATGCAATTCGGACTAAAATCCAAACTATTTTCAAACGAACTTGAAAAGTTGATTCTAAAGTTGACTTGCAGTAGTAAATCTGACCCCCAAAAGAAGTGCTTAAAAATAAAGAAAAGATGAGAAATTTGCCCTAACAAATATTAAAACAAACTATAATGCCATGCTAATTAAAACACAGAATCCATGTTAAAAATATAGCTATATCGATGTACACATGGATATAGATACAGATATACATACAGACAAACACACAGGCTCCTCCAGGATATATCCAGTATCAACAATGGTGAAGGAAATCTATGAGACAGGACATAAATAGAGCCTTCTTTACCCTTGCACCCTCAGTGCATCAGGATCAGCCAGAGTAACCCCTAGAGCCTGGAAGCTGATGAGACTGTGCAATTTAAGAACATTTTAAATACACTGTGGAGTATCCATAAAGATCAAATGATATCCATAAAGATCATATCCATAAAGTATCCATAAAGATCAAATTTCTAATGAGGGAACAGACACAGTGTGCTTTCTTCAGGCACACGTGAATTTTGACCTCGTATCAGGACCTAAGAAAACACTTGCTTTGACACTACTGAATTTGAAAGCATCTAATTTTTAGTTGTAGGAGATTGCCCTGTGCATTGCAGGATGGTTAGCAACATCCCTAGCCTCATTTTTATAAATAAATCAGATCATCTCTTTCTCTTATTCAAAACCCTTCAATGATAGCTTCTCGGCCTTTCAGCTAAGATCAAGCATAGTATCAAAACCCTTCAATGACTTTCTGTGAATTTACAATAAATCTAAACTCTCTACTGGTGCTGTGGCTGCCACCCAAATCTTCAACTCCTAATATGAGTAGAACTGCCCTCCCCACTTCACAGCTGTGACAACCAAAAATGTCCCCTTGGCATAAAATTGCCTGCAGTTGAGAACCACTGCTATGAACAATTGAAAGATAAAGTACATTCAACGGTGCACATTGCCACAATGCAATATTGGTAACACAAATCTGAGATGGGCCCTCTATATTGCCAGATATTTTTATATTATACCCTAGTCAATCACTCATACTCTCCTGGAGTCTGGGACTAGTGACAATTATTTCACCCCTTCTTTTTCTCAAACTTCCATCAATTCCTCCTAAATCCTCATTTTCAACTAGTAACTTTACCTCCTATTTCACTATGAAAACAGAAGTGATCTGAAAATAGCTTCCTCTTTGTTCTACCACAGAATCCACCAGCATTTGTGCCAGTACCTCTACATTCAACTTTTCCTCCTGTTACAATGACCAATCCCTCCCTGTTCCTATGTAAGTCCAGATCATTCACTTGTGCTATGAAGCCCTTTTCCAGAAGCCGGCTGAAAGTTTAGTTCCTGCAAGTATAGCCCCTTGCTCTGCATCTTCAATTTCTCTCTCTCTCTCTCTCTCTCTCTCTCCTCTGAATCATTCCCATCAAAATACAAAAATGCTGTGATACAGCTCCCTTCTATGTTCCCTTTATTGCAGTTTCCTCCAAAGGACTCTCTCCATTCACTGTCTGCATTTGATCAGTACCCATCCTCTGAGCCATCTGGTTTTTTTCCTACTAATGAACCCACTTGCATCAAAGTCATCAAGACCCTCATCTTGCCTAACTGCTGAGAGTCCCCACCAATATCTTAGCAGCATATGCCAAAATTGGTCATTTTTTTCATTAAACACTGTCTTCCCATGTTTTCTGGGATGCTACATCCCCCAGTTCTCCTCTCACATCAGTAGCTATTTCTTTGATGTTTCCTTTCCCAGCTCTTCCTCTTTTGGACCTCTTTCTGAACTCCAAGAGCTAGTGGCCCAGGCTCTGTCCTCAGCTTCCTGTCCTCACTACCACACTCTTTCTAGATGACCTCATTCAGTTTCATGGCTTTAAATAACACAGATGATCCCCCTCCCACCAAAAAAAAAATTATATCTCTATCCAGGACAATTCCTCTGCTGTTCAGACCCGTATGTCCAATTACCAACCACATATCTCCATTTAGATGTCTAAATTTGAAATCGGTATTTCAAACTTAGTATACATAAAGCTGAACCCTTGATGTAGCTCCTGCCTCCCCTAGTGCTCTACATCTCAGTGAATGAGAATATACACCTACTTCCTCCATCCCAAGACTTACAAGTCATCCCTAACTCTTCACTACCTACATTCAATCCATTGGCAGCTCCTTAGCTCTGCCTCTAAATTCATCCATGATCTTACCACATCTCATAATCTCTGTTGCTACTATCCTAGTCAGAGTGCTTGTCTTTCCATTTGAAGTCCTGCAATGAGTCAGAGTGACATTTTTATACATATTAGATTATATTTTCCCCTTATTCAAAACTCTCCAATGCTTCCCTCCTATTTACAGTAAAATCCAAATTCTTTACCACACTATGGCTACCACAGAACGCACCGACTATAGAGACCATAATTACCCAAAGGTCCCTGCCTCTCAGGACATTCTGATTCATCACTGTGTTTGCACCAAAGCCATGTTTTCCACGAACTCCTCCCAGCCAGTGACTAATATTAAATCAAACTAATTCCTGGGAATCACAATACTCTTCTGATGGCCAACCAGAACTCAAGGAAGCATCAATGATCTAGCTGCACCTTCCTCACACTGCTCGGCAGTCCACAAACTTCCACCCAATCTTCCTCTCTCCTCTGCCCACGGCAGACTAACATCACAGTATCACAGTCTCATGGCTCTCTTAGCCTTCACTAAATTCTCCCTATTTTCTGTCACCCAGGTATTCACTTCATAAAATCCTTCCACTTGTTTTTTTTTTTTTTTTTTTTTTTTTTAGACAGAGTCTCGCTCTGTTGCCAGGCTGGAGAGTGCAGTGGCGCAATCTTGGCTCACTGCAACCTCCACCTCCCAGGTTCAAGTGATTCTCCTGCCTCAGCCTCCCGAGTAGCTTCCACTTTTAATCTCATCTTCATATCTGATGCTTGCATAGCCCAGACCAATGTGCACATCCACAAGGCTCTGTGTGATCTTCTTCCTGAACACCTTGTCCATCTTGTCTTTATTTCTCTCTTTCTTACAAACACTGCTCTATCAGCACTGCCCTTCATTTGTCCCTTGCCAAGTGGTTTTGCACAGGCCTTTTGTGCATGCTGATTTCTCTCCTGGAATGCTCTACTCTCAATCTTCAAATGGTTTACTCCCTTTTTCAGTCAGGTCTCTGCTCAAATGCCATACTACAGAGAGACATTTCTAGATCATTCTTTTAAAAGAGCTCCCATCCCATCAGAATCTTTACCTACCCTGATTTACATTTCTTACTACATGTGTCACTAAAATTTTGTTTTATATGTGTATTTTGTCCAGTTGTCAATCATCTCTCTCCTCCTCTAGGATATAAGCTCCATAAAGGCAAATATATTCTTCCTGCCTGCTACCCAGTGCACTGCCTGGCCTACAGAAGTTCAATAAAATAAAATTGAGTTTATGAAATCAGTGATTTTGATGATATATTCAAGCAATGATAATTAACACATGCATTAATTTTATAGCCTTTAGTAATGCATACTTGCCACTATCCAAAGTATATATTCTTTGAGTTCATGTCCTTTGCAGGGACATGGATGAAGCTGGAAAAAAGCATCCTCAGCAAACTAAAGCAGGAACAGAAAACCAAACACTGCATGTTCTCACTCATAAGTGGGAGTTGAACATCGAGAACACATGGACACAGGGAAGGGAACATCACACACCGGGGCCTGTCAGGGGGTGGGGGCAAGGGGACGGAGAGTATTAGGACAAATACTTAATCATGCCATGCTTAAAACCTAGATGATGGGTTGATAGGTGCAGCAAACCACCATGGCACCTGTATACCTATGCAACAAACCTGCACATTCTGCACATGTATCCCAGATCTTAAAGTAAAATTTTAAAAAATTAAATAAATAAATAATTTTGTGCCTATATTCTTTTTTTTAGTGCAGGAAAGGGCTGTAACTTTATTTGTATTTCCTCTTACACAAAACCATCAAAACAAGAACAGAGAAGGGATGAAAATCTGTTCAAACCCCATGTTCTCAGGCATATTCCAGGGAGCTCTTGAGGCTGAGTGCACAGCTTCAAATCCAGCACTAATTCCTCAACACCTGGCCTGAGGTCTTCAAAGACTGGTGGCTTGAGCCCTGCAATTAATTATAATCCCTTGCCCACCTTGATATAAGGCAGGAAAGCAGATTGAAATGCTCCTCTTTGGTGGGCAAGGGGAATCACAGCCCATAAATGTACTACATCTTCTGTGCTACAGAAGCAGAACCTGAAGCTGCTTCCAAGGCTCTGGACACTTGCACACAGGGCTAGAGGCCAATGGTATATAAGCAGGCTGTGGGATTGTGAACAGCAGAACAGACTGGTGCTGTCATAGCCCACTGATACCACACCTTCTTAGAATTGCTGCCTCACCAGAAATGCACACAGATGGTCTGGCCTTCACGCACCATTATGGGCTGCTTAATAGGGAAGAGGATGGGAAACCATGAGAACATCCCAGGAGAGTGAGTCTCTGTCTGGACAGATACTCAGAGTGATGTACTGATAAAGCATCTTAACGTATCCTGCAAAGCCATGCAGTACTGTATTCACCTCCACGGGAAACTCCAAGGTCCAGTAGCAGTTGTTGTCAATCGTAGGATCTGTGTTGGGATGGCTGAAGGTGAAACAGGGCTGGGATGCAGACAGCTGGTGGAGGTTGTGCAGTCGTACCACATAAGGCATCTCAAACTAGGCCTCAGGGTCACAGATCTTCTCCCTACAGGCTCAGACCTCATTGTACAGCTTGGAGGAGGAGATGGGAGCCAGGAAGGAAGTGTATTCCCCGGGGATGCGCACGCCTTCATGTTTTAGGAAGTGCTGGGCTCCATGCAGGCACTCAGGGGACAATTCATTGTCAACAAACAAGCAAAAACTGTCTATATTCTTAAATTAAGATAGTACCTTATTCCAATTGTAGCACTATTATAATAATGTTTCATTTTAAAACTCTGGTCTTATACCCTAGTAATGCAACTTACAGGTTATCATTGAGTGTGAGGAATTCTGGTATCTGATATCTGTCAACAAAGTGTCTGGAGGTCCAATATCTTTGAAGGACAGGAATCTTCCATCTATCTGCTATTAGGCAACTACTTTTGTACCTTTGAATGAATTGAGGATGCTGGAGAGGATAAAGGTAACACTCTTTGGGTTGGTCCTTTATTTTAAAGAACACTGTCAATGAGAAGAAATATGTGAAAGCATTTTGCCAGGTTTGTCATTGGGCACCCACTATGTTGTTTTAGAATAGCTCTAAGGTAAGTGGGAGCTTTTCCTAAAGTACATAGCTCTCAAATTAACATTGACCCTTCAGGAAAGTAGGATCTCCTTACAATGTTTCACTTTATGATGCACTTTTCAGAGAAACTGGTAAGGAAATGGGATATGCCTATACCTCTTCTACCTTTCTCACAGGAATAGTATGAAACTAAAAATGTTGGCTATAATTGCATTTTGAAAAAATTAAGTGAACTAGATGCAAACTACTATAAAAAAATTCAGTTCATACTGCGGAATATTCTATCCTAAGGTGGCCAGCATGCTATACATGGCTTTTAAAATTTGTGGGACCAAAGATTATACCTATAATATGTGTTTCCATTATAAAATCCAAATAAGGAAAATAAAAAAGAACATAATTTGACAATCATTTAAGTAATCTAGAAGAGAGAGAATGGATATAGTCTAACCCCTAGAGAGATGAGTGTAAGTGGACTCAACCAGCCAAATCTGAAGATAGCCCACTAGTGAGGTGACTCAGGTTGTGATATAACAATGAGAGTGTTTCTGAAAAGGAATTGGGAGGGTATTCTGGTCAGAGCTAGTGGAATATGTGAAGGCTTGGAGGGAAGAGAGGGTGAAACTTGCATGAAAGCTATCAAATATATTTTTCTGACTCAACTCAAAGAGCATGCAGGCTCAAGGGTGAGACTTACCTATATTAAATAATAAATACAATCAAGTAGAATTTCAATTTGCAATGCTGATGGAGAGATGATACCACCAGAAGTTTTAGTTTAATGTAGTTCAGGGTGGAAGAAAGTGAATATCCTTGCAGGGTTCTGGAATGGGGGTGTAGATACAAGCCATTACAGTCTGAATGTTGGTGTCTCCCCAGAATTCATATGTTGAAATTCTCACCCCAAGGTGATGGTATTAGGAGTCGGAGGGTGGGGGGCGCCTTTTGGGAGGTGATTAGGTCATGAGAGTGGACTGCTCACGAATGGGATTAGCACCCTTATAAAAGAGGCCTGAGGGAGCTTGGCTGTCCCTTCCGCCATGTGAGGACCCAGAGAGAAGGCAGCATCTGTGAACCAGGAACCAAACACCTCACCAGACACCAAATCTGCCAGTGCCTTCATCATGAACTTCCCAGCCTCTAAAACTATGAAAAATAAATTTCTGTTTTTACAAGTTACCCAGTTTATGGTACTTCGTGAGAGCAACCCAAATGGACTAAGAAGCTAATATCATAGCGGCTCTATGAATTCTGGAACTGGCTTTGAATAAAGATAGAAAGAGGGAATGGGAATAGAGTCTCTCATATGAACTTTCAAGTTAATTCCTATGAGGTATTAAGGATAAAGAAAATAAATATTCTTGAGAAACACTACCACAACCAGAACTAAAAAAAAAAAAAGAGAACATCTCCAATAAATAAAGCAGGTTAGGGCTTCACATAAAAGAGTTTAGAATTTTGTTTAAAACCATGTCTAAAACTTCAGTATCTTCAATAATTTGGTTTAAAACAACATCTAAAACTTTAGTATTTTCAAGACATGATACTTTTTTAGTATCTTCAAGGCATGATTTTTTTAAGTCTCATGCAGACAGAAATTACAAACTGTAGCATGAGTAAACCTTACCTGGAGTGACTAACATCAACATAGCATCACTAAAATGATGAGTAGTAACGCATAACCACATCCTCAAGACTCACCCATATCAGCATTTCCTAATGTGATTTAACTGCAGAATGCTTTAGGAATTATAAAATGTTGATAAAACACCAACCTAGAAGATATTATGCACATTTGATTAAGAAAGAGCAAAAAATAAATGCTTCCAGAAAATATCAAAATTGAATTCAGTTTGAGAAGAAATAAACATTGAATAGAATCACAAATAAATTAAGTAGGAAAATGTTGTTATATTTTAGAGATATATAATGAACTACTTAGGGGTGAATGTCATGATGTCTATAATTTTTACAGTACTTCCACAGAAATATATACCTTTATGAAGCATATAAAGCAAACTGTGAACATTTTTTAATTCTTTCAAGCCCAAAGGGCAATTCATGAGGCAGCAAGTTGGAACAAAGCTACGGAGCCCAGAGCAGAGCGGTGTGTACAAAAATGTCTGCAAAATGTCATTTCAAGCCATAGAAAGCAAGTGTAGATGTTATTAAGGGCTGAATTATGTCCCCCAAAATTTATATATTGTATTCCTAACCCCCAGGACCTCAGAATGTGACCATATTTGGAAATAGGGCCTTTAAAGAGGTAACTGAGGTAAAATGAGGCTATAAGTGGGCCCTATCCAATATGACTGGTGTCCTTCAAAGAAGAGGAGGTTAGGACGCAGACACTCACAGGATAGACATGCATGCTCACAGAGAAAAGACCATGTGAGGACACAGGAAGAAGACAACCATCTGCAAGGCACAGAGAAAGGCCTCAGAAGAAACCAAACTTGGGGACACCTTGGTCTCAGACTTCCAGCCTTCAGAACTGTGAGACAATCAATTTCTGTTGTTCAAGCCACCCAGTCTGGTATTTTGTTACAGCAGCCCTTGCATACTAATACAGACGCCCTCCCGAATATATTCAGTCAGAAAGCTGTAGACAAAGGTCCTTGGGATACCATCTAATCTATCCATCATCCTTTAGGCAAGGCTACCTCTCAGTCTTCCAACTGAAGGACAAAAAGAATGCCTGAGAAGAACACTGGATATCCATGGAAGATGGCTGAGTTGCTGGAGATGGTACAATAAGAACACAATTCTGAAATCTTGATTCAAAATTCTCTACAGCACAAAACCCATCTATTTCAGAACTGTAGTCTTAAAGCCTTGGTTGACAATGATGAAAAAAATTGTAAGTCTTTGCTACAGAACACACTCTTCATTAGACATTATTTAAACTTACATTACTGAAAATTACATTAAGAGCTGAAAGTCTCAATTATAGCCTTTCTAAAATTTTTAAAAATATTTTTATTTTTTGAGACAGGGTCTTGCTCTGTTACCCAGGCTTGAGTGCAGTAGTGCAATCATGGCTCACTACAGCCCCAAACTCCTAAGCTTAAACAATCCTCCCTCCCAAGTAGCTGGGACCACAGGTACATGCCACCATACCCAGCTAATTTTTTAAACTTTTTATAGAGATAGGGTCTCCTTATGTTTCCCAGGCTAGTCTCCAACTCCTGGGCTCAAGAGATTCTCCCACCTTGGCCTCTCAAAGGTCTCTCATGCCTGGAATTACAGGCGTGAGCCACCAGGCCCGGCTATTATTGCTTTTTAAACTCAGAATTCAGCTAAGGTAATGAAAAACATCTTCAAATTTTAAAAATATAAATTAGAAATTAGAAAAAAAGCACTGCTTCAAGCTTTATCTCACAACTTTACTGCTTTCTTTTTCACCGCCATATAAAAATATAATTAGAATTGCTTCCTAAGAAAATTTCTTTTCCAGAAGTTACCAAGAAGTCTTGAAAAAGTCTAATGTAGCACATGCTAACAATAGATGGTGTTGATTTTTCTTCCACAAATAGAAAAACTAAAAATAGAATTACCGTATGACCCAGCAATCCCAACTTCTGAGTATTTACCCAAAGACTTGAAATCCGTTGGTCAGAGAGATGTCTGCATTCCCATGTTTATTGCAGCACTATTCATAACAGCCAAGAAATGCAACAAACTGCAGTGTCCATCAACGCATAAATAAAGAATATGTGGTATATAAACATAAAGAAATATTATTCAGCTCTTACAAAGAAAATAGCCAGGCACAGTGGCTTACATCTGTAATCCCAGCACTTTGGGAGGCGGAGGCAGGCAGATCACTTGAGGTCAGGAGTTCAAGACCAGCCTGGCCAACATGGTAAAACCCCATCTCTACTAAAAATTACAAAAATTAGCCGGGCATCGTGGTGGGCACCTGTAATCCCAGCCACTTGGGAGGCTGAGGCAGGAGAATCACTTGAATCTGGGAGGCAGAGGTTGTAATGAGCCGAGATTGTGCCACTGCACTCCAGCCTGGGTGACAGAGCAAGATTCTGTCTCAAAAAAAAAAAAAAAAAGAAATTTTATCATTTGCAACAAAATGGATGGAATGAGAACATTATGCTAAGTAAAATAAGCCAGGCACAGAAAGACAACTACCTAACATTGTTACTTATATGTGGAATCTAAAACAATCGAAGCAGAGAGTAGAATGGTGGTTACAAAGGCTAGGGCCTTAGGGGGGAATGGAATGATGACAGTCAATGCATACGAAGTCTCAGTTAAAGAGGAGGAATATGGAGATTTTTTGAGTTCTATTGAACAGCATGGTGACTATAGTTAATAATAGAGTATTTTATATTTCAAAATTGCTAAGACTACATTTCAAATGTTCTCATCATAAAAATGTTAAGTACTTGAGGTGATAGATACACTAACTAGCTTGATTTAATTCTTTCACATTGCATTCATAAATGATAATATCACCTTGTATCCCATAAATTTATACAACTGTAAATTGTCCACTTATTACACAATAAAATAAGTTAAAAAAAAATTTAGCAGAAAGAGTTATTCTCACTGATAAGCAATGTTTCTGCATGTTTTTTGCACTGTTTCTAATTACTAAGTTGTTTTCAATGTGTGTCAGAAAGAAGAATTTGCCTAAAGGCGAGGCTTGACACCCTTAGAACAATACCCTTCATCGCCCCTCCATGGCCTGTCCTCACTCTTCGTGACCTTTGCCCTCTCCCGGCCACCCATTCATTCCTGAGCCTCTCCTCTTTATTAGTGTTGCAGACATTACCCTTCCCTGACTCTTTCTCTGACGTTTCCATCTCTTTTTGATAAGCTTCTAGTCATTGCTTATCCTAACTGCATGCCTTCTATGAGATTTGTCCTGGTCTCTTTGACCTTTTCTTTTTCAGATTCTGTCCCTAAATCAAATGCATCCAACTCCTGGCTGCAGTTACTAATTACTACACTCTCATATTTCAAACCTGAAGTCTTCACCTAGGCCTACAGTGCCATATGCCATCAGATATCAGCCATCTCCACTGGAATGTTTTCAAACGGCTTCAAAATTGAATTGCTCTCCTTCCCACATAAACCCCTTTTGCACTCCTTCCAAATCTGGCTTCCTTTCAAACTTCTTTTGCTGTCCATTTTTCTTACCCAGCCACTTTTTTACATATTGTCTATGATTCCTTTTGTGCTATGACAGCACAGTACAGTAGTTTTGACAAAGACTGGATGATATACAAAGACAAAAATATTTACTAGACAGTCCTTTACAGAAAATATTTTCTCACCTCCTATCTAGCAGACAACTCTATGCTAACATTTAGTAATTTGTTTTTAAGCAGTTCACACGTCTTTCCCCCATTAGACTCTATGCTTCTTTAGAATAGGGTCAAGTCTTACTCTTTTTTTTTTATTTCTATACCTAGCACAGTGCCTGGTACACAGTATCTACTCAAGGAATTTTGAACTATTTTGAACTCCCTCTAGGAAATTTTAGAGTCATCTTTTGACTCTTCTCACTATATCCCCTAGGTTCAACCTGCCCCCCTAAAAAAATTATTTGTTGCATTAGATCGTTTGCAAAAATGGCTGCAATAATTGCCTCTCTCTCTGTCCTTGTTTAGTGCCCTCCAATACTGTTTTTGGACTTCAACATGTTGCTTGCTTTGGCCAATGGAATAATGGCAAATAAGATGCATTCAGACATTTGAAGGGTATGTGAACACTGGAACTTGACCTCTCCTGCTGCATGTGGAACTCTGGTGCCACCAGGGGAAAGAGCCAAGCTAGCCTGCTGAATAATGAAAGATACATTGCCCCGTTACTCCCCTACGCTAGCCAAGAGCCAGAGAAATAAGTGAAGCCATCAAATGCTAGCTGATTGCAAGTACATAAGGAAACCTCATTGCATGAATGAGCCCAGCTAAGACCAGCAAAAAACCACCTAGCTGAGCCTAGCCCAAATCATTCACCCATAAAATCATGAGCTAATAAACCATTGCTGTTTTAAGCCAATATTTCTGGGGGTGTGGGGGGTTGTTATACAGCATAGGCTAGCTGCTACATTGATCTTCTTCATTATAAACATCTTTAGGATTTGTACCTTAAACTTTACCCCAACCACTAAAGCAGTATGCATCATCACATTATCCTCACCCTTATGCTCCATATTAGAATAACTCACCAACTTATCTTTTTACCTCTAACTTCTTTTTTTTATTTTTTTATTATTATTATACTTTAAATTTTAGGGTACATGTGCACAATGTGTAGGTTTGTTACATATGTATACATGTGCCATGTTGGTGTGCTGTACCCATTAACTCGTCATTTACATTAGGTATATCTGCTTATGCTATCCCTCCCCCCTCCCCCCACCCCACAACAGTCCCCGGTGTGTAATGTTCCCCTTCCTGTGTCCATGTGTTCTCATTGTTCAATTCCCACCTATGAGTAAGAACATGCGGTGTTTGGTTTTTTGTCCTTGCGATAGTTTGCTGAGAATGATGGTTTCCAGCTTCATCCATGTCCCTACAAAGGACAGGAACTCATCATTTTTTATGGCTGCATAGTATTCCATGGTGTATATGTGCCACATTTTCTTAATCCAGTCTATCATTGTTGGATATTTGGGTTGGTTCCAAGTCTTTGCTATTGTGAATAGTGCCACAATAAACATATGTGTGCATGTGTCTTTATAGCAGCATGATTTATAATCCTTTGGGTATATACCCAGTAATGGGACGGCTGGGTCAAATGGTATTTCTAGTTCTAGATCCCTGAGGAATGGCCACACTGACTTCCACAATGGTGGAACTAGTTTACAGTCCCACCAACAGTGTATAAGTGTTCCTATTTCTCCACATCCTCTCCAGCATCTGTTGTTTCCTGACTTTTTAATGATTGCCATTCTAACTGGTGTGAGATGGTATCTCATTGTGGTTTTGATTTGCATTTCTCTGATGGCCAGTGATGGTGAGCAATTTTTCATGTGTTTTTTGGCTGCATAAATATCTTCTTTTGAGAAGTGTCTGTTCATATCCTTCGCACACTTTTTGATGGGGTTGTTTGTTTTTTTCTTGGAAATTTGTTTGAGTTCATTGTAGATTCTGGATATTAGCCCTTTGTCAGATAAGTAGGTTGCAAAAATTTTCTCCCATTTTGTAAGTTGCCTGTTCACTCTGATGGTAGTTTCTTTTGCTGTGCAGAAGCTCTTTAGTTTAATTAGATCCCATTTGTCAATTTTGTCTTCTGTTGCCATTGCTTTTGGTGTTTTAGACATGAAGTCCTTGCCCATGCCTGTGTCCTGAATGGTATTGCCTAGGTTTCCTTCCAGGATTTTTATGGTTTTAGGTCTAACATGTAAGTCTTTAATCCGTCTTGAATTAATTTTTGTATAAGGTGTAAGGAAGGGATCCAGTTTCAGCTTTCTACATATGGCTAGCCAGTTTTCCCAGCACCATTTATTAAATAGGGAATCCTTTCCCCATTGCTTGTTTTTCTCAGGTTTGTCAAAGATCAGATAGTTGTAGATATGTGGCATTATTTCTGAGGGCTCTGTTCTGTTCCATTGATCTATATCTCTGTTTTGGTACCAGTATCATGCTGTTTTGGTTACTGTAGCCTTGTAGTATAGTTGGAAGTCAGGTAGCGTGATGCCTCCAGCTTTGTTCTTTTGGCTTAGGACCGACTTGGTGATGCGGGCTCTTTTTTGGTTCCATATGAACTTTAAAGTAGTTTTTTCCAATTCTGTGAAGAAAGTCATTGGTAGCTTGATGGGGATGGCATTGAATCTGTAAATTACCTTGGGAAGTATGGCCATTTTCTCGATATTGATTCTTCCTACCCATGAGCATGGAATGTTCTTCCATTTGTTTGTATCCTCTTTTATTTCATTGAGCAGTGATTTGTAGTTCTCCTTGAAGTGGTCCTTCACATCCCTTGTAAGTTGGATTCCTAGGTATTTTATTCTCTTTGAAGCAATTGTGAATGAGAGTTCACTCATGATTTGGCTCTCTGTTTGTCTGTTATTGGTGTATAAGAATGCTTGTGATTTTTGTACGTTGATTTTGTATCCTGAGACTTTGCTGAAGTTGCTTATCAGCTTAAGGAGATTTTGGGCTGAGATGATGGGGTTTTCTAGATATACAATCATGTCATCTGCAAACAGGGACAATTTGACTTCCTCTTTTCCTAATTGAATGCCCTTTATTTCCTTCTCCTGCCTGATTGCCCTGGCCAGAACTTCCAACACTATGTTGAATAGGAGTGGTGAGAGAGGGCATCCCTGTCTTGTGCCAGTTTTCAAAGGGAATGCTTCCAGTTTTTGTCCATTCAGTATGATATTGGCTGTGGGTTTGTCATAGACAGCTCTTATTATTTTGAGATATGTCCCATCAATGACTAATTTATTGAGAATTTTTAGCATGAAGCATTGTTGAATTTTGTCAAAGGCCTTTTCTGCATCTATTGAGATAATCATGTGGTTTTTGTCTTTCATTCTGTTTATATGCTGGATTACATTTATTGATTTGCTTATGTTGAACCAGCCTTGCATCCCAGGGATGAAGCCCACTTGATCATGGTGGATAAGCTTTTTGATGTGCTGCTGGATTCGGTTTGCCAGTATTTTATTGAGGATTTTTGCATCAATGTTCATCAAGGATATTGGTCTAAAATTCTCTTTTTTGGTTGTGTCTCTGCCCAGCTTTGGTATCAGGATGATGCTGGCCTCATAAAATGAGTTAGGGAGGATTCCCTCTTTTTCTATTGATTGGAATAGTTTCAGAAGGAATGGTACCAGTTCCTCCTTGTACCTCTGGTAGAATTCGGCTGTGAATCCATCTGGTCCTGGACTTTTTTTGGTTGGTAAGCTATTAATTATTGCCTCAATTTCAGAGCCTGTTACTGGTCTTTTCAGAGATTCAACTTTTTCCTGGTTTAGTCTTGGGAGAGTGTATGTGTCGAGGAATTTATCCATTTCTTCTAGATTTCTTTATTAGTCTTGCTAGCAGTCTATCAATTTTGTTGATCTTTTCAAAAAACCAGCTCCTGGATTCACTGATTTTTTGAAGGGTTTTTTGTGTCTCTATTTCCTTCAGTTCTGTTCTGATCTTAGTTATTTCTTGCCTTCTGCTAGCTTTTGAATGTGTTTGCTCTTGCTTCTCTAGTTCTTTTAATTGTGATGTTAGGGTGTCAATTTTAGATCTTTCCTGCTCACTCTTGTGGGCATTTAGTGCTATAAATTTCCCTCTACACACTACTTTGAATGTGTCCCAGAGATTCTGGTATGTTGTGTCTTTGTTCTCATTGGTTTCAAAGAACATCTTTATTTCTGCCTTCATTTTGCTACGTACCCAGTAGTCATTCAGAAACAGGTTGTTCAGTTTCCATGTAGTTGAGCAGTCTTTTGAGTGACTTTCTTAATCCTGAGTCCTAGTTTGATTGCACTGTGGTCTGAAAGTTTGGTATAATTTCTGTTCTTTTACATTTGCTGAGGAGTGCTTTACTTCCAACTATGCGGTCAATTTTGGAATAGGTGTGGTGTGGTGCTGAAAAGAATGTATATTCTGTTGATTTGGGGTGGAGAGTTCTGTAGATGTCTATTAGGTCTGCTTGGTGCAGAGCTGAGTTGAATTCCTGGATATCCTTGTTAACTTTCTGTCTCATTGATCTGTCTAATGTTGACAGTGGGGTGTTAAAGTCTCCCATTATTATTGTGTGGGAGTCTAAGTTTCTTTCTAGGTCACTAAGGACTTGCTTTATGAATCTGGATGCTCCTGTATTGGGTGCATATATATTTAGGATAGTTAGCTCTTCTTATTGAATTGATCCCTTTAACATTATGTAATGGCCTTCTGTGTCTCTTTTGATCTTTGTTGGTTTACAGTCTGTTTTATCTGAGACTAGGATTGCAACCCCTACCTTTTTTTGTTTTCCATTTGCTTGGTAGATCTTCCTCCATCCCTTTATTTTGAGCCTATGTGTGTCTCTGCACATGAGATGGGTTTCCTAAATATAGCACACTGATGGGTCTTGACTCTTTATCCAATTTGCCAGTCTGTGTCTTTTAATTGGAGCATTTAGCCCATTTACATTTAAGGTTAATATTGTTATGTGTGAATTTGATCCTGTCATTATGATGTTAGGTGGTTATTTTGCTCATTAATTAATGCAGTTTCTTCCTAGCCTTGACGGTCTTTACAATTTGGCATGTATTTGCAGTGGCTGGTACCGGTTGTTCCTTTCCATGTGTAGTGCTTCCTTCATGTGCTCTTTTAGGGCAGGCCTGGTGGTGACAAAATCTCTCGGCATTTGCTTGTCTGTAAAGGATTTTATTTCTCCTTCACTTATGAAGCTTAGTTTGGCTGGATATGAAATTCTGGGTTGAAAATTCTTTTCTTTAAGAATGTTGAATATTGGCCCCCACTCTCTTCTGACTTGTAGAGTTTCTGCCGAGAGATCAGCTGTTAGTCTGATGGGCTTCCCTTTGTGGGTAACCTGACCTTTCTCTCTGGCTGCCCTTAACATTTTTTCCTTCATTTCAACTTTGGTGAATCTGACAATTATGTGTCTTGGAGTTGCTCTTCTCAGGAGTATCTTTGTGGTGTTCTCTGTATTTCCTGAATTTCAATGTTGTCCTGCCATGCTAGATTGGGGAAGTTCTCCTAGATAATATCCTGCAGAGTGTTTTCCAACTTGGTTCCATTCTCCCTGTCACTTTCAGGTACACCAATCAGACGTAGATTTGGTCTTTTCACATAGTCCCATATTTCTTGGAGGCTTTGTTCGTTTTTTTATTCTTTTTTCTCTAAACTTCTCTTCTCGCTTCATTTCACTCATTTCGTCTTCCATCAACTGATACCCTTTCTTCCAGTTGATCGCATCGGCTACTGAGGCTTCTGCATTCTTCACGTAGTTCTCGTGCCATGATTTTCATGTCCGTCAGGTCCTTTAAGGACTTCTCTGCATTGTTTATTCTAGTTAGCCATTCGTCTAATTTTTTTCAAGGTTTTTAAGTTCTTTGCCATTGGTTCGAACTTCCTCCTTTAGCTCAGAGTAGTTTGATCTTCTGAAGCCTTCTTCTCTCAACTCATCAAAGTCATTCTCCATCCAGCTTTGTTCCGTTGCTTGTGAGGAGCTGCATTCCTTTGGAGGAGAAGAGGTGCTCTCATTTTTAGAGTTTCTGGTTTTTCTGTTCTGTTTTTTCCCCATCTTTGTGGTTTTATCTACATTTGGTCTTTGATGATGGTGACGTACAGATGGGGTTTTGGTGTGGATGTCCTTTCTGTTTGTTAGTTTTCCTTCTAACAGTCAGGACCCTCAGCTGCAGGTCTGTTGGAGTTTGCTGGAGGTCCACTCCAGACGCTGTTTGCCTGGGTATCAGCAGCGGTGGCTGCAGAACAGCGGATATTGGTGAACCGCAAATGCTGCTGCCTGATCATTCCTCTGGAAGTTTTGTCTCAGAGGGGTACCCAGCCATGTGAGGTGTCAGTCCGCCCCTGCTGGGGGGTGCCTCCCAGTTAGGCTACTCGGGGGTCAGGGACCCACTTGTGGAGGCAGTCTGCCCATTCTCAGATCTCAAGCTGCGTGCTGTGAGAACCACTACTCTCTTCAAAGCTGTCAGACAGGGACATTTAAGTCTGCAGAGGTTACTGCTGCCTTTTGTTTGTCTGTGCCCTCCCCCCAGAAGTGGAGCCTACAGAGGCAGGCAGGCCTCCTTGAGCTGTGGTAGGCTCCACCCAGTTCGAGCTTCCTGGCCACTTTGTTTACCTACTCAAGCCTCGGCAATGGCGGGCGTCCCTCCCCCAGCCTCACTGCCGCCTTGCAGTTTGATCTCAGACTGCTGTGCTTGCAATGAGCGAGGCTCCATGGGCTTAGGACCCTCCAAAGCCATGCACGGGATATAATCTCCTGGTGTGCCGTTTGTTAAGCCCATTGGCAAAGCACAGTATTAGGGTGGGAGTGACCCGATTTTCCATTGGGTCACTTCTTTCTTTGACTAGGAAAGGGAATTCCCTGACCCCTTGTGCTTCCCGGGTGAGGCGATGCCTTGCCCTGCTTCGGCTCACGCATGGTGCGCTGCACCCACTGTCCTGCACCCACTGTCCAGCACTCCCCAGTGAGATGAACCCAGTGCCTCAATTGGAAATGCAGAAATCACCTGTCTTCTGTGTCGCTCATGCTGGGAGCTGTAGACTGCAGCTGTTCCTATTCGGCCATCTTGGCTCCACCCTTACCTCTAACTTCTATTCAGGTGTATAAAACACTTCTGCCAAATTAATCATCCTAAAACTTTTCTTTCACCACATCCTGATCAATGATAAGCAATGGTATTTTATTTTCTAAATATAAAGTCAATTTTATATCCTAAATGCCTATTTTTATATTCAAAACATTTACTTTGATCTTAAAACCATTGTAAGAGAACTGCCATGAGAAATAAACCGTAAAATCACAAATCATGAAAATGCTTTTAGTTCATTTAATCTTACAAATTCCCCTTACATGTGATGAAACTGAGACTCAAAAAGTCAAAGGAACTTGCCAGAGATTACACAGCTACTTAACAGTAGGAGTGAACTAGAATTTGAATTCCCTAATTTTCATTCTAGTTCTCTTTTAATTGTGATATGCTATAAACACTTATAAAAAAAACTTTTTCTTACTGAATGGACTCCTACATTAGAAGACCAGATTCTCCATTACTTTAAAAGTTATAGCCACAGACAGTGTTCATTTGGAACAGGGGCTTCTCACCATGATGGTGAGAAGTTTTATCTTCAGTCTCACCTCCGAATCCTGTCAGCTGTTATCTCGTATTTAGAGCTTACCATTTTCTAAGGTGAATCAATCATTCCTTCTTTGAAGACAGCAACTGCCACTCAAAACTAGCAATCCTAGAGGAATAACCTACACATAATATACAAACGTACCACTGTATATTCTTTTACAGTAAGAAATATACAGAGTTGTTCATTAAAACCATGTTTATAAAAGGAAAAAACTGTAAAGAACCTAAACATCCATGAGCAGGGGATAGATTAAACAAATTATGGTACATCTATAATACAAAGTACTGTTTAATAGAATTATGTATCTGTGAAATAAAAAAATTGCTAAGATATATAGTTATATAGAAAAGCAATTCACATACTGCATTACATAAGATATAATATTATCCCATTTATGTAAAATAAGCAAACAAAAAAGTGAAAAAGTATATGTGTATATGTGTGTAGGTATAAAGATGTGTGTATGTATATTTCTAAATTAGTAGAAGAAGGATTGGAAGAATAAGCGCTAAATGGTTAAAAGCTACAACCTGAAGAGAGGGGGGTAAAATCAAAGAATATGATGGGGAAGCCCTTTTATGTTTTACTTTATATATTTCTGTATTTTTTAGGCTTTTTAAGAGACAATATCTTTATATACTACTGTATCGTTTGAAGTGACAATATATCTATGCACTACCTGTAAAATTTTTTTGGTGAGACAAGAATTCACTACTGCTACCACCACCATCACCCAAGAGGAAGCACAAAGAACATTATAAATGGCTTTTTGTTTTTCTTAGTGATGTTGTCTATCTGCAAGCTAGCCCACTAATATTTGATCCTTACTATTAGGGGTCATCAAACTACAGTACATGGATCAAACTCAGCCAGTCATCTGTTTTTTATAAATAAAGTATTATTGAAACATAGCCACGGTCATTTGTTTGCGTATTTTCTATTGCTGCTTTTGAGTACAAAGGCAATGTTCGGTCATTGCAACAGAGACCATATGGCCCTCAAAGCCAAAAATACTTAACATCCAGTCCTTTCCAAAAAACATTTGCCAATATAACTCCAGAACAATGACAAAGACAAGTTTAATAGGCTCTCTAGGGCTCAGACTCATGAATGACCCCACTCTGGTCATGCTGTAATCAATTTAACAGCCACAGATACTATCAATAACAGCAAAATACACATCAAAGAGTTGGATATTTTTTTGCCTGGAGACTTTTCTTTCCCTTCACTTATACTTATTTTTTGTGTCTACATAATTTTCTTAATGTATTTAATTGGATTTCATTTTCTCTATGTCTAGACAAAACCTCTCTTATCTTTTCTATTAATTGAAATGGAGCAATTAATTTTATAATAAAGCCTTTCTGCTAGCCACAGATACTACTTTATGTTTTATTTCCAAAGAAAAAGAATGTAAGCTGTCTGTAGATTTTTAAGTTTCTTGCTGCTCAAAGATTTACTGCCATCACAGCAGGAAGATTTTGAAGCTTCAAAAGAGCAAGAATTACAATATATGCCTACAAAATGAAGGAAAATGAGATTTCCACTCTTTGGTTAACATGGACTAATGCAGATGGAATTAACAGATGAAGTTTCCTGGGAGCATAATAAAAGATAGCAAAGAGGCAGCAGTAAGTGGCATGGGAAAAGAGACTAATGGCAAATGTAGGTAGGAGTCAATTAAATATGATACAATGGAAAATTTACTGCAACTGGAGACAACACAATAACTTTCCATGATGTTTTGTTAGTGGACTATTAGAGTACTTGCCAGATATTAGGAACCTTAATTACTAAGCAACCATTGCCATCACTGGGAAACTTAATCCACTTACACTCTGTCCCTCTCCATAATATGAGGGAGTTGGTATAGATGATTGCTAAGGTTCATTCCAGCCCAAAAACATCATTTCCACCTGTCTGCTACTTAGTAAATGTTTTAGTCCATTTGGCTGCTATAACAAAATACATGAGACTAGGCAATTCATAAAGAACTGAAATTTACTTCTCACAGTTCTGGAGGCTGAGAAATCCAAGAGGGAGGGCTTGCTCTCTGTGTCCAAGATGATGCCTTGTTGCTGCATCTTCCTGGAGGAGATGAATGCTCTGTCCTCACATGGCAGAAGGGATGGAGGGGCTAAAAAGGGCTGTGGCTAGTTGACTCTGACCTCTTTTAGAAGAATACTAATCCATTCATTAAAGTAGAGCCCTCGTGACCAAATCACTTCCCAAAATACCTCACCTTTTAATACCACCACAGTTGGGATTAGGTTTCAACATGAATTTTGTAGGGGACACATTCAAACCATGGCACTAAGTTTATAACCTTGGGCAAGTCAACTAACCTTTTTAGGCTTCAGTTTTCTTTTCTGTAAACTGGGAGTCAAAACGGTAATTTGTAGTACTGTTGTATGAATTACATGAGATAACACATACAAAGCACTCAACACCATGTTTGCATGTGGTAAATGTAAAAACAGTGTTTATTATTATTATTTTAAAGGGATCATTCTACTGGCATTGTTATGTTTTGGCAACTATCCAGATGAGGAAAAGGCCTTCTAACTAAATAATTCTGTCTGTAGAAGAAATATGGCCATAGGGAACATTCCCACTAAAAGTTCAAAGGAAATTCAATAAACCCACATGCATATAAGCAATCAGAAACATTGAAATAAATTTACGAATAGAAGCAAAATTGGTGTCTTAGTCAGTTGCCATAACAAAATACCTTATACCAGGCAATTTAAACAACAGAAGTTTATTTTCTCACAATTCTGGAATCTGGAAGCCCACAATCAGGGTGCCAGCAAGGACTGGTTCTGTTCAGGGGTCTCTTTCTGCTGCCTTCTCACTGGATCCTCACATAGCAGAGGAAGAGAAAGCAAGCCTTCTGGTGTATCTTCTTATGAGGGCACTAATCCCATCATGACGGCCCCATTTTCACGACCTCATCTAACGCTAATTGCCTTCAAAAGGCTCTATTTCCAAACAGCATCACAATGGAGGCTTGGGCTTCAACATATGAATTTGGGAGGATACAAAAATAACATTCATTTTTGTTATTTTTGGCCCCTCACAATTCATGTCCTTCTCACCTGCAAAATGCATTCATTCCACCCCAGCAGCCCCAAAGTTTTAACTCATTTCAGCTTCAACTCTAAAGTGGAAGGTCCAAAGTCTTTAAAAATCATCTAAATCACATATGGGAGAGGTTCAAGGTACAATTCGTGCTGAAGCAAAATTTCTCTGTGTGTGTGTGCCTATGAAACCACGCAATTACATACTTCCAAAATACAGTGGTGGACAGGCAGAGGATAGACATTCTCATTCCAAAAGGGAGAAATCAGAAGATAGGAAGGAGTGATAGCTCCCAAGCAAATTCAAAACCTAGCAGGGAAAATCCCACCAGATCTTAAGACTGGAGAATAATCCTCTTTAGTTCCATACTCTGCCTTTCAGGCATGTTGGGATGAAAATGTCACCCTGTTGCTCTGTGGGGCAACCCTGCTCCTGAGGCACTGGAAGGTGCCATCCTGGCCTGCTGAAACCAAGAGGCAATCCCACCCTTTGAAAGTGAGATGGAAACAGCCTTGATCCCAGGCCCATGGGTGGAGTGGCAGCCCTGATGATCTCTGAATCACCTTTGGGGCCATTCTTCCCTTTCCTTAAAGAATAACCCATGCACGTTTGCAGCTGAATAGCCCTATGGTCCTGCCTATGTCTCCCTTTGGAATGAGAATATCTGTCTTATGCCTGTCCACCACTGTATTTCATTGTACTTTTCACTTTTTTTTTAACTCATGTCATGTTAACAATGAAACCACATTTCTCAAAACATATCTCCATCATTAAGACACATGTGCCTTGTTTGTTTGTGCCTTGGTAGTTAAAAGTATGTTATATCTCCCCCTAAAAGAATCTCTAAGATATAAGACCATTCTTCTATATATCCAAAATAACATTTTCACATTTAATACAATTAATAATTCCTTAATAGCATCTAGCACCTAGTCTAAATCCAAGTATTCTCAGCTGCCTCCACAAAAAAATGAGCTTTATAGTTGCTTTAGCCAAACCAGGATCCAATCCAGAACAGCACAACTGGATGTTGCGTTCCTTTAAATCTCTTTCAACCTAGAAAAAGATAATCATCTTTTCATTGCTTGGCTTGTTGAATAGACAGGTTAATTGCCCTGTAAAATGTTGTAACTTCCAGATTTGTTTATTTGCATCCTCATGGTATTTGTTTACCTTGTTCATCTATTCCCATCTTTGTTGGAAACTGGAAGTTACAGCTGAAGACCTGATTATATTCAACTGAAACATTTTTAAATGGATGGAATATATGATCAGTGGACACTTACTATCTGGTTACCCTATCATTAGTAATACTAAGATTGATTGATTTCTCAGCTCTCCAATGGGGCCACCAGCAATTTAAAAAAAACTTTGGGCTACTTGATATATTAAATATATTTTAATGGGATAACCTGGTCTAAACCACCATGTGCAACATTGTTGCAATGCATAAGCACTTTAGAATCTCCAGCAGCAGCTCATCTATAGACTAATTTTGGAGTACAGTCATGTGTCTTCATGATGGAGATATGTTTTGAGAAATGTGGTTTCATCGTTGTGTGAACATAATAGAGTGTACTTACACAAACTAGATGATAGAGCCTGCTACACATCTAAGCTATATGGTATAGCCTATTACTCATAGGCTACAAACTTGTACAGCAAGTTACTGTACTAAATATTGTAGGCAGTTGTAACACAATGGTACTTGTGTATCCAAACATATCTAAACATAGAAAAGGTATGGTAAAAAAAATATAGTATTACAGTCTTTTTTCTTCTTTTTTTTTAAAAGCATATTTCTCAAATCTCTTGCAACTTAGGTATTATAATCCTATGGGACCACGTGTGGTCTGCCATTGACCAAAATGTTATGGGGCACATGACTGTGTTTACCTCAAAAACAAATTGCCTCTAGTCAGTTTTAATTAAAAATGGATCTTCAACTAATAGGGCTTGTCTTTTCATCTCCAGACAGGTGTGTTTGCTGCCAATAGTCTTGGCCACAGCACTAACCAATGAGAAGGCTGTAGTGACAGTTTCAGGTCTCTGACATACATTTCCCCAATTTCTCTGCCTTTACTCTCACAACCAGTCTTTGTGGTTCTTCTCTGAAAACTTCAGGTTTCATTGCTCCTAGAGACCTTAACCATGAACACATCTCTAGCAAATACTGTGAGACTCAAAACCACTACTGCATTTCAAGTTTGAGGATCTTGGGAGTTAGCAACTGTGAAATGGATTTACAAATTTAAATCAAGAAACTTAAATTCAGAAGAACATTTGCCCCAAGGACACATGAAAAAATGGTTTTTTAAGTGCTATATTGAGTACTTCTTAATCTTCAGCACTTTTTGTTCATGAAATCAATACAATACTAACATGATGCCAAGATAAGTTCATTACAGTAATCCTCCACTTAGTGAGCTACTTGAACCAGAAGTCAAGTGTGATCAGGATAGTTTCCCCGAAACCCAGAAAACCTGCAAATCTGCATCCAACCCACTTTCCAGGGGAAAGAAATAACCTTTGGAAGTCAAGTTGAAAAGCTTAGTCAAATATATTAATTATATGTTCTTTGAAAGTAAAAAGCATGGAATATAGAGTTGGGGCAAGTATATAAAGTATTATCTATGGGGAGAAAGGTAACTGGAGGTAAAGTTAACTTGACTAAAAACTGGTTCGAGTCCCCTGAAGTCATTTGCCCCAAGTAAAGCTGAGAAAATGAGGATATAAATCTCCAACAGCTAAAGAACATTTATGTTGTTCTCATCTAGAATGAGGCAATCCTATTCTCTTACAAAGGCAGGTCTATGCTGATTATTCACATAAATACACTTACTTATGTTTAAAGATCTTAAAAGAGACAGTAAACTCATTTTATGAATTTAGAGGGCAGATCAACAGGTAACGTATAGAGGCAGATTTCATTTTGATGTCAGGAAGAATTGATTACGGTAAAAGATACATAACATAAATTTACCATTTTAACCATTTCAAAGTGTACAGTTCATTGGCATTAAGTACATTCACATTGTTGTGCAACCCTCATCACCATCCGTCACTGGAACTTTTTCATCATCCCAAACTAAATCTCTGAAACGTATGAAACAGTAAGTCCCCATTCTCCCCTCGGCACCTCCAAGCCCCTGGTAATCACTATTCTACCTTCGGTGTCTATGAATTTAACTATTCTAGGTACCTCATCTAAGTGGGATAATAAAATATCTATCTTTCCTTTTATGTCTGGCTTATTTCACTTAACATAATATCTTAAACGTTCATCCATGTGGTAGCATATATCATTCTTTTTTAAAGCTGAATAATGTTCTGTGTTATGTACATGTATTTATATACATATACATACATGTATATACCACATTTTGTTTATCCATTCTTCCACTGATGGATATTTGGATTGTTTCCATCTTTTGGCTAGTTTTCACCTTTTGGCTTTTCTGAATAATGCTGCTATGAATATGGGTGTACAAATATCTGTTTGAGACTCTGCTTTCAATTATTTAGGTAAGTACCAAAAAGTAGAATTGCTGGATCATAGGGTAATTTTATGTTTAATTTTTGGAGGGCTGCCATGCTGTTTTCCACAACTGCTACACTATATTTTACATTCAGACTGGCAATGCACAAGGGTTCCAATTTCTCAACATTCTTGCCAACACTTGTTCTTTGCTGTTTTTGCTTTTGTTTTACTATAATGGCTATCCTAATAGGTGTGAAGGAAGAATTTTTAGTAACTAGTCCTACACCACAGTGAGATCAGCTGTCTCAATAGGTGGGTCATGATGAATGTGTTCTAGCAAAGACTGGACAGATTGACATATTCAGATATGCAGGTGATGCACTGTCCAAGTGTGTCTGGCCACAGAGTGAATAAGGGCTGAAATCCAGCACATGTTTCACGGGCCAAGATGTGAACTGCCTCTTTTGGGAGGAAGCAGTAAGTTTTTCTTTCCCGAAAATATTGTCAGCTTGCCAAGCCACATGCCCAAAGGGTCACCTTTTTTTAATATAAACAATGGCACTTATAAAAGCTATTAGTTATTCTGGTTGGCTGATTCTCCCTCCTAGAGAAGCTGTAAGATTAGTGAACAGGGTAATATCTAGTCTAACCCTACTAGATGACTATTAAGGCCTCTTTCAATGGTGGTTTTCTGTAGATCTCTTTGATGGTTTTACAAAATGGTCCCTAAATTCTTTGACACTCCTCACACTAAGGGTTGGGCTCTATATACCCTCACCTTCAATCTGGGATTTGTGACTGCTTGACTAATAGAATCAAGCAGAAATGACACGGTGCCAGTTTCTGGGCCCAGCCCTTAAGAAACTGGCAGCTTCCACTTTCTGTCTCTGGGGACATTCACTCTTGGATCCCCGCCACCATGCTGTGAGGAAGCCCAAACCACAAGTCTCCACAAGTCTTTGTGGAGAGACGCACGTGGAGAAAAACTAACACTCAACACCAAGCAAGTGAACTGTCTTGGAAGTGGATCCTCCAGCCCCTGCTACATGGAGCAAAAACGAGCTGTCCCAGACAGGCTCTGCCCAAACTGCAGACTGATAAGCAGAGTAAATGAGTGTTGTTATTTTAAGCCACTACGTTTTATAGTAATTTGTTTAGCTGCAGCAGATAGCCGGAACAGCATGGGATATAACATGACCAGTGCTCCAACCTCACACTTCTACCATGTGCTGACTCTAGCAGTGCACTGAAGGACTCCAAGGCAGGCCTTCCCTGAGGAGACCCCAGTTTTTACTCACATGTCACAGGCAGTGGCCTTTGTCCCTCATCTCCTCTCCCACCCCCAATTTAGGATAAAGTATCTGCCGTGATAAAGACGTTGAGACCCACTTTCTGTAAGGTCGGCTTCTTCATTGTTTGAATTTCTTGAGGTTTCACGGAGCCACGCGCTGGAACCTTCCATAGTCTCTCCTGAGGCTCCTTCTTTGCCCTGGGCTGGAGGTCTGTAGCCGTGGGATGCTGGCTACAAGGGACAAGATAGAAGCAAACCACCTGATCCAGTAAACTGCTGTCCACTTCGGCTCCTCAACGGCCTCTAAGCTTAAGAGGGAGCACGCAAGCCAAGCAAAGGCGGCAGGGAAGACGGAGAAGAAACCACCCGTGGGCCCTGGCTCTGTGTCCAGTTGTTCCGTCACAGATCAAATCTGCCTGCACTAAGAGGATGGGTTCCTCTGCAAGGCCTTTCGGAATTCTGAGTCTTGTCTGTCAAACTCTACCCTCTCTCCTCCACATCCCCCACCTTTTCTTTCAGGAAGGAAATAGTTAAAAAAGACTCCTGCCCTTCAGGGCCTGGAAGGGGGCGGCAGCTTTGTGCTTTTTAGTGGCCGCGTCCCAGGATAGCTGGAAGGTTAGGACGCTCTTGCGGTCCCAGAGTGGAGTGGAAGGTCTGGAGCTTTGGGAGGAGACGGGGAGGACAGACTGGAGGCGTGTTCCTCCGGAGTTTTCTTTTTCGTGCGAGCCCTCGCGCGCGCGTACAGTCATCCCGCTGGTCTGACGATTGTGGAGAGGCGGTGGAGAGGCTTCATCCATCCCACCCGGTCGTCGCCGGGGATTGGGGTCCCAGCGAGACCTCCCCGGGAGAAGCAGTGCCCAGGAGGTTTTCTGAAGCCGGGGAAGCTGTGCAGCCGAAGCCGCCGCCGCGCCGGAGCCCGGGACACCGGCCACCCTCCGCGCCACCCACCCTCGCCGGCTCCGGCTTCCTCTGGCCCAGGCGCCGCGCGGACCCGGCAGCTGTCTGCGCACGCCGAGCTCCACGGTCGGTGCAAGTCTTTCTTATCGGGGACTGGGACTGGGGCGGGTGCGGGGATGGCGGAGACGCTGCCTGGGCCCCTCGGTCGGGAGAAGACGAGAGCTGGGAACGTTCTGGCCCGACCGCCCTGCAGCTTGGGCGACCCGTCGCAGCAGGGGCTGGCACCCACTTGCCCCAGGGCGCGCGGGGAGGCGGGCGCCTTCCGTGAGGGGTGCGCTGCGGACACGTGTAGAGTTCGGGGAACTTCACCTCTCCACGTTAGGGTTTAGGATTCGGAGTTTTAGGAAGAGGAAGCCCAATAGTTTTCCCTGGGTGACCCCTTTTCCCCAGGCATGCAAGAACTTTGAGGAACGCCAAGCTCTGTGGCTTGCTCCAGCGCCTTCTTGTGAAGTTGGCTCCACAGCCTTTTCTTACTGGCTTGCTTTTCCTCCCCCACATCTGGGTCTGGGTATGCCAAGGGTAGCCAAGGGCACTCGGTGTGAGGGACTGAGGTGTTTGGGGAAACCCCCTGTGTAGCTAGTTTTGGAAACCTGCCTGTGGAGGTCTGGGCGTTTTGTTCTGTGCTCGCCTTTAAAGGACACTTGTTGCTTCTCACGTGCAGAAAACAAGGGCTGCTTCTAGATAATCACCCTCTGTTTACATCATCCTAATGGCTTTCCCCTGATAGAGTTGGGGGTGGGAGGCATATTAAACTCAGGCGTTGTCTCTAAGGAGAGTTGCTCATTTCTTAACCAGAGAGCAAAACCTCAGAAAACTTGTAAAAAGTTCCTACTTTTACTTGTTTTTTCCTCCACCTGTAGTTGTCTATGTGTTAGCTAATTGAGAAACACCTTGGCAGTCATTTCATGTAAATTGAATGCTCTAAACTCATGCCATTTTGATAAGGTCTGAATTTCCAAATTACCAATTACAGGTGAACTTTGATCCTGAGAGTCTCATATGTTAAATGGTTAAAGTGTAAGCGTAAGGATTCAGTCCTCTTTCTTAATAATAGTTTTTGCACTCCCCAAACTCTCAGATTCCAAACAGGAAGAATGCTGAATCTATAGACCATGTCCTTCAGGTCTGAACCTGAGATGCTTCACTAGCGCTATGACTGATTATGAGTGATGATTCAAAGCACAGCCTGACTCAGATTCCTGGAAATGAGCTACAGACCCACCTTGGAAGAACCTGCAGTTGAGGGGCTTCTTTCATTTGGTTTTGTACTTTTCAGCCAATGATAATATGACATCCACAGGCCTTTGCCAAGTATCCCTTAGTTTTGCAGCTTAACATGTGTGGAGAGCTGATAGAGAAGTCATCAGAAATGATTTCTGTAGTGGTGTCATTGTTGGAGGAGGAAGGAAGGGGGTTTTAATGATAGCTGGCTCTCATGCCTTAAGAACCCACAGCGTTGGCCTTACCTCCTGGCATAATCAGCTAACCAAGCAGACCAGCATGCTAACGTTCAAAGCACCACAGGACCTCTGATGAGTAGAGCAGTACCCACCGTAGCCAGGTCAGTTCACAGGTCAGTTCCCAGCCGACTGTAACCGGCAGAGAGCCATTCCATTTCTGCAAAGGCCTTCTCTCTCTCATTTTTAAGAAAGCTGTTATTGAAGGTTCCCTTTCATTTGGGAAGCTGGAAGACGTTAGTCACGAAACAGCACAAGATATGAAAGTATTTCTTCTCCCCCCTGTATCTGTGATCCAAAAAGGAGGATGACAAGAAGCTTTTCTCTTGGAGTCCTGGTGTTCCCTTTGGAATGGAAATGGTGTCATTTCATAGGTCTATCAATTTTTGGCCAGATACTCACTCCAGATTATAAGAAGCAGGAAAAAACTGCAAACTGTTTATAATTAAGTCTAGTCAGAGCTGACAAATACATGGCCTGCCTCTAGCCTTGAAAAATTGATATTTTTCCCATTTAATCAGAGTGAGTCAAGTCCTATAAGCAAAATTATGTGTCCTGCCATTTCTTGGCTTTGAAACCTTGACCTAAATACTTCTTCAAGACTCTGGTTTCCTTATAAGTAAAATGGAGATATTGCTCCTGCCTACCTAGAGTCGTAAAGCTCAAGGCAGATAACAGATACATATATAATAAGTTACTATATGTAAATACTATTATTATTTCAGAGTTCAGGGGGAAATCTCTGGGGAAGGCAAAAGTATCCAATACTCGCACTTTATATATACCCTATACTTTCTATGCAACTTGAATAAATCTTATTTTATCCACGTATTGGCCAAACCTAAGCTTTACTGATTTCCCAAGATAATTGTCAAAATTCCTAAAAGTGGTTAACATCAACCTTGAATACACTCAGAAAAAGGATTCAATTTTATTTTTTACTTTTTATTTATTTAATTTTTTTTTTTTTGAGACAGGGTCTCACTCTGCTGCTCAGGATGGAGTGCAGTGACTCGATCATAGCTCCCTGCAGCCTTAACCTCCTGGACTCAAGTGATTCTCCCATCTCAGCCTCCCAAGTAGCTGAGACTACAGGCACACGCCACCATGCCTGTCTAATCTTTTTTATGTTTTGTAAAGACAGGGTCTCACTAAGTTGCCCAGGCTAGTTTCAAACTCCTGGGCTCAAGTGATCCTCCTGCTTTGGCCTCCCAAAGTGCTGAGATTATAGACATGAGCCACCACACCCAACCAGGACTCAATTTTTTTAAGATTAAATTATGACCTGGGTATATACATCACAGACACGTACACACACCACCGCATAAATCAGATTATGTCTTCATTTGAAGATTCATAAAAGCCTACAGAAAAGGAAATATATAAAATATTGAAATAGGATGAGCTATTTTTAATTATCTTTGATTATTCCTTATTAAGGTCTCCTAGACTTCCTGGACAGGAAGGACCACTTGCTCTCTGCAAGTGACTTAAAAATAAATAAATAAATAAATAAACCACACCAGATGGTCTTTGAAAATGTCTAACCACCCTCCTGAGTCTATTGCTTCATCTAAACTCTGGAGACTTCTTTAAAATATTTTACATACAAATAAAGCACAAGAATGAGAGACAGGATGGTTTAGTGGTTAACAGCTCCGGCTCAGAGTTGGACTGACCTGCCTTAGAATCGCAGTGTTGCCACCCATCACCTGTGGCCTTGACAAGCTGCTTCACCCTCCTGGGCCTCTGTTTCCCTATCTTCAAAATTGAACCGTGGATCTACCCCACAGGACCATTGTATGGATTACAGGGCATCATGCACATATAGTACTGAGTACAGTGACTGGCATAAAATAAATGTAGCTATATAGGATGGTTAAAAGATAGCATGGGGACAGGTGTCCCTTGGAAACCAAAATACTATGACTAGCCTGGAAAAGTTCATTACTCCCATTTCATTCATCGGCAAATACCGTATTGTGATGATAATTTCTGAGAAATGAAAAAGCAAAAAAACTCCTGTAAAAAATTTAGATTTTACACATTAATCATCAAGGTTTTCAAAACAAATGTTTTTATCAATTATTTCATTCTTAATTGAAACTAAAATTGTTAGATGTGTTAATGGTGTTAACCAGAGTTCTCATTAACATTTCATAACACTTTAGATGGCTACCTGTGCTGCACTTCATCCCTATGTTCATTATTTATCATATGCAAGACAGCACACATTTTAGAAGATTCAATTTTTACATTCGATAATTTTATTTTATGCCTCAATACCCTGTACCCTTTACTCAGCATATAATGCCTTTTCTCTTTCATTAAAAAATATGTTTGTATCTCAACTCTTGAAGATTTTTGTAATTCAGGTTCTTATCAGCCTGAATGTAGAGAAAGAAGTAACTACTACTTAAAGGAAAAACTGACATAGCCTCATCCATATTATGATGTAGATATAAGTATAGCTATGTATAGAGATGAGTGAGAGAGACAAAGCTAGAGAGATAGGGAGATGGAGATAGAGCTAGAGATGGAAATAGAGACAGAGATAGATAGCTATAGAGACGGAAATGGAGACAGAGACAGAGACGGAGATGACAGAGATGATGGAGATGATGGAGATGGAGATGGAGACTGACATAGAGGAGATAGAGCTTGCCCTAATAGAGCTTCAGTTTTTTTCTGGTTTTGCTCTGTCATAGGGTAACCTGATATACATATATCTTATCTAATCACCAAATATATCCTGCATTTTAATTGAATCAATAAATAATCATTGACTATGATCTTTTTGGCAACTGGGTTTTGGAACAAAAATTATTTTTCCTTTTGTTTCAGGTGAAAAAAAAGTGAAGGTGTAAAAGCAGCACAAGTGCAATAAGAGATATTTCCTCAAATTTGCCTCAAGATGGAAACCCTTTGCCTCAGGGCATCCTTTTGGCTGGCACTGGTTGGATGTGTAATCAGTGATAATCCTGAGAGATACAGCACAAATCTAAGCAATCATGTGGATGATTTCACCACTTTTCGTGGCACAGAGCTCAGCTTCCTGGTTACCACTCATCAACCCACTAATTTGGTCCTACCCAGCAATGGCTCAATGCACAACTATTGCCCACAGCAGACTAAAATTACTTCAGCTTTCAAATACATTAACACTGTGATATCTTGTACTATTTTCATCGTGGGAATGGTGGGGAATGCAACTCTGCTCAGGATCATTTACCAGAACAAATGTATGAGGAATGGCCCCAACGCGCTGATAGCCAGTCTTGCCCTTGGAGACCTTATCTATGTGGTCATTGATCTCCCTATCAATGTATTTAAGGTAGGAAGTAACCACAAATGTATTTGCAAATTTAAACCCATGCTCTGATTCCACGTGGAGAGTTGCTGCAGACTTTTCTGACCTTTGGAATTTTATCTGTGTTTTTACTGAGAGCTATTTCTGCTGTCTTCTAACTACTAGTTTTAAGATTTACAAATTTTATTATCTGTCTTATGTTACACTTAGTTTCTACCTTAATTGTAACAAAATAGTATTTCAGGGATGATGGTTCAAAATCATGGTGTTTCATGACTTGGATTCTCATGCCACCCCTGGGCTTGCTGGTTGGATAGGCTGTCTTGGCAAGATCCCTGGATTTTTATGAAATGCAATTTCCAGAGTGAGAGCTACTAGGCCCAGAAAATACTTGAAACAAACATATCCTTGAGTTTAGTTACCGTTGAATATGATGCTGTTCAGAAGCCAGATATCTACAGTCCAGCTTGAAATGAATTGTATTTATTTTATTTTGACTGTCTAGATTAATGATTAAAGCCAAAGGGCATCCTGGCTTTTCTCAGTGATATGGGTGACTTAGAGATAATGGGGTCCACATGATAGCAGGCCACTGTTGACCTTGCTGAGCAGCATTACTAACTAATACCACTTAAAATTTGCCTGCTTTACTGTGGTCTCCTTCATTTCTTCAGTCTGCATTTATTGAGCACCCACTGTGTGCCCACCCCTGAGCTAGGCAGTAAGGAACCAAAAAGAAACACAACAAAGTCAGTGCCTCAGTGTGAGAGGAAGATAACTAACCTTGCTTACAGACTGTATTAGGCCATTTCTACATTGCTATTAAAAAAAAAAAAAAAAGGCTGGGTAATTTATAAAGAAAAGAGATTTGATTGGCTCACAGCTCTGTAGGCTGTACATGCATGGCTCCAGCATCTGCTTCTGGTGAGGGCCTCAGGAAGCTTCCAAATATGGCAGAGGGAGAAGGGGTGCAGGCACGTAACATGGCAAGAGCAGGAGCAAGAGAGAAGGGGGCAAGGCACCACACTTGCAAACCACCAGATGTCTCGAGAATCACTCACTAATGCAAGGACAGCACCAAGCCATTCATGGGAGATCTGCCCCCATGAGCCAGACACCTCCCACCAGTTCCTACCTCCAACATTGGGGATTACATTTCAACATGAGATTTGGAGGGGACAAACATCCAAACTATATCAGAGACTACTTAGACCCAAAACAAACTAAAGCCGAAGGAATTACATATTCCATATTTGGTCTAGTTGTTGGGAGGGAAAAATTGCTGCAAGAATTCAGATATACTAAAATTCAAATGAAATGGCCTGATCTATGCCAGATTTTATGAAATGTGTTTATTCTAAACCCAAGAAGAGTATTTTCCTCAGCCTTGTTTTTTCCTTCTATGTATTATGCATAGAAAGCAACTATTCTAAGAGGTAATATTCTGAAATATTACTTTAAATGGCAAGTTTTGTCAATTGAAGATACAACACATTTTAAGTAAAACAGTAATCTCTCAGTTTCCAATAAGTACACTTAAGCTGTGGTTAAATTATATTACCCTAGCAGAAAAATCAGTGGTCTGATAATATAGATGAAAACAATGGTTACAATTTTGACATTGCAAATAAAAACTTCCCAAAATTACACCAGTACACTGTTTCCAAAATTGAAGAGATTAGAGAACAAACAATCAAAAAATTACCATCTCTTTCCACAGGATAGCATAAATACATGTGTTTTCTATTAGAGCTTAAAATAGGAATTTAGAACTAAACTATGATGCAAAATTGAAAATGTGTAATTGATTTAAAATGTTTAGCATATGCTACATAACTTTAATCTTTTCTTTTAAAAAGTTTTCTCTTTATGATATACTATGTGCACACAACCACTTGACTTTCTCCTGACATTTCTCCTTAATGATAAATTGGAAAATTCAAATTTTGACTCTTCAGCCATCAGAGTGTGGAGTATCAAACATTGATTATTCAAACTTATGAACTAGTGAACCAACCCATCATGGCTCAAGAAAATAATTATCCATCTCTGCATTTATAACTCCCTGCTGCTGTTCACCCTGAAGCACACTATGTAGACTTGCCATGTGCAAAGCAGCTTCTTAGCCAATCAATATCCACAACTGCTGGGAAGGATACCTGCTTATCTCTTTGCGGTGCTACTGCCAATCACCAGACTAAACATCATTTCTATTCCATGGCAACGTTTTAAGTCAGACCATCTGGAATGTCTCCAGATTTGGTAAAAATGCAAATAAAACTTTGCTTTACATTCACCTAGCAATGAATAAAAATTAACATATTCTTATTTGACCATATTGTTCTCCCCTCCTGGGAATCCAATACTTTGTATACCTTACTGTAGTTCTAAATAATGTGGACAGTTTGACTGGTACTTTTACATCATAGGTAGGAGTACATTTGTGTAATTCCTGTTTTTCCAAAACTCGTAATGAGTCATTTAACTATCATTAATTTTAGAAAGTAAACCTTTAGGCTAAAAAAACAAATACTCTTTAGTTATTTCAATCTTTTTCCAGAGGAAAAGAGAAAAAAGCACTGGAGTGTGCTAAAAAGGCTCACAGTATTTAGGAGCAATCGCCACATCTTTCTGTCATCCTCTTCTCTAGGTCATGAGATCATACATGTTGCTATTCTTCTGACTTCTAAGCAGGATACTCAAGAGATCCTTCCAAGCAATGTGAGTCACAGGCCCCCATCCCTTTCCCCCATAGCTGCCTCCCATAGTAAAATTCTGTGGGAGTCTGTCACATATTAAACCTATAGATTCCTCTAACCATATCAAGTTCACTACCTCTGTATTGCAGGGCAAGGTAGCAGCTGTCCATCTCACTTTACCATTACATTTATGTAGCTATGAAAATAATGCATACAATTGGAGAATATTCAGTTAAAGGGATGTGTGAGCCTTCTTTATTTCCCTATTAGAAGGATTAGGTTGAAAGAAGAATAAATAGTTGAAAGTATCTAATATGCTCTTCAAAGAAAGATGAGTTTTGAATCACACCTATTTTTGTGTTTAACAATTATATTAATTGCTTTTCTTTTTTAATTTGTATAAATTTATGGGGTGCAAGTGTAGTTTTGTTACATGTATATATTGCATAGTGGTGAAGTCAAGGCTTTTAGGGTATCCATCACAAAAATAATATACATTGTACCCACTATGAAATTTCTCATCATCCACTCTTAGTTGCTTTTATGCTCAGTTCTAAGGTGTCTCCAGACAGACAACATTGCTTTGAGTCATATCAGAGTCAGCATAAGTGGAAGTAGACTATTTAAAGATTGTATTAATATCTGAGGCAAGCTAGAATTACTGATAAGACTGTAATAATGTTACAAGAAGAAGAAGAAGGCACTATAAAGTATTCTTCCTATTAACGTTTTATTCCCTTTCTCTCACTTTGAAAAAGATTGTACTGAAACGGTTTCATAGAGCAATGTAATATAAAACACAACTGAAAAGTAACATAACAGGTATCAAACAGCTGGGCTGTTTCGGATGTCATTAACCTGTGTAGCTGATGCTTGGTGGCTCTGGATGGCCTGTGGCATGGAAGGTGGGATGGGGTCATTCCACCCCTAAATTTTCAGAAATTTCTTAATTTCTTAATTGATCTCCCTATCTTCAGAGCTTCTTCCCCATAACATATCCGGGACTTTGCTTCCATCTGTCAAGTGCCACTGCTTCTAAAAAAGCACCCAGGAGCTCCCACCTGTCCCCCTTTTCCCCCATGTTTAGCAATCAAGGCCCTCCACACTTTGGCCATACTTCACCTCCTTCCTACTAATTCCCAAAATGCATGGCTCAGCTCTGTCAAAATGCTATCACTACCCCCAAGGAACATACTTTGCCCTAAATAACATTCTCAGAGAGACTGAATGTAGTCACCGAATTGCTGCTGCTGAAGCATTTACAGATCCTAGTTTGAAAAATGAGTTAGGCCTAGAATTATATATGTTGCATCTAACAGAAATAACCCAAAAGATGAAAAGAAGTTCCTATAGCCCTTGCTTACATACACTCACACACACACACACACACACACACACACACACACACACAACCTGATGATAAAAGAAACTCAGCAATCTAAGAAAGTAAAATGCAAGGCAGAAGGAACCAAGGCAAGCCAATGAATGCCAGTTGCCTTCTTGGTTTTGAAACACAATGGCCTTGCAAATGCTAATGTTGAAGAAAAAACTATTTCTAAGATTATCAAAGGATAACTGATTTTTAGTTGTTCAAAATAAGGATAATATTACTAATTGCAGTAGAAGATTGACAAAAGCAGGAAGGAGGAAGGGAAAGGAGTTAGCAGATTTTTTCATATACCCAAGCTTATAACCCATACTGCTGGTGGATTCATTCTTGTCAATAAATTACATTATCTGATATCCTAAATTTTCAAGAAAAACAAAAACTTAGCCAAGTAAATTAATCTGTACATAGGATATTTACATTTGTTAGAATGGCAAAATAGTTAAAACATTGTCTCCATGTTGGGAGACTGAAAATAACCCCTGATTACTAGATGACAAAATAGATAAGTATAGAATTTAATAATTATATTATTTAATGATTCATGAGATTACATGTATGCCATAGAGTGTTGTCCATAGGGAGATGGGTTATAATTTTGAACAGAGTGGAAGCCCTAAAAGTGATATTTGTGCATGAGCCAAGGCTTGGCACCATGTAGCTTCAGGATAACAGCTCCGCCATTATGCACACACAGACATTTCCATATATCACTGTACCTCGTCTCTTAAGCAGAAACAAGAATGCAGGGAGATGTATGTATGAGAGAGATGGAGTAAGGGAAAGAAGTAAGAGGTACAGTCCAATGGCTTGCCATAGACGCTTTTGACGTGCATAGCAGGGAGTTGATGCCGTGGATAATATGCCACGTAAATCACGTCTCCACTTAGCATGTGGCACAAAGCAGATCTGTGAGAACAACAGTGATAGAAGCCGGTAACTCTGTTGATTACTAATTTTGTCTACCCTAAGCAACCACCCCTTATTGAGGACAACAATGAAAAATAAACACATCTTATTTCTGCATGAAGTTACCACGAATATTTTGCAATGAAAAGTCAAGACTCTCAATATGTTGCTCTGGCAGAGGATCTGAACAATGTGGAAATGAGAGACATCCACATAGAGCCAGTTATCTCCATGTTCACACAGCCTTTGACATCTTGTGCAACTGGGATCCATCCTTCTGGGGCAGCTTTACAAAAGCTGCTTCTTGACATATCAAATCACCACAGCAAATTGTGTCTTAAAAATAAATTGTCACAACTTACAGATTAGATACCTCAAGCATAGTAGATGTTCAGTAATGCTTGTTGTTATGATTTGATTTGATAAGGGCCTTCACTCTTAAATTAACTTCAAATCAGATTAATCTGAGATATTCAAATTAAAATGATGATGAAGGTGGGGGTGGTGGTGGTGATGATGATGATGATTTGTCAAAGGGATTCTTCATTTATAGACAAGGCAGAAGACATTATCAGTGGTATGCATATACTATTCCCCAACTTAGTCAAGTTACCCACCAAATTCCGTATGTGATAAGCATATTTCCCTTTTACCGCATCATCAAGCAAATAAAAACACACTTTTCTCATGTACTCCAAGAATCATGCTATCATCATAAAATTAGCTATAGAAACTGCATTCTCTAAATTTTAAGAGAGAAAATGTGTCCCTTGACCAAGATCTCTATTCCTCACTGGTGCATTGTATTCCAGCTAGATGTTTTCCCATAGGGTAGCTCTGATGCTGCCTCCTCTGTGAGCACCTCTCTTTCCATGCTTTTCCGCTACCTCTCTATACTCCAGCTAACCTGGTCTATCTATCTGAGTCCTTCTACCTGGAATATGGTCCTTCTACCTGGAATATTTTTTCCTCAGGCCTTCTCTGGCTTCTTCCACTTTATTCCTTGGATCTCAGCTTAATCATCTCTTTGGCAAGTATCCATGATCCAAACTGGGTTAGTGCCGCTCCCAAGACCCCCTTTATTAACCCTGTACTGGCACTTAAAACATACTCTATTGTATTTGCCAGCTCCTTGGCCTGTCTGCAAGTTCCTTCAGGCATGCTGCCATCATTCTCATTTATCACTGTATCTCCTGTGCCCAGCTTTAAAAATATTAGGTAAATGAGTGAAAAAAGAAAATGTACTATAGTTGCCTCTGTTAGAATGTTTTTCTCCCATGCAATTCCAGATCTACAAGCAGACCTGCTTATTGAGTTTATTGAATTTCTACCTTTTTTTCTGAAAATCAGAATATCTCAGGGTCCATAAATCTGTGAGAAACTCGTGGGAAGCAGAGCAGCACATAACAGCAAGATGATTTTCCCCTTCCTTTTGTCTTTAGGGGTCAAGAATTCTTGTCTCATGGTTCAGGCATTGTGTTAACTATTTCTGTGCATTCTTTAAGCATAGTTGTAACTGTAGTTTTGATTGAAATATTAACCTATAAGTGATTTGGAATATCAAAATAAACATTCATATCACAGAAGTTTTTTTTTTTTTTGCTCTTGAGAGAATACGAAGTAGGTTGATTTTTCTGCCATTACTATGATATATGTACATTGCAAAACATTATGCTAACTAGCTAGCTTAAGAATATATGTACATATAAAATGACAGAGTGACAAATTTATTAGCCAATTTGCTGTTTGTTATAAGGAAGTTGCTGTCTGGAAAGGCTTCAGAACCCTGTCCAGCTCTACCTCCCCTTCTGACTTTTCGTTTCCTGTGTCTGGGAACCTCATTGCCTTCTCTCATGGTCATGTTAAGTAATTATTCTCATGTGAGGTTACTCTGCTAACCCTCGGCATTTGGCTCACAGCACAGTTATTCCCGCGTCAGTGATGGGGGATGGAAACCGTCCATCACTGCAAGACTGTTCCCATGGCTGAGGAGGGAGAGATGGTTTCAGTCCTGTTCTTGTTAGTAACGTGTTGAGATGTAAATAGATTCATGGCTGATGATGTTCCCCCATCAAAGAGTTCATTTAGCTCATAGGAAGAGTTTGCTATATTCTAAATTTAACATAAAATAATGATGCAGGAAAGTTTTAGGTTTAAGAAAATAATTTTCACATGATACATTGTGTATGCGTGTGTGTGCTTGTGTGTGTGTGTAAATGTTGCTCTGGTTCCAGCATTCTGATCAATAAAAGCAGAAGTTCAGGCCATTTTATCCTGAAGTATTTCTATAGGGTAGTCTTATGAGTTGCTTGATTATTATACAAAGTATATACAGTTAGTATAAAGAGTGTGCAAACTAAAATGAAGGGGGCTGAGGAATCAAGTGTGTTGTCGCTGAAGTTGATTTTGAGACTGGAGTGGTTAAATAAAGGCTGTTCTAAGAAATTCCATCAAAATAAATTTGATATACTGCCAGAAATTCTACAACTGCCTTCTGGATCTACCACATTCTCTTGGGAGTTAGAACTACTGCTTTCTATAGCTACAATTTTATTCTTAACTAGGTCTAGTTTTTATTGGAAAAACTGTCCTAAGATTAAAAGTTAATAGTTGAAATTAAATTTAATAATAAAACTGAATGTGTCATTCAGCATTAATTTTTGGTAGCCTTATGTTTCAATTTGAACATCAAATATTATGTAAAACTGCATGCTCTGAAGCATCTATTTAAATTTGGTACATTTTTGCAGAAGAGCAACCTGGAAAAAAATTAAATAAATAAATTTGGAAGGTTTGAAGCCTTCAATGTTCTGGGGCTCAGGAGCCTAAAATCAAATGTGCCCTCAGAAAGACTTAATATTATTTTAGGTTGTGCACATTTAGAGGTCGCTTCTCAGAACTTAAACACCTCTAAGAGTTTTATTGACACTCTAACTTTTAAAACAACTTCCTTGGAGACTAGTACCAAGAGAGGAAGCAAGTCAAATCTTGCATCTCATACTTGCCCTAAACATGAGACTCCTGTTATTTTAGATCAAATTTATACTAGAAGGCAATAAAGATGGCAACTCATTCACCACTTGTTTACTCAGTAATATAAGGTATTTATTCTCTAGCTGCTCTTCATTTATTCAATAAAGACATTGGGTAAATAGCAGCAAACAAAACAGATAGATATCCTTGCCCTTGTGGATTCTGGTAGAAGAGCAAGACAAAAAGGGAAATAAGTAAGTAAATACATAGTATGTAAGATAAGTGCTAAGTAGATAAGTACAATGGGAAAAGAGAGTGGAAAGAAGAGAGATATTGAGTGGGTGACCTCAATACAAGGTGACAGTTGAGTAAAAGAAGGGATGAAGGAGCAAACAATGCCACTATGTAAGGTAAGAGCATTCCATTAGAGGAAACATCAAGTGCAAAGGCCCTGTGGCAGGAATGTGCCTGGAGGGTTAAAGGAAGAGCAAGGAGGCCATCGTGGTTGAGTGGGAGAGAGAGAGTCGTGGCAAATGAGATCACAAGGATATGAGGGTGGAGCAAGAGTAGGGGAGAGGTAGAGCACATAGGGCCTGATAGCATGGTGACTATATCATCTATTGTCCAAACAGGACAATTTTGAGAGTGAAGGGAGACACTATTATGTCAGGACAATAGGCATAAACCAGGACTGTCCTGGGTAAACAAGGAAAACCTATACACCTTTAAAAGTCTTTGGCTTTTTTCTCTGAATGAGATGGGAAGTTTTTGGAAAGTTATGTCCAGATGAGTGACATGAACTTGTTTACATTTTAACAGGAACATTCTGGCCAGGCACAGTGGCTCATGCTTGTAATCCCAACACCTAGGGAGGCAGAGGTGGGAGGATAGCTTGAGCCTAGGCGTTGGCTGCTATGTTGAAAAGTATTTCCTAAATCAATGAAGGGAAAATATGCAATCTTAAAATATGTTATATATACTAATATATAACATGAGAATATTACCTAAAGTGTAGCGTTTACTCTATGCCAAGCTAAGTCGTATGACCCTCCCAACAAATCTATGACATGCTACTGTTGCCTGAATGATAATATGAAAAAAGTGAGTCCCAGACTGTTAAGTAACTTCCTCAAAGTCACACAGCTAGAAATGGCAGGTCCAGGATTTGGATCCAGCCTGATCCCAGAGGCTGTGCTGTTAGCCAGCCTGCCGTACTGTTCTTCCACACACCTCGTAAGACAAACCTTATCATTACCAAAATGTCATCCCTAACACAAATAGATTTTCAAAGACTGTTCAAAGAAGAAAATCATTTCCTTTATCTTCTCCACTAAATCTAACAGCTTCATTAGTTCCTTCTTTAAGACAGAAGTAACACATTGTAAAGAAAATGTACAATAGATTGCACTCCAAAATAGCATCTATGTTGTAAGTCTTGCAGATGGCCTTGGGACATCTGGTGAACAGGATTTGTGTAGCCTATGTTCATTGTCATGTCAGTGAGGTCAACTGACAGAAGGAGAGCCAGAAAATAAAAAATAAATAAACTGAGAGGAAAGATTGAGTTATTTGATGGACTGATTGCCTCGACACCTCTGCTCAGAGAAATGCATTTTGCCAAACGAATGGCTCATCTAGTTATCACTTGAAAGGCTAGGCAATTTGTCTGTGGACAGGATACAGAAGAATGAATGTCTATGGCTAGCCCATAGTTTCAGCTGGGTTAGAAACATCAGGCTTGACTGATAAAGCTAGAGGTTGCTTTTCTAGACTTTTCTCCTTGGGGGTTTACCAGATGCACAGGAGTTAAAAGGAGGATGTGGAAGCATAACAGATGACATTTGTGGATATGTCTAAACTGATCATTAAAAAGATGCCAGCAATCCTCAATTTTTAAAGATTTGCATATAAAACGTACCTTTTGTGAAACCTTTCCATTAAATCTAATGCATAAGGAACTTCATTATTAATTCCTAATTTTAAAAGCAACAAATAAAGGAAACATTATTGAACATTTTTTCAATGTCCAAAATATTGCTTATCAAAATATGAAAGGTAATGGATACACGTTTCTTAACAAAATATTGAATAACACATTACACTGCATCCCACGTAAGTTTTATGCCACAAAAGTAATTCTGCAGAATGTCTGTACAAAAAAAAATCTCTAACTACTGTGAACTTTTAGTTTGAAAGAAGATTTAAATTTCAGTTTTCACCAAATAGAAATATCTAGAATACAGCAAAGTTTCTCTTTTAAAATGGTGTCATTGATGTCATAAGTATGGGTATTTCTCTGCATATTTTCATTGTTTCCACAAATTTTACTTGCTTAAAGAAGTGAAATCTATGAAAATTAGGGTTATGTTATATCATTTAACAGTCATAATACTTTTTAAACTTTTAAATATGTTATTGAAATGTAGCATACACATAGAATAATGTGCCTAAGCATTGGCTCTGTTAATTTTCACAAAATGAACACATGTGTAACCAGGATCAACAAAGAGAGCATTATCAGCACCCTGAAGTCTCCTAGTCACTATCCTAACCCCTAAGCCACTCACTTTCCTGACTTCTAACAGCATGAATTTGCTTGCCTGTTTTTGTGTTTCTAGCATATGGAATCCTATGATGCCTGTAGGTATTGTTTTGTGTCTGGCTTGTCTTACTCAACATTATGTTTGTGAGAGTCATCCATATTGTTGCATTCAGTTGTAGTTCAGTCATTCTCATTATTGTATAGCACTTCACTGTGTGAATATCGCACTTTCTCAATTCTACTAAAGATGGGCATTATTAAGTAGTTTCTAGTTTTGGGCTATTTTGAATAGTGCAGCTGTGGACATTCTCCTATGCATCTTTTTGGTGCATATATATGTTGAATATGTAAGTATATAGATATAAAAACCTATAGCTGTGTACATAATGATATCTGTCATATTTATGTATCAACATAGATAGCTGCATACTAAGTATATCTAAATATATACTTCTTATTTAATTTTTCTTGATCATAACCTTTTATATTTTACTATTCAGTAATGTTGGAGAATTACACTAGGTTAAGGTACAGAATTAAGAACTAGGCAATAGAATTCTTCTTTTTTTTTTTTTTTTTTTTTTTTTTGTTTAGAGATGGGGTCTTGCTTTATTGCCCAGGCTGGTTTCAAACTCCTGGCTTCAAGTAATCCTCTCATCTCAGCCTCCCAAATTGCTGGGATTACAGGCATGAGCCACCATGCCTGGCCCAGAATTCTTTTCTAATTCTAAAAGCTTTAAGTCTTGTGTGGCCTGTGTATGAATTTGGTCCATGATAATTATTTGCCTTTCAAGAAAATCTGTTATCTGCCTTCATAATGGATAATTCCCAGATCAACTCACACATTGACTAAGTACCTGTAGAAAACACAGAGGAATCTAGGCTAGCCGTGCCTTCAAGTTGCTGACGTTCTATTTGAGGATACAAGCAAATAGCCAATAAAGTTAGCCTGGATACCAGCGGAGTTTTATACTCAAGTATTTTCTTGGACTTTTTTTTTTTGAGATGGAGTCTCGCTCTGTCGCCCAGGCTGGAGTGCAGTGGCGCGATCTTGGCTCACTACAAGCTCCGCCTCCCAGGTTCACACCATTCTCCTGCCTCAGCCTCCCGAGTAGCTGGGACTACAGGTGCCCGCCACCAAGCCTGGCTAATTTATTTGTATTTTTAGTAGAGACGAGGTTTCACCGTGTTAGCCAGGACGGTCTGCATCTCCTGACCTCGTGATCCGCCCACCTCGGCCTCCAAAGTGCTGGGATTACAGGCCTGAGCCACCGCGCCCAGCCTCTCTCGGACTTTTTGAGACCAAAGAACACAAAGATACTATTTTTAATGTGAAATACCTCTAAAAATGTTCATTGAAAGTAGAAAGATTGGCATCTTAATACAAGATTGCCAGGGTAGGGATGGTTGTCATAGAAATTTACCAAATTGGAACACATGAAGACAGAGCTAAAAGAAAAATTTATCTTAATATCATCAGCAAAATTTGCATTTGCAACATCCCAAAAAGAAATTTTATTTATGAAAACCCACTGACCACATATGAAATGGAATCATCTTACAATGTAAACACTCCCAGGAAGTCATTCAGAACTCTGTGAAATGTCTGAGCACTGCATTTTTGCAATCTCATGAATAAGAGTTTAAATGTGAGTCATTGACACTTTTCCTGCTTTTTGTTCTGGGGAAATAGCTTCACGGTAATATTTTCATTAATTGTATGGAGTGACTTCAGAATCATCTCCAGCTCCTGTACCATCATAAAGGAAGTCAACCCAGAGGGAGTGGTATGCACTAAGGTGACCGTCCAGAGCCCACTTTCAAGCACTGCTGCTTGCTCCTGCTTGATTCGCTCACCCAGGGCCCAGCAAACTACAGCTAGTGAGCCAAATCTGGCCCACCACCTGTTTTTGTAAATGAAGTTTTATTGGAACACAGCCATACCTATTGCTTACGTATTTTCTATGGCAGCTTTTGAGTAGTTTCAACAGACACCATATGGCCCAGAAAGCCTAAAATATTTACTATCTGGCCATTTATGGAAAAAGTTTGTCAAGCCTGGTGGCATCTCACCAACTGCCCTGCCCCTTCCTCTCATCCCTGGCTCTCATCTACCTCCATTTGGACCCACAGGCAGTCAAAGCCCAAGATCTGAACTTCAGAAATGTGAATAAGGCTTCATAACCTTTTTCTCTTTTTAATAGAGATGGGGTTTCACTGTTTCCCAGGCTTATCTTGAACTCTTAAACTCAAGCAATTCTCTTACCTCAACCTTCCAAAATACTGGGATTACAGGCATGAGCCACTGCGACCAGACACTTCATAACCTTTGATATTTTTAAGTGCCTAATGCCTTAACCCCAAGAAGTAAATGGGCATAATCTCAAGAAATCAAAATATGTTTTATTTTTTAAAATGGTTTGTCACTGATCTTGAATAAATCACTTGACCTCCCAAGTCATTCTTTTTCTTTTTCTTCTTTTTTCGAGAAAGGGCCTCACTCTACCACCCAGTCTGGAGTTCAGCGGCATAACCACAGCTCCCTGCTGCCTTAAGCTCCTGAGCCCAAGCAATCCTCCCACCTAAGCCTCCCAAGTGGCTGGGACTACAGGCACATGCCACCATGCCCATCTAATTTTTTGAATTTTTGTAAAGATGGGGTCTCATTATGTTGCCCAGGCTGGTCTCAAATTTTTGGACTCAAGTGATCCTCCTTCCTCTGCTTCACAAAGTGCTGGGATTGTAGGTGTGAGCCACCATGCCCAGCCTGAAGTCATTATTTTGTATTTGAAAAAAATAAATAATGAAGGGACCATTTCATGGTATCCCACTAGGCATAATGACATAAAGTAGGCTTATTCCTAAGCTGACAGCCAAATCAGTTACAACAACCAAGATCTATTGTCTCTTCGTTGTCTCGATTTATGTTAGTAAACATCAGAACTTTGGTCTCATGAGAGGTCTTGGCAACCACAATTCACATGTTTTCTAATCAAAATTAAACAATTTTTAAACTCTTTGTCACACACTTAGAAATATTCAATACATCGTCCTTTGGGTAATTAAAAGCAGCACTAAGCCAGGTGGCTAGATTTTTGGGTAGCCATTTATGTTTCAGTTAAGAAAAAGAAAAAGGAAAAGGAGATGATGAAGATTTTTCATTTATTTTAGAGAAATTTCATATGAAAATATAGTTACTCTCTAAAAGTCTTTTTTTTTTTTTTTTTTTTTTTTTGAGACGGAGTCTCACTCTGTCATCCAGGCTGGAGTGCAGTAATGCAATCTTGGCTTGCTGCAAACTCCGCCTCCCGAGTTCAAGCGATTCTCCTACCTCAGCCTCCTGAGTAGCAGGGATTACAGGTGCCCACCACCACACCCAGCTAATCTTTGTATTTTTAGTAGAGATGGGGTTTCACCGTGTTGGCCAGGCTGATCTCGAACTCCTGATCTCAGGTGGTCTGCCCGCCTCAGCCTCCCAAAGTGCTGGGATTACGAGTGTGAGCCACCACACCTAGCCTCTAAAAGTCTTAAAGATAAAGCTTTACATACTTGAAGTTACTCAGTCAGAAAATCACAACACTTTATATTTCTTTGGAAGGACCAATTGAATTACAAGATCATAACTAAAAACAGATGAATTTTCTTACCTCTATGCTGTAAAAATCAGGGACTATTTCTTTAATAATGGACAGAAAGGCCATGTCTTAGACAAAGGGGAAAGTGGGGGATAAGATAAGAAATATCTCATGTTCCATTTTTTAACATTAGGTGTATGTGTGTATGCATACATGTTATTTTTTGTGACACAGATGTTCTCTGTTTACATTAGATTTTTCCAAACTGTTAGCAGTCAGGTGCGGTGATTCACACCTGTAATCCCAGCACATTGGGAGGCCAAGGCCAGAGGCTCATTTGAGCCCATAAGTTCGAGACTAGCCAGAGTAACATGATGAAACCCCATTGCTACAAAAAATACAAAAATTGGCTGAGTGTGGTGGCACATGCCTGCAGTCCCAGCTACTGGAAGGCTGAAGTGGGAGAATCACTTGAGCCCAGGTCGAGGCTTCTGAGCCATGATTGCTCCCACTGCACTCCAGCTTGGAAGGAAAAAAAAATGTTGGGAGGAAAGGACAGGGGAGCTACAGGGGATGGAGGTAAAAAAAAAAAAAAAGCAGAGTTGGGTAGTGGAGACCCATCCTTAGGGCTCAACCATGTCATTCTGCCAGCACCCAGGTGACATTTCATATATTTGAGGAAGAAAGGGAGGGAGCATGGACTCTCAAAATGTGAGGAGTCAAAATATGTAGTTCCAACTATGTGAAAGCAGCTTGAAGAACCAGAGCATTGACCTATTCGTGATTTTTGCAGAGGCACTCATTTGGATTGGCCCTCCAAACAGGCTGGTGTAAGAGCCTCTCAGTATCTACACCAAAGCCCATCTCTCTTGTGGTTTTGAAATTCTTTACTTGTTTGCAGTAGCTCCAGTGAACCCTCATGAAGTGATAAACATTTAGTTTATTTGTGGAAATGGCCCAGAAGAAAAAGCTGGTATTAGAACCGAAGATGTCTAATGAAGTATATTTTTCTTAGCCAGAAATTTTGGATAAATGAATGAGTGGAGAAAAGTAAGTGCCTGAGGGCTCAATATTTGTCCTTCAATTACTTTTTAGGTTGTGATTCTTGGTACATGCCATATTCTGTTCAGACTACCTCTTCTCTACTAAAAACATGCCTGTGCAGGGGCAGTTCCCACACTAGTAGGAGGTACAGTCTCACACATTTATGCCTTTGTATAAATTAGAGAAAATCCTAATGTTTCATGTTTTGAATAGGGAATATATTCAAATGGATCAAAAATCAAGAAAGTAGAAAAAGGTACACATTGAGAAGTCTTCCTCTTAGACCAGTCCTGATCACCAAATTTCCCCACTCCCACCCTCTATAGCGAATCACCTTTAAAAGATTCTTCTGTATCTTTCCAGTGTTTCTTCATGCAAATATAAGAAAATCCAAATATATATTTCTGTTCTCTCCCCTGTTTATTATACAATGTTCTGTACATTGCTTTTTTCAATTGACAGTACATCCTGGAGATCTCTGAATATCAATATATGAAAAGCTGCCTCATTTTTTAAATAGTTTCATAGTATCCCATTGTGGGAGAGTGCCATAGGTTATATAATCAATTGTTCCAATCTTTTGTTTTTGCAGACTATGCTACAATTGTAACCATATGCATGTCATGTTTATATCTGTGGGTACACCTATATGACAAATTCCCACACATAGGATTCCTGTGCCATAGGTCAAGTGTCTGTATTACTTTGATATAAATTGCCAAATTGTCCTCCATAATAATTGTGCTGTCTTGCACTCTCATTAGCAACGTAGGAGTTCCTATTTCCCCATTGCCTAAACATATTTTTAGATTAGGCATTTCTCTTTCCTTTGGATTATCTTAAATAGAAAATGTCAGGGAGGAAGTCTTTTTTTGTTCCTATATGCTAAGATTGCCTATAAAAAAATGGTGAAAAAATAGGAAACTAATTTTGGAAACGTATTGGGTCACTGAATCAAATGCCCAGTGATAATTTAATGTGTCATTTACTCTTGCAAAAGTATACATTTTTACCCATAATGAAGAGGACACTAATTCAAGAAAGTATCATAGAAAATTAGATATTTTTTCTACTCTGAAGCAATCACTGATTGTCAGTGGATTCTATACACTAAATTATTTCAGAATTCATACACCTGAAAATTGTCAAATATATAAACTCTAATTATTAAATTATTGATATTTAGAAGAAGGATTTGTGAAGCATTTGTGCCAGTTTTTCCCTGTCATTTATATATCAAAAAAGTACTCATAATGGAACCAAATTATTTCCATCTTCAACTTGAACAGCTTTTTGATATTTCAGGTTGAAACCAAGATAAGCCTGTGCATTGAGTCTGAAGAATTGTACTTTTTCCAAATATTACAGTTTTGAAAACTAATTTATGAATTGAAGTAGCTAAGTTCCATCCAGTTTCCAACTCCCATTTTTTGACACAGATCAGAATGAAAAACCTAGAAGCCAATATCCAAACTTTACTCCAGACCTTTCCACTGTTCAGGCAGTAGTTGAGGACTGAGACAGACGTTCTGAATGACAACTTTACGGTGACAACTGACTGTTAATGTCATGTGATAACATGTCTGTAGCTTTTTTGGAAATAATCTAGGATGATAGAATGGGAGGTATCTCTTCAAAAATATGTATTTAGCCTAATTGCTGAAATACTTTATATTTTTAGGACTGATATGACTGCTTTTTTTCATTTATTTAGTTTATAACTTCATGTAGTATGAATTCAGCCTGAAATTGACATTTAAATTTTGTACCTAAATTCGTAGGTTTAGTTTTTTTAAGAAAACAATGGCTTTCCAGTAAATAAAATAATATTTTTACATTTTCTTTTGTTCAGCCTTGAGTTTGTTTTGAGAGCTTTAGTTTGGATAAAAAAGAGAAATGTCATTTTAAAATTTGGGAGAATTGTAAAACACCATTATATTTTTTCAGATACGTTTTAAAATTTATTTTGTACAAAATATTTATAGATATGAGGCTTCACTTTGTTGAATTCATCATACACACACACTTCTTTTTAGCAGAAATTAATAGAAAGCCAATTCTAAATTAATGTAGGTAATACATAATCTACTCAACTGGATGAATACCTTGGTTGCAAGTCTTGTCCTGAGCGAGCTAAGTGACAACACTCTCAATCTACTGAGCTTCCAGCATCTAGGCAGAGCTCCCAGGACAAGCAGAAGTCACAGGGAACAGGAAGCAGGAAAGAGCAGGAAAAGATCCTTTAGTTCCCATGTGTAGAAACAAATGCTCAGCTGCCTCTGTATTGAACCATACTGATGCCTGCCACTATATTGTTCATTGTAGATAGAAATCATTATAAGTTGCAGTCGATTAGAAATTGCAACCACCTCTTTCAAAAAAGTGATTACCAAAATTTTGAAAGGAAGAGAAATACAGATTGTAATTTTTTGCTATACCAGCAAAGAAAATTAAATATTAAAAATATTATAAAGATGCTTCTGACAAGCTATGTGACCTTCAGAGTTTCGTCGTCAAAACACAGTATTAATCTAGATCAGCGTTTCTCCAAATTTTTGTTCTCAGCACCCCTTTATACTCGGAAAAATCATTGAGGACACCAAATTTTTCTTCATGTATGTTATATTGATGGATATTTATGATGTTACAAGTTAAAACTGATCATTTTATAAAAAATATTTATTAATTTTCATGAACATAACCCCATTAAATGTTAACATAAATGATATATTTTTATGAAAAAAATTATATTTTCCAAAACAAAAAAATTATTTAGTGCGAAAAAATGGCATTGTTTTACATTTTTACAAATCTGTTTATTTAACGTCTGGCTTAATAGAAGACAGCTAAAACTCATATCAGCTTCTGCAATCTGTTGTACTATGTTGTTTTGGTTGAAGCATATGAAAAAACTCTAGCCTCACAAAAAAAAATGTCGTTTAAAAAAGGATGAGGATTTTCATCGTCTTTTCAGATAATTGCGAATATTCTTTGATACGACATCAAAACTCTCCCATTGGCAGTTCTGTAAAGATTAGTTGCAATGTGTAAAGTGAAACCATATTAATGAACTTTTCAGACACTACTACATTAAAATATGTTGTCTCTCTTGTACTTTGCATAGATCGTTTACATAAGCATGGTTTTGCAACATCAGATATTGGCCGTTACGAATTACTAGTTTACCAATTATAAGGATCTTCTCAATGTTGCCTTATTTAATTACATAATATCAAAAAACTACATTCGTTAATATCACCACCAATCCTTTGTCACGTGGAATATTAAAAAGACATGTACCTAAGCTCAAGATATATTAAAAATTTGTAATTTCTCTGCTGCTTCAACAGGGATATCTTAAGGGAAACTCATGAAACATGATCCATAAGGAAAAAAAATTGGACCTTATCAAAATCAAAAACTTTTACTCTGCAAAAGACCCTGTTAAGAGGATGAAAAGACAACAGCCGGGTGCGGTGGTTCACGCCTGTAATCCCAGCACTTTGGGAGGCCAAGGCAGGCAGATTACTTTGAGCTCAGGAGTTAAGGACCAGCCTGGGCAACATGGCAAATCTCCATCTCTACAAAAAAAAATACAAAAGTTAGCCAGGCATGGTGGCATGCACCTGTGGTCCCAGCTACTCTGGAGGCTGAGGCTGTAGAATCACTTAAACCTGGGAGGCAGAGGTTGCAGTGAGCCGAGATTGCACCACTGCATACCAGCCTGGGCAACAAAGTGGGACCCTGTCTCAAAAAAAAAAAAAAAAAAAAGGATTCATATCTAGAATATACAGAGAATTCTCAAAACTCAATGGTAAAAAAAATGAATAATCCAAATAGAAAATGGACAAAAGACATGTACAGAAATTTTACTGAAGGGTATATGCAGATGACAGATAGGCACATGAAAAGATGTTCAATATCATTAGCCATTAGGGAAATGCAAGTCAAACCGCAGTGAGATATCACTACACCCTATCTGAATGGCTAAAATGTAAAAAAAAAAAAAAGAGAGAGAGAGAGAGAGACAACATCTAATTCTGTCATGGATGAAGAGAAACTGCTGGTGGAAACGGAATGTAGAGCCACTCTGTAAGAGAGTTTGGCAGTTTCTTTTTTCATTTTTTTTTTTTTTTTTTTTTTTTTTTTGGAGGTGGAGTTGCGCTCTTGTTGCCCAGGCTGGAGTGCAATGGCATGATCTAAGCTCACTGCAACCTCCGCCTCCCAGGTTCAAGCAAGTCTCTCCTGCCTCAGCCTCCTGAGTAACTAGGATTGCAGGTGTGCAACACCATGCCCAGCTAATTTTTGTATTTTTAGTAGAGACGGGGTTTCACCATGTTGGTTAGGCTGGTCTCGAACCCCAGGCCTCAGGCGATCCACCCACCTCAGCCTCCCATAGTGCTGTGATTACAGGCGTAAGCCACCCTGCCCCGCCGGCAGTTTTTTTTTTTTTTTTTTTTTAGACAGAGTCTCAGTCTGTTGCCCAGACTGGAGTGCAGTGGCGCCATCTCGGCTCACTGCAAGCTCCGCCTCCTGGGTTCACGTCATTCTCCTGCCTCAGCCTCCCGAGTAGCTGGGACCACAGGTGCCCGCCACCATGCCCAGCTAATTTTTTGCATTCTTAGTAGAGACGGGGTTTCACCGTGTCAGCCAGGATGGTCTCAATCTCCTGACCAGGAGATCCGCCCGCCTTGGCCTCCCAAAGTGCTAGGATTACAGGCGTGAGTGACCGCGCCCGGCCGGCAGTTTCTTATAAAACTAAATATGCAATTACCATAAGACCCAGCAGTTGCACTCTTGAGCATGTATCCCAGAGAAGTGAAAATTTTGTTCATGCAAAAACCTGTACATTGCTCTTTCCCTGGGTTCCCAGTATCCTGGCAGGTTCCTGAATATTTGTCACAGCAATGAGCTAAAGCCCCTGGAAGAGGTGAAGTTGGGAAACTGTGGATTGCCAAGACTCAAGGAAGGACTGAGGTGTCATTTACTTTGAATGAAGATCTTGCAAATATTCATGATATTGGCCGAAAAGCAGCTTCAGTCAGTGCTCATAAAGAACATCCATTTGTCTTGCAAAATATTGGAGGCCATATATGAACAATATTTACTGAGAGCTCATCAGATAAGCTGTCTTCGGAAGGAATAGTGGTACAAAGAACTGAATGCCAACAGACTGCCAGTGAAAAGTACATGAGATTAAAAAGATTGCAAATAGAGGAATCTTCCAAACCTGTAAGGCTATCACAACAACTGGACAAAGTTGTAACAGCCAGTTTTGAACCTGTTGCTAATCAATACAATACTGAATGTGAAAGGAAAGAGAAAACAGATGGAAAATAAGCTCCAGCTAATAAACAACACGTTTCAGACATGCTATTTTCAGCCTTTAGAAATATCAATATTATCATCTTAAGGACTTGGTGGACATCACAAAACAACCTGTGGTATACCTGAGGGAACTCTTAAATTGGTCTTCAGAATGTAAAAGAGATCCACAAAAACACGTGGGAGCTGAAACCAGAGTACAGACATCACCAAGGAGAAGAAATGAGTGATTAAGATGGCTCCTAGCCAGCATGTTAGTGAAACAACAGTGATGCTAAGCAAAACGCATTGATACTGGAAGGCTTGAACACCGTATGTTAATGGGGGCTAAGTGGCAATACTTTCCTTTCTCTCGGTAAATTTTCTAAACCTATAACTGTTGTAAAGTTTCTTCAGTGTTTTTTGAGGAGAAAGAACAAATTTATTTATAGACTTAACTTGTATTAAACCAGGCTATTCACAATGGGAATAAGGGTTGGAGGATTAAGAGGATTTCTCTTAAATATTAGCTTTTAGCATGTAAAATTAGGAAATGGTTTTTAAATGAGGACTCTCTGCCCTTGCTGTATCTCTGAGGAGCTGAGGTAGTACAGAATCAAAGAGAATAATATAGCAAGAAAAAAACAGTCAACTACAGAAATTCTTAAAAGGAATAAAAAGCCAAAGTTCCTTATTTTGAGGGGGGAAAAAAAAAAACCCTGTACATTAACACTCACAGTAGTTTCACCTGTAATAGCCAAACCCTGAAGACAACTCAGATGTTCTTCAATGTGAGTGGTCAAACCAACCATGGTACATCCATACCAGAGACTACTACTCAGCATGAAAGGAAACAAGTCACTGTTACACACAACCATCTGGGTGAATCTCCGGAGAACCGTGCTAAGTGAAAAAAAGTCAATCTCAAAAGATTGCATACTATATTACTCCATTTATATAACATTCTTGAAATGATAGAGTTATAGAGATGGATAACAGATTAATGGTTGCCAGGGGTTGGGAATGGGAAGGGGAGAGAAGGGAAATATGGGTAGAAGAGGACATCAAAAGGGATCCTTGCGGTGATAAACCTGTTCTGTATCTTGACTGGTGATAAATACACAAACCTACACATGTTACTCAATTGCATAGAGCTAAATGCACACAAATTAGTATATGTGAAACTGGGGAAATAAAATAATATTGGTAGATTATATCAACATCAAAAAAATTGTGCCATTTCACATTCCCACCAGCTTTATATGAAGGTTTTAATTTCTCCACATCCTCACCCCAACACTTATTATTGTCAGTCTTTTTCATTACAGCCATTCTAATAGTGTATAGTGGTATCCCGTGGTGGTTTTAACTAGCATTTCCTTAATGGCTAAGGATGTTGAGCATTTTCTATGTCCTTACCTACTTATGTATCTGCTTTGGTGAAATGTTCACTTAAATCTTTGCACATTTTTAATTAAGTATTTATTTTATTTTAGTTATAGGAGTTCTTTATAGATTCTAGACAGAAGTCCTTCATCAGATGTATGATTTGCAAATATTTTTCCCAGTTAGCGGATTTGTTTTTATTTTCTTCATGTCTTTTGAAGAGCAAAAATTCTTTATTTTATTTATTTATTTTTTTGTTTGAAATGGAGTCTCGCTCTGTCACCCAGGCTGAAGTGCAGTGGGGCAATCTCCACTCACTGCAACCTCCACCTCCCGGGTTCAAGCGATTCTCATGCCTCAGCTTCCAGAGTAGCTGGGATTACGGGCATGCACCACCACGCCTGGCTAATTTTTGTATTTTTAGTAGAAACGGGGTTTCGCCATGTTGTCCAGGCTGGTCTCAAACCCCTGACCTCAGGTGATCCACCCACTTCGGCCTCCCAAAGCTCTGGGATTACAGGCATGAGCCACCATGCCCAGCCTGAAGAGCAAAAATTCTTATTTTGATCAAATCCGGTTTATCAAATTTTTCTTCTATGGATCATGCCCTAGTGTCCTATCTGTGAAATTTTTGCCTAACCCAAGATCACAAAGAATTTCTCCTATGTTTTCTTTGAACAGTTTTAGAGGCTTAGCTCTTACATTCAGTTCTGTAATCTTTTCTGGCTAAATTTTTGTGTATGATATGAGGCAGGCATCTAAGTTATTTTTTTGCATATGGATACTCAGTTTTTCAACACCATTCTTTGAAGACTATTCTCATTGAATTGCCTTGGACCTTTATTAAAACTCAATTGACAATAAATATAAGAGCTTGTATCTGGACTTTCTTTCTGGTCCAGTGACCTGTGTTCTATTGTTATGCCAATACCATCCTGTCTTAATTACTGGAGCTTTATATTAATAGTAAGTTTTTAAATAAGTACTATAAGTTCTCCTACTTTGCATTTTGTCAGAATTGTTTTGGCTATTCTAGATCCCTTATATTTTTATGTAAATTTTAAGATGAATTTGTTAGTTTCCTTGGATTTGGATAGGAATTGCATTGACCCTTTAGGTGAATTTGGGGAGAATTGCCATCTTAATAATATCAATTCTTCTTTTGTTATATGTATTCTCAACTATTTTATTCTTTTTTGGTACAGTTTTGAATGGAATTTTTCTTTAATTTTTTTAGATTTTTCATGGCTAGTATGCAGAAATGCAGTTGTTTTCTGCATATTGATCTTGGATCCTATGACTTTGTTCAAGTTCTATTCCTTTTGCAGCATCAGCTTTCTTCCTGCGAATGTGTGATGGTGAAGAGTACAATGACCTTTAGGTAGTTTGGTGCCACGGTCGTGATTCATGCGAAAGCACCAGCAGTTTACCTACCATTGCTTTTGTACTAACAGTGCAAATGTCAACCAGTGAAAAAAGGCAGTAATCTCTGAGTGTTATTTTGATTTTGCAGACCTCAAGGAAGGTTCCCAGGGTTCCCCAGTGGTCTGCATACAACACTGAGAGAACCAGTGATCTAGATCAGGGGTCCTCAACCCCCAGGCTGCAGACTAGTACCAGTTCATGGCCTGTTAGGAATCAGCCACACAGCAGGAGGTGAGTGGCAGGCAAGCAGTGAAGCTTCCTCTGTATTTACAGCTGCTCCCCATCACTCGCATTACCTCATGAGCTTTGCCTCCTGTCAGATCAGCAGCAGCATCAGATTCTCAAAGGAGTATGAACCCTTTTGTGAACTGCACACACAAGGGATCTAGATTGTGCATTCCTTATGAGAATCTAACGCCTAATGATCTGTCACTGTCTCCCATTAACCCTAGATGGGACCATCTAGTTGCAGGAAAACAAGCTGAGGGCTCCCACTGATTTTACATTATGGTGAGTTGTATAATTATTTTATTATATATTGCAATGTAATCATAATAGAAATAAAGTGCACAATAAATGTAATATGCTTGAGTCATCCCAAAACCATCCTGCCCCCGCTGCCAGGTCCATGTAAAAATTGTCTTCCACAAAACGAGTCCCTGGTACCAAAAAGGTTGGGGACCGCTGATCTAGATGGTCTCTAAGCTCCCATCCAAGTGTAAAATGCTATAATTTTTAAAACCTAAGATGAACAGTGTTGATCAGATTTGACTTTACAACATTTACTTAAATGGCTGGTTTTCTTGGCAGTCAATATTTCTTAGGCAATTGCTGCATGTGGAACAATGTATCTAGTCCTTTGAGAGAGATGGAAAGGAAATAGAACACTGGTCCTAATCTCAAGAAAATGGCAAAAGAAGGCTCTCTGGGTTTGCAGGTGTCTAGGAAAGGAACCCAGTGTCACTGTAGGCTGATTGTATTAGACCTCAAATTTGTATATTTTTTGTTCTACTAAAAATAAACAAAATGCTTATAGTAGAGATACAACATATATCAAACTTCAAGACTAGAAGTAAAACTAGGTTAAAATCTATCATTCTAGGCTAGTACAACCTAATGTTATCTCATTTCCAAATGACCATAAGACATAAAGTAACATCAAACTAATTTTTACAACTTTTTCAAGTAGCTTTAATTTTACATTATTGTTTATAACAGACCCGTGGTTGGAAGCTTAAAATCTCCACTTAACTGATATTTTTTCTACATTTTATATGTAATTCAAATTATGTATACAATATGATGCTTACAGCTCACTGGGCAAATTTACTATACATTTTAGCTTTTCCTTTGAGAGTAATGAAATAGTGTTCATATATTCAAGGCAAATAAATAGTCTCAAGGCTTCAATATGTGGGATTCTCCAAGTTCTGACATCCTTAATCTTTTTAGGTAGAAAAAAAGGGACTGAAGCACTCTTTCACGGGAAGAATGAAAAGAAATTGAGAAAGCAAAATTAATCATATACAGTACAGGGAAGGGTGCAGGTTAGCTTAGAGATAAATGGAGTTAATAATAGTTTCAGATAAACTAGTTACAGACTAGAGTTCTGATATGAAAATAATGTACAATTTCAGAGCTGGTAGAGAATTCAGAGAGTATCTAGTTCTAGCCTAACATTTCTTGTTTGGCAGAGGAGGGAGCTAAATCTTCTAGATTTTTGACAGAGCTAGACTGGAAGCCAGCATTTCTAACTTCTCCTTTAGTATGTTCCATCCTTCCATCTCTGCATTCAATAGAACTTTTGTGGTTTTAATACTCTCGACACCACAAATTGCATTTCCCTAGAAGACAGCCTGGCTTCTAAAACTTTATAGTGAATTATTAAAATGTATGCCATTCTTATCTGAAGTTTCATAATATGATTAGTAAGCCAGCCATCCTGACTTTGTCTTCTATTTTGCTTAATGCCTCAATTATGAGTAATTGTGAAGTTTTATTTTCTAATGAATTTCTGTTGTTAAATATTCAAAATCACCTCAATCTTATTTACTATCAAGTCAGTGAGAGCATCAACTTTATTCTACTTTATTCTTTTTTTCCCGAAACACACATATGGTATTATTTTGCTCATGCTGCATACCATATCTTTTTTGGCTCATTTTTTCCATCTACACTCAGGATAATTGTGACCACATGACACATTTTACAATAAAGAACTTAAGTTTCTTCAGAACTTATACATTAGATCATTAAATCAGCTGCATACTTTCAAATATGCCATTTGTTTTCCCTTTTTCCTATTCATCATCACCTACATCACTGATAAGATTTTGGGATCCACTACCTAAATCTGTATGTGGGGATCTCTGCTATTCTGTTTTATCTTGTTTTGTTCTGCTTTGGTTTTGCCTGCCTGTTTCTTTTAAATAGGCACTAGCATGTCTGACCATAGAGACTGATGATTAAAATCAACTATAAAACTTTTCCATTAGGTTTTGGGACTTATTGTCTGTCCGGGTCAAAGCACCCCATTTCTATGATGGGAGCTCTGACCCAGACACACAATAAGGCCCAAAACTGTGCTTGTATGTTTTTATGACAAGATGTAGGGCTCCACTCACAACACATGGAAAATCTTTTCTCCATTCCATGAAAACCAGGGTCTTTCTTTCTAGCATGAATCTCCTCTCCATTATGAATTAAACCTTAAAGTATTGACACACACAATCAGCACAAACCTTGCAATTTCAATATTGAGGCTCTCTAATTTTTCTTCTCTAAAGTTCCATTCTTCTCTATCCAATGATCCTTTGGTCATATGCTTACAAAATAAGTAAAAGCCTCAAGTCCCTCACTTTTGGATTGGTACTCTTACAGCAAAGAGAGTTATTAAAAAGAGATATTCCTCTTGATTCCCAGGCTTCAGGTGACTGAGATTCTCAGGGGTGATAAGCCCATATCTTGGGTGAATAATCTATCCTCAAAGGAAAAAATCTTCATGGCTCTGGAACTCTGGCTTTAAAAAGTTCTCTTTCTCCTTGTTTCCTCTCATCCACCTTGTTGTTATTAACATCTATGTATTTCAGATTCTAAAAAGTGAAGACCTCAACAGAGACTGAAACACCGAATATTCAGTAGTGAAAGATGTGGTTAGTGAGTAGCAACAATTCCATCTCTTTCCATCTAAATGCAGTTTAGCAAGAAGCAGTTCCTCAGAATCCATCTCCTACGGGAACTAACATTTATGATTTGCTATAGATCAGGCCCTGCTGTAAGTGCTTTTCATGTATGAACCCATTTAATACATCAACCATATGCATGGGCACTCTCTTTATCTGCAGTTTTCCATGAGGAACAGTTAACATGTCTAAGTCACGCCAGGGGACAAAGTCACCCGAGCCTGTTCTCTTTACTGTTAGGTCACACCACCCTCTTCTTCTGTGGAGCTCCCAGGGAAGATTGCTTAGAGCTTCTTGAGAAGCTGTTATTTCTGCTTATCTTCTGGTGGGGTCTTTTGTTCTTGTGTGGCCTGCCACCACCCTGCACCTGGTGACCTGGACCATGGGTGACCATAACCATGAACCATCAATAGTTATGGCTCACACTTCCATATTCTGACTTCTGCCAAGCCCTTCCTCTGGATTCTCTCTTCGCTGGCCCACAGTAATCCTCTGTGGTAGCTACCAGAACGATCTTCATTTTATAGAAGAGAAAACTAACAGGCACAAAGGTTAACGAGCATGCCAATGTCAAAAGATCAGGAAGACAGCAGAGCTTGGGGTCAGTCTGCCCCCAAGGAATCCAGCTTCAGGGCCCACGCTCTGAGCTACTATGCCAAGCCAGCTGCCTTGATTACAAGGAGGGCTTCTCCATCCCCCCAGCTCAGGGAGGGCACCTAAGGCCAGAGTCAAAACCATTTATGGAATTTCTGCTCTACTCTGCATTTGTCATACATCCTGAATTCTTGGACTGGTCAGGAGGCAAGAAAAGCCTGTTCAAAGGAAAAAGTGTATGGATAGGGGATAGGGAGAGGCCATAGCTTTTATGACATTTGTATGAATGCTCTGTCTCAATCCTGAAGCAATTAATGCATAACAGAAGAACAAAATCTATTCTTGGTCACACACAGTGACTTATTTCGTAGTATCTGCAGTGGCCAGAGAGCACGTTCTCATAAATGGCCTGTCCTGGGCATCACAATCTTTATAATCATCTCAGTCTGTGCTGTTGGAAGATGTTTTTGTTTGCTACTGAGTCAACTATGTACCAACTTTTACATCCCAGTCCCTTCCCCAGAAAGAAAGAAAAACCTCAGAACCTCAGTTTTTAAAGCCTGATACCTGGTCAGTCATGTCCAATTCTAAGCGACCCTATAATAATTCATATTGAAGGGAAGAGAAGGTTTTCCTTGCTTTGAGGTTTGCAGCTATTACAGACTGTATTTGTAAATCCCTCATTCCTGTCTAGGACAAACAGGAGATGAAGGAGAGGAGAAGAACCCTTCGGCCTCACAGGATGGGGTGAGAGGAAAATCAGCACAAAGAAAAATATGCCACTAGTTTTATTTGTACCATTTTAAGATGCCATGACAACAACAAAAATAATGTACAAGTAATAGGATTAAGTAGCAGGGGATATTAACATCTGGAATGGATAAAGAGGCATAAGTTCGTTTATATTTTCATGGTTGTGCATAAATGGTACGTTTCAGTTTACGATTACAAATTATAGCAATTCAAAATAACGTTTGTGTGTTATATGTTCAGTTTGCAGAATTCTTTCATATGCATTAACCCATTTGAGCACCCCAAATGAGCATCATATCCTTGTGGCAGGTATGAGAACTACCCCCATTTAACAAATACAGAAACACAGACTTACAACGGGGAACTGGCTTACCCAAGGTCACACAGTTAGCAACAGGTCAATCTCGTACTTGAACCTAAATCTTATAGGTTCACAACCCATCCTGAATATAGGGGAGAACAGCCTTATTTTGTAGTGCTAAGCTGGTGAGGCCTGGGGCAGTAGAACATCTGTTATTGTACTGTGACTTTATGTGCTGATGTCTTTAGGGACTATTGTCTTTGGGTGAGAGTGTAAGGGGATGCAGGCTACATGGCCCCAACACGATTTTTTCTTTTTCTTTTTCTTTTTTGTTTTTTTGAGACGGAGTTTCACTCTCGTTGCCCAGGCTGGAATACAATGGCATGATCTCGGCTCACTGCAAACTTTGCCTCCCAGGTTCAAGTGATTCTCCTGCCTCAGCCTCCCAAGTAGCTGGGATTATAGGCGCGTGCCACCACACCTGGCTAATTCTTGTCTTTTTAGTAGAGACAGGGTTTCACCACGTTGGCCAGGCTGGTCTCGAACTCCTGGCCTCAAGTGATCAATCCACCTCACCCTCCCAAAGTGCAGGGATTACAGGTGTGAGCCACTGCACCCAGCCCAAGATTTTTTATTTCTTGTGACTATATTTTATACCTTTTTCTGCTCCTCCTGTTCCATTTGACTGTCAGCTGTCATTTTTGCTGACCATGGCACCTCTAGAGCAGTGATCCTCAAAGTATGGTTGGTGAGCCAGCAGCATCAGCATCACCTGAGAACTTGCTAGAAATGCAAATTCTCAGGCCCTGCCCCAGACCTACTGAATCAGGAACTCTGGGGATGGGGCCCAGCCATCTGTGTTTCAATGAGCCCTCCAGGTGATTCTGCAGCTGCTAAGTCTTGGGAGCTGCTGCTCCACAGCAACTATTCACAACCTTGGCTGTCCTTGGGAATCCCCTGGGACCCTTAAAGACTACTAATGCTTATGTCCCAACTCCAAAGATTCTAATTTTGTTGGTCTAGGACACAGTTTTTTAACCTCAGCACCAGTGATATTTGGGTGGGGGGATGATTATTTGTTGGGGTTGTCTGTCCTGTACATTGCAAAATGTTTAGCAGCATCCCAAGCCTCTACCCCTAGATGCGAGTAGCACACCCACCCCCAGCTGTAATAACTAAAAATATCTCAGACATTGCCAAGTGTTCCCTGTGGTGGTGGGGGGAAGGGGGATGGCAAAATTGTCCCCTGGTTGATAAGCACTGGCCTAGGGTGATGGCCAAGGCACTGGGATATGGAAGAGCTCCCAAAATCATTCTAATATACAGGCAACACTGAGAACTATGCCTCTGGAGAGTCTCTATTAATGAACAGCTCTGGATGTGCAATGGGCCAGAGCACAATAAGAGCTAAGCTTTACACCACTGGGTGTAGAGTGAGAATCAGTCCCCCTGTGGTGGAGACTCAGGCAGTTTGCTGAGGACTAACACACATGAGCTTTAGGGCATAAATTTCACAACTTTTTGGCTCCTTACATTTTTGTTTACTTTCTGGTTGTCAGGTATGTTCTAGAAAACTAATGTAAACAGATATGTTCCCCATACTTAAGAGGTCCCAACCAATGAGATCTTGCATTGCACTAAATATAGTGGTGAATGTACATCCTCCATCTGGCTCTATCCATTCTACAAACAGGGTGCATATCAGTGTATCATATGGTACAAGTTCTTCCCTAAATCTGTTTTTAATGGGTTAAAACATGCAGCTTGTCAATTCTATGATGTTGATTTTGATACAATCCAAATCAACCACACAAATGCAAAATTCCTATATTAATCTCTGCTGTTTAGAAGAGCTTTCATTTTCAGGTGGGGATCAGGGGCTTTAACTATATTTCAACTATAGAAAAATTCCCTGAGTTAGAACAAAGACATGTAAAATCCTGGCCCAGCAGATTGCCTTCTGTGTCTCCACGATTCTTTCTGTGGTGTTCTTCTGTGATCTGCTTGAGAAGAGGAGAACATGATGTACATTTAGACCATGGGATGTGCCTCACCTCCAAGGGCCTGCCCTGCAGCTCTTAGGAAGGTGGGCAGTCTCATCACAGCCCAAAGTGAGATGTCTCCAAGCAAAGAGTAAATGGCAGCCTCTCTTCAGCCTAGACTCTTAAATAGCACAGTATTCTCCCACTTCCTCAAACAACTCGATGGTAGGTTTCTTTCAACATAAAGAGTGGGAGCACTACTTTGAGACACTGATAAACAACTTTCAAATAGAAAATAAATTTCAAAGTGAATGTGTTTTCAGGGCAAAATTGGTACTGTCTCATTTCAAACTATGAAAATATGATCTGATTTAATGAGTTGGAGTCATCCATTCATCCAGCACCTACTATGTGCTAGGTACTGTGTAATGTCCTTGGAAATTATAAATATGAGGGTGGCAAATTATAAATATTAGGGTACATAGACTCTTGTAGCAAAAATAAGCTATGACTGATCTGAGGTGCCTGATTAACCCTTTGAACCAATACGACTCGTCAGCTTGTCAGACTCTTTTGGGTTTTGTTTTGTCTTGTTTTGTTTTGTTTTTTTCATTGAATTGACAGTTGCTTGTTAACATTAGTGAAATCAGTGAGTTCTTTGCCATGGTCTAGGATGTATTCTCTTAAACAGTTACTTATTTATTCCTCTCCTAGTCTATTTCATTAACATGCTTTTAAAAATCAAAACTTTTTGATTAAGCAATAGAATTGCTCTCCAGAAAATTACTCCAGGAAAAAAAGATCATAATGGAGTACTAAAAGATATTATTTCCATATGTTCCCACTTGTTTTCTTTTTGTAAAAAAAAAAAGCATATGCTTCTATGTACATAGGATGTTTTCTGGAAGAAAACACACTTAGCAATTAACAGTGGTTGCCTTTGGGCAGGGAGTTTGGGGGCCTTGACTGGAAGGGAGACTTAACTTTGCATTATATAAGCTTTTATACAGCTTAATTTTTACCATCTTATGTATTATATTTTTAATTTTAAGTGCTAGTAAATAACAGGATGCATTCCCAGTAGTCCTTCAGAAGCTCCAAGTGCTTCTGCTAAATAAGAGAAAACCAGTGAGCCCCACTGTTTGCCTCCATGAGGACTCCTGCTCCTGCTCTTGCTCCAGCAGAGCAAGCTGAAAGGACACTTTGAATGTAGGACTGCTCCAACACTGGTTCCATGGAAGAGATTAACAAGCGGGTTCTACTTGAGGTTAGATAGTTAATGAGGGCCTCTTTGAGGAAGCCACATGGAACCAGAGAGGAAAAGGAAAAGAGGGGGACGTTGCCTACAGGCAGGGACCTAATTTCCTCCTAGCAGCATTGGACACTTACTACCCATACATCCTTTCAGAATGAAGGACATACAAGTTAGGGAAGTCTACACAGTGATTACACCTAATAATTTTCTCCAATGATTTCTTTCCTTCCCCTTTATCTATAATTCCCAAGAAGAATCAATGCTCACTCCTAGGAAAAGGAAAAAGAACACCACCACCAACACCACACCTATTTGTCTCAAAGAAAGACAATTCCATGATCTTTTTTGCTTCCCACTGATTCCATGATGTCTTTCCTCTCTGTCCTTCTTTATGCCTAACCCTAACCTAATCCTAGTTAAAAGTTTAAGGAAGCATGTAAAAGGAAAAAATGTAATTGAGATTGGAAGAATCTGAGAGAATCCATGTTCATTTGTGGTTTTTCTGGATCATTTTCTTAGCACTTGCCACTGAGACCTTCACAGGATTTCAGAGTCTCCCTTATTAAGCAAGAACATCTTTTTCTTTTCTTTCATTGTTAGATGTGTGAATTGGGAAATCCATTCATGTGGATTATCAGGGTCCTCTTAATCTCCGGGAATGAACAAACAAACAATTCAACTGTTCCAGAGTATATCCCATAACCGTGCCTACACTGTTTTAATTACATATATCTGTGGTCTTTGAAGAATTATAATTCTGAGCCAGAATTCTAAATTCTTATTCTATAAAAAGTAGTTTTCAGGTTTTCTTGTTTTTATAGGGTGATTCATCTCAGAAATAGTGTTTTATGTCTTTACTTGCACCAAGCATTAATAACCAGCAGTCAGCAATGGCATAATTATTTGTCAGCTTCATGAAAACCATAAGAAATGAAGGCAGTGTTTGTGCAAAGAGTTTTGTGGTTGTCCTTGGACAAAAGTTTATGAGGAAATTTTGAGAAGACACCAATCGAGACTGTTTATAGTGAGATGAAGAAGAAACCAGAGGCACTATTGGATTAAAGAAAAAGGTTATTTTCAAAAACTATTTAGAAGAAAGGAAGTAATCACGAAAACTAAAGAGAGAAAACCTCTATAATGAAGTTTTATAGGGTCTTAGCCAAAAATCACAGAGTGAGAGACTGCCCTGTGTAACCAAGTTCTCATTCTTTATCTACGGGGTACTGGTTTCCCAAACTCTTTCAAAGGACTCGTGTTATGGATCACACTGACCATGGAATTAAACCTCACATCATCTTTTGGAAATAGTAGAAAAGAAATTCAAAGCTTAGCTTAGAGTTACTATGGCAAAAAGAACTTTTCAAAAAAAAAAGAAAAAGGAGTTTGTCAAGTTAGTAGGATACTGTTTCCTAGTGAGTTAAGTTTAAATTGAGTCACTAAGCAAAAAATTAGAAAGGAAATCAATACCATTTTCACACTTGAAAAGGCATCATATGTTCAGCAGGAACTTCCTTCCCCCTTTTAGGTAGCTGAGCTATTATTTAAGCCCATGCTCCTAGTATAATACCTAATTAGACAAATACAGAGTACTGGTAGCTATTGTTATGTGTCTGCTACCCAGCACAGCCACTAGAGGGTGTCCACTCTTGCCTTGCAAACAAGGTTGGAAATTGTCAACATGGAAGAACAGATTTTTCTGCATGTGATACCAACAGATCAAGGTAACCACATTTTTCTGTATAGTAAGGGGAAGTTTGAGCCTAAATAGAGAAAAGCCACTTACATCACATCTACTGAAGCAGAGTCAGCCCCTTAAGCACAGAGGAAAATGTAAGTTCAAAGTGGCTTTAGGTGTTAGCTAGCTGCCAAAATTAGTAGCTTCTACACCACTTTGTTTTTTTCCAGTATTCTCCCTAACCTTTCATTCTTAATTTCAGAGACAATATAATCTGCCAATTCCAGTAGTTGAAATTATTTGCTTTACTCATGGTTTAGTAAGCACAGATAAAAAACCACTGTCGGCTTCTCAGTTGAGCTGTCTCCCAAAATCCCAAACTTTTACTACTGTTTGAAAAGTAGGCAGCGTGACTAGTTGATGTGAGATCAAAGGCACATCTCTTCTGTTATTAAATTGTATTATATAACTATAATATATTTAATATATATGTATTATATTAATACACTATATTGATTTTTATGTATTAAATATATATCACAATATATTCATGTTACTACATATTAATAATAATAAATTATATCTGTATATCTTTCCAGACTAAAAATTGCTGAGGCTTTAAAATACGAAAGAAAAAAATAACAATTCTAATACTCTTTTGCTACAGTGCTAACTGAAAAGCACTGTGAATAAAATTTAGAAGTTGGGACGCATAACTAAAACTGTAAGTGCCCACATGCTCCGTGCCAGCTCTACCATTTCTTACCACTGTGTCTCCTTCTTTCAGCTGCTGGCTGGGCGCTGGCCTTTTGATCACAATGACTTTGGCGTATTTCTTTGCAAGCTGTTCCCCTTTTTGCAGAAGTCCTCGGTGGGGATCACCGTCCTCAACCTCTGCGCTCTTAGTGTTGACAGGTAATGTGGTTCTTTCCCTTTGCTCTTTGGCTGGGCTTAGAAAAGCATTTTTCTCAAAAAGAAGAAAAGTCAAGAGAATTCGTGCCCAGGACAGCTGTTGATTAGCTTCAAGTGAATTAAAGCATTAACCATCTTGCCTTTGCTGTTTAGAATTGCCTTCCACATTTGCTGATTATTAGCCATCTTTGGCTCAGACAATTATGTACCTAGAGCATTTTATCAAGAATACCCATTTGACGCCCTTTTGGCAATAAAGTGAAAATTAACATATTAGATGGAATAAACTTTGTGAAAAGGAGATTCCAGGATATGCAAATCCTATATTTCACCTGGTAAATTTATCATAAAAAAAGATACTGTTCAATTATATCTGTAATGTTTAATTAATTGAGTGAGAGGTAAGTGCACCATATTGCTATGTTCTTCACCCTGCCTTTTTGAAAGACTGAAATGTTTCATAAGTTTTAAAAAGAGTGCAACACCAGAAGCATCCCTTTATCCAATTCTGAAAACTCCATCAAATGTCCCGAAGTCTTTCCAGAATCCGCACGCATGATTGTTAAGCGTTCTCTAAAGAAGCCCTTCTGAATTCTGTGAACTTCTAGATGGTATTTTCTTTACCTTCTGGTTTTCATAGCAGCAATTATAAGAATGAAATTAGGAACTTTATAACACATTCTGTGGCACTCTTTTATATTTACTATAATCTCACACAAGTGGTGTATAATGGCCTATTTAATTAGCCTACATACAATTTAGAAGAGGTTTTCATTCTAACTCATTCCCTGACAATCACTTTATCAGGGAACCTGAGTCTCATCATTATAGAAATAAAAGGCTCACTCTTCTAAAGAACATTAAAGAGTTTACAGATATTCTGTTATTTTACATTTATAATTATTGTTAGGACAAAAATTGTTACTGTTAAAACATAAAAATGTGCATTCAATCAGCAATTAGAAAATTAGAATGGTATCCTTGTTATAAATTTATGTCAGCTGGGCACGGTGGCTCACACCTGTAATCCTAGCACTTTAGGAGGCCAAGATGGGCTGACTTCTTGAGCCCAGGAGTTTGAAACTAGTCTGAGTAACATAGGAAAACCCCATCTCTACCAAAAATACAAAAAATTAGCTGGACATGGTGATGCATGCCTGTAGTCCCAGCTATTCAGGAGGCTAAGGTGGGAGAATCACCTGAGCCCAGGAATAAATAAATAAATAAATGGCTATAACTGTGAAACACAAAATAAAAATGTTATTAAAAATAAAACACAAAAAATAATTTCATTAGTAATTTAAAACACAATCATACCATTGACAAAAATGTTCCCATTGCAATGGTAAACACAAAGATCAGAAATAACCTTATCATCTATTAATAATACCCTTCAGTGATTTGTAGGAAAGTCTAGGGTCTCTTTGGGTTACATCTACATTATATTAGATGTTAAAGGCTGCTGCATAAAAACACTTACATACCATAGGTGGCCACTATATAATCTTGAGATCATGGTACCTTAGACCATAAAAAGCTGAATAAACACTTATGATGTGGATTTGATTCACTAATAAATTCTCACTCTGATGTTCCCACTCCCAGCATCCCAATATCATTTCTTCTTTCATTCAAAATGTTATATTATCTAAAAATTAAAAGCATTAAATTGCACCTATTACATTGCTAATACAAGTAAAATTTTTCCTGTATTCATCAAGCTGCATATCATCAAGTTACATTTCTTTCAGAGATGTAACCATGTATTTTCATTATAATATCTAATTAAATTTTTTAGTTATAACTCTAAAATTCATGTAGAGAAAAGAAATGGGAAAATAATCATGACATTTTGAAAAAAGAACAATGTGTCCTACACACATGTTCTTCCTATATGATTTTTCTTTTTATTAAAATACAGGGTCTTGCTCTGTCACCCGGACTAGAATGCAGTGGCCTATATGGTCATTTTAAATGCTATAAAGCTACAATGTTTTAAACAATGTAATGCAAACCCATGAACACACTGACAAATCAGTGGGAAAACTCGACTCAGGTGCTGGAATACACAAGAATGTATTAATAATATAGGCTGAAATCACTTTGAATATAATCGGGGGAGGAAAGATTTATCAATAAATTATGCTATTTAGCCATCTGAGGGAAAAAGCATGTTAAAGTCTTCTGTACATATCAATAATAATATTTATAATTATTACCATTTATTGAATATTACTAAGTGTTAGGCCCTATTGAAAATACTTTACAAAAATTAGTTTAGGGCTGGGTGAGGTGGCTCATGCCTGTAATCCCAGCACTTTGTGAGGCCAAGGTGGGCAGATCACTTGAAGCCAGGAGTTCAAGACCAGGCTGCCCAACAGGTGAAACCCCATCTCTACAAATAATACAAAAATTAGCCAGGCATGCTGGTAGGCATCTATAGTCCCAGCTGCTTGGGAGGCTAAGGCACAAGAATCGCTTGAACCCGGGAGGTGGAAGTTGCAGTGAGCCGAGATTAGACAACAGCAGCTGCACTCCAGGCTGGGGGATGGAGTGAGACTCTGTCTCAAAAAAAAAAAAAAATTAGTTTATGTAACTGTGATAGTTGGTGTGTTATCTCCACTTTACAGATAGGGAAGCTGAGGTTGAAAGAGATTAACCAAGTCAGCATGGCTACTAAGTGCTGGAGCCACTAATCAAATGTTGGTAGTCTGCATTCTTAACCACTATACTCAAGCATGTAAAAACTCAAACCATTGTTGATGAAGAAAGCCAAACTCTGAATAATAGTTGAAGAGATGTATTCTGAACCAAATGTGAAGACCATGACCCGTGACACAGCCTCAGGAGGTCCCGAGAACCTGTGCCCAAGGTTGTTGAGTTACAGTTTAATTTTATACATTTTAGGGAGACAGAAGTTACAGGCAAAAACATAAATCCATACACGTAAGGTTTACAGTGGTTTGGCCTGGAAACATGGGACATCTTGAAGTGGAGGTTGGGTGAGGAGGGCAGGGTGGTGCTTCCACGTCACAGGTGGATTCAAAGATTTCCTGACTGGCATTTAGTTGAAAGAGTTAAGTTTTGTCTAAAGATTTGAAGTCAGCAAATGCTGACAAGAAGTGCTTGGGGTTAGGATAAGGGGGTTGTGGAAGCCAAGGTTCTATGTAGATGAAGCCTCCAGGTAGTATGAGAATAGATAGTAAATGCCTCTTATCAGATCTTAAAAGGTGCCAGACTCTTAGTTAAATCTCTCCTGGATCAGGAAAAGACCTGGAAATGGAAGGGAATAATCTACAGAATGTAAATTTTCTCCACAAGAGATGCCTATACAGGGCCATTTCAAAATAGGTCAAAGAAATATATTTTGGAGTGAAATACTTCTATTTCTTTCAGGGCCTTCTCTCTGTCACGTGATGCTATACTAGAGTGTGCTTGGGATTTGGTATGTCACTGCTACAGAGAGTCTGTTTTGTTGGGTGTTTGTTTTTTTTTGTTGTTGTTGTTTTTTTGTTTTTTTTGTTTTTTTTTTTGAGATGGAGTCTTGCTCTGTGGCCCAGGCTAGAGTGCAGTGGCTTGATCTCGGCTCACTGCAAGCTCCGCCTCCCAGGTTCACGCCATTCTCCTGCCTCAGCTTCCCGAGTAGCTGGGACTACAGGTGCCCACCACCACGCCCGGCTTATTTTTTGTATTTTTAGTAGAGACGGGGTTTCACCGTGTTAGCCAGGATGGTTTCGATCTCCTGATCTCGTGATCCACCCGCCTCAGCCTCCCAAAGTGCTGGGATTACAGGCATGAGCCACCGCGCCCGTCCTGTTTTGTTAGTCTTAAGATCTGTTCTAACGTTAATGCTGGCCTGTTGTGCCTAAATTCCAAAGAGAGGAAAGTATGAAGAGGCAGGTCTGACATCCCCTTCCCATCATGGCCTGAACTCGTATTTTAGGTTTCTTTGAAATCCCCTTGGCCAAGAGGAGGAGTCCATTCAGTCATTTGAGGGGCTTAGAATTTTATTTTTGTTTATACCATAAAGGAGTAGAAGAAAATAGACTATCTTTTTGATCTCTGGAAAGGGAAGGAAGACCCTTCTGAACTTTAAAAGAATGGTAGAAATGCTGGACAAAATTATAAATGTATTTTAAGATATAGTATTTTAAAACCTTTGGATTAAACATTCATAAAACTTAAAAAAAAAAAAAGTAGTAAGCTAGGAAAAATTGTCACTCCTCCCACAGGCCCAGGGTGCAGAGCTGGTTCCTCCTCACTTTTTTGTTCTGCCTCCTCTTTCTTCCTTGGGGGGATCTAGGAGCATCATGCGGAGCTTCAGTCATGCCCAGTGTTGAGTCGGGGAGATACTGGGAAAGTTAGGTCATAGATTCCTATATCTAGTGTCGGGTCACCTCACCCAATACCACCTCCTCTCTTCATCTCATGCATGAAGAAAAAGAAATAAGATGTTCCATCACGATAAATAGTTGTGTATCAAATGAAATGTGAGTCATTCTTAGTTAAAAAGAAAGGAAGGACTGAAGGAAGGAGGGAAGGAAAAGAAAGAAAAGAAAAAAAAGAAAAGAAAGTAAGAAAAAATGATGCCAAGAATCTATCTCATTAAGATTTGATCTGAGTTGTAGATCAAGGAAATGAACTATTTTAAAATTCCACTCTCACAAAAATCAGCCTTAATCCAAAAGGTCTTTCCTTGAAAATAAACTAATCATTCTTTGTTCCCTAGACACACACTTTACTATTTTTACATTTCATTTGGTATTGACCCTAAGCTTCAGGACTTGTATGTAGGGAATCTATTTGACATTTCTATTTCAAAAGCTTTCACACGAGAGAATGAATCATTCACACTTAATTCCTGAAGATAAGATTCCATTTGCTTTAACTCTTAATTTGGTTGCATTATATTCTACTACTACAAAAAAAAATAAAAATAAAAAATAAAAAACACTTTTTAAAATGAAACAAGGAATGAAAAGGGAGTTTGGAACCTGTTGCAGTTTGTGAATCCCTGCTTTCATTTTATGAGCTGAATAAATTATGGCCCAGGACAAAGAGTTCCCATGATTTTTTTACACAGTATTTTAAAAACATAATTATCTCACATTTCAGAGTTGTTTGAAAGAAAATGAGAGAAACCTTACATCCAAGTTCTATAGGATTTCTTTATTACTTCGTCAATCAATGATTACAGAATGATGTAAGATCAAAGAAAATATCTAGCTTTCTCACTATCAGCTTTTAATCTGAATAAGCTAAACAGGACTGAGAGAAAGCACATGATTTCTGCCAGAATGGATAGGCTTTCATTGCTAATTTCAACTATGGACTTGTCTCAGTTTAACCTTTTGAATAATTCCTCCGCAAATCTAGTTTCACATCCTTGGTCATTTGAGAAAAAGACAAATCAGGAACTGAAGAAATTCAGAAACAAATTTTGACCCCTATCCAGCTTTCTTGTTGAATTATCTTTTTAATTCTAAGGCAGTATACTTCTATAATGAATAAACTTTTCCCAACAAAAATGAATAACCAGCCATTACCAGCTATTAAAATAGTTATTTTTACATGCTGAAAGTGACAAGTTTTATATATTACTTTGAGTTTGTTTGGAGGCAAAAAAAAAAAAAGCAGCAGCAGGAGAGGGGTAGGAGGGATCACTGTTGATCTTTGCAAAATCGTGTTAAAGTGGAAGATGATGATGATGGGGTCAGACCAGTAAAAAGGTCTGGGTACAGATCCAACTTGTTAAAAGTTGCCTGGGGAAGAAGGCTATAAAAAGATAAAACTCTTTTAACAACTATTCCAGAGTGATGTGTTATTAGATACTTGGAAAAGTTGCAAAGATCCATTAATGAGGCAGCTTTGTTTTATATGGCTGAAAAGCTGATGTCAGTTCTTGAACCCATCATTTCAAATAATTGATCAGTGGTCTCTGTGATATTCTCAAAGGTATATCCTAACTCAAGAAACATGAAGGTGGTTTTCAGAAAAACCTCTTTGTTAGAGTTGGACTTGGTTTCTCCTTATTTTCCTGGTGTTATGGTTTTCTATTGCACCATGACAATAGTGAAGACACAGAGGAAGGGTCTGAGCCAGAAGACATGAGCAGGGAACTGGACAAAGTCCAAGGCTGGCTAGGGCAATAGGATCTTATTTGGGAGTCTGTTCACTATCGTACTGAGTTATTTGTTCTTTTATCTTATTCTATTGTCAAGATCAGGCAACTGGTTAATTTTGCTACCCCACTTCTCTTTGATAACTACCCCAAAACTTAGCAATTCAGAACAACAACCGTTTTATCATATCTCACCATGTTGAAGGTCAGGAATTTGGGCAATTCTTCTGCTCCTTGTCACGTCACCTGGGGTTGGTGGACTTCAGCTGACTCTGAGCTTGTGTCAGAGGTCCAACACTCACATGCCTGGCACCTTGGCAGGGACAGCTGGATGTCTGAGCTCAGCAGAGCCCATCTCCCCCTCCATGTAGTCTCAGGGTCCTCTCTGTTTTTGCTCCAGCAGGCTCAAGGCTCCTTTCAGAGGCCAGACCTGGAACTGCAAAACATCATTCTAGCCACACTCAATTGATCAAAGTAGTCACAGGCCAGCTCAATTTAAGAACTCAACTGAAGAAGTGGTAAAGCATTTGCAGCTGTCTTTTAATTCACCACACCTGATTCTCTTCTAAATTGGAATTGGCCAAGCAGTTGCAGTGGCTCAGCCTTAGGAGGCCGAAGCAGGAGGATGGCTTGAAGTCAGGAATTCAAGACTACCCTGGGCAACATAGCGAGATCCTTGTCTCTACAAAAAATATTTTTAAAAATTAGCCTGTCATGGTGGTGGGCACCAATAGTCCCAGCTACTAGGGAGCCTGAGATAGGAGGATCCCTTAAGGGAGTACAGGTTCTGGAGGCTACAGCTATGATTGTGCCACTGCACTTCAGCCTGGATGACAGAGTAAGACCCTATCTCTAAAAAAGAATTCTTCCTGCTAGCATTTAGCTTCCAAACCTCCATATGGTATGAGAGATATAAATCATTAACAACCATTACAAATGATCAAGTTTGCTGTTAATTAAAGATGTGCAGAGGTAAAGATAGGGGCGGCACTGTACCTTATGGAAGTGGTAAATAAGAATAAATAATAAATTCTAACACAGGCAAGCATTCATTAACAGGCACTTGGTAGAAACTTCTTTCTTAAGGCACTTCAGCCACCTATTTATTCCCTGATCCAGTAATCCCACTCAAGATAATTAATCCAGAAAAATCATTCAGAAAGAGAAAAAAAATTATGTGTACAAACAAGCTTATAGGCGTCTTATTCACAGCTGTGAAACACTAGAAATGATGTGAACATAGAAAAAAAATTCAAGTAAATTATATCAAAATCTTGTTATACTGTGTAGCCATTAAATTGATAAGGGCCACGCCCGTGTAGAAACATAGGAGAGTATTTTTAATGTAAATAAAGCTAAAATTTAAAAATTGTGAGTCATATGATTATAGTCTATTCAAACTATGCCTGTGAGAATCAAAACAAGAAAAGAATAAAAAAATAGATTTTGTTGAAGTGGTATCTTTTTAATTTGTTTTATTTTATAATGTTTTAAAGTTCTTTCAAGAATAAACATTTTTAAACTTAATGACTATCCCAGACCACACCTTCAAGATTCAATAAACATGCATTAAATGCCTCTGGCCTTAATAACATGTAAAAATCTATTTATAGGCACACGCACTAACAAACATCTTTACATGAATAAAATATATATTTTATACTTTTATTTTGGCCTATCACATGACAGGGTACAAGGTGATATAATGCAAAAAGGCTCTACCGGGAGTTGGCAGCCCTGAGCCATGGTCCAGACGCCCCAGGTTCACTGGAGACCAGGCAGAGGATGCGACAAGATGCCAGCTCTCAGGTTCCCAACTGGAACATATGGGGCAGAAAGATCAGCCCATAGATCCCTCCTTTAAATTATTGAATCTGGTCCTCTAAAAGTATTAGCTTTTAATCTGTGGCCTAATTCATGGCTAGCTTGAAAAATAGGAAAATGATCAGAATGTAGTGTGCTATTAGCTTTAGCCAATTAAGGTAAGGTAAGGTTACACAGTACATCTGTGTAAACATAACTCTTAGAATTATGCTGACTGATTCTTCACCAGAATTCCCTAGAGATTAAGAATTCCCTAGCCAATTAAGGTGAGGTAAGGTACATGCATGGTAACAGGCATGAAAACGCCAACAAAAAGACACTTCATTCAACAGGTATTTATTTGGCACTTGTTGTTCTAGGTATTGTGACCAACATACAAAATGTCAGCCTTTATGAAGCTTATATGCTTTTTTTCACTTTTTTCTTTTCTTGCTTTCTTTTTTTTTTTTTTTTTTCAGACAGGGTCTTACTCTGTCACCCAGGCTGGAGTGCAGTGCCATGATCAGGGATCGCTGCAGGCTCAACCTCCCTGGGCTCAGGGGATCCTCCCACCCCAGCCTCCCAAGGGAATATAGGCATGCACCACCATGCCTGGCTAATTGTTGTATTTTTGTAGAGATGGAATTTCACCATGTTGCCCAGGGTGTCAAGCGATCGCCCCCCTCAGCCTTCCAAAGTGCTGGGATTGCAGGCATGAACCATCGCACCCGGCTGGGAACTTACATTCTAAAGGAGAGGGGAGAGCATAGATGATAAACCAAATAAATAAATAGAACATTGTTGGTCACATTGTAGTGCTATGGGGAAAAATGAATCAGGGTGAGAGAGACAATTCTGGAGGGGGAGTTGGCAAACTTAAGTAGGGTCTCCAGGGAAGGCTTCTGTGAAAACTGCAATTGAGTAAAAACCGGAAGGAAGTGAGGAAGCAGCTCTGAGGACACCTGTAGGCATTCTCACAGGGGTGGGAAGCCACTGGGGGGTTTGGAGCAGAGGGTGCTATGGTCTGACGTAACAGCCTCACTCCAGTTGCTATGTTCTGACGTAACAGCCTCACTCCAGTTGCTATGTTCAGACGAGGCTGTGGCAAAGCAAGGTGGACATAGGAAGATCAGTTAGGAAGCTATGGCAATCATCAAGGCACTGCGATAACAGGTACGATGGTGAAAAGTGGTTGCATTTGGATATATCTTGAAGGAAGTTGTTGCAAGATTTGCTGAAGGATTGGATGTGTGGTGGAAGAGGAGTGAAATCTAACCCAATGTTTGGGGCCAGAGATGGGAACAACTGCAGAAAGGTTTAGCCACAAGGAAGACAAGGAGTCTGATTTGGGAGTGTTTAGATGCCTGTTAGGTGTCCTAGTGGAGCTCGCAAGTAGGCAGTTGGAGGTACAAGTCTAGAGTTAAAGGTGAGGCACCAGGCTAGAGGTATAAATTTAGGAATTACCGCTAGATGGATAGTTAAATGACATTAAAGCCACGAGACTAGATGAGATCACCAAAGGAGAGCGCATAGACAGAAAAAACGTCTGAGCACTAAGCCCTCAGACAAATCCAATACTAAGAATTTGTGGAGAAAGCGGGGTCCAGCCAGGTAAATGAGAAGGAATGGCCAGTAAGTCAGAAGGAAAACTGGGAGATTGTGGTGGAAATCAAGTGAAGAAAGCATTTCAGAGAGGAGGGATTCTTTCTGGAACAGCAGTTGTCAGTGGTGGAATCTACACTTGCAGATTTTCCATGACAACTGAAGATGTCATGGATATACAGAGAGAGATGTATATACATACTGACTAGATGGAAGGCTATTTATAATCGCACCTCATGAGAAAAGCATATTTGTGTGTCAGTGTGTTGTGCCATTATATTCAAAATAGAAATCAGTTTTGAAACATCCAGTGTTTCATGGTTTCCATACATTTCCCCACCTCCATTATCACAAATGATTGTTCCTAATTGTTCTTATGGCTGTTTTCCCCTTATCTCATGGAGATGTTATCGAGATCTGTGTGATTATAAATGGAAAATATTCTAATTTTCAGTGAGTGGGTTAATGAAGGAGCAGACTGATCATGAATTATTTGCTAAACTAGACTCTAAAAATGACTTCTACTTATTTGTGAATGTTGAATTTACATTGGATTATGGATGTGTAATATTCTGGGAACTCATGGCGCTTTATAAAAATGAAGTTGGTCTGTGAACATGTTCATCATAAGAACATGTTGACCACATTTTATTCCTTAAGCCACTTTTCACCCCAAATCCTGGCAAGGAAATCAGGTTTTCTTACTCTCTAATGAAACAGGGTGTTTTATTTAAATCACCTTCCCTGGTAAACAACCTGAGAGAAGGGAAGAAGAAATAGATGTAACTCCGTTGACAGCCTTGGGATATAGACATCCTGTCTCCATTCCTCTTAGCTTTACTGGGTATCAGGCTGCCAGTTTAACAAGGGAACAAAGAAAAATAAACAATGATTTTTATCCCACTGGACAATTTATGGAAATAACCATAAATTTTAAAATTCAATCTTGATTATATCATAAAAGGATTTTCTTGGTCTGTTTGCATAGCTGTATTTTATCCCATTTTGAAATAATCTGGACTTTTTTGAGATTTGTATTGTACACAAATCTTATTTACCCTAAAAATCTTTTATAAAACATTTCTCCAGTAAATTGTGCTATATAATATGCCATGTGGCATCATCGTAAAATACCCAAATCTGTACATGCTCATCTCTAGGGAATTCTGGTGAAGAAACAGTCAACATAATTCTAAGAGTTGTGTTTTCACAGATGTACTGTGTAAATGTACTGAGACAGTACACTAAATATAACTGATGGGGGCTTGTCTTGGTGGATATGGGTAGCTTGTATGTTGCCTTGGCTTTATTGATTAATCTTCTACATTACTTTGCATGTCCTGCAAACCCATGAGCACCTGTCTCCAATGCATTCGGTCTGTTTTACAGCCTTCTGGCACTATCTAATGAAAACTATAAAACGAAAATGTTTCTTTTCCATTACGGCAGCAACAAAAATTTCAGGAATGAGGCCACAAAAATACCATACCACGTCACAGGTCTCTTCTTAATAGTAAGTCTAAAAGCAGTTAGCATTAGACCTTCACATCAGGTCAAAGAACATAGAATTTCTAAACCAAACCTTCCTTAGACATAACATTTAAATGTGATTATTATCACTAAAATAGTGAAGTAAAAAATAGGGTGAGCATAATTTCTTATTATCAGACAGTTTTTTGATTGACATAATCATTCAGTCACATTTATGTTATATACTCTGTTTGAACCATTCTTTTCTGTTAGATTGTAAACCCTAAAGATTAGGAACCAAAGTATCTTTAAATAAGTTTTATCTGCTCTAGCACAGGGCCATAATGGGAGTGATATAATCCCTCTTTGACATTTACCACAAATAGGTATTTACTAAAACTGCCACCTGGTACAAGCCCACTGTGCTCACATAAGAAGGGAGGAAACAATGGAATATCTGTGGTGGTTATTCACTCAAGGATATCTAGACCCACTTCATAGATAATGCTTTAAGGTTTCTTTTTTTATTTTATAAAGAGGAATAACATATTACTATAACAAGTACCAGCAGCTTTCATGATCCCTCCCATCCATCCAATTTCTCCCCCAGCTTAAAAAACATAGGCACAACTGTCTGTTACCGCCACATTCTAAACTCTCCTAAGATTTCTCTAGACCAAATAAAGACCTCAGACTCAGGCCTGCCACGCAGTTGATTTCCAAATGGGTGGAACTCTTAAAAGCCCCACTTGTGGCCGGGTGTGGTGGCTCACGCCTGTAATCCCAACACTTTGGGAGGCCAAGGCGGTCAGATCACAAGATCAGGAGATCGAGACCATCCTGGCTAACACGGTGAAACCCCATCTCTACTAAAAATACAAAAACAAAATTAGCCGGGTGTGGTGGCGGGTGCCTGTAGTCCCAGCTACTCGGGAGGCTGAGGCAGGAGAATGGCGTGAACCTGGGAGGCGGAGCTTGCAGTGAGCTGAGATCCTGCCGCTGAACTCCAGCCTGGCAGCCTGGGTGACAGAACAAGACTCAGTCTCAAAAAAAAAAAAAGGCCAGGTGCAGTGGCTCACTCCTGTAATCCCAGCACTTTGGGAGGCCGAGGCAGACGGATCACGAGGTCAGGAGATCGAGACCATCCTGGCTAGCACGGTGAAACCCCGTCTCTACTAAAAAAAAAAAAAAAAAAATACAAAAAATTAGCCGGGCGTGGTGGCAGGCGCCTGTAGTCCCAGCTACTCGGGAGGCTGAGGCAGGAGAATGGCGTGAACCTGGGAGGCGGAGCTTGCAGTGAGCCGAGATGGTGCCACTGCACTCCAGTCTGAGCAACAGAGCGAGATTTTGCCTCAAAAAAAAAAAAAAAAAAAAAAAAACCCACTTGGTTTTCATACCAAGACTCAGAAAATTCCTAAAAAGACAATTACTGGTATTGGCAATGAGGAGGAACTTCCCAGCACTTACAATTTTTGTTTAATTGAAATACATTTAAAATTTCCTAACAACTTGGTTCCATTACCCTTTTTTTCAGGTACAGAGCAGTTGCCTCCTGGAGTCGTGTTCAGGGAATTGGGATTCCTTTGGTAACTGCCATTGAAATTGTCTCCATCTGGATCCTGTCCTTTATCCTGGCCATTCCTGAAGCGATTGGCTTCGTCATGGTACCCTTTGAATATAGGGGTGAACAGCATAAAACCTGTATGCTCAATGCCACATCAAAATTCATGGAGGTACTAAACGTTTAAAAGGAATTAACTGGGGAAGGGAGGAGGTCCTCCGTTAGACTTCACCATCTTGAGACTTGATGACATCGCCACAATGTCAAGTGTGGTTTCTTCTGTCAAATATTCCTCAGTTGCATGAAAAGTAGATGTTAAACCTGTGTCTAGATTCTTGAATAGAACAGTTATGCTGGCTTTCACTCTTGTATTATACCACAATGGTAGACATATCTGTTATTCTGCACCAAACCACTAAGAATACCAAAGCAAATTTACTAAGAGGGACTAGATGTGTGTGTGTGTGTGTGTATGTGTGTGTGTGTGTGTGTGTATATATATATATACATATGCTATTTGTTTTTATAATAATGAATACAACACAACAATTTCCATCTGGAAGACGTGCTGATGTTTATCTTATGTCACTTGGGGAGAAGCACATTTCTCACATTCTTTAAAGATGGATTTACTAATTCAAAGTAGAGAGTAGTACTTACATGTACTTATATTAGTACGGTTTCTATGTCTAATATACAAATAATATAAAATTGTAGAACTTCTTAAAATAATATTTTGGTTTAACAAATTCAGTTGTTGGTTTTTTTAGTACACCTGACCATATTAATGTTTTTCTGAAAAGCTTAATCACATGACTGTTTTGGGAAACCTATTTAAAATGCATCTTTTCTTTGCAAAACTAGTTACATGTGGACTGAGGAGGAAAACCAAAAGGATAACTATTTCTCTTAAATCAGTATAATTTAGTGCTTTGATGTAAGTTTCATGTAGCTCACATTCCACATGTAATTATTTACAGACATCTCAAGGTATGCTTTCCCAACTTGGAAAATTCACAGAATTCGTGGTTTTACAGTTGACCAGTTATCCTGCTTGGAAATTCTTGTTTTAAAATTAAAAGTGCTCATGAAAACTGCCAAACTAACAACTTAAAATTGAAGTTTCTTACTGGGTTAGTCTTCAAAGTGAAAAACAAAGTAGACAGTAGGAGATTGTCAGAATTTGGGCTGTGTGAATAAGCAATCTAGATATTCCAGATGCAAACATTAGAGAAAAGAGGTTCACTATAAGAAGGAGCTTACTAATCCTTACAGCCAGACAAAATGAAATGGGCTGTTTCATAAAGACTGTCTCCTATCTAGACGTGTTCAAGTAAAGGGTAGCTACCCTTCAGGCATGGGTGGGCTAGACGGTTGCAGTAAAGGGTATGAGTTGAACAGATAATTTTTTAGAGTTCATTCCAAGTCTGAAGTCCTGTTCTCTTTTTCTAAATTTATTTCCCCTATTTTTTCCATTCTTGCTCTTCAACTTTACCCTAGACTGATGGTAGGCCCCTCTCTACCCATGTTGATGACATCAGTTCCAAAGAGATGCATTACCCATTTCTCTGTGGGCCTTTGCCATGGAGGGGGCAGGGGACTCCATTCAGCCCTCTCAAGGGTCAGCCTCTAGACCCTCTGCAGCTGTTTCTGCATCATTTATACCCAGCCAGCAAATGCACCCGGAAAAAGAGGATACAAAAGAAGGGAGAATGGGTGCTCAAAGGAGTGTTCGTGTTGCACTTCAAAAAAGAGAGAGAGAGTGCTTCTGACTTTTTTTAAGTTCAGGACTGAAATCTTTCTACAGTGTGTTGGGAACAGGGAAATGTTTGTGTAAGCAGTTTAGAATAAACCAACTCCTTTGGGAGTTTGCACTTAACCTGAGGATAGAATTCAGGGATCTGTGAACTTGGTTGGAAAAGAAACAACATGTTTATTTTCACTAACTTCTAACTGAATTTATTATTTCCTTCTATTATGAATGTACCCAACAAATCACCATAGTGTTTACCAGTATCATGACTTTTTCAGTAATAAAAATAGCAGACATTTTCATACGATATAACACTTGTATAATCTCAAAATATTATTTATGCTCTTCAGAACTTCAACACTTCAACAGTTCGGTAGTTATTAGAACCATCACTAGGTTTGTTATTTGTGAATAAACACAATATTACTATATCTAAATTTAATTTCTAATATTTTGATAGCTGTGCTTTAATGTAATTGGTTTCCATTGCAATCTTATGTATTTTATTTTATGCATGTAAAAGTATTATTCTCAGAAGGGATTATAGTCTTTACCAGACTTCCAAAAGGGTCTGTGGCATAAAAATAGTCAAGAACTCCTCCCCCAAATTTTTTGTCTTTAGGAACCATTTTTAGATTATTTTAATAGCCATGTTATAAATGCAGCCTTCTTAGCCTCTTTCTATATTCAGAAACTGTCCCATTTTTTACAGAGCAACATGATTATTTTTTACTGTGGGAACTGCATTGTCCTTAGTAAATTAACAATCTGAAGAAGCACTATAAGGAAAGAAAAAGCATTTCGTCCCAAGTTGGTGATTAATTTTGTGGGAAGAAGAATTTAGATATCATTTTTCATTTTCCATTTTTATAGGGTATTAAGTTTTCTTCTTTAAGCAGAAGTAAAACCGAATAATCTCGGTATTTATAAATCCTGCCCAGTTAGATAATACCAGATATGCTTCAGTTGAGATATGCTGCCTCAATAGTTTCCAGGTGGTAAGTATTAAAGGAGGGAGAAGAGTATAGCTATTGAAGTTCAAAGCGGCTGGCTTTAAGGTCACATAGCAGGCATACCAGGCAGAGGGTTAACCCCTATTAACCAAAGCTACACAGATAAGCCATTCGTAACCTTCACCGTTTCAGGTTAAATACACTTTCACCACAATAGTCAAAAGTAAAGCAGGCGCTAACAAAATTTTGAGGTTCATCCAGAAATAAAGATAAACATGTATATTCTTTTGTCTCAAAATCATGTTTTATGAGCTTTAGAAGGACATTATTTTTATTGATTAGGGCTCTTCCGTTGTGTAGTTGAAACCTTCAATCTATGAAAAGTATCAAGTATCCTTGTCAAGATAATTTTTGTAAGTGCAGTTTCTTTATGTGCTGTTTAAAGCCAGGATAATTTCTGAAGCTTCCAACTGAATTGAGTTTTGAGCCCCACTCCCAAACCCATCACTGCAACCAGAGAGCATGATTTTACAGATGTATCTGCAAGTTTAAAGACCTTAAAGCTACCAGAGGCACAGCATGGTTAATTGACATGACTCTGCTCCTCCTTTTCTCTTTTTTTTTTTTTCACTTTGAAGTTCTACCAAGATGTAAAGGACTGGTGGCTCTTCGGGTTCTATTTCTGTATGCCCTTGGTGTGCACTGCGATCTTCTACACCCTCATGACTTGTGAGATGTTGAACAGAAGGAATGGCAGCTTGAGAATTGCCCTCAGTGAACATCTTAAGCAGGTAAATCCCATAACATCATGAAAATCTGGCCAGGACTGGTTAGTCCTTGACAGCAGCAGGCCTGCAAATACCATCTTTAGTAGAATTAGCCTGATTTCCTAAAATAAAAATACTATCCTGTAACTGTTTTCTTTATAGTAATAGTGTTAGAAATTTCTTTTGTAAAATGGGAAACCTGCTTGTAAAACAAGTGGTCCTGAAGGCTGGGCCCAAATAGAGAAGAACTATCCCTCTATTTTGCCAAGAGTGTACTGAGCATGTGTGTATGTGAGTTCGTGCATTCAATTGGGCTTGAAACTGTACCAGGACACAAAAAAGCATGTAACTTTCTCCCCATGCAGATTTACAGTCTTGTTGTAGAAATAAAATATGCATGCAAAACAACTGGAATATAGAACCACAGGTGTGGTAAAAGTAGCCTGTGCTATGGAAAGCCAGGAAGGGTATGAGATAGAGTCATGGGGAAGCTGTTCATGGATGAGGGGGATTGAACCAGACCTTGGAGGATAAGTGGGATTTGATGGGGAAGAAGTTGACAGAGAGCATTTCAGGTGGAAGAACAGGAGTCTAGTTAGAACGTGGAATAGGAACCATGCATTTGGGGAATGGGAAAAAGGAGATGAACCTCTCTAGAGCAATGTCTAATGTGAGACTTATGCTAGGAAATGGGATCATGTACATTAGAAGAGGTAAAGTGTTGGAGGACCCAAAGTTCTAGAAGGAATTTGAACATGTCAATAGGAGGCTAATGTTGGTCCCTCCTGGGTGAAATTAGAACAGATAAAGCTGTGGGCTTTCAAGGGCAAAACTAGACTCATACTTGGCTCTCTGACCTTGGGCAAATTGCTTAATCTCTCTGAACTTCTAGTTTCTCATAATATGTATGTAATAATACATCATGGGGATTACCTGAGACATATAAGGTGCCTAATAGTACCCAGCTCCTAGTAGGTATTAAGCAAATGTTAATTTACATTAATTCTAAGAGGAAACCTAGGACTTCAGGTAAGTTCCCTGTTGCAACAGAAAAGTATATAATGGTGGCCAACTACACCAAAAGTTAATGTGAGTTGTTGATGGAGTCTGTAAATCTGTCCTATATAATTACCATGTGCAAGCATAGTTCCTCATCAGCAACTCTTCAACTACTATACTGATTTTTCTGAGCTTCAGCTTTTCATCTGTAAATTGGGCATAATATATGAATCAATAGTATTATGAGGATCAAAAGGATGAATGTGTATGCATGTACTTTATAAAATCTAACATGCCATACAAATGGTAGCTATTATCTTTCATTGACATTTAGCAAGAAGATTACATTGAGAAACCTTAGTATGACTTTGTTCAGGCATGAAAGTTTCAAATACTCCAATTGCTTAATATGTTTACAATTATTTCCTCTCATTCTTGGAATGGAGGTAGTTAGTATGGGTTTGTGAAAAACAGTGTTTTAAAATATGGATTTTTGCATTCGCACCATGATTGAGCCTGTTTAAGCTATGAGTGGTATTTGCTGTGGAAATAATTAAATAGTTAATTATTTAATTTTGGAATAATATTAATTATTTAATTGTGGAAAGAAATAATTGTCATATGCTGCTTCATGTTTACACAGCATTTTTTAAGTTTTTAAAGTGCATTTCCATTTCCATGTCTTTTTCTTATTTGATTCCTCCAAGCACCCTCTGAGATCAGTAGGATATATATTCTTTATTATACAGGTGATTTAGAGGTTTGCTCAACCAAATGGAGATTAGAACCCAAGATTTTGTCCTCATGCAGTTAACGTTCCTTTTGGTGCCACTCAAATCTGTAGCAAATCCTAAGTACAGAAGAGCAAGTGTGGCTGAAAGTCCTGCAGATGGGACTGCGGGAGAAACAGCATAGAGCACAAAACCTTGCCATCTTGACTAATACTCTGTGGGGCTCATAGTTTTGCTTCTTGCTTGGTTGTCTCTAATTTCTCCTCATCATAATGATGACAGTTTTATCAAGTAGGGGTTGTGTTCGGATGCTGGGAACACAAAACCCAAAATAACTGTTAGTTGACCAAGAAGGAGTTTATCTTTCTCCCATAGCAAAAAGTTCAGACATCAAGATTTAGTGGTCAAGCCAAGTTAGAGGCCAGGTATCTACTGTTTTGCTGATCTTTGCTTCAGTCTCAGGAGACTGTAGCAGCAGCTCTACTTTTATATCTGATTTCCAAGCAGCAAGAGGGGAAGAACAGAAAACAACCCGTCATGGGTGTGCATCAAAAGAGTGTCCCTATACTTCTCAGTAGCTCTTCCGGAAACCCATGCAATGGTTTCTATTTCATCTAACGGGTCAAAACCCTGCCAAGTGGCCATGTAGATAATTAGGCCAGGTTCCCCAGCTGCCTTAACAAATCAAGACCAGAGTGATGGTAAGGAAGACAGGAGAATGGATATTGGTTAAGCAAATATCAGACTATCATGGCAGTGTACTAATACTGCTTTTAAAAGCGTTATCCTCTTTGAGTATGCACTCAGGAAAGGTAACCTCTCCCCTAATACACTGCTTTTCTATTTTTCTGGGCACACTGTCTTTCTGGACACACAAAATGACCCTTTTAAAAAGAGCCCCCATTCCTGAAGATTTGAATATTTTATTTCTTCCCTCAGTCATTACTCCGGAGCCATATCCCAGCTAGCCCAATAACTATGAGAGGTTAAAGAACTCCCAGTTCCTTTAGCTAGAGTAGCGAGTTATGAAAACTGCCCCAGAATATTTTGAATGGCTCAGCCAATCATGTGAGTTTATTGTAGGCTTCCCGGACTTAATGTTATATGTTTCAGGTTGAGCCAGCATTACCCTTCCAGACCCTGTTTTTAATCAGTTTTATTTTGACATTAACTGATCCCAGTTACAGACAAGTTGCATTTTGTGTTCCTAGTCAGGCTTCTAAATGCATGCAATATAATACTCAAATAATGCACACCAATGAATGGTTGCAGATAATTCCTAATTTATAGATTTTCTGATCCTGAGCAGACTGAAAGGCATGCAAACCTTCCATGAAGTCCGTCCAAGGTCAGCATGTTTCAGATTTTCTAGTCATCACTGCTGATAATCCTTTACCCTCATCCTTCTGCTTGCAAACAACATATAATATTTTTATATGTCATTAAGAAACTACATGTCATTAAGAAAAGAATTTAAAGAGCAAAAAATCCCAATAATAGCTATGTTCAAGATCAGGAAAAGGAAAAAACATAGTGCTATGACTTTTCCTTTTCTACTCCCCACTCCTATTTTGTTTTCTCCAGGTCTTTGTTGATTTGTCCATGCAATATCATGTGATGTTCAGTCTCCTTGCCTTCCATGCCATCATTAATGCTAATTAGTTACCTGTTATTAAGAGTCATTAGCTAACCCTTTCCCCCATGCAGTCACACTCCACCCCACTACACACACACACAGGCAGACTCAGCCACCTACACACACACAGCTGCAGACTCAGCTGGCTCACCTCCAGCCAGTTTCCACCTCTCTCCTGGCATATAACCTCCGTCCTGGCCCTAATAACCAACCTGAGGCCCCCATCCTTCCTGGAAGCTGCCCAGAAGCATCATTAGCAATTCCTTCGTTAGAACACTGACCTTAGAATCTTGAAGAGGTAGAGGCAGTGTAAGCCAGGCTGTTCTCCTGGCTCTTCTTTGAATTATTCTTTCTCTGGTGTCTGCTACTTCTTGGTACTGTAGTTCTTGCATCTAGTATAAAAACACTAAATTTGTTGTCCTATTTTTTTCTCACTTTCCTTTAGCGTCGAGAAGTGGCAAAAACAGTTTTCTGCTTGGTTGTAATTTTTGCTCTTTGCTGGTTCCCTCTTCATTTAAGCCGTATATTGAAGAAAACTGTGTATAACGAGATGGACAAGAACCGATGTGAATTACTTAGGTATGATCCTGTGTACTCGCTAGAAAATTGGAGTTTCTCAGATTTTCATATTTATAATACTTTTACAAAACCAGCTACTCTACATGCCCGTTAGCCCTGAAAATTAAAACTGCAAAGTTGATTTTTTTCTTTAGCTGACATAGCCTATAACTGATCCCAAAATGTGTGCAAGCCACATCTGTTATCTTGCCCCTCCCCTCCTGAGGCTGTGCATAAGGGTTTGAGCTAACCAACTAGTGATGTATCTGTAACTGTCCTGCAAAACTGAAACTGCCGTTTAAACAAGCACTTTTTACAAAATTCTAACTGCCACCCATACGAAATGGCTTCTGGGCAAGAAAAATGCTTATTCTAGGAAGAAATGCTAGTGAGCAGATTTTAAAACAATATATTCTAATTATTCTACACCATTTTCTTTTGCTCTAGTTTCTTACTGCTCATGGATTACATCGGTATTAACTTGGCAACCATGAATTCATGTATAAACCCCATAGCTCTGTATTTTGTGAGCAAGAAATTTAAAAATTGTTTCCAGGTAAGATGATTTTTCAAGTATTTTTTAAAGACAACAAAATGAGTATATTAAACAGTCAACAGACACAGCCAATTCCAGTTGTAATATTACTTTGATCAGCTATACTACTTTTTAGCAGTGAAGTGAAAATCATGTTTTATTACCCAGAAAGAGAGTCAGATTGTCGGCATAACAGAAAAGCAGTTCCTATTTAGACAACCACATACAAAGAGGTTAAAATCAAAAGGACTAAATCACATGCCAGTTTAGAACCCTCCTTTAGAGAGAAATGTTTCAATGTATGCTCCAGGCCACAGAGAGTACATAAGACCTATTCATACCTTACTTTGTCTTAGACTTGAACCAAAGTCTTGACAAAATATAAGCTCTATTGTTAAGAAAGCGCTCACTGATCGAGACCATCCTGGCCAACATGGTGAAACCCTGTCTCTACTAAAAATACAAAAATTAGCCAGGCATGGTGGCGGGCACCTGCAGTCCCAGCTACTCGGAGAATGGCGTGAACCCAAGAGGTGGAGCTTGCAGTGAGCCGAGATAGCGCCACTGCACTCCAGCCTGGGCGACAGAGCCAGACTCAGTCTCAAAAAAAAAAAAAAAAAAAAAAAAAAAAGAAAGGTCTCACTAAATGCTGTTTAATTGTGTACTTAGTAATAGAATCTTCAAGGAAAGTAAATGCTTATTGCTGTGGGAATCTGAACAAATATAATTTTATTCAAAATCAGTTTCCTTCTGCTTTCAAACCTCCAGCCAGCTCAGCCACCCATGTCCTTCAGAAGCTCTAAGCCTGTCTTATTGATGTGTAATTTTCTGGTTCCTGAAATCATTTTAGCATAGGCTTAATCCTCACTGGATTTTGTTATCTTGGACCAGGCTGTTTAACTTTAGCTTATGGTACATATGAGGCAGAGTGCGGTAGAGGTCAAGAATGCAGGCTCTGGAAGCAAAGAGCCTCGATGGACATTACAGCCCTGCACTTGCTAACTATCTACCCCAGGTAGTGCCTCTCTTGCTTTTTCAGTTTCCTCACCTATAAAATTGGATGATCACAGTATCTCTCTCATAAGGAGGGTAATATATGTAAAATGCTTGAAATAATAAGTGCTCAATATGAGTTGATTACTATTAGGGACAGAGTAGAGAGGAAAAACACAGTAACGACCTGCATGGAACTTACAGTCTAAACAGAGGCAGACATATATTAACCAAGGAATCACACAAACAGATGAAACTCGGTATGGAAGTTTGGGGCCGTATTTCTGAGGTCTTCTTGGAAATGTTTGCCAGTCACAAAACACTCAGCCCAAAATGGATTGACTAACATGCAGGTTAAAATTAGTACATTATATAAGGTGAAATTAATTATTACTTACTCATTAATTTACATATTCATTGGGGGAGGGAAAATCAAGGTAAAAATTATCAGAAATTAACCCCACTTTTTGATGAATCTTCCTAAAAAGGCAGTATATCCAAGAGAAAGAGCCCAAATCTAGAGAGTCCTGGGTTCTAATTCCAGTTCTAACTCTCATTATCCTCTCTGGACCTCACTGTCCTCATTCATAAAATGGGGGAATAGCATAAAATGGGAGAACATCCAAGGCTGTTGTGAGGATCTGATAAGGTACCTGGTGCGGAGAGCCACACAGGTGGTGCACACTGAAGAAACGCTAGGACCCCCCCACCAGCCCAGCCCTACCCGTGCCTGCCCCAAGCTGTGGAGAGCCCTTCCTCTCACCTACAGTGCCTTCCCTTTCTCTTGCACTTGGTAATAAAATTAAAATGAGAAACAAGGGTTCTATTTCTCTGCACTGGAATGGACAGTGTAACTCCTGCCTGGTGATAACAGGCTCTCCACTCTAGGTTACTGTCAAGGTTCACTTCCCTCGAATGCGAATGGACATTTGCCCCTCATTAGCATGGCCCAGGGCCGCTGTGTTTGGCCGGGAATGGGCTGGTAGGCTCGCCTTACTTCGAGTCTGTTCCTTCCCCCAGTCATGCCTCTGCTGCTGCTGTTACCAGTCCAAAAGTCTGATGACCTCGGTCCCCATGAACGGAACAAGCATCCAGTGGAAGAACCACGATCAAAACAACCACAACACAGACCGGAGCAGCCATAAGGACAGCATGAACTGACCACCCTTAGAAGCACTCCTCGGTACTCCCATAATCCTCTCGGAGAAAAAAATCACAAGGCAACTGTGAGTCCGGGAATCTCTTCTCTGATCCTTCTTCCTTAATTCACTCCCACACCCAAGAAGAAATGCTTTCCAAAACCGCAAGGGTAGACTGGTTTATCCACCCACAACATCTACGAATCGTACTTCTTTAATTGATCTAATTTACATATTCTGCGTGTTGTATTCAGCACTAAAAAATGGTGGGAGCTGGGGGAGAATGAAGACTGTTAAATGAAACCAGAAGGATATTTACTACTTTTGCATGAAAATAGAGCTTTCAAGTACATGGCTAGCTTTTATGGCAGTTCTGGTGAATGTTCAATGGGAACTGGTCACCATGAAACTTTAGAGATTAACGACAAGATTTTCTACTTTTTTTAAGTGATTTTTTTGTCCTTCAGCCAAACACAATATGGGCTCAAGTCACTTTTATTTGAAATGTCATTTGGTGCCAGTATTTTTTAACTGCATAATAGCCTAACATGATTATTTGAACTTATTTACACATAGTTTGAAAAAAAAAAGACAAAAATAGTATTCAGGTGAGCAATTAGATTAGTATTTTCCACGTCACTGTTTATTTTTTTAAAACACAAATTCTAAAGCTACAACAAATACTACAGGCCCTTAAAGCACAGTCTGATGACACATTTGGCAGTTTAATAGATGTTACTCAAAGAATTTTTTAAGAACTGTATTTTATTTTTTAAATGGTGTTTTATTACAAGGGACCTTGAACATGTTTTGTATGTTAAATTCAAAAGTAATGCTTCAATCAGATAGTTCTTTTTCACAAGTTCAATCTGTTTTTCATGTAAATTTTGTATGAAAAATCAATGTCAAGTACCAAAATGTTAATGTATGTGTCATTTAACTCTGCCTGAGACTTTCAGTGCACTGTATATAGAAGTCTAAAACACACCTAAGAGAAAAAGATCGAATTTTTCAGATGATTCAGAAATTTTCATTCAGGTATTTGTAATAGTGACATATATATGTATATACATATCACCTCCTATTCTCTTAATTTTTCTTAAAATGTTAACTGGCAGTAAGTCTTTTTTGATCATTCCCTTTTCCATATAGGAAACATAATTTTGAAGTGGCCAGATGAGTTTATCATGTCAGTGAAAAATAATTACCCACAAATGCCACCAGAACTTACGATTCTTCACTTCTTGGGGTTTTCAGTATGAACCTAACTCCCCACCCCAACATCTCCCTCCCACATTGTCACCATTTCAAAGGGCCCACAGTGACTTTTGCTGGGCATTTTCCCAGATGTTTACAGACTGTGAGTACAGCAGAAAATCTTTTACTAGTGTGTGTGTGTATATATATAAACAATTGTAAATTTCTTTTAGCCCATTTTTCTAGACTGTCTCTGTGGAATATATTTGTGTGTGTGATATATGCATGTGTGTGATGGTATGTATGGATTTAATCTAATCTAATAATTGTGCCCCGCAGTTGTGCCAAAGTGCATAGTCTGAGTAAAATCTAGGTGATTGTTCATCATGACAACCTGCCTCAGTCCATTTTAACCTGTAGCAACCTTCTGCATTCATAAATCTTGTAATCATGTTACCATTACAAATGGGATATAAGAGGCAGCGTGAAAGCAGATGAGCTGTGGACTAGCAATATAGGGTTTTGTTTGGTTGGTTGGTTTGATAAAGCAGTATTTGGGGTCATATTGTTTCCTGTGCTGGAGCAAAAGTCATTACACTTTGAAGTATTATATTGTTCTTATCCTCAATTCAATGTGGTGATGAAATTGCCAGGTTGTCTGATATTTCTTTCAGACTTCGCCAGACAGATTGCTGATAATAAATTAGGTAAGATAATTTGTTGGGCCATATTTTAGGACAGGTAAAATAACATCAGGTTCCAGTTGCTTGAATTGCAAGGCTAAGAAGTACTGCCCTTTTGTGTGTTAGCAGTCAAATCTATTATTCCACTGGCGCATCATATGCAGTGATATATGCCTATAATATAAGCCATAGGTTCACACCATTTTGTTTAGACAATTGTCTTTTTTTCAAGATGCTTTGTTTCTTTCATATGAAAAAAATGCATTTTATAAATTCAGAAAGTCATAGATTTCTGAAGGCGTCAACGTGCATTTTATTTATGGACTGGTAAGTAACTGTGGTTTACTAGCAGGAATATTTCCAATTTCTACCTTTACTACATCTTTTCAACAAGTAACTTTGTAGAAATGAGCCAGAAGCCAAGGCCCTGAGTTGGCAGTGGCCCATAAGTGTAAAATAAAAGTTTACAGAAACCTTGCAAGTGTCTCTTCATTTTTATGTAGTTTTCCATAGAAAATGTTTGTTACATAATGCCTGTTGCAAACCTCTCCTTAGTAATATCCTGGAAAGCAGTTTACTATCAAACAGGTACTTCCTACCTCTATTCTCAACCAACCTATTTTGTTGTACTGAGCATTTAACTCTGTCATTCATTCCTTCATTTACCTTTTCAGTAAGTTTAATTGGGCATCTACTATGCACCAGGCATTCTTCCAGATATTGGGGACATAGTAAACAAAACAGGCAAAGTCCCTGATTCCATGGAGCTTGCATTCTAGGCAATAAACAGTTACAGTCAATAAGCAATATATTAGGTAGATATCTGGAGGAAAAGATTCATATATATCCAACTGTTTACTTGACATCCACAGTTGGATGGCTAGTACACCATAATATATGCAGAATGAAGCTCCTGATATCTTCCAGCTTACCCTGCCTAATATTCCTCTGCTCAGTTATAGACAGTCCCATTTTTTAGGAGTTGTTCAGGATAAAAACTTTGAAGTCATTGCTCATTCCTTTTCCTCACACCTTTTAGCCAACATCTCCATAAGTCCTGAGAGCCCTATCTTCAGAATATATCCAGAACCTGACCACTTCTCTGTCTCTGCCTCTACCTCCCTAGTCTGAGCACCATCTTCTCTTGCCAGGATAACCACAATAGGCTCCTGACATGCCTACTCATGTCCAGCCTTATAAACAGCTGTATTCCAGTTGGAGCCAGTCTCTCCTCTCCCATAAGTGATTAGGTTAGGCGAGGCTGACCAGCATCCTCTGGGAGTTTCTCAGTAAGAACTAAGTCAGATAGAGCTATTTTCCTACTAAAGCAGGACTGGGAAGTTGTGAGCCTGGGCGTGCCTGGACGCTGTGGTTGAGCATTACGAAGAAAGTCAATCTAGAGTGTCATGAAGATGAAGAAGAGCATCAAAGTCCCCAGTTCTAGCTCTCCTTGATGCTTTCTCATGGCTTCAGTAAACAAACCAACACATTTACCTTTTCACCTACACTAGTTAAATCTGGTTTTCTGTTGCTTGCAATACGCACATTCTAAGACCATCTCATCTAAGTTATCTTGAGTTATATTTTGTTGTCGTTAACTTAATAGACTATGTTTTTTAGAGCTGTTCTAGGTTTACAGAAAAATTGATCTAAAATTACAGAAAATTCCTACATGCCCTCCTTTCTCCCCCCTTCTCCACACAATTTCCCCCTATTTTTTACACCTTGTATTAGTGTGGCACATTTGTTACAGTAAACGAACCAATATGGATGCAATATTATTAACTAAAGACTATAGTTTACATTAAGGTTCACTCTGTGCTTGACATTCTATGGCTTTGGACAAATGTATAATATCACATATCCACCATTACAGTATCATTCAGAAGAGCCTCACTGCCCTAAAAATCCCTGTGCTGCATCATTTCATCCATCCCTCCATCCCCTTCTTGATTTATCTGTTCACTCAACACAAATACCATGAACAACCATCATATTACATTGTGCTAATAGCTGGGAACAGGAAATCAGATGAATAAATAAATAAATGCAGTGACGAGCTTTGTGGTGACTCAACAGACGTCAGCATAGGGGCTGGTAAAGGCACAAAGGAAAGAGTAGTCAAAATTCTTTTAACTTCAGTTGGTGAGCATCAGCAGACAAGTATGAGGGCCTTTGCTTCCACAACTCTCATTTTACTTTGCATGAACATTATGTCACCTCTAGGAAAATGGCATAAGAATAAGCAATATAGTATTGTCTCTACATTGTGAGTTTTTATAAAGTCAGTAAATACATATTATTTTCCATTCAAAAGTAATTTAAAATTATCAAAATAATGAAACACAATTCCTAGATATAATTAGGAAATACCTGAGACAAATGTCAATCTTTGACTAATCTATTACCTCTATTGTTATTCTTAGGAGTATCACTAGTCCATGAGATAGCATGGAAAACCTTTTATGTGTAGAGTAAAGGAAACGTACTGCCAGCCTTCCCAAAACACTGCAAGCTCATGATTCTGAGTCTTCTCTTTCTTTATTTGTAAAATAATAGAGTACAGCCCTGTATTTATTGATTTTACTCCATACTTCAAAGCAAAGTTAAATCAGAGTGCAAGTTCACCATATGCAGTTGAATGTTTCTGAAATTCCAATGGGGTCTTCACAATTAAAACCCAGTGGTTTTTTGTTTTTTTTTTTAATAATCCTACATTTGAAGAAGTTTCTGCCATACTTTTCTCTAAATAGTAACAAAGACAAACCAAGGTCTATATTTGGTCAGCACTGATGTATTTTGACTTTTTTGTTTTTAAAACTGAAAGGGGACAGACTTGGGTTCCTAGAATCAGGAAAGAATCAAAGACTGAAAATAGCATTGTAACTGCAAAACTGGGCTTTCCCTATGAGGCATGCTAGAATAGTTCACTTTTGATTTGATGAAGCCAGAACTCATTGTAACTCCTACTTTCCCAAGCTTTTAGCATCAATATTATTCAGTAGATTCTACCAGCTGTATTTCTTTGGGGGTGGTAATAAATTAGGAACAGCAATGCCAACCCTAGTTAGAATCCGAAGAGTCATGGAATCTTCCTAGAGGAATATAGAGAATTCCACAAATTTTTCCCTTTTAGTCCTAAACCACAGGCCCTTTATCTAGTTTATCTAAATGGAACTGATCATCTTTTACTTGAATTTGATTCTATGAAGGTAGATACAACTGTATACTTGATGTTGTGTGATAGATTTGTCCCAGGTGGGAGTAATGACCCTGCGCGGTCTGCATACTACCACATTGTCAGCCAAATCACAGGCCCAAGGCACCTCCAGAGCACACAGAGCACAGCTCTGACTCACTCCATTTTTTTCTTTTTTTTTTTTTTGCAGGGTGGGTGGTTTGTTTTGTTCTGTTTTGAGACAGGATCTCACTCTATTGCACAGGTTGGAGTGGAGTGGTGCAACCTTGGTTCACTGCAACCTTGACCTCCTGGGCTCAAGCAATCCTCCCATCTCAGCTTCCCCAGTAGCTGGCACTACAGACACATGTCACCATACCTCGCTACTTTTTGTATTTTTAGTAGAGACAGGGTTTCACCATGTTGCCCAGGGAGGTCTCAAACTCCTGGGCTCAAGGAATCCACCCACCTCAGCCTCCCAACGGGCTGGGATTACAGGCGTGAGCCACCCCACTCGTCCTCTTACTCACTCCATTTGTGCATGCTTTTTTCAGAATAATGCCATTTCTCCATGAACTATAGCTCTCTATTTCTCTCAAAGTATGACTTTTAGTGTTAACTTCAATTAAGTGCTTGTGCTTTTAAAATATCCTAAAATGAGAACATCTAAGTGTGAGCAAGTAAAGGGAATACATTTGTGCCTAATGAAAAATTAATGTCATAGGTCCAACTTTTTCTCTATGTTATGAAACCTGATAGGGGTAGGCCTGGATTACTCTCCCTCACTCTCAGTCAAAATTCCATTGGGACAAATGGAATTCTGCTGAACAACTTAGATCTAGCAAGCAGGGCCAACCCCTGGAGCTGGGGGTAGAAGGGTGATTTCCCAAAGAAAGGAGAATTGGCCAGACGCAGTGGCTCACACCTGTAATCCCAACACTTTGGGAAGCCAAGGTGGGCGGATCACCTGAGGTCAAGAGTTCAAGACCAGCCTGGCCAACATTGCTAAACCCCATCTCCACTAATATTACAAAAGTTAGCTAAGCATGGTGGTAGGTGCCTGTAATCCCAGTTACTCGGGAGGCTGAGGCAGGAGAATTGGTTGAACCCAGGAGGCGGAGGTTGCAGTGAGCCAAGATCACTCCACTGCATGCCAGCCTGGGTGACAGAGCAAGACTCTGTCTCAAAAAAAAAAAAAAAAAAGAAAGGAGACTTGTCTATATATCTTGCTACTCCTTATTTCAGCTCCTTTTTGACATAGTTAGCTCAGTTCATTCATCAATTGTTATTAGTTTTTAAAAATAATTTTCCCTTTCAAATTATAAAAAGAATATATCAAATATGTCAATAATGTCTTTAAAACTCTTACAGAACAATAATTAATGAACAATCCATGTATATATGGAGGGAAACCCTATATATGGTGATATGGTTTGGCTCTGTGTCCTCACCCATATCTCATCTTGTAGCTCCCATAATTCCCACATGCTGCGGGATAGACCCAATGGGAGATGATTGAATCATGGGGGCAGGTCTTTCCCATGCTATTCTTGTGATAGTGCATAAGTCTCATGAGATCTGATGGTTTTTAAAAGGGGAGTTTCCCTCCACAAGCTCTCTTCTCTTGTCTGCCGCCATGTGAGACATGCCTTTCACCTTCTGCCATGATTGTGAGGCCTTCCCAGACACATAAAACTGTAAGTCCAATAAACCTCTTTCTTTTGTAAATTGCCCAGTCTCGGGTATGTCTTCATCAGCAGCTTGAAAACGGACTAATACATATGGGGATATATATCTGACTTATCCAGTCCTTTGCTACCCTAAACAAGACAGTGCCGTACATCATTGTCAAGTCTCCAGGGGGATTTGCATGATTTCTCTGGGAGATGTAAGCAGGACTGCTGCTGGATCATAAGGTTTGTGCATAGTTAATATCACCAGTTACAGCCAGGATGTCTCCAGAATGGCCAAACTAGTCCTGGGTTGATCCATCATTGAAGAGTTCAACAGCTCCAGATGCCATGAAATTGCTCCACTTTACACTGGAACCATCACGATGGAGGAGCATACACCGTTAGGGACACGTAAGCAGACACTGTCAAAGACCAGACCGGACCCCCTTGCATCCATTTTACCAGCTCTCTTCACTCATCTCCAGCTTCAAAGTTTTGGGGTTTTTTTGTTGGATTTTGTTTGTTTTTGAAACAGTGTCTCGCTCTTTCGCCCAGGCTGGAGTGCAGTGGTATGATCACAGCTCACTACAGCCTCGACCTCCTGGGCTCTAGAAATCCTCCTACCCCAGCCTCCTGAGTAGCTGGGAGTACAGGTGCATGCCACCACACCTGACTTTCTTTTATTTTTTTACTTTTTGTTTTTAGTAGAGAGGGGGGTCTTGCTATGTTACCCAGGCTGGTCTCGAACTCCTGGGCTCAGCAGTGTTTCTACTGCTTAATATTTACACCTGCAACAATCGGTGGCTCACCCTTGGACACTGGAGCCCGCCTAGACTGTAAGAAGAACTGCCTTGGAATTGTATATCCTCCTCCACCCCCACCACGACCTATAGCCAATGACTTACTGGTGTGGACTTACACCAGCTCTTGTATCTCAAGGTGGGGTAAACACCTTGCACCCTGGAGATCAGGCTGAGTCTGGGACTTCACCTGACATCTCAACTTTACTTAGTTTCTCTCTTTCCTTCCCGCAGCCTACTTCTTCCACTCCCTTACTAATTTCCTCTGGAAGCTGTGCCTTAACAAACCACTTACACCCAAATCCTTGGTTCAAGCTCAGCTTCAGGAAGAATCTGGGCAAAGACACACATTTCTATTTCACTGCTGAACATAAATGACAAATTCCAGACATTGATCATGTTAGATTCTTCAGCATACTAAATTTGGGCTCCTATTTAAAACTACTTTCACTTTCTTTACTGGGCCATCTTAATATAATATACTAAAATCTCTCCTAATTGACAATCCAAGCTTCCTCCCCCACAGCTGCAGTCCCAGCTGCTGTCAAAGAGCATGGCTTTTCTGTGGGATAGTCACGTCGACCCCTGTAGGAACTCCATTTCAGACTCTCAGGGGGTATGACTGTTAGGTGTTTCTGTGTCTCCAAATGTTACTCATGGCAGAAAGCAGCTGCAATTGCCCTTTACAGAACATGCCCCTCTCAAATAGCTGTCACGTGAAAATTTGAGTCATTTATGAAGCTGCAAACCAGTAAGAGAGGTAACAAGATTAAGTCAGGGTGGGCGGGAAAGTGCAGGCAGCACACACAGGCTGCTCGTCCAAGGAGTGTGACTGTGAGAACACTTGGGAACTCGGGCAGCAGCCAGAGGAAACAGCAGGGGCAAAGGAAAGGTGTATGTATATTCAAGAAAAATACAACCTCAGCGTTTTTAGGACAGAAGAATTGACGCCAGTGAAAGGAAAAAATTGTGTAGGGATGAAAATAAAAAGATATTTGATAGATGAAGTTCCCAGAGAAGGTGAGAGGGGGAGGAAATGGCAGTCTTGGAAAGGAAGAAGGTCTTCACTGATGATCAAAAGTGCCTGTGTCTTCAGGCATAGGATTTCCTATGAGTTCCATGTCCTCTGTCTGTATGTTAGGCTTAAGGACAAAGGCCTATTTGTGCCATACAAAGAAAAGTGCCTGTATTAGGCCGTTCTCACATCACTATAAAAATACCTGAGACTGGGTAATTTATAAAGAAAAGAGGTTTAATTGCCTCCTGGTTCTGCAGGCTTTATGGGAGATGACATGGTGCTGGCATCTGCTCAGCTTCTAGGGAGGCCTTGGGAAGCTTACAATCAGGGTGGAAGGTGGTGGGGGAGCAGGCATGTCACGTGGCAAAAGCAGGGGCAAGGGAGAGACGTGGGGGGAAGCTCTCTTCACTCATCTCCAATACTTTTAAACAATCAGATTTTGTGATAACTCACTATCATGAAAACAGCACCAAGCCATGAGGGATCTGCCTCCATGTACCAAACACCTCTCACCAGGTCTCACTTCCAACATTGGTGATATGGTTTGACTGTGTCCCCACCCAAATCTCATCTTGAACTGTAGCTCCCATAATCCCCACTTGTCGTGGGAAGGACCTGGTGGGAGGTAATTGAATCATGGGGTCAGGTTTTTCCCAGGCTATTCTCATGACAGTGAATAAGTCTCATGAGATCTGATGGTTTTATAAAGGGCAGCTCCCTTGCACATGCTCTCTTGCCTGCCACCATGTAAGATGTGCCTTTGTTCCTCCTTTGCCTTCTGCCATGATTGTGAGTCCTCCTCAGCCATGTGGAACTCTGAGTCCATTAAACCTCTTTTTCTTTATAAATTATCCAGTCTCAGGTTTTTCTTCATAGCAGTATGAAAATGAACTAATACAATAAATTGGTACTGGTAGAGTGGGGTACTGCTATAAGAATACCTGAAAATGTGGAAGCGACTTTGGAGCTGAGTAACAGGCAGAGGTTGGAACAGTTTGGAGGGCTCAGAAGAAGACAGAAAAATGTGGGCAAGTTTGGAACTTCCTAGAGACTTGGAGGGCTCAGAAGACAAGAAGGTGTGGGAAAGTTTGGAACTTCCTAGAGATTTGTTGAATGGCTTCGACCAAAATGCTGATAGTGAAATGGACTATAAGGTCCTGGCTGAGGTGGTCTCAGATGGAGATGAGGATTGTTGGGAACTGGAGCAAAGTTGACTCTTGCTATGTTTTGGCAAAGAGACTGGCAGTATTTTGCCCCTGCCCTAGAGATCTGTGGAACTTTCAACTTGAGAGAGATGATTTAGGGTATCTGGTGGAAGAAATTTCTAAGCAACAAAGTGTTCCAGAGGTGACTTGGGTGTTACTAAATGCATTCAGTTTTATGTATTCACAAAGATAAGGTGTGGAATTGGAACTTGTGTTTAAAAGGGAAGCAGAGGATAAAAGCTTGGAAAATTTGCAGCCTAATGATGCAATAGAAAAGAAAAACCCATTTTCTGAGGAGAAATTCAAGCCTGCTGCAGAAATTTACATAAGTATCAAGGACCCAAATGTTAATTACAGGACAATGGGGAAAATGTCTCCCAGGCATGTCTGAGGTCTTCACGGCAGCCCCTCCCAATACAAGCAGGGAGGCCTAGGAGGAAAAAATAGTTCTCTGTGCTGGGCTTAGGGCCTTGCTGTTTTGTGCAGTCTTGGGACTTGATGCCCTGTGTCCCAGCTGTGGATAAAAGGGGCCAACGTACAGTTCAAGTCATTGCTTCAGAGGGTGCAAGCCCCAAGCCTTGACAGCTTACACATGGTGTCAGGCCTGCAGGTGAGCACAGGTCAAGAATTGAGGTTTGAGAACCTCCACCTAGATCTCAGAGGATGTAGGGAACTCCTGGATGTTCTGGCAGAGGTGTGCTGCTGGGGCAGAGCCCTCATGGAGAACCTCTGCTAGGTCAGTGGGGAAGGGAAATGTGGGGTGGGAGCCCCCACACAGAGTCCTCACTGGAGCACTGTCTAGTGGAGCTGTGAGAAGAGGGCAACTAGCCTCCAGTCCCCAGAATGGTAGATCCACCAACAGCTTGCACTGTGCACCTGGAAAAGCTGCAGACATTCAATGCCAGCAGCCAGGAGAGGGGCTATACTCTGCAAAGCCACAGTGGCAGAGCTGCCTGAGACCATGGGAATCCACCTCTTGCATCAGCATGGCCTGGATGTGAGACATGAAGTCAAAGGAGATCATTTGGAGCTTTAAGATTTGACTGCCCCACTGGATTTCGGACTTAGCCCCTTTGTTTTTGCCAATTTCTCCTGTTTGGAACGAGTGTATTTACCCAATGCCTGTACCCCACTGTATCTAGGAAGTAACTAACTTGCTTTTGATTTTACAGGCTCTTAGGCAGAAGGGACTTGCCTTTTCTCAGATGAGACTTTGGACTGTGGACTTTTGAGTTAATGCTGAAATGAGTTAAGACTTTGGGGAACTGTTGAAAAGACATAATCGGTTTTAAAATTTGAGGACATGAGATTTTGGAGGGTCCCAGGGTGGAATGATATGGTTTGGGTCTGTCCCCACCAAAATCTCATCTTGAACTGTAGCCCTCATAATCCCCACGTGTCGTGGGCAGGACCTGGTGGGAGGTAATCGAATCATGGGGGCAGGTTTTTCCCTTGCTATTCTCGTGATAGTTCATAAGGCTTATGAGATCTGATGGTTTTATAAAGGGCAGTTCCCCTGCACATGCTCTCTTGCCTGCCACCATGTAAGATGTGCTTTTGCTCCTCCTTTGCCTTCGGCCATGATTGTGAGACTTCCCCAACCATGTGGAACCATGAGTCCGTTCAACCTCTTTTTCTTTATACCCAGTCTCAGATATTTCTTCATAGCAGTACGAAAATGGACTAATACAATTGGGAATTACAATTCAGCATGAGATTTGGGCACAGACAAATATCCAAACTATATCAGTGCCTTTTTAAATAGTGCCTTATAGGAGCATCCTGGAAAGATAACCATCCAATGCACCAGTATGAACACTTTACCTTGGCCACCATCTAGCCAGGGGAACTAGGGGAAGACTCACCTAGGGCTGGAGTCAGAAGGCATCTCAGTCATGCTCAAGGCTATTTTTGTGTACCAGTGGAAACATAACTGTGCAGATTTTTTCTATAAGGAATATTCATTGCTCTGGCAGTCAAATACACACACACACATTTTATATATATATATATATATATGTATATGTATATATATATATAATTTTTTATGATAATGGTGTTTAAACTTCCTCAGTTTAACAGTTGACTATACACTATATACCCAAGTTAAATCAAAATCTTTTCTTTATATATGTATGCTTTCTTAGAGAACCAATCAGAGAAAATACATTTCCAAGAAGCTGAAGGTGTATACTGTCTGCATATATCCCTTAATCTTTTATTTGACAGATATGTCCTAATCTCAAAGCTGTTCCACATTAAAGAGTCTTTCTAGGTGTTCCAAATCTATCAGTTAGGGTTGCTGCAGGAGATGAAGCCCCAGGGCAGTCTAACATGCCTATCTTCCACTCCTGTGTATGTCTACGGAAAATCTATAAAATAGTAGATTGTCCCAGCCTGGGCAACATGGTGAAACCCATCTCTACCAAAAAAATATAAAAATTAGCCTGGCATGTTCATGCATGCCTGTAGTCTCAGCTACTCAGGCGGCTGAGGTTGGAGGATTGCTTGAACCCTAGAGGCAGAGGTTGCAGTGAGCCAAGATCGTGCCACTTGCACTCCAGCTAGGTGACAGAGAGAGACCCTGTTTCAAAAAAAAAAAAAATAGTAGACTGTTTTCTAACTCCTTCCTTCCCCTCCCACACACCTCCACCAAGTGCTAGATTCCAAATATACTTGGGCTCAATATTCATTAGGCAGAAGGGATTCTGAGTTCACCACTTTCTCCACATTGTCCCCCTATTTCTCAGATCCAGTATCATTTTAAATATCCAACAATTACATTATGAATTGCAAAACTCCTTGGACTTGGTTAGGTGGTATAACCACTCATTTTTTTAATCAGCCCAGAATTTCAGGTCTTTTTCAATCAAAATATAGAAGGATCATGGGAGCTTAATACTCTACTGAACCATGAATTGGTTGAGGCAAAATAATGGCATTACCTCTGACCACGCGTGAGATCACTCGTCATTTCACCAGGTTGTTGCAGAATACTCCAAAGACTATTCTCTGGTTATGCTCATGAACTCTCATCCAGAAATTATGCTGCATGGTGTACAATCCTACAAGATTTTGCCTCTGTCGATCACACAGTATGCAACAAGTTGAAGGTGGTTGTCCTGATTTCAGGTCTCTCCTTGGAGAGATCTTATTTGACCCTACAATCTAAACTAGCCACTGAGTCACCCTATCATACCACTCTGTTTAAATTCTCTGCATAGGCTGAGCGTGGTGGCTTACACCTGTAATCCCAGCACTTTGGGAGGCCAAGGTGGGTGGATCACGAGGTCAGGAGTTCAAGACCAGCCTAGCCAACATAGTGAAACCCCATCTCTACTAAAAATACAAAAAAAAAAATTAGCCTGGTGTGGTGGCAGGTGCCTGTAGTCCCAGCTACTTGGGAGGCTGAGGCAGGAGAAGCACTTGAAACTGGGAGGCGGAGGTTGCAGTGAGCCGAGATTGCACCACTGCACTCCAGCCTGGGTGACACAGTGAGACTCTGTCTCAAAAAACAAAATTATCTGCATAGCACATGCTGCTAAATGATATTTTTCTTGCTCATTTAATTGTTTGTCTAGTGCTTGTGTCCTTCCACTAGGTAAAGGACCGGCTCTGTCTTATTTATTGTGATATTCCTAGTGCCTAGAATAATTCTGGATGCCACGTAGTAAGCCCCCAATATGTATATGTTAAGTGAACTAAATCAAGGTGTTACAACAGGAAATGGCAAAGGTTGCCTAGAACTTCCATGAGGCTACATTTAATGGTCAGAGAAAGCCTCCCTGAGGAGGTGATGTTTGGGGGAAACCTACGTAATGACATTTAGGTAAGAGTATAAGGGTTTGATTATTATGCTGACCTGCATATTTTAGTTTTCATATGAAATTGTTTTTTAAACAAAGGCCATTATAACTATTCTAAGAATGACCAGAAAAACTGTGAGATTGGCCAAGATTCCAACAGAACAGGTATAGGACCTAGACCTTCAGTGTGGGTTTAAAAGTGATAATAAGAAAAATCATCTTAAATGCCTCTCTAAACATTTTTCCTTTCAGTAATCCAGAGATTTTTTAATCCCTAAAACCCTATCCACCATTAAGATATGAGAGGAGAGGACAGAGGAAACACCCAGAACAACAAAGTCATCAGTGGAGGATTTCAAAACCAATGATGAAAGAAGTATCTACCAGATTGAGGAGAGGGCACACACCCCTCCTGAGCAGCAGGAGAGCTTAGCAGGGAGCAAAGTGCACGCCCTGCCTGGATTCTTTAGGATCTCAGTGGTCCCACTCTGGACCCCTAAGATTTAGCCAGTGGAGGGGTTGAATGTGGAGCCAGAAATGAGGCAGAGAAGATAGATAAGCTAGAAACTTCAAACTGGCGAGTTGTGCCCTGGGTGGAAAAAGGCCCTCAGGCACTGCAATTCCTGTCTGGGACAGAGGGCAGACCACCACACCACACATAGTGCCTGCTGGCCTAAACCAGCATGTGTGTTTGCAGTGGAGGAGAAAGAAGCATGAGTTGTTAGAGGGGACTGTATTAGCCATCCTCAAGTTTACTACACTTTCCCTTGCAGTATAGAAAAGAGCCAGAAGCTCCTACTTGTTCCTAGAAAAAGTCATAGAAGCTAGCCAAGAGTCAGGAATCTATGAACTTGCCTTTGGGTCACTACAGAGAGAGGTGAGATGACACTGAAGGCCTTGGGTTACACAGGCAGGCCAGAAAGCTAATGGAGGACAAAACTGACATTTTATCAGCAGACACAGTGAGGATAGAAGTCAAGTGAGGTGAGTACATATCTCAGCTGGTGATCAACAGGGAAACGAGAGAACCACATCACTTGGGTAAGGAGCCCTTCCCCAAAGCCGGAAGGTAAATAAGCTTCCTTCTGCACCCAGACACCATCTTGGGCATAAGAAAAAGGAAGGAAGACCCTTCAGAAAATAAAACAGCTCCAAAAGGGAGTTTGGATTTTAAATTGCTTAAATATGATTATATATGCAACCACAAAAATAAAGCAGTTAAATTGGAATAGGTTCATTTACCTTCAAATCACACACTTTAAAAAAAATAGTTTTCTAAAATCATTGGGAATTTAAGTAGCTCCAGTGTTAGCTGAGATCAGTTATAGAAATGCAGACGCTAGGCTTGTTGCAGACTCACTCCAGGTTAATTCAATTTGGGCCTTACTCTGTATAAAGCGCAAGTGTCCACTTCAGTTTGAGATGCTCAAGCTTGCTCAGTTCAACTCACCACCCTCCTGACTAGGTGTCCAAGGAGTCCTTTGGTCTTATGGTTGTCCTGGAGACAGAAGTAGGTTACAAATCAGAGAGTAGCTTCCTCTGATTGCTGCGGAGTAAAGGAAAGAGGACTCAGCTGGGCACCCACAGTGGCTGTCGTTCACCTGCAGTACGCTTAAGGCCAGCACCGAAGCTCCCAATACAGACCAGGACCATCAGGGTGGGGCATGGAACTTCTCTGGCAGTGACCTCCCTGCTAGCCCTTGTGTTCACTTCCACACATACACTTCTCCCCCCTTCCTCAGCCAATTTAACCTACGTCCCCTTTCTCCTGTTGCCACTGAAGAAAAATTCTATTTTCTCTTTTTCTGACACAGTAGCTATTAATGGCTAACAGGAATGATAATCCATTAAACCTGGACCCCAGAGCATTGATTCCTTTCCTCAAGGTCAGGAAGAGCTTTCTCCAGAAACAGTATTTCCAGATCTCCCATTTCTGAAAGAGAAGGGAGAGGTTTGCTTTCCATGCTAAAGAAGGTTGCCCAAACATTCACTACTACCGTCCTCCTATGCCCAACAGGACAAATGACTTCCAGAGAGAGAGAAAGAAGAAAGAAAAAGAAAGAAAGCTTGAAGGAAGGAGGAAGGAAGGAAGGAAGGAAGGAAGGAAGGAAGGAAGGAAGGAAGGGAAAGGAAGGAAGAAAAGAAAGAAGGGAAGACAAAGAGAGAAAGAAGAAAGAAAGAAAGAAAGAAAGAAAGAAAGAAAGAAAGAAAGAAAGAAAGAAAGAAAGAGAAAGAAAGAAAGAGAAAAAAGAAAGAAAAGCAGGAGGAGGAGGAGGGAAGGAAGGAAGAAAGGAAGGAAGGAAGGAGACAAACCCAAGATGAGTTTGGGGGCCAAAATAGATTATCTACAGTAAAACAAGGTAGTTAACCAAAAAAGAGAAAATAAGGGATTCAGACAAACAGGGGCCCCAACCCAGGAAAGAGACAAAGAGACTTCCCAGAATAAGAATGAAGAGAAGGCCCGGCATGACAGCTGACAGCCACAGGCCTAGAGAACCCAGTCTAGACTGCAGCAGGAGGGCAGAAAGCTCTGGAAGAGAGGTTTGGTCTCCAGGAGGAAATAGAATTAGTAGATTACATAATATTGTCCAAATTATGACATTGCTGTATTTGCGGTAATCAGAGAAGGGAAAGTGTGTGTGCCTGTGTATGTGTGTATCTGTGTGTGTGTCTACGTGAGAGTGTGTGTGTGTGTGTGTGTATGTGTGTGTGTAAGGGGGCAAGAAAGAGACATACAGAGAGAGAGATTAGAGAGAAGGAGAAAGATTGAGGTAAGACGCCATCTACTCTGAAAAGAAGCCAGTGTCTGAAATTGATAAATCCAGGGAAATGGCAGCATAGCCATGTTGTTCAAAAACATGGCGTTAAACACCAACATAAGCAGTTGGACAGCTGAAAGTGGTTGCCTCAGGGGAACAGGCATCAGGAGAAGTGAAGGATGAGTGAGGGCTTCTGTTTTTCATTTAAGCTGTGGAAGATTAAAGATGGCCACAAATGACACCCTTCACATGGAGGGATGGAGCTCATCTTCCCTCCCTAAGAATTTGGGCTGGCCTCTACTACTTACAAATAATGTACTAGTGGACAGGACAGTTTCCCATGATCAGTCTTGCTTTTTAAGAGGATTAGAAGCTTCTACCGTGGTCTCTTGAATCCATGAATCATAATTCCAGAAGACCAAACACATTGCTCGAGAAAACACATGGAGAGGCCCTGAGACTGCAGAAAAAGAGAGAAAGAACTAGCTCAGCCCAAACTTCTGGCCACCTCACCAAGACAGCAGGCATGTGAACAAAGCTACCTTGGACCCACCAGACCAGGCCAGCCACCAGCTGAAACGTACCGTGTCAATGCCATGTGGAACAGAGAAGTCACTCAGCCAAGCCCTGCCTGAATTCCTGATCTGTAAAATCATGAGGTATAATAAAATTGTTGTTGGTTTCACCCAGTGCATATCAGGGTGGTTTGCCATGCAGCAATAGACAATTGGGACATTAGTATGTTCATACTTAGTAGTAATAAGTCTTCATCACTAATTTTTAAACTATGTACATGTATAAATGTTTTCTGAGATAGAGTCTTGCTCTGTTGCCCAGGCTGGAATGCAGTGGCACAATCACAGCTCACTGCAACCTCGACCTCCTGAGTTCAAACGATCCTCCTTCCTCAGCTTCACAGATAGCTGAGACCACAGGTGCACACCACTGCACTTTGGTAATTTTAATTTTCATAAAAATAAAAATTAATTAAAAATAGCTTCATCTTATTAAGGTTGATGAAGTATATTAATGTCAATTTCACGGTTGTGATACTGTACAATAGTGTAGAAGACTGGGGAAACTGTGTGCAGGGCATATGGAATCTCTGTATTATTTCTTACAACTGCATGAAAATCTACAATTATCTCAAAACTAAAAGTTACAAAAAATTTGAATAGTTTAATGTTTGTATCTTGTCACATTAGCATATATTTAACAAAAATGGTATTATTCTTTATGTATTATTCTATATTTTCCACTTAATATATGGAATGTTGTCAGCACTTATACATCTAAATGTTGTATAAGCCTGTTGCCCTCATTTAAGTATACATCTTATACATCCTATACACGTACTTATACATCTAAGTGCTGACCACACTTAGATTGACTTCAGGCCGGGCACAGTGGCTTATGCCTGTAATCCCAGCACTTTGGAAGGCCGAGGCGGGCACATAACCTGAGGTCAGGAGTTCGAGACCAGCCTGGCCAACATGGTGAAATTCCATCTCAACTAAAAATACAAAAATTAGCCAGGTGTGGTGGTGTGTGCCTATAATCCAGCTACTCAGGAGTCTGAGGCAGGAGAATCGCTTGAACCCGGGAGGCAGAGGTTGCAGTGATCCGAGATTGCACCATTGCACTCCAGCCTGGGCAACAGAACAAGACTCTGTCTCAAAAAAAAAAAACAAAAAAGAAATTGACTTCAGCGGCTGCCTCAGTGACTTTAATGGCTGCCTAATATTCCACTGTATGGATTTACTATAATTTATTTGACTAGTGCCTTACTAATGGATATTTAGATTATTTCCTCTTCCAGATACTATGTGCTCTATTGAGATCAAAGAGTTCTGAGTTCTCTTTGAGTCATAAAAACAGAGGCCAGGCTATGTAGCAACATCCTGTACTCTAAACCAAAAAAAACATTTCCACCATCCTTATGATAGTCCCTTTCTTGTGTTTACATCTTCCATAAGCCGTTACAGATCATCTTAGTTCTTTTAAATCCAGGTAAGTCTTCATATTTATCTACAGTTATCTGGGTAGCGGACTATACTTCAAACTGCAGGATGTCAGGGAAAAAATAATAAATTAAAACTCAGAGCTCCGGCCCTGAGTCATCCTGTCTGACGGAGTTTCATAAAAAGTTAAATCAGTAAAGAATACAAATATATAAAAGAAAGAACTGATCTTCAAAACAGATCTAAAATCTCAATGCATTTAATATCCATCCTCGCAAAGTAATCATTTAATCTGATAAGCAAGTTTTACATTAATGATATCAAGATCAAATTCATGGGTGTTCTAGATAGATACATCCATGAATTTCTGTCCAAGAATAAGTCATTCTGCCTTCTAAAGACTGTAGGCTTTTTAAGAAAATGGATTTGAAGTGTGTTATTCATTAATTCACTCATTCATTCAACAAATATTTAAATGTCAGGGCCAATGATTAAAAACAGACTGAGGCAGCTGTCACCACAGAGGAGTTCAGACTCTAGTGGAGGGACCAAGACCTAAGTAAGTAAGTTACTAAGACAAGTATAAACAATGTGGCAGAGAATAATAAAAATAAGCACATAAGCTGGGTGCGGTGGCTCACACCTGTAACCCCAGCACTTTGGGAGGCCAAGGTGAGCAGATTGCTTGAGCCCAGGAGTTCGAGACCAGCTTGGGCAACATAGTGAAACCCATCTCTATGAAAAATACAAAAATTATTTGGGCATGGTGGTGCCTATAGCCCCAGTTACTTGGGTGGCTGAGATGGGAGGATATCTTGAACCCAGCACCTTGAGGCTGCAGTGAGCCATGATCAAACCACTGTACTCCAGCCTGGGCAACAGAGTAAGACCCTATCTCAAAGTAAATAAATGAATAAACAAATAAGCACATGGTAGCACAGGCTGCCCCCTCAAGGCTCTTCTGCAGGAAATTAACAAAATTGTTGAGTAGGGATAAGCATCATTCCTGTGAAGAGAGAGGTCAATCAGGTGGGGTGCAGAATGGGCCAACTTCCAGAAACAAGCAGAGGGTTAAGCATAGCTTGCCGGTGGGTCAGGGATAGCTCTACAAGCAGTTACACTCTGCCCAAGCATAAAATGGAAGCATGGAGTAGCATGAGAGAGGCTAGGGCCAAATTATACAGGGCTGTGTGCTTTTCTAAAGAGTTTGAAGTTTATCCATAAAGCAAACAGAATCCAATGAAGAAGACCTTTGCTTAGGGTGAACATACGTCCCAGCATGGCCAAGGTTGTTCCAGTTCATGCCTGTTGCCTTCATGTAAGTATTAATAGTGTTCACTTTCACATTCAGAGGTTTCCTGTTCATCCTAGTTATGTTAGGTCTACTTCCAGTGGAACTTAGGTCATTGAAAATCTGCTTAAGAAGGCAGTAGCTGAAAATGGAAAGAAAGAAAAACACTCTTTGTCACCTTCAAAGAGTTTGATCAATACTAAATTAAATAGTGGAAAATCAAGTGCAAAATTTTTATCAAATACAACCAGTAGCATTTTTATAGAGTTTTTTTGTAATGGGAAATTCAAAAATATAGATTCTAAAAACTATTTTTTATGTTTCTTTTGTAAGAGATTTTTTGAAATGGTACATGTTGTCTATAAAAGGAATGCATAAACATGGTAAAAATATGTATATATATTTTATAAAAGGAAAAATTAAAGTCTGTCTTCCCTCCCCAACTCTGGCCCACCATATGAATTAATCATTTTACTAAACTGAACTGGAGGAAGAGACAAAACCTTGAAATGATGATCAGTTAGGTTTGGGGTTAGACTAAACTGGACATTTTAGCATCCAGGAACATGATTTTCTAACACCTGAAAGTGGCAGGAAAGGGTTGGGATCTGCCAGGGTTACTCTTAAAGAGTACAGAGGATGAACCTAATTAGGTAACATCAGAGAACAGCTCTTTTTATTCCTTTCCTACTGCCTTCAAACATTCCTGTAATAACCATATTCTCTCATTTCTGTATTTGATGCTTTGGCATCTAGGCCTTGCTGACCTGGGATGGGAGTGCCCCTCCCAGATTTTGCCATATCTAGAGATAATAAAGAACTTCCCTGAAAGCATGCCTTCCATATGCAACCAACCCAGAGCCCCTGCCCCTAATCACTTCCTTTATTGAAATCTTGTAATCACCTTGCCCACTGCCTAGACAGAGCTGATTTATCAAGACAGCGGAATTGCAATAGAGAAAGAGTAATTCACACAGAGTGGGCTGTGTGGAGACAGGAATTTTATTATTACTAAAATCAGTCTCCCCCAGCATTTGGGGAGCAGAGTTTTTGTTTGTTTGTTTGTTTGTTTGTTTTTGAGACAGAGTCTCACTCTGTAGCCCAGGCTGGAGTGCAGTGGCTCTGTCTTGGCTCACTGCAACCTCCACCCCTCAGGTTCAAGCAATTCTCCTGCCTCAGCCTCCTGAGTAGCTGGGATTACAGGCATGCGCCACCATGCCCGGCTAGTTTTTGTATTTTTAGTAGAGAATACTAACCCAAGCAGATGCTGCCACTTTCAGATATTAGAAAAGTCATGTTCTTAGATGTTAAAATGTCCAGTTCAGTCTAACCAAAATCCTACCATCATTTCAAGGCTCTTTTCCTTCCTCCAGTTCAGGCCTGACCCACACTCAGGACAGCAGTGGAGAAAGATGGAATGATCTTGCTCTTTCCAATTTTCTTCCCTTCTTACTGCAGGATCATCTGATGCAGAGGAAGGGAAAGGAGGTATCAGAGGAGAAAGGAGCAAAGGAATTTTCACTTAGGTCATGTTGGTGGTTCTCCTTTGGCCAACAATAGTTGCCTGGGCCCTTTAATGTGGCAGGTGTTCATTGACAGCGTTGATGAACAAAAGCCACACACAAAGCTGCAGAGATCTCCAAATTGCACCCTTTCCTGACATGAGCAATGCACTTAAATCACCTTCCAGGTGTTATCTCATCACCACCCCCACCCAACTCTATCCTCTGGCAGTACACCCCATGGCCTCTTCCTGCCAAGGCCTCCTCACTCAGGAAGACAAAGATCTTTCAAGCAGACTTGAGGCTTGCCACCTGCCTGGCATCCATTTAGCCCTTGATGCCCTGTCCTCTAAATGCGGCTTTCCCTCATAGCTGCCCTCAGCTGCCAGAGGAAACTTCAGTCAGCCTCTCCTTGTCTTTAAAATTATCGAGGTGACCAGTAAGCACTGGTCTCTGGAGTCACGCATGCTCCCAAACTCCAGGAAAGCACTCCCACCACGTTATTTAAACTATTTAAAGAAGAAAACCCTCCCAATAATTCTCTCACCAAACTACTCCAGTTCCATGGAGCTGTGACTCCACAACTCAGAGAGCATCCGTCAAGGATGGCTCTAGGCTTGATGATGGCAGGGGAAGTCCCTTGGAGATTCCGTCATCACAGTCATGTGTCCTTCCACAAATAGCCTTCTGTGAAGTAAGCTGTTGCGGGCAATGGTAGCTGTGCCAGTCTGGCTGCCCAGTAGCCAATCCTTAGCAAATAGTGAATCTCTAACACTTCTCTTTAGAATGTGGGGATACTTGGGTCAGGCGCGGTGGCTCGTGCCTGTAATCACAGCACTTTGGGAGGCCGAGGCGGGTGGATCACCTGAGCTCAAGGAGTTCAAGACCAGCCTGGCCAACATGGCAAAGCACCATCTCTACTAAAAATACAAAAAAAAATGAGCCGGGCATGGTGGCAGCCACCTGTAATCCCAGCTACTAGGGAGGCTGAGGCAGGAGAATCACTTGAACCCAGGAGGCAGAAGTTGCAGTGAGCCGAGATCGCGCCACTGCACTCCAGCCTGGGCGACAAAGGAAGACTCCACCAAAAAAAAAAAAAAGAAAAAGAATGTGGGGATACTTTAACCATTTTCCTCTGCTTTGAGAGTTTAGCTAAAATTCTGAACCAATGGGAAATTTCCTTTGTATATCTTGTTATAACAGAAATGAGTTACCCACTTTGGAAGTAGCCACAAAGTCTATAACACTCAGAGTAAAATCGAAGCCACTGGACAAAATGCCAGTCATAAAGACCCAGAAGTGTGTCTGCAGTATCAATGCTTCTACTCCCAGAAAGTAGATAAGATTGGGATGGAGAGGATGTAAAAGAAAGCAGAAGGGCCTATCAGAAATGTGAGGAAGAACTGGACAAAACCCAAGGAAAGGGTAGAGGAAGACCTTTCCATCCCAATAAAAAGAATGGAGTGGAACCTGACTCGACCCAAGCTGTCACTCACGTTAACATCCAAGGAGCATTTACCACCCATCATCAATGAGTATTTAGTTTGAGAAAATGCTCACCAATCTCTGGAAACTTGACATGTTGTGAGATTGTTCTGGTGGAGGATGTCCAGGTTCTTGGCATCTTGAACAAAACGCACAAATGAAGCATGGAAAGAATGAAGCAACAAAAGCAAAGATTTACTGAAAACAAAAGTACACTCCACAGGATGGGAGCGGGCCTGAGCAAGTAGCTCAAGAGCCCAGTTACAGAATTTTCCGGGGTTTATATACACTCTAGAGGTTTCCAGTGGTTACTTGGTGTGTGCCCTATGTAAATGAAGAAGCTAAAGTGAAGTTACAAAGTTATTTATTTGGTGTATGCCCTATATAAATGAAGAGGATATTTCCTGTCATAGCTAAAGTGTTTCGTTTGATTTAGTTCTAGGAAGTCCTTAGGTTCCCTGCCTCCAGGCCCTATTCTCTTGCCTCAGGATGACAGTATCACAATGGGAAAGCCTCATCTTCTGACCAAGACAGGACCAGGCAGAACTATCTAGAAACTGCAGTACAAACCAGAAGGGCAGTGTGGGCCTTGCTTCATTTTGTATTTGGACTATGCATGACATAAAGTTTTTTTTACCTTCTAATTGTCTTCCTTTTATTATTTTGATGACTATAGAGAAATACACTTTCAGGATATTAAGATGCTCTGTGTTTTTAATTACACAAGTTGGGGATGGACACCATTTTTTAAAAGATGTTCTTTACAGAGCCTGTGCTTCCTGTTCTATTATGTGCTATTATTGCATTCTGTTCTTTCAAGGAAAGCAGTTGCAGGATGACTCCTGGCCTCAAGTGATCTTCCCACTTCTGCCTCCTAAAGTGCTGGGATTACAGGCATGAATCCCAAATGTAGCTGCAGGATGGCTGCAACTGATTTCCACTGAACTCCTGGTTTCTGTTTCTGAATGCTGTATCTTTTTAAGTTCTTTATTTTTTTTTTCTAGTAAACATCCCTGGGTAATTTTTTTAATGGAAAAAAATGACTTTATTTTGAAAATATTGGAAAATGTCTTTATTTTTTCCCTGTACTGGATTGATAGTTTTGCTGGGTAACAAATTCTAGGTACAGAGTCATTTTCTATCAAAAGTTTGAAAGTATTGCTTGTGTCCTCAGTATCCATATTTGTTGATGAGACATTTAACAATCACATTTTTATTTAAAATGGTATGTTCTTTTATTCTCTCTTCACACATCTGTGATTTTTCTCTTTGTCCTTGGAATTTTGTGACTTATTTGTGCCCCCTGACAAGCTCCCTAAAGTGCTTTTATTTAGTAATTTTTTTTAGAGACAGGGTCTCACTCTTTTACCCAGGCTGGAGTGCAGTGTCACAATCATAGTTCAGTGTAACCTTGGACTCCTGGGCTCAAGCAATCCTCCCACCTTAGCCTCACTGAGTTGCTAGGACTACAGGCACATGCCACCATGTCCAGCTAAGTTTTTTTTCATTTTTGTAGAAACGAGGTCTCGCTATGTTGCAGTTTGGTCTCAAACTCCTGGCCTCAAATGACCCTCCCACCTCTGCTTCCCAAAGTGCCAGGATTACAGGAATGAAACCCAAATGTAGTATTTCTATCATACAAGATTGTAACTTCACCTTCCTGACATTATGACTTGGGGAATCTAACTCATGACAAAGCCCATAGTTATTTGATACTCCCATTGTCAGGCACTCAATTTCTACTGTGGTAGCATTCTAGAAGCTGTTTTTCAAATGGTGAGTACCTCTCTGATATGCTAATTTGTGCTCATTCTAGACTTCTTTCCTGCATACCTCTTACTGGGGCTTTCCAGAAACTCTGCACATCATCCCTACCTAGCATGATTACTCCTAATTCCATTGGATATGCCTGGTCTTCTGGCCTAAGCAGTAAAGTAGCTTGCACTACAGGCTGCACCTGCTTCTGAGCCTTCTTTGAGCTCCACTCAAAATAGTCTCCCAACTTACCTAAGAAATTAGTCAAAGCAGTATTCTGAAGTAGAATATGTACTGTCACTACAGTCCAAAGAGGCCCATTGCTACTGTGCTCTTTTTTGGGGGTGAAAAGTTTGAAGTACGATAACATTTGCTTTACCTTAAAGGGGATATCCCTGCATAGCCCAAACCATTGAGTCCCTAAAATCTTCATAAGTATGGCAGACCCCTAAATCATTGTAGGATTTATCTCTCAGGCTATGACGCAAGACCCATGGGTCTTGCCAAGGTATCCAGAATACTTCCCACTTCCTTGCACCAACACAATTAACATGATGTCATCAATATAATAAATACTATGATGCTCTGTGGAATGTTAAGATACACAAAGTTCCTTCCTACTATACTGTGACAAAAACCTGAAGAGTTAACATAACCTTGCAGCATGGAATATATTTTGCTATCTTTTCTGCATAAATGTCCTCTGCTTTGATCCTCTTTCCAGATGGGAAAAGAAAACATCTGCCAGATCAACAACTGAAACTGCCATTGCAAAATTATAACTGAGACAGTGAAAGAGGTCTGACCTAACCGACTCCATCTTGCTTCTAACCTCCAAGCTGTCCTTGTTCGTTCCTGGGTGTAGGCTGATCTAACTTTGGGAGAAACTTAGTTTACAATTTACAACAAAGATGATAACAGCCCTCTCCCAAAACAAATCCCCTTCTTTCCTGGGAACTAGACTGCCTTTGTAGGACTAACGAATTAGCCAAAAGATTAGAAATTATAGTTTAGGAGTCATACAGCTGGAGGCTACAAGATTCTGAATCTCCTCAAATTTCTCTTGGGGATAACATGACTCTTACAAAGCCTAAGATCAGTGTTTGAGATATTTTGCAGACTCTGCACTCGATGGATCAGCTGGCACCACTCAGATCGATAAACTGGCTCATCTGAACTTGTAGCCCTCACCCAGGAACCGACTCAGTGCAAGACAGCTTCGACTCCCTGTGATTTCATCTCCGACCAAATCAGTCAGCATCCACAAATCATTGGCTGCCACCCACTCACCAAATTATCCTTAAAACATCTGATCCTCAAATGCTCGGGGAGACTGATCTGAGTAATAACAAAACTCAGTTCTCCCTCACAGCCAGCTCTGTGTGAATTACTTTCTTTATCACAATTCCCCTGTCTTGATAAATCAGCTCTGTCTAGGGAGTGGGCAAGGTGAACCCACTGGGCAGTTACTCAACCACATACCAAGTGCCAGAGGCTGGACCTGGACCTGTGATACTATGCTCTAATAAGATACTGCTTTGGGGGCTACCACTGGGCTCAGTTCATCATCACCCATCTTGATCCATCTGATTTTTTTCAGGGGTGATAGCAGTAAACTGAATGGGAATATGATAGGAACCACCACTCCTGCATTCTTTAAATATTGAAAAATGGTATTAATTTCTGCAATTCCACCCAGGATATAATATTGCTCTGATTTATTGTCTTGGCTTGGAGAAACAATCTCGGGGATGATAGGATTTTAGAATAGCAGAAGCCAACTAGTTGCTTTAACCAATTGGCTCTTCCTACCATAAGGGTTCTTACTCACAGGTCAGTGAAACAATATGAGCATTCTTCCAATTGCAAAGAATATCAATCCCAGTTATGCCCAAGAGGACTGGGGAAATGATCACAGGTTGGGTCTCTGGACCCATTGTACATATTGTAACATAGATCTAGGCTAAGACTCCACATGTCTCCTCTGTAATCATGGAGCCAAGAAAGCATTTTCAGATCCCCTGATATCAGCATCAGTTCAGATCCTATGTCCAAAAGCTCTCAAAAGTCTTCCTCTTTCTATAGCATACAATTACTCTGTTAAACAGCTACAGTTTCCTTTGAGTTAGGATTGATATATTGTATATGCTTGCAGTGACATTGAGGGGTCTTTCATTAGGCAGACACAGCCTCTCCAATTGGTGGTCTCTGATCAAAAGAATTAACTAAGCTGGAAACTGGACCAGAGATTGCAGGTTTCCACTATGGTAGCTGATATCAGTTTTCTTCACAGCAACTCTTGATTTTTTTTTTTCTGATTGTATAAGCCAAGCAATGTGCTAGCTCACTCTTTATCTCATTTGCCCCAAGGAAAATATAGTCTATTAGACACTGCCACAGATATGTGCAGGACTCAGTGCCCCAGATGCAACTCTGGTCTTTCTACCTGGCATGATAATTACATCCACCATGATACTGATGGTTAAATGTTACTACCCTGACCTCTGCTATTCTGGAATTCCATCATCACAATTGACACTATAGAACCCAGTTCCATACAGAACGGAGCCTTAGGCATCCAGCCGTTGGGGTGTGCCACTCAGATCTCCTTTAAAGGAAGAAATTGCCATGAGGAATGTAGTTATCTGACAGCCTCCAGCTGCCTCAACTTTGAGGTCTTTCGCAGCATTCACTCAAAGGCCACATAGTCCTGGTCAAAGACTAAACATGGCAAAGTTTCTAGAGCTGGTCCATTCTTGCTCATCATAGGATTCCTCTAATGGGAAATCTTTCCCCAAGGGTTCCGCATTAGCCTAACCAAGACTTTCTCTGAGACTCTTAGTTATTATGATGCTACTTCCACCAGCACCAGGGTTCTTGTTGCTATCTGGCTGTTGAGTGATTCAGTCCCACTGAGCAATGTCAACCTGATTGTCTTTCTTTGTTTTTAAGAAACAGGGTCTTGCTCTGCTGCCCAGGCTGGAGCACAGTAGTGTGATCATAGCTCACTACAGCCTTCAACTCCTGGGCCTTAGCAATCCTCCTGCCTCAGCCTCCCAAGGAGCTATGGCTGCAGGTATCCGCCACCACTCATTGACAGCCACTTCCAGTACTCACTGTCTTGGACACAGACTTGAGTAAAAGTACAGGTAATTTATTTGGGAAATGATCTCAGGAAGCAGGTAATGAAGTAAGAGAGATAAATGAAAGGTTCTGTCTGGAAGTTCTGAAGGAGAAACTATCCCATGTCCCTCTCCTAGCTTGTAGTGGCTGCAGGCAATCCTTGGTGATCTTTGGCTTATGGATCCATCACTTCAATCTCTGCCTCTGTCTTCACATGGCTTCTTCCCTGTGTATGTCTGTGTCTCTGTGTCCAAGTTTCCATCTTCCTTTAAGGCACCAGTTATTGGATTAGGGACCATTCTAATTCAGTATGGCCTTATCTTAACTTGATTACATCTGCAAAGACTCTATTTCCAAATAAAGTTACATTCTGAGGTTTCTGGTAGACATGGATTTGGGGAAACACTATTCAACCCAGTACAGGCTCCAAAGACAAATAACTAATTGCATAGTTCTGTCCTTTTGGCCACACGGAAATGTGGCTTCAGGGACCAACAGAGTAACTGTTATTATACATATTATCTTGTTATAATAATGGTTATTATGCACATTTATAATGATTTACATCACTGGATAACTGAACAGTCAAAGTGTTCTCCTAACATGTGCCAGAGCCAAAGTATAACGGTAAACCGGGCCAAGAGCATTCTTTAGTTCAGTGATTTCCAAACCCTTTACCCACAGAATCCTTTGTTCAAATGACATTTCATTAGGGGTGTTCAGACAAACATAATGGATAAAAACTGTTCTTGCAGAAACAGGGCCGGTAGGACCAGAGGCTCCCCCTCCTGGGTCAGATTATGCAGTAAGGAGCTTCACAGAATACGACTGGAAATCCACATACCCACTTTTCTGTTTAATTCAGGAAGCAGTTGCTAAACACAACTAACAGAGCAAAGTAAGTACACAGGGCTAAGAGAAGAGGTAGAGAGAAGAACAAAATGAATTTAGGAAAGACTAGAAAGGAGATTGTTGTGGGCACTTTAAGTATTTGGATCCAAAAAGGAGAGGAAAAGTCTGAGAATACCGATCTGTGGCTTCCCGGTGATCCCAGAAGAAAAGGTAAAAGGATGAAGAGGAAAGGGAAGGAAGAAGCTACTTATACAATGATTTAAAGTGGTAGCTGATGTTTTATGGCTTCTTAGATGAAGCTCTAAAGTTTTCTGAGTCAACTTTGAGTCAATTAGCTACATAGGGCAAGCATGTTTACACTGAATGACTTAGAGATCTTCCCAAATAAGTAGACAAACAGAAGACTTTAGTCTCCAGCCTCATTAATCTAATACCTTTTGTGAGCACTTAGCTTGTATACAAAGCCAAATAAAAGCATTCTATCTAAATAAATCAATAATAATTTATATCTTCTGAGCTCTCCAAAGAGAAATGTTTATATGTAGAGAAAATAAATAAATAACATGACATTTAAAGGAATAAACGATTCTACCCCACAACACACAGGGCAAAGTGAGATACTAAGCCATTCAATGAGTCTTTAGTGTCTTTACCAAAGAGGGAAAGTATCTGTCAAGATGCCAATGGATTAGTCAAACTTTTCTAAGAAAACATTTTAATTTGTTGTCGGAAATAGTTTTATAGTCTAACTTATTGATTCTCACATGTTGAAACTAGCTGAGCCTAATAAGGAACTAAGTATAAGTTGGAAACCATTCGGCTATCAAAATACTGCTAAATAGTATTACAACAATTTCATGAAATGCCTGAATAAGATATTTCATTCAGCAAATGCTATGCCACCAATACCACCTCAATGACTAATTTCTTTCAGTGCAAGGTTCTCCTTGTACAGGCGACTCTTAATCTTTTTTGGATCATGGATCCCTTGGAAGTCTAGTGAAGAAATCTCTTCAATGCATTTTTTAATGCATAGAATTATATGAACACCAATTATATTAAAACATAGTTATTAAAATAATTTTTAAAAAACAAATTTGTGATGAGACAATATATGTCTTCTTTATTAACACATTAGATAATAAAATCTAGGGGCAGGTTATCTAACTATCATAATTTCACATAGTGATGGGCATAGGTGGTTTTTGTTTTTAGGGTTTTGCTTTTTTTTTTTTTTTTTTCTGAGACCACGTCTCGCTCTGTCGCCCCGGCTGGAGTGCAGTGGCACAATCTCAGCTCACTGCAACCTCTGCCTCCCGGGTTCAAGTGATTCTCCTGCCTCAGCCTCCCAAGTAGGTGGGATTACAGGCGTGCACCACCACATCGGACTAATTTTTGTGTTTTTAGAAGAGACGGGGTTTCACCATGTCGGCCAGTCTGGGCTCCAACTTCTGACCTCAAGTTATCCACCCGCCTCGGCCTCCCGAAGTGCTGGGTTTACAGGCGTGAGCCACTGCACCCAGCCTGAGCATAGATAGTATTTTGTGAGATTTGTCAGTAACTAATATGATTTGAATATATCTGTGATTTCTATTGGTGACAGTCATAGGTACTGCTAGTACCACTGTGATGTGTTTTTTATATTCATAACTGAAGCAAATGTTAATTTTAAGTTGGAAATGAATGAAAATAAAAATGCAATTCTTTCCATCCACATACTCAGACCCCCAGTTTCTCACTCCCTCCATGAGGCTCTCTTTGATTTCCAAAGTTCTCCTTTTCTCAATGGCCACAAGGGGCAAGAGGCCTGGATGAAGAAATACCCTCAGAAACTCCCACTCTTCTGGTTCCTGCTGAAGACTCCAGTAATAAAAGTTATTCATACCTACCTCCACCATCTTGGCTGGGAAGTCAAGGTATAGCAGAAGACTGAGTGTCTGGGCTACCCTGCCTGGGACCTGGGGAAGGGGGCTGTTGACACCAATATCAGAGATTCAAAGTAACAGAGATGGAAGGGAGGGTAGAATGTATCTGGTGTCTGTTAGAAAAGCACAGCACAGGGCAGTAGTGAAGAAAGGGGCTTCATAGGCGCTGCAACTGACCAAACCACTGCAATCTCCCAAGTGGTGCAAGCACTGCAGTGGCCTGAATGTTTTTGTCCCCACAAAACGCCTATGTTGAAGCTTTATCCCTACTGTGATGGTGTTAGGAGGTGGGACTTTTAGAAGAGATTAGGTCATGAGTGTGAAGTCATCATGAATGGCATTAGTGCCCCTATTAAAGGGACCCCAGAGATCTTTCTTGCTCTCTTTCCTCCATATGAGGATACAGGAAGAAGATAGCAGCCCGCAACCCGGAAGAGGGCCCTCACCAGAACCTACCATGCTGGCACCCAGACCTCAGACTTCCAGCCTCCAGAAATGTGAGAAATAAGTTTCTGTTGTTTATAAGTCATGCAGTCTACTATAGTTTGTTATAGCAGTGCGAACGAACTAAGTCAGGTCCCCCAGGGTGTTTCATGTGCTGTGTCAAGGGGCCAGACATGTGACTTGTTCAATGTCTCACTTATGGGGGGCCACTTTGTGCTAGGCACTGTGCAAGATGCTGAGAGTAGACACCTTGGCTCTCATGGATCAGGAGCCTGGCACCTTCACTGCTGTCTGGTAACTGCATGAAATGCCCAGAGCCCCTCTGTCTGATAAATAAAAAAAAGAATAAAGAAGCCAGACAGTCCACAGCAGGGTGCGGTGACTGATGCCTGTAATCCCAGCACTTTCAGAGGCCGAGGTGAGCAGATCACTTGAGGTCAGGAGTTTGAGACCAGCCTGGCCAACATGGTAAAACCCTGTCTCTACTAAAAATACAAAAATTAGCCGGGTGTAGTGGTGCACGCCTGTAGTCCCAGCTACTCGGGAGGGTGAGGCAGGAGAATCGCTTGAACCTGGGAGGTGGAGGTTGCAGTGAGCCGAGATTATGCCACTGCACTCCAGCCTGGGCAACAGAGCAAGACTCCATCTCAAAACAAAAAACAAAAAACAAAAGAAAAACAAAAAAATAGAGAATAAAGAAGACACAGTTGTTCCTAGAATAACTTCCGTTTACTTTCAGCCAACTGGGAACAAATAAAATTCAGGCCAAATTATTTTTGTCATTTAGCTGCCAAGACAGACAGCACTGCCATACATAACTCCAAAAATGTGTTGTTTTCGTCCCTGTGTGTCACACTACTAGCAGCAGAGAGGGCTTCCCTCACAGCTTATTCTGTTATCTAGAACCAAAGATTCCAGGGCTACAAGTGATCTTTAAAAAATCATCTAGTTGGCTGGGCACAGTGGCTCACGCCTGTAATCCCAGCACTTTGGGAGGCTGAGGCAGGCCGATCACCCGAGGTCAGGAGTTCAAGACCAGCCTGCCCAACATGGTGAAACCCCATCTCTACTAAAAATACAAAAAAATTAGCCAGTCGTGATGGCAGGTGCCTGTAATCCCAGCTACTTGGGAGGCTGAGGCAGGAGAATTGGTTGAACCCAGGAGGTGGAGGTTGCAGTGAGCTGAAATCACACCACTGCACTCCAGCCTGGGCAACAAGAGCAAAACTCCATCTCAAAAAAAAAAAAAGAAAAAAAAATCATCTAGTCCTACCCCCTAACTTTCAGAAGAGAAAACCAAATCCAAAAAGGTTAAATTAATTGCTAAAAGTTGAATCTCTAGCTAGGAACTAGAATGCAAGTGCCCAGACCTTGTTGTAGTCCTGATGTTATATCGTCAATGGGATCGCTATGCTAATTTAAGCATTAAAAGCCTTCACACATGCACTGAATGGGTCCATCTACATATGGGAACTGACTTAAACATGTTTTTACTCAAGAGATTGTTGTTTCCCACAGCTTTCCTTTATAACAACTATTCCATGACAACTAAAGAATTGATGATAGATATACAAGATAGAGTGAATGTGATGGTTAATTTTTTTTTTTTCCGAGACAGAGTCTTACTTTGTCACCCAGGCTGGAGTGTAGTAGCATGATCTCAGCTCACTGTAACCTCCACTTCCCGGGTTCAAGCAATTCTCCTGCCTCAGCCTCCCAAGCAGCTGGGACCACAGGCGTGCACCAACACACCAGGCTAATTTTTTTTATTTTTAATAGAAACGGGGTTTCACCATGTCGGCCGGGCTGGTCTTGGACTCTTGGCCTCATGTAATCCGCCTGCCTCGGCCTCCCAAGTTACTAGGATTACAGGTGTGAGCCACTGCACCCAGCCTAAATGTGATGGTTAATTTTATGTATCAACTTTACTGGGTCATAGGGTGTCCAGATATTTGGTCAAACATTATTCTGGGTGTTTATGTGAGAGTGTTTTTTGGTGAGATTAACATTTAAATTGATAGGCTAAGGAAAAATTACCCTCCCTAATGTGAGTGACCCTCACCTAATCAGTTAAAGGGCCTGATCCGAATAAGAAGGCTGACCCTCCCCCAAGTAAAATAATTCTTTCCGCCTGGCAATCTTCAACATGGGACACTGGCTTTGTTTCTGTTTTGTTTTGTTTTTTTTAGATGGAGTTTCCCTCTTGTCGCCTAGGCTGGAGTGCAATGGCATGATCTCCACTCACTGCAACCTCCGCCTCCAGGGTTCAAGTAATTCTCCTACCTCAGCGTCTTGAGTAGCTGGGATTACAGGTGCACACCACCACGCCCAGCTAATTTTTGTATTTTTAGTAGAGACGGGGTTTCACCATGCTGGCCAGGATGGTCCTGAACTCCTGACCTCAGGTGATACGCCTGCCTTGGCCTCCCAAAATGCTGGGATTACAGGCATAAACCACCATGTCTGGCTGACACTGGCTTTTCTCCTGCCTTAAGACTCAAACTCAAACTCCTGGATGTTGAGCTTGCTGACCTTTAGACCAGAATTACACCATCAGCTCTCCTGGTTCTCAGGACTTTAGGTTTGGGCTGAAACTAAAGCATTGGCTCTCCTTGGTGTCTGAAAAATGTCCTCCCTTATGACTTTCTCCCTTACCTTCTTCATTCACCTCTACTCTCAGATATCACCTTGGCTGACTGACCTCTCCCCACAAGATCTTGGGATTTGCCAGCCTCCATAATTGCATAGGCCAACTTCTTATAACTAATGTTTCTCTAAAGAATGCTGACTGAAACAGTGACATAGTCATGTGCAGTCTTATGTTCTAATATAGTCTTCCTATTAGAGATAAAATTAAAAAAAAAATTCTGACTCTCCTGTGTTTCAAAATGCACCTTGATTTTTTGTTTTCTTTCTTTCTTTTTTTTTTTTTTTTTTTTTAAGATAGAGTCTCACTCTATCACCCAGGCTGGAGTGCAGTAGCACACTCACAGCTCACCACAGCCCCGGCCTCCAAGGCTCAAACAGTCCTCCAACCTCAGCTTCCTGAGTAGCTGGGACCACAGGAAGGCACCACCATGCTCAGCTAATTTATTTATTTTTTGTAGAGATAGAGTCTCCCTATGTCACCCAGGCTGGTCTTGAACTCCTGGACTCAAACAATCCTCCTGCCTCGGCCTATCAAGGTGCTGGGATGACAGGCATGAGCCACTGCGCCTGGCCCAAAAGGCACTTTCAAAGTAATTTTATTAGATTTTTCCAGCTGCTAATACAAATCATTTGGTAGCACCACCATAGATCAGACACATTAAAAAACAAAGAATAAGTGTGAAATCCCAAAAGTGATCACCAATATGAACACTACAATATTCTAGTTGTTTTCTATTGAATTAGGAGATTGAGTTCCTGCACTGGTAAATTTTATTACTAGATCATAAGTCCTCTGGGAAAGCAGGTCAGCTTAGGGTATGGGAAGAGAAATCAGAGTCTGATAAAAAACAGCAATAATCAGCATTTGTTTGGTGTCTACTGTACGCCAGGCACTTTGCAATTATTCATTCATCCAACAGATATTATTGAGCACTTTTTATGTTCCTGACATTGTTCAAGGCTCTGGAGATACAGCCATGTTAAAACAGATTTGATTTCCTGTTCTCATGGAACTTACAGTTTAGAGAAGGGAGACAGACAAGTAACAAATGTTATAGAGAAAAATTAAGTAAGGTAGTGCCAGGTAAAATAAGTTCTAATTTTCGTCAGAGTTGTCAGGGAAGGTATTACCAAAGCCAAGGTGACATTTGAGAGTAGAGCTAACCAGATGTGGTGGCTCATGCCTGTAATCCCACTGTTTTGGGAGGCTGAGGCAGGCAGATTGCTTGAGCGCAGGAGTTTGAGATCAGCCTAGGTAACACAGTGAGACCCTATTTCTACAAAAAATACAAAAAATTAGCTGGGCATGGTGTTGTGCACCTGTAGTCCCAGCTACTCAGGAGGCTGAGGTGGGAGGATCACCTGAGCTCCGGAGGTCGAGGCTGCAGTGAACTGAATTGTGCCAAAACACTCTAGCCTGGGCAAGAGTGAGACCCTGTCTCAAAAGAGAGAGAGAGAGAAGAGAGCTGAATGAAGGAGGTGAGAAAACAAATTTCATATGGGGGAACATTTTTCAGACATGGGAGCAAGCAAGTACAAGGGGCCTACTGCAGATGGATGTTTGTGTGCTCAAAGAACAGCAAGGAAGCTAGGAGGGCTGGAGCAGAGTTCAGCAAGGAGACAAGTCATAGAAGAAGATAGGTCATAGAAATAGCAATGGACCAGATTATGCAGTCATAAGCATCTTTGAGACAGATAGTAATGTTAACATAAATGAGATAACTGGGATTCAGAGAGGTTTGCAATTTTCCCACCATAACTCAGCCTGTTGGAACCTGGCTTAGACCTAGGTATATGAGTCTAGAGCTCTTTTTTTCTTTTCTTTCTTTTTTTTTAGACACTGTCTCTGTTGCCTGGCTGGAGTACAGTGGCGCGATCTCGGCTCACTGCAACCTCCGCCTCCCAGATTCAAGTGATTCTCCTGCCTCAGCCTCCCGAGTAGCTGGGATTATAGGCACATGCCACTATGCCCGGCTAATTTTTGTATTTTTAGTAGAGATGAGCTCTTAATCTTCCCACTTCATTATGTTATCTTTCTCCAGAAAAAGCTTAAATCCTCTCTGATGGTTTTGTATATCCCTAGTATAGTGCTTACAGTAAATATTTGCCTTTTCTTTTTTACTAGCCAACATCACGTATCCTTCCTTTGTGGCGAGAAATCCCCATTGTGTCCGTCTTGGTTTGTCATAGTGAAATCATGTGGTTTCATATTCCTTCTTCCCAGTCTAGGCAGCTAGGGTGAGGGCATGGGATCTGAGTCAACTCGATGCCCCTTTCCTAGACTGAAACTTGAGAATGTAGTGCAAAGATGCAGGGTCAGGTGGCCACATGAGTCATCTGGCAATGCTGGTGGAGAGCATCTAGCAGGGCAATGGCAGCAGTGGCATCCTGACCGGAAGTGCCTGCAGTATGACCTTGGAGGTATTCCTAGAATCCTCCACTTTTCTTGGCCTGGTTTCCATCATTGCCAAATATTCTGTGACCCAAAAAAGTTGAGGGAGCACCTTCAGCTCCAATTATGTACTCTTGCTGAGAAAAATTGTGTAAGACTTCGGAATGCGGAAAAAAAAAGATTACTTTTTTCTCTGAAGATTTATTTTCTTTTCTAGAATGTTCTATACAGCATACTCTTCCCATGATATTGCTACCTTTTATTGTATTTCAACTATTTTACAACTCTATAATTTGTAGAGAGCCAAAAATAATACAAATGTTTCTTGTCCATACAAATGCAAATTAGTTGTATTGGAATGCAATTGATTATCACCTGTGGATAGATCAATGTTACATATGCCTTCAAATTCATGTGAGCTTTTTTTTTTTTTGAGACACCATCTGGCTCTGTCACCCAGGCTGGAGTGCAGTGGCCTGGTCACAGTTCACTGCAGCTTCGACTTCCCTGGCTCAAGTGATCCTCCCTCCTCACCCTACAGGCATGCACCACCGTGCCCAGGTAATTTTTTCTATTTTCTGTAGACACAGAGTGTGACTATGTTGCCTAAGCTGGCTCAAGCAATCCTCCCACCTCTGCCTCCCAAAGTGCTGGGATTACGAGCCACTGCACCCAGCACACTTTAGTATTTTTTATCTTCTTACATATGTGTATGGTACTTTAAATTCTACTTTCAACCTGTTGTAAGTTTTTACTGGTTCTCTCAATAGTTAATGATTTAAATAAAATCTATGCCAAGTCACATTTACTTATCCATTTAAGCATTCTTTATCTGCTTATATGTATGTATGCAGTACTTTGAATTCTTTCAACCAGTAACATTTTATGGGTTCCCTCAACAATTAGTGAGTTAACCAAAATTTGTTACATGTATTCATTTTATATTTATATCAGATGCATGATATAAACATTCACCTTTTAAAAATATTAGCCTTTTAAATCATTATATAAAGAAGATGCCTGCACTCACATGTTTATTTCAGCACTGGTCTCAATAGCAAAGTCATGGAATCAACTTAAGTGCCTATCAATGGAAGACTGGATAAAGGAAATGTGGTATATATACATCATGGAATATTATGCAGTCATAAAAAAGAATGAAGTCATGTTCTTTGCAGCAACCTGAATGGAGCTAGAGGTCATTATCCTGAGTGAAATAACTCAGAAACAGAAAATCAAATACCACATGTTCTCATTTATAAGTGGGAACTAAACAACAGGTACACATGGCCATAAAGATGGAAATAATAGACACTGGGGACTGCAAAGATGGGGAGAAGGGGAGAAGGATAAATGTCAAAAAAAATTATAACCTATTGAGTACAATGTTCACTATTTAGATGATGGGTACCCTAGAAGCCTAAACCTCACCATTACACAATGTATCCATGTAACAAACCTGCACATGCACCTCCTGAATCTTAAAATAATAATAATAATAATAATAATGTAAAAATAAATTTTTAAAAATTAGCCTTTAACAATAATGAACAGGAAAAAAAATCACATCATGGTTCTGTCTTCAGCTCAGAGGTCTCCCCTCTCACCTCCACCCACCACACACAGCCATGTACTTCATGGAACAGGAGACAAGGGCTCACCTTAGTTCTGGCCTTAACCAATTTGCTAATTCACATAGCCTCCATGGGCTTCAGTTTGCTCATCTTCAAAATGAAGAGGATGGCTTCAACACTCTACTATTTGTATTAGTCCATTCTCACACTGCTATAAAGAAATACCTGAGGCTGGGCACGGTGGCTCACGCCTGTAATCCCAGCACTTTGGGAGGCCAAGGCAGGTGGATCACCTGAGGTCAGGAGTTCGAGCCCAGCCTGGCCAGCATGGTGAAATCCCATCTCTACTACGAATACAAAAATTAACCAGACATGGTGGCATGTGCCTGTAATCCCAGCTACTCAAGAGGCTGAGGCAGGAGAATCGCTTGAACCTGGGAGGCAGAGGTTGCAGTGAGCCGAGATCATGCCATTGTACTCCAGCCTGGGCAACATGAGTGAAACTCTGTCTCAGAAAAAAAAAAGAAAGAAAAAGAAAAAGAAAAGAAAAAGAAACATCTAAAACTGGGTAATTTATTTAAAAAAAAAAAAAAGAGGGTTAATTGGCTCACAGTTCTGCAGGCTGTACAGGTTCCAGGGAGGCCTCAGGAAACTTGCAATCATGGTGGAAGGCAAAGGGGAAGCAGCCAACGTCTTACACAGCCAGAACAGGAGGAAGGCAGGGGAGATGACACATTCTGTAAAACAACCAGCTCCTAAGAGCACTTACTCACCACCACAAGAGCAGCACTGAAGGGGAAATTTGCCCCCATCATCCAATCACCTCCCACCAGACCCCACCTCAACATTGAGGATTACAATTCAACAAGAGATTTGGATGGGGACACAGATTCAAACCACATCACTATTCAACTCAGCTCTGCTTCCTTCTGATTTACTGTGTTACCTACCCTATGTCCTTTCCCCACACTATCCCTTGTGAGCTTCTCTTTCCTTTTTCCTGATACTCCTGTGTTTACTTCTCTTTATTTCACCTTCCAACATACCATGTCCTATTTTCCTACTCTTACTTTCTCAACGTTTAGCTCCTCTGTATTCAGCTTCCTGTCTCCCCACCTCCCAAAACACACACACACAACACACACACACACACACGAATACAGAGCTCTTTGTGGGAATCAAACGACTATAAAAAAAACTTGTACTTATTATAGGATTACATGGAAAAAACAAGTAATTTCCACTCAGATTTGCCCTCAATCCCTCCAGAGAAACTACCTCAAAACAAAATAAACAAGTGCTTTACTAAAAAACAAACTAGTAGAACAAACAAACCACTTTGATCCCACTGTTCAGTTTAACCCAGAGGTAGATAATAGCACAAGTAATGTGCTTTCTTTTTATTCCTCCATGATTTCTCTTGCCAGAAGCACATTCAGACCCTCAGCCTTCCCCAGAGGGGCACATCCGTGCTTACTTTTTGTTTTCCGTGGATGCTATGGTTTGAACGTTCCTCCTTCAAAATTTATGTTGAAACTTGACCCCATCATGGTAGTATTGAGAGGTGGGGTTTTTGGGGAGGTGATTAAATCATGAGAGTTCCATCCCTGTAAATGGACTAATGCCTTATAATATGGCTAAAGGCCCCATTTTGCCTTCCACCTTCTGCCATGTGAGGACATAACAAGAAGGCCCTAACCAGACACCAGATGCCAGCACCTTGTTCTTGACTTCCCAAGCTCCAGAACTATGAGAAATAATTCTCAATTGCTCATGAATTACCCAGTCTGTGGCATTTTGTTATAGCAGCACAAATGGCTACAGAAGTCCACTCAGGCCTGTGTAGTAAGACTCAGGGTGTTTTATTATTTCCTTGTGCTTCCCACAACACACCAAGCATCTGCAAAGTCAGCCTCCCTTACAGAATCTGCTGTTACGAAATGCTTTTATGTATATTTTTTTACTCAGTTTAGTTAAGAGTTCAGATGATAACTTGTCTACCCAAAGTAATGACTCAGTAAGAAAGCCAAATTAGATTCTCCCAAGAGTTGTTACCCACATTGTTGGTCAGTGTGATGTGATTTCTAAGGTTTCTTACAGCTCATAAAATGTCTTGGGGTGTTAGGAGGTTGTAGGAATTGTGTCAAACAAAGAAGGCAAGAGAAACTTCCAGGCCAAAGAAATGCATGTGCAAAGCATGGACTCTTCAAACGGCCCCAGAATTCTGGGGATGGGGATTAAGTAGTTCAATGTGGTAGCAGTAAGAGGACTGTGTAGAATGGAGGACAGGAGGAAGATAAACGCTTAGGAGGGGACAAGTCTTTAAAGATAAGAGAAAGCTCGACCGCAAGGGCCAATCTACCCCTGCACTGTCAGGGAGCTCACAAAAGGAGGCTTCTGTCCAATCTGCTGCTTTATAATTTAACGAAACATTGAGATGTGACTATTTCTCCTTTGAGCTACCCATTTAAACTAATAGCAGACAAATACTAAGAAGTCATTTGACCCTAACTGCTGAAAACTACAATTATAGAAAATGGATGTGTGGTTGGGACCTTTCATTTGTCTTTCCCCATGAAAATATGTGGGAGTGAGAATCTTTTCTTCCCCATATTCCACTTCCTCCCAGCACCTAGAAGTCATTGAGCAATCATCATCAGAAATAAACATGCATAATTGCAATAACCTTTAAATACTTTATGGTGTATTAATAACTCAAGAATTTGGGACAAGCCCTGAACAAACACAAGGCAGCAGGTTTGCCTTTGGCCCTCTCCCAGCTCATGCACACTTTCATTTTGTTCTGTCTTCCCCATGAGATGCACCAGGTGTCTTAGTCAGCTCAGACTGCAATAATAAAACATCATATATTGGGTAGCTTAAACAATAGGAATTTATTTCTCACAGTTCTGGAGGCTGGAAAATCCAAGATTGAGGCACAAGCAAAGTTGGTGTCTGGTGAGGGGTCTCTGACCTTGGGTTGCAGATGGCCACCTTCTCTCTGTGCCCTTATATGGCCTTTCCTTTGTGCTCAAGTGGAATAAGAAAAAAAAAAAGTCTTCTTCTTAATAGGGCCCCACCTTCATGACCTACTCTAAACCTAATTGCCTCCCAAGGTCCCTATTTTCAAATACTATCACATTGGCAGGTAAGTCTTCAACATATGAATTCTGAGGGGACACAAACATTCAGTTTGTAACATTCTGCCCCGGACTGCGAAAATTTATATCCTTCTAGTGTGCAAAATACATTCATTCTATCCTAATAGCCCCAAAAGCCTTAACTCATTCCAGCATCAAGTCTAAAGTCCAAAGATAAGGTCTCACTCATATATGACATATCTGACTTAAGTTGTATTTAGTTTCACCACACAAGCTATTTTCTTCCTAAATACAATGGTGGGACAGGCATAGGATAGATATTTTCCTTCCAAAAGGGAGAAGCCAGAAGATGGAAGACAAGTCCCAAGAAAATCTAAAACCTAGCAAGGTGAATTCCATTAGATTTTAAGGCTCAAGAATAATTCTCTTTGGTCCCATGCTCTGCCTTCTGTGCCCAGTAGGGTAGCACTCCCACCTTCAGGACCCACTGAAAAAGTAATGCACCCAAGGCCAGGCACAGTGACTCAAGTCTGTAATCCTAGCACTTTGGGAGGCTGAGGCAGGCAGATCAATTGAGCCCAGGAGTTCAAGACCAATCTAGGCAACATGGTGAAACCCCATGTCTACAAAAAACAAAACAAAATAAAGCCAAAAAGTACAAAAATTAGCCAGGCATGGTGGTGCACACCTGCAGTCCCAGCTACCCTGGAGGCTGAGATGGGAGGATGGCTTAAGCCCAGGAGACAGAGGTGCAGTGAGCCAAGATTGCACCCCTGCACACCAGCCTAGGTGACAGAACCAAACCCTGTCTCAAAAAAAAAAAAAAAAAAGTAATGCACCTGAGACTCTGAGTTGCTCTGCTCCCAAGGTTACACTTTGTGGGCTCACTCCTAAGGCACTGAGTAGGGCTTTTCTCACCTTCTAAAACAAGAGGGGTGGTCACACTCTTTGAAACCAAACAGGAGATAGCCTTATCCCCTAGGTCTGTGGTAGGAGTGACAGCCCTGATGATCTCTGAGTCACATTTGAAGTCATTCTTCCTTTTCCTTGAAGAATAGCATGCATTCACAGCCAAATAGCTATACAGTCCTTTTCACAGAATCCAAGAATTCCAACAGCCTTCCTTCATTTTGTTACATCTCCATCCCCTTCAGTTCAAACTGGCAGTGTTTCTGCTCATATCATCCCATAAACTCTTTCTCAAACCATAATCCAGCCATACCCTTGGCATACTCTTCAGAACATGCTTTCTCGGTTTCTTGCAATATGAATAGGCTGATTGTTTTCCAAACCTTAAAGCTCTGGTTCATTTTTGCTTAACAATTTCTTCTTCATTCATCTCTCTTCTCTCACATTTGACAGAGTCTTGCTCTGTAGCCCAGGCTGGAGTGCAGTGGCATGATCTCAGCTCACTGTAACCTCCACCTCCTGGGTTCAAGTAATTCTCCTGCCTCAGCTTCTCAAGTAGCTGGGATTACAAGCATGCACCACCACACCTGGCTAATTTTTGTATTTTCAGTAGAGACAGGATTTTGCCATATTGGCCAGACTGGTCTTGAACTCCTGGCCTCAAGTGACCTACCTGTCTCTGCCTCCCAAAGTGCTGGGATTACAGGTGTGAGCCACTGTGCCCAGCCCACACATTTTTCTACAAGCACTCAGGAGGAGCAAAGATGCTCCTTCAACACTTTGCTTAAGAATTTCCTCTGCTAAATATGCAATTTCATTGCTCACAAGTTCTACCTTCCACAAAACACCTGAACACCATTCAGCCAAGTTCTTTGCCACTTTATAACAAGAATTTCCTTCCTTCCAGTTTCCAATAACATGATCCTAATTTCCATCAGAGACCTCATCAAAATCTCTTTTTATATCCATATTTCTAGCATGCACCTGAAAACTCTTTCAGCCTCTACCCGTTACTCAGCTCCAAAGCCATTTCCACATGTTTAGATATCTTTTACTGCCACACTTCACTTCTTGGTACCAAAACCTGTGTTAGTCTGGGTTCTCCAGAGAAACAAAACCAGTAACAGATAGAAATATATATATCCATAGTTAGAAATGCATGCACAGATACAGATAAAAATATAAAGATATTTATTATAAGGAATTGGCTGATGAAGTTATAAAGGCTAAGAAGTCCCAAGATCTACAGTCAGCAAGCTGGAGACCCAGGAGAACCGATGGTATAGTTCCAGTCCAAGTTCAAAGGCCTGAGAACCAGGAGAGACAATAGTGTATGTTCCAGTCTGAGTCAAAGATGAACAGCAGAAGACCAATGTCCCAGTTCAAAGACAGGCAGGGAGAAAAAAATTTTCTGATTCAGTCTTTTGTTCTTTTCACGCCTTCAATGGACTGAGTGAGCCCCACCCACACTGGGGAAGGAATCTGTTTTGTCTACTGACTCAAGTGTTAATTTGATCCAGAAACATCCTCATAGACACATTCAGAAGTAACGTTTAACCAAATATCTAGGCACTGGGCACCCCATGGCCCAGTCAAGTTAACACATAAAATTCACCATTACACTAGGTCAGTCTTACCCCGACCTGCCTTCTTGTCCTTTCCTCACACGTGCTACACCAGCTTTGCCCTTTCATCCATTTTCACCAATAACCAATTTTTTTGTTTTACCCAATAATCAGGGACTTACTAGGAGACCCCTTAATTGCCCTAAAAATTACTACTAAGATATTGATGAGTGCAAATGACTTAACAATTACTTTTCCTATTTGCATTTCACCTGTACTTTACCTAAGGAAGAAAAAAAATTATTGTGGTAAAATACATATAACGTAAACTTACCATTTTAATAACTGTTAATTACCTTCACAATGTTCTACAAACATCAGCACTATCTAGTTACAGAACATTTTTTATCACCCCAAAGGAAACCCTGTAAGCAGTCACTCTCCCTTTTCCCTCCCCTCAGCCCCTGGCAACCATGAATCTGCTTTTTGTATCTATAGATTTGCCTATTTTGGAGAGTTCATATAAATATGTGACCTTTTGTATCTGACTTCCTTCACTTAGTAAAGAATTTTAGCCTCCTTAGCTAGGGAAAGTGAAAAATGGAAAGGAGAATATTTTATGATATAAACATTTGGGAGTTATCTCTAAAACCTCACCAACTTTCTACATCACTGTTTTACCAAGATTTGGGAAACTCATCTGTTATTCATCTGCCTGGACGTTCTGCTGTGCGTTATTAACCCTTTCTGTGGAGGTCTGAGGCAGCCTGAACACAGGCTGGCACTGGGCCAGGATGGAGAATGTGTGGACACTTCAGGAGGCTCATTCCACACCATCAAGAGGGCTTCCTTCCCTGAAAGCGACCTGGCAGGACCATGCAGGTCATAAGGTCATACAGCCCTGAGGGGCACAAGGATGCTGATCCCAGACACTTCAGGCCTTAATAAAAATAAAAGCAAGCACATCTCTGGCAGCAGAGTAAATTATTCGTGGGATTTATTTTAAAAGAGAGACAGCTTTGTTGAAAAAAAAAATAGACACCACATCAATTCCAAAAATCATTTCCAGAAGAAAATGTCTAATCAAATGGGAAGTAGTGCATTCGTGGTTTGCACAGCATAGCTACCGAGTTTTTTAAAAGGGTCCCAGATTTGTTCAGATACTGGTTTCCACAATATGGGTCATCTGAAAGGATGCATAGCTTTATTGGGAATATAGCACATGGATGGATGGTCAGAGACTACAAGTCTGCTGAAGTTTTGTGGGAAATGAGCAGTTTGGCAGCCCCCGAGTCTGGAGGGTCTGAGACTGGCATGCCAGAAAAGCTCCAGGTCCGTAACAGCCTCTTTAAAACCATGAAGCCCTTGGAGGCCCAGCTCAAGGGTTTCAGTATGTGTCACAGATTTCATTTGCTCAGGACTCTCACAGTTTTTATGTGGTTTAACGAAGTACCTAAGCAGAAGCTTTTTTTTTTCTTTTTGGCTTTGCCTTTTTCACCGATTTCCCTTTTTATTAATAACCAAACATAAATATATTACAAATATTTTTACCTTTTATTTCCATCTTGTTACTGTTTATGTATTTGCTAAGATCAAAGTCTGGATTCATCCTCTAACAAGTTCATGTTGTTTTCCTGCTTGTTTCAAAATATGGACCCCGCAGCCTTTATAATTCTATTCCATGATGACTGGCTTAAATTTAATCATATACACAAGCACTGCAGTAACTCGCTAAACAAATCCATGTGAGGATAAAAGGAACATCACAGGCCTGATCTGGGCACAATGGCCTTTGTATTTTTCTCCTTTTGTTTTCAGAAGTTTCTGGAGCCTGTAACTGAACGCAGCAGACTCTAGTTAAAAATTCACCATGATTCCTTTTTAAATAATAGCATTTGTCTTTTGATGAGGTCTCTCAGCTCAAAAGGATCCCTATTTCACATTATAAATAGTTACTGTCAAAAGACATGACTATAAGACAATGACACTGGGTTTGAACAAATATACTTGAATTTATCCATACAAATGAATGATGTCCCCATCAAAGTAGGCAGCAACATTCCAGCGATTTTCAAAACAGTTTTGAAACTCCAGTTAGGAACTTCCTTCCTTCACACACTACGGGAATTGCTTTGAATGTCAGGGTATTTTTTAAAAATATTTTTTTTCATCAGGGTAAGTTTCATTTTTGGAAACAACCAAGCCATTTAATAAGGCAGACGGTAACTGACTGGATAGAAGTGCTGTAGCCTACAATATAATGAGACTAGCTTTTACTTTGATTCCTTAATTAGCCCTAAAGGTAATTCCAAAAAAAGTTCCTAAAATGTTTAGTGCAATAGCAGTACAGTTGAAAGAAGTGTCTAGACTCCCAAAGCAACTTCTCTGAAAAGGAAGACATTCATTTGAACATACGGATGAATTTCTTAGAGAAAAATAGGCCATCCTTGCCTTGCTTGATTTTCTCAAAAACTCTATGTTATTGGTGCCTAGCTAAGGGAAGTTGACTATTTTCAGCTTCCTACAGTATCAAATTTTATTTAACAATTCATTTTTGAAGTGAATAGAAGCGCAAAACCTGAAATACCTTCATAGAACCATGCCTTAGTGACCTATTCCAAAACAGACTTAAAACATTCACAGGCGTATGCACAACTGATAAACATAAATATACATATGAATATATACTATACATAAGATAAATAATAAATTAAACATAAATGTAGTGATAAATAAATATGCATACGGATATTAATTAAATATACAAAATATTTAAATGCCAACTCTACCCACCTGAATTTTACTTTTAATTTCAGAGCCTTGATTCCAATGCTAATTTCATTAAGCATGTCTATAACTGGGTTGCAAGAATGGTATATGCTGAACGGTAAATGCTGTACAAATTAACTTAAACACGTTTTGCATTACATTCTCATAGAGGTATTTAATATGGGTAAACTGGTGTTTTGTGTGTGTGTGTGTGTGTGTTCCAGTTAATGAAGAAAGGAGGAAGGAAAGTATCACACATTGAATACCTATTGTACGCCAAGGGCTGAACACGTTACTATTTAAATGCTCTCAACATCTCCGAGCTAAATATTTTAATCCCCATTTACAGAAAAATAAAAATAAAAAACTAGGCTAGAGAATATAAACAGCAGAATGCTGGCATACCATTGGCAAGTGGAGAAAATGCATTTAGAATTAGCTGATCAATGGGTGGAGAAAAAAGCCAAAGGCCACACCCATGTGTTTAGAAAATGAAATGAAAGTCTCTTCCCAGAGAGAATCTTTTTTTCCCCAAAAAACCTGATGCTATCATTTCCCTTAATTTTTCATTAACCTCAATAATTCTTTGCCATATTTTTCCAAAAATGAAACAGGACTATTACCTCCCAATGTGGGAAAATAAAATGTTCTATGAATTTTTATCTTGTTATTTATACAACAAGCCTTTGGAAACCAGTTAAGTGCTTGAACCAGTTAAGTATTTGGGTGGGACATTTAAAAATAAATCAAGCTAAATAAAGAAGTGTTAAAGTTCATAGAGCAAAGAAAAAGTTATAATCCTTAGCTGAAAGATACTAGGAGACATAGCCATCTATGGGGGTTAAAGATTTAAATTTAAAAATAATAATAATAAAGAGAAGCTCCTTCAAATAAATGCAGGAGGAAATTGAGAATCAACATCAGGACAGCTCATTTGACCTTACGGATATATTTTACTGGTGACTTTCTGGTTTTCAAAACTGTTTCTGATTTTTTTAACTTGTTAATGGCTCCAATTTGCCAGCATATTTCCCAGTTCCCCTGTATTCCACTCAGTAAATCTTGTTCATTTTCAGCTTTTATTTTCTTGTTCAGTCCCTAATAACGGACAATTTGTAAGGAAGCAAACTAAAACACTTGGATTAAATAATGCATTTTTTTTCATTATGCTGATGGGTTCATTTTCAAAACAAATGTAAGCTTCATAATTTACTGATATTTCGTGATTTTTACCTTATTTCTGTGAGGATTTCTTTCTCATGGACTTCTGTCTTTGCCATTGACAAAACTCCTAATAATACCACCCAAATCCTAAAAGGGGTTAAACTTCAAGTGACTGATGTTCTGAAAGTGACATGATCAAAAAATAGTCTCATCCAGAAATTTAGATTTGTGACTTAAGTTATCAGAAGAGTTTCCAAAACTCCAAACAGCCTGCATTAATTCTGGCTTTTTTGGTTTTCTGTTAGTCTGCCTCTGTTTTTATACTAAAAGGGTATACAGAAATTTGTGTGCATTGCTCATCCTGAGTTGAATTCCTATGAAGTAGAGCTGAGTACAGAAATGTCTTTCACTTCAAAGGGCATACTGTGGGGTGCAAAGAAAGGCAGGCTTGGGTCCTTCCAGCCAAACATTGCCCTCTGGCACTCATGCTCAACTCCCCAGGGATACAAGAGGGCAATCTCCGGCCCTTGTAGCTCTAGGTAACATTTCCCACAACCCCTGACTCATAAATATTGACATTTGGGAAAAATAAGACCAAAAAAGAAAAAAGGGCTTTTTCAAAACAAAAAAAAAACTGTTTTTAAGATGAAGTGTTTATATATTTTCTAAAGCCTGGTTTATACCTAAGCTATCACTATAATTTTTAAATAAAATATACCTCATCTTGGGATTTTAAAAAAATAGTATTATCCATCAACCACTAGAGAATATAGGAAAGAAAACTTTCAGCACGGTTTTTATTTATTTATTTTATATTTTTCCATCCGGAAAATAACAGGACTGAGTTGAAAGCAATTTTTTCTAAAAGTAGCAATAGCAACATTCTCAGATAAAATCTTTTTTGCTGAATATCAACGTTTAAATTATAGTGAATTTGAAGTTATTTATTTTCAGCAAAAGCTTTTCTTTTTCCTTTTAAATATTTGTCTCCACCCCTCTTTGCTTCAAAAAACAGAAATGATGTGACAACTGAGACCTTCGAGAATTCCTTAGACCCCAGCCTGTTTTCATTGTGGAACTACAGCGCGACCTGGTGGTAGTTGCTGTTTTTAGCATGGTTTATGAATAAATGGTCAAAGTTTCAAAACCAAAACAAAGGAAAGCCTTGTGTTTAGACTTTTAGAAAATATAGTATCAGGAAAGAAAACAGTGGGATGGCTCTCTTAGAATCATAATTACAGATAGAACTTTTTTTAAGTTTTTTAACTATAATATACTTTTTTTTCCCTTAGGGTGTCGCTCTGTTGCCCAGGCTGGAGTGCAGTGGCGTGATATGAGCTCACACCGCAACCTCCGCTTTCTGGCTCAAGCCATCCTCCAGCCTCAGTTCCCGAGTAGCTGGGACCACAGGCACGAGGCACCACACCCACTTCTTTTTTATTTTTTCTTTTGTATTTTTTTGTAGAGATAGGGTTTCACCATGTTGCCCAGGCTGGTCTCCAACTTCTGAACTCAAAGAGATCCGCCCACCTCGGCCTCCCAAAGACCTAGGATTACAGGCGTGAGCCACTGCGCCTGACCAAATATATCTTTTAAGAATAAATAATCTAGTAAGGTTATTGATGAGTCATTATATCACCTGATACAATTTTTAACATTCATATATTTTCAGGAATATGAATTTTCAGTCATATTTCCTCTTTTTAACTACTTTTACAGTTCTCTAAACAATGCTTCAAAAACATTAACAGAAAAAAATATTTAATCAGTGATACAAGAGAAGACTGTTTTATATGCTTTTCTTTGACAACTAGCAGCACATTGATGCAAGAGTTTATAGACAAAATGGTGATTCATAGTAACTGTAATCTTCTCTGTGTTTATTGTACTTTACACCCATCTTATCTAATCCTCTCAACCACCCTGTTAAATTCAGAATCAGTATCTCCATTCTACAGATTAGAAAACTGAGGCTTCAGGATATGAAATAACTTGTTCAAGGTCACTCCTCTGGTGAGTGACAGAATGGACTCAACCCTGGGCCTGCCTGCTCCAATGCCTAGGCATAGGGTCAGGCTGGTGATAGGCCCTTTTTAAAGATTGGCTGATTCAATGAGCAAATGCATCTACTGTGAGAATATTAAAGGTAAGCCTGGACTGGATCCAAAGTCTTCTGACTTGATAACCAGTAAATCTTCCAGTAAAGTTTAGACATATTTTGAACTTTCTCTTGTTTCTGCCTGCAGTTGCACTCTCCTGAGCCTGCTAAGTCCCCACTATTTTCTACAAAAGAACAAAGAAAAAATACCAGGCGAGAGTGACCCATAGCCTGAGCCCCAGGCTGTTTTACCCACGAGGCCCTAGCAGGGGATCTTTTCCACTTTTGTGCCATAGATCCCTTTGGAAGCCTAAGTGAAGCTCCTGGAACTTTTTTAAAATGCCCCACAAAGAAAGCCAACTATTTTAAAATAAAATTTTCAAAAAACTTTTAAAAACTCGGCCGGGCGCAGTAGCTCACGACTGTAATCCCAGCACTCTGGGAGGCTGAGGTGGATGGATCACTGAGGTCAGGAATTTGAGACCAGCCTGGCCAACATGGTGAAAACCCATCTCTACTAAACACACACACACACACACACACACACAAAATTAGCTGGGTGTGGTGGCACACGCCTGTGATCCCAGCTACTTGGGAGGCTGAGGCAGGAGAATCTCTTGAGCCCAGGAGGCGGATGTTGTGGTGAGCTGAGATTGCACCACTGCACTCCAGCCTGGGTAACAGAGCAAGAGTCATCTCAAAAAAAAAAAAAAACTTTAAAATACTAATTTGTAAATATGTGCTTATTTATTAATGCATTTAATAACAAGATTTAATAACAATGTCACAACTATATATTCAAAGTAGCAATTAGTATAAATGATGTTTTGGGATATTCGTAATCCCTGTAATGTGACATGAATATATCTATTGTTTCTATTGGTGAGAGAGATATTGTTAATATTAATGTGATGTATGGCCTATATTCTTTAATAAATAAAATTACAAATTTCAGTTTGAAGTTAATGAAAACAGATTTTTTTCATCCAAGTTCATGGACCTTCTTACCCTCCTGAATTAAGAAATCAAAGCTAATCTTAAATAAGTCACAGCTAAATCTTTTCAAAAACTAAAAAATTTTAAAATTCTTAAATTCTGTCAAAAAAATGCTTAAGCAATATATATATGTTTCCCTTGATTAGTGTGAGATATTCACTTTAATATGAATATTATGAATAATATGAATATTCACTTTAATATGAATAATATGAAGCAAGACTCCAAAAATAAGCATGGATCTAGGACCTAGGGAGATGTTAAAACAACCTTGCCTGAGTCTCATGACAGTAATCAACAAATAATAGTATTATTTGCCCATAATAATAATTCAGTTTGTATGCATCTGACAAAGGACTAATATCCAGAATCTACAAGGAACTCAAACAAATCAGCAAGGAAAAAAAACAAACAAACAAATAATCCCATCAAAAAGTGGGCTAAGGACATGAATAGACAATTCTCAAAAGAAGATATACAAATGGCCAACAAACATATGAAAAAAAAGTTCAATATCACTAATTATCAGGGAAATGCAAATCAAAACAACAGTGAAATACCACCTTACTCCTGAAAGAATGGCCATAATTTAAAAATCAGAAAATAACAGATGTTGGTGTGGATGTGGTGAAAAGAGTGCATTTTACACTAGTGGTGGGAATGTAAACTAGTACAACCACTATGGAAAACAGTGTGGAGATTCCTTAAAGAACTAAAAATAGAACTACCAGTTGATCCAGCAATCCCCCTATTGGGTATCTGCCCAGAGGAAAAGAAGTCAATATAAGAAAAAGACACTTGCACACGCATGTCTCTAGCAGCACAGTTCGCAATTGCAAAGATATGAAACCAGCCTAAATGTCCATCAGCCAACAAGTGGATAAGGAAAATGTGGGATATATAACTACTCAGCCTCAAAAAGGAAAAAAATAATGGCATTCGCAGCAACCTGGATGGAGTTGGAGACCATTATTCTAAATGAAGTAACTCAGGAATGGAAAACCAAACAGGAATGGAAAACTAAGCTATGAGGACGCAAAGGCATGAGAATGATATAATGGACTTTGGAGACTCAGGGGGAAGGTTGGGAGAGGGCCAATGGATAAAAAAGTACACATTGGGTACAGTGTACATTGCTCAGGTGACAGATGCACCAAAATCTCAGAAATCACCACTTAAGAACTTTTCCATGCAACCAAACACTACCTTTTCCCTCAAAACTATTGAAATATAATAGAAATAAAAGAATAAAAAAATCATAATAATAATTCAGTTTGACATGACAAACATTGAGCAGCTACTATGCTAGACACACTACTAGTGTTTTTAAAAATACATTTTAAAAGTGAATACTTCTTTGTCATTTGTGCAGCATTTATCATTTTCAAAGCAGTTCTACACACATCTTTCTTTCAAATCTAATTACAACTTCAAGGGGCAAGGCAGGGTCTGGAGACTTATTCATTAATTCTGCATTCCCACGATAAATCTCACTCTGGACCCATAGTAAGTACTCAATAAAAGAAGACAGTTTACTCCACCTTTATCCCCCAAGCAAGCCCCTGAATTAGGGCTGCCAGGTAGGATACAGAATGTTCAGTTAAATTTAAATTTCAGATAAACAATTTTTTACTCTAAGTATATCCCATGAAAATGATTTTTAAATATCTATAATATGGGACACACACACATTTTTTTGAGTATTTGTTGTTAACCTAGATTTCAAATTTAACTGGGCATTCTGTGTTTTTGCTGGCTAAATTTGGCAATTCTTTCCTGAATTTCTCTGCCCAGGAGCTCCCTCTGCTGCAGGAACTCAACGATAGGGAGGAAGAGTCCAGAAAAGTAGGGCTGTCAGCACCTCTGTGAGCAGCCGACGATCCACAGCGGATGGAGTTTGGTGGTAAAGGTACTCACTTCCTGTCTCTCTGGTGATGATTTTGAGCATGTTCTACAAAGTCTTTCAGATGGTCCCAGTAGGTTGGAGCCCAGCTGCCCTCAGTGGTAACCTGCCCATTAACGTATCCTGTGTTGGTTTCCTTTCCTCCCCTACCTCACCTCCCCACTCCCCTTTCTATGATTCCTAGAGTCACCTCCCAAATAAACTTTCACATTTACATTATTGTCTCATGGTCTCTTCTGAGGGAACTCAAACTAAAACAAAATGCTTATTGAATTAAATCCTCAGTTGCAGATGAGAGGTTCAGGGACCATGCCAGATGCTGAAGGCACCAAGATGGATAGTGATGAGCCTTCTCATTCAGCCCTTACTCAGCACTGCCTCTGGCTACCAAGCACTGTGCTCCTATCATGTACCAGCCCCTGGGACTCTCCGTTTACATGCATCTTGGCTAACCCTTTCCACCACCCTGCCCAGTAGCTATCATTATGCTCAAATTGCAAACGGGGAAATTGATGCTCAGAGGGTTTTCCAAAGTCACACAGTCATAGAAATGCCATCTTTGGTTAGGGAGCAGTGCCTCACACCTGAAGTTTCAGCACTTTGGGAGGCCAAAGCTGGCAGATCGCTTGAGCTCAGGAGTTTGAGACCAGCCTAGACAACATGGCAAAATCCCATCCACACAAAAAATACAAAAATTAGCTGGGTGTGGTGACATGCCTATAGTCCCAGCTATTTAGGAGGCAGGATTGCTTGAGTCCAGGAGTTCAAGGCTTCAGTGAGCTGTGATCACGCCACTGAACTCCAGCCTGGGTGACAGAGTGAGTCTCTGTCTCAAAAAAAAAAAAAAAAAAGAAAAGAAAAAGAAAAGGGCCGGGCGCAGTGGCTCACGCCTGTAATCCCAGCACTTTGGGAGGCCGAGGCGGGCGGATCACAAGGTCAGGATATCAAGACCATCCTGGCTAACACAGTGAAACCCCGTCTCTACTAAAAATACAAAATATCAGCCGGGCGTGGTGGCGAGCGCCTGTAGTCCCAGCTACTTGGGAGGCTGAGGCAGGAGAATGGCGTGAACCCGGGAGGGGGAGCTTGCAGTGAGCCGAGATTGCGCCACTGCACTGCAGCCTGGGCGACAGAGCGAGACTCCGTCTCAAAAAAAAAAAAAAAAAGGAGTGCCATCCTCCTGCAACACACCACCTCCCTGAGACCCACAGACAATAATACAACAGGCTTTAGGACACGCCTCTCTTGAAGTACTTAAAAGTGAGTTGAGAATACACAACACTTATACATGAAAAAATAACTCATGACACAAGAGAGTAAGGGAAATGTGTGACAGGCAGCTCAGAGAAGAATCCCTATGGAGTTCAGAAGAGAGATAAGGGTCAACTGGGAATATTAGAGAAATCTCATGGGTGGCTGGACTTAGGCTGAGCCGGAGTGAATGAGTTAGATTCAAATGGGAGACTCAGGGAAAGGAGAGAGTTGTGAGTGAGAAGGATGAGTAGGCACCGTGCAGAAGCAGCACTGGGCATGTTTACTGTGACTGTAAACAGAAAGATGGCCTGAGGACAGGATAGCAGGAACCAGGCCATATTATAGAGGCCTGGGGATGCCAAGAGCTATGGTTTGAATATGTGTCCCCTCCAAAACTCATATTGAAATTTAATCCATTGTGGCAGGATTGAGAGGTGGGGCCTTAGGGAGGTGATTAGATCATGAGGGCTCCATCCTTATCAAGGAATTAATCCGTTCATGGATTAAGGGGTGAATGGAGTAATGGGTTATCACAGGAGTGGACTCCTGACTTTATAAGAAGAGAAAGACCTGAGCTAGCACATTCAGCCCCTTGCCAAGTAATGCCCTGCACCACCTTGAGACTCTGCAGAGAGTCTTCATCAGCAAGAAGGCCCTCACCATATGCAGTCCCTTGACCCTGAACTTCTGAGCTTCTATAACTGTAAGAAATACGTTCTTTTTCTTTATAAATTATTCAGTTTCAGTTATTCTGTTATAAACATAAGATTATTGATTAAGACACCAGGTAAAAAATATGGAGTTCATCTGAATATATATGTGGAGCAAATGCAGGCTGTGAAAGTAGAAAATTGACATGATCAGAATAAGATTTTATCAGATTCATCCGGCAGTAGAGGGCAGGATTGCTTGAAGTAAAGAGAATAGTTAGTAGACTCCTGACAGGCTATGCCTATGGTAATAAAGATCTAACCCAGAATAATGAACAGGAAGGTGTAAACTACATTACAAAGCAAGAGTTGTCAAATCTGAGTCACTGATGGGTCAGAGAGGAGAAAGAATAAAGAAAGCTCCTTTACTGTACCTGGATAATGGGGAAAATGGAAACATGAACAAGAAACTAGAAAGTTGTACATAAGAAAATGACTAAAATAACTCAATATATCATCATTTCCCTAAAAATTATACATTGGGAAGATTTTTCTGAATGATGTGGAATTATGGATGTGTTCCCCCTTGGTGGACAAAAGTAACTCAAACCTTTCGGTGAGGAGCTATCTCTCCTCCACTCTCCTCAGCCCTCTCCATGACCTTATAGAACTAAAGCCAATAGTTACTGAGTGTAGAAGATATCTGCTGTTTCTGCCTGCTAAACATCCCCTCCCCCTGCACCTGGAAACACCATTTGTATTTCTTGTAGAGATTGCATTCCATGCAGCACAGGTGCAGTTGGACCCATTCTACCCCGCCCCCATCAATCTCCTCCTACCCCTTGTCCAGCTACAAAAAAGGGCACATAGCCCAGACCTGGCCAATTTGTTTACCCCATGCCATGTGCATAGCACAGTGATTCAGAAAGAGGTATGTGGCTGGAGCCAAGCCAATCACTATCCATGAAATTATTCTAGAGAAGTAACAGGAAGCACTTCTTTCTGCAACAATTAAAGTCCATATTAGGAGGTAGGAGCTCAAAATTAACACTGAAAGATTACAGAATGAGATGCAGACTAGGAAAGGGCCTGGCTAAAACTGGAGAAGAGAAACTCTCTCAGGCCTGCCTCTCTGTAGACCAGTCTGTTCCACTGTAGGAAACCTAACTGCTGACAATCCCCAATTTGTTGTCGGTGTCAGGGAAATCTGAGACAACACGTGTACCCAGCCACACTATGAACCCCTAGACCCAGCCACATCTGAACTTGGCTGAGCTTCTGAACTTTCCAACTACGTCAACAAATTTTTTTTCTTTAAGGAAATAAAATTAAATTTGGATCACTTGCTACCAAAAAAAAATGTTTAATGTAGCTAGCTTTACTAGCTTGTTATCAAAATGTGTTCTGCTTGTGCCCACAGCTCAATCTTAAAAATCACATTCCTGAAGTTCTTCCTTCCTTGACCACCCCAAGTATGTTACTCCTCCCCTCTCTCTGCCTTCCATGCCTAGTTTGTTTGCAGTTACCTTGAGGAACTTGTAAAAGGTTGCTCTAGTTGCACACCCTCCTATGTGAGGCCAATAACAAAGGAAGATCTCCAAAACACCTTCCAAAAAAGCAAAGCCACAAATGGCCAAGCCCAGATGACAATCACAGTCCCAGCTAATATCTTTATTGCATCCGAGTAAATACCTGGCAGAGAAGCCAGCCATGCCGTGCCCCAACATCTGACCTACAGAAACTGTTAGATAATAAATATGGGTTACTTTAATCCATTAAGTTTCTGGTAATTTGTGACTTAGCAATAGAAAACTTATAGAGGACAGATGCAACAACTTGTCCCTCACCTCGGAAGGGATATTTTCACACGCCCAAAATGAGTAGGCCCTTAGAAAATTGGAATGGAGACAAATTGGCAGATTCCAGTGAAGTTGGGGACCTGAACCTCTAAATTTGGTTGAGCCTTCTTTGTCAAGAGAAGCAGCTCTTCCAACTGTGTTTAAGGAAGTTAGTACACCTTGGTCTGAAGAACTTTCCTGGTATACTGCGGAGGAAGGTATCAAGCCTTAGGAAGATTGGACTTGGAGCTCCATCCTCAAACACAAATACAAAAGCCTTTAAAGAGACTATTGAACCAGCTATTCCAAACACATCAGGTTAAATAACTGTTAAAATAAAATAAAACAAAATAAAAAATGGTGTGAGTGTGTGTGTGCGCGTGAGCGTGCATGCACATGCACACATTTCCTGGTGATTCTGCTTCTCTGGCTCAATCTATAGTGGTAAAGTTGAGGACATTGTCACTAATCCATGTTCAAAGTGCATCCACCTTACCCCAAGGCTTGATGTTCTCATAATGTACCTTCCTTAAAGTGTCATTTTCTACCTGCCTGGGAAAGGCACAAGTCACATCTATCTTTCTCAATTTGGTTCAAGAATTTCAGGACATATTAGGCAATTTTAATAAAATCACTATGAGTTATCATCAATCTGTCCTTTATATATACAAAGAATGTTGACCGGGCACGGTGGCTCATGTCTGTAATCCCAGCACTTTGGGAGGCCAAGGTGGGTGGATCACGAGGTCAGGAGTTCAAGACCAGCCTGGCCAAGATGGTGAAACCCCGTCTCTACTAAAAATACAAAAAAATTAGCCGGGCATGGTGGCGGGCACCGGTAATCCCAGCTACTTGGGAGTTTGAGGCAGAGAATTGCTTGAACCCGGGAGGCAGAGGTTGCAGTGAGCCGAGATCACACCACTGCACTCCAGCCTGGGAGACAGAGCGAGACTCTATCTCAAAAAAAAAAATGTTGCAAGAAAATCTAAAATTTGTTTCCTTTAAAAACATTGTATAAAGTCAAGTGCAGTGGCATGCACCCGTAGTCCCAACTACTTTGGAGGCTGAGGTGGGAGGATCTCATGAGCCCAGAAGTTCAAGGCCAGCCTGGGAAACATAGCAAGCCCTGTCTCAAAAAGATTATTATCACTATTATTATTATATATTTTCTCAAAGTGTTGCCTTGATGTTTCCCTTTATTTTGTGTCCTTTTGTTTAAGAATGCAAAATATCTAAGATTGCAAAATATCTAAGATTGCTATCATTTCGGCTTGTGAAAGAAACACAAACTAGCTATAGCAGTTAGGGTTAAATCAGAGAAGCAAAGCCACTAGATTATTATGGGAATAAAAGATTTATTATAGGAATTTAGATCTCACACAAATGTGAGAGCAGCTGAGAAAGTGAAAGTCAGAGAATTTAAGAAAGAGTCATAAATGAATCCTCTGAAAGCACTGGCATGAGTAGGTAAACTGGAGCTTTCAGGGAAATCTGCGACACCAGATATACCCAGCCACTTTAGTGAGATTGCAAAGCGGGAGCTCTCAGAGAGGTCTACGGGAAGATGTTCCCTCTGTGTAGCTACCACCTCTATGGGTTTGCAGCCAAGCATCTGGGTAAGGGGGAGGAGGGAGTAGGTCTGCTTTTGGTGAGTTGGGCTGGCAATCAGGAAGCCGAGCTGGACAGTGTGGAGGAGAGGAAGAACAAGTGTGGACCCAGACACCTCTGTGTCTATCTATCTGACCATGAGACCTTCCAAGAATAATGGTCGTTGCTTCTTTTCCACCTTCCAAATCTCGTGCATCTTCCTCTATGGCCAACTCTAACCCAGAACCATGCATGGAATGTAATTCCCAGCTTAACCCACCTACCATGGTGTAATCCAGCACAATGACTAAGCAAAAGATGAATTTGTTATTAGAGTCCTGGGGCTCCTCACAGAACTGAGGACAGGAATGAGATTGGATCTCAAATTAGCTGGAAACAGGAGTTCAGATGCCATTAAGCTCTCTGGGTATCTTGCCTCTCTTGCTGCTCTCAAGTTACCTGCTTGTTTACCTGCCTCCCTTTAGACCGGCCTGTTCCACGGCAGGAAATCTAACTGCTGACAACCCCTAAGCATGATTCCCTGCAGCTTCTTCAGACATGTCAAGGGAAGAGAGACTCTCAGCTCTGTCTCTTCATGCCCAGTCCAATAAATTCTGAGAAGGGACTCATTGGCCAGAGGACTGGGTCACATGGTATCACGGCTGCTCCTGCTGTGCCATGTGGATAGGGAAGGGGAGAACAGTTTTCAGAAGAAAGTAAATGTGGAGCAAAGCAGCTCCATAGGCATCCACTGCAGGAGGAAAGATCTATTTATTAGTACTTACAATATAACAGATTCTATGCTAAGAGTTTTGCATACATTATCTCACTGAGTGCTTATCTCAAGACTTTGAGGTTGTTACCATTATTGTTCCCATTTTACAGATAAGGAAATTGAGACACAAAGAGATTATATCTTACTTAAGTCCCAAAACTAGCTATAGTAAGATTGGCCTGGCTCCAAAGAGGGCTCGTTGACTTCCAGTGTTCCAAGGGGCTCCAGTCACTCTGTTTGTCATTATGCCGTGGGCTTTCCCCCAATGTTGCATATTGACAAACTTCCCAAGCTATACTCTACTGTGTCCTTTCTCATTTCACAGGTGACAGAGACACAAAATTACCACCAATCTATACACCTGGAAATAACTCTGCCTCCTGGCACAGTGCTTTTTTCCTTATTACACACTGCCTTGCACCCTTGATCATCCACTGCAGTAAATATGATAAAAAGATACTTTCAATTTCTTTCTCATAGAACAAAATGTGTTCACTCTGGAGTACATTTAGTTTAGCATAATCAAAGCTAAAATTCCTATGTGCTATAATCATGTAAATTGCTATTGACACTACTTCAGATTCAAGAACTTCTACCAGAAAGGTCAAAGCAAAATGGAACAACAGCTTGGAAGTTCATTATTGTCCTCACAGAATTTCATTATCAACAACTAATACATATTGAGCATGCTATCACAAGACACCGTGCCAGGCATAATGAATAGATGTAAGTGTGTAAGACATAGTCTCAGCCTTTTAAAATCTGGCTGAGTGGGCTGGGTGTGGTGGCTCACGCCTGTAATCCCAGCACTTTGGGAGGCTAAGGTAGGTGGTTTACCTGAGGTCAGACTTTCAAGACCAGCCTGGCCAACATGGTGAAACCCTGTCTCTACTTAAAAATTACAAAAATTAGCCGGGTGTGGTGGCAGATGCCTATAATCCCCAGCTACTCGGGAGGCTGAGGTGGGAGGATCATCTGAACGTGGGAGGTAGAGGTTGCAATGAGCTGACATCGCACCACCGCACTCCAGCCTGGGTGATAGAGCAAGACTCCATCTCAAAAAAAAAATCTGGTTGAGTGGATAGAACACAGACATAGACTGTATAATCAACCATTTATGGTAGCCTATGAATGAATGAATACACTCAGTGAATCATACAGAATAGGAAGTAATCTCTGGAGACTGCAACAGTCAGAAAATTTATCAGGAGGAGGTAGGAATCGAAGCCTGGATTTTATCTAACATGTATTCCTTCAGTCATTCAATAATTTGCTCATTCACTCAATAGTTCTTCAGTTGGGCATCATGCTTAATGCATGTAAGAGTAAAGGGACAATGGTGTATAACCTGGATAAGAGGCATGAGAGTTATGGGAGATAATACGATTCCACTGGCAGAATATTTCAATTCAAATGTGCAGTGTACTCTACTCTTGCATCCACCTGTCACTTGTTGAGTGTCTCTTACCTGCTGAGAACTCTGCTAGATCCCTAAATGAAGCAAAATTCTGGTCACTGTCTGCAAATACTCACAAAACATTTAAATAATGTCTTTGTCCAAATAGTCCTTGTTGTGTAGCAAGAGGACTTTGTATCACACAGTGTAGGCTCAAAGAAATGGTACAAGGGGAACATGATGCATGCGTACTCAGGATTCTTGCCATCCAACTGTTGGAAAGAATATAACAGGACACACCATGGTTGTGCTCCAGGAAAAGGACACAGGTCCCCTGACACCTTGCATTCTTACAGAAGCATTAAGAGGGGCAGGGACCACTCAAACAATTTGGGAAATCCAGCCTAGTTAGTACAAGAAAAAAAAAATGTCCTTTCTCAGATATTAATTTGCATATCAGCACTGGGTTCAGCTAGAGGCCTTGAAACTTATACCCCTCCCTGCTCAGCCATCTTGTTGCCTTGTTGAGGGAGGGCCACTGTGCTCATCCAGGAATGAGATAACTTAAGTCTTCTCAGAAATGTAGTCCAGAGTAAGGTGAGATGGGAGGATAGACTCACAGATGGAAGTTGGATAGGTGAGGGGAAAGGGGTTGGGCACTTTTTTTTTAAGACAAGGTCTCTCTGTGTCACCCAGGCTGAAGTGCAGTGGGTGCTATCATGGGTCACTGCAGCCTCAACTTCCTAGGCCCAAGCAATCCCCCCACCTCAGCCTCCCGAGTAGCTAGGACTATAGGTGCGTGCCACCACACCCAACTAATATATATTTTCATTTTTTGTAAAGATGGGGGGTCTCCCTGTGTTGCCCAGGCTTATTTCCAAAGGCTTTTTTTTGTTTCTAAGACAGGGTCTCGCTCTTTCACCTAGGCTGGAGTGCAGTGATGCAATATAGCTCACTGCAGCCTTGAACTCCTGGGCTCAAGCAATCCTCCCACCTTAGCCTCCTGAGTAATCAGGACCACAGGCATGCACCACCACGCCTGCCTAATTTTTTTTTAGAGACAGGGTCTCACTATGTTGCCCAAGCTGGTCTCAATCTCAGGCTCAAGAGATCCTCCTGCCTCAGTCTCCTAAAGTGCTGGGATTACAGGCACGAGCTACCATGTCCGTCTGGGCATTCTAAACAAGGGGCAGACATAGGCAGATGTGCAGAGCCAGGAAAAAGGACGTCTAGTTCCCCACAGTAACTTAAGTGCTCAGTACAGTGCTGAGCAATAGTGGGTGCTCGGTAAATATTTTGTTGGATGGCTGAAAGACATTCAGGCCACCTGCATGCCCAGGGCCTCTCAAACTTGGTGCATAAAAGGAGTAGCAGTGTCTTAGGGAATATCCAGAGCACCAAGACAAAAACAGACATAGTTTTACCAGATTTATTGGTAAGTAAATTAAAACTCTAAACAAATTAAAACAGGCCGGGTGCGGTGGCTCATGCCTGTAATCCCAGCACTTTGGGAGGCCAAGGCGGGCAGATCACAAGGTCAGGAGATCGAGACCATCCTGGCTAACACGGTGAAATCCCATCTCTACTAAAAATACAAAAAATTAGCCGGGTGTGGGGGCGGGTGCCTGTAGTCCCAGCTACTCAGGAAGCTGAGGCAGGAGAATGGCATGGACCCGGGAGGCAGAGCTTGTAGTGAGCCGAGATTGTGCCACTGCACTTCAGCCTGGGCGACAGAGCAAGACTCTGCCTCAAAAAAAAAAAATTAAAACAAACATATATTCATATATGTTATATATAAGTGCATGGGTATACATATGTACATAAATCACAAAGTTCCAATAAATTATTCAAATAAAATATAAGATTTGAGATAAATTTGCCTTTTGTGGAATCTCCCTGCAATACTCAGACCCCTGGGAAACAGGCGTTCAATCTTCTCCGCCATTAGGGATATAAAAGTGGAAAAGCTTGAAAAGTAGTACTGGATTCCTATTGAGCAAAAGAAAAAGAAAAAAGCGGTGGCTCACGCCTATATCCCAGCACTTTGGGAGGCCAAGGCAGGTGGATCAGCTGAGGTCAGGAGTTCGAGACCAGCTTGGCCAACGTGGTGAAAACCTGTCTCTACTGAAAATACAAAAAAAAAAAAAAAATTAGCCGGGCATGGTGGTGGGTGTCCGTAATCCCAGCTACTTAGGAGGCTGAGGCAGAAGAATCGCTTGAATCTGGAGGTGGAGGTTGTAGTGAGCTGAGATTGCACCACTGCACTCCAGCCTGGCAACAGAGTGAGACTCCATCTCAAGAAAAAAAAAGAAAAGAAAACAGTGATTAAAATAGCAACTAAGAGATAAGTTGTAAGATTTCTAACCTTTTCCTGAAAAAAGAGCTGCCAGGTAAGGCTAAAGAAATTTGTTTATTAAATCAGCAATAAACTAGATTATGTGGTTTCCAAAATAAATATGATCTTTCATATTATACATGTAATATGTAAGATATGTTTATAAAAACAAATAATATAAATATTATAAACAGAAATATGAGTTAATATCAATAAGCTTTCACAACAAGAAAGTGTCTAGTGTCATAAACCATCTTTGGGGAAAAAACAAAACCCTGCTAGATCTAAGAGTTTGTGACTGTATATTCATATGCACACGCACACATATAATCTCCCACACTTAAACTAATCTAATTAAGAAACTACAGTCTCCTCTTAAAGCTGAAATTCTTTCAGGTCATGGATAAAGACAACAATGGTATGGCTAATGCAATATACAATAATATACAATACAATACAATGCAATGCAATACAATACAATAATGGCTCATTACTAGAAATATTAGGAATTACCTATAACTCGAAAGAAAACTGGGCCACCAGGCTTCATTTTGGTATTATATTTTTTTGCATAAAAGTATACTAGTCTTCGGTTTCAAACTTTGTTTTCGCTCTGCCTTCCTTCGCCTCTTTCAGAAAATACACAAGGCACGGCTCTGGGTTCCCTGAGCAAAACCAGACTGGTCAGCTTCGTGTTGCTGTAACCTTCAGATCTGGATATTGTCACCCATTTGCTCTTTCCAAAGACAAAGGGGGCCTATTTCAGGACACCTGGCCTGTTGTTTTACTTTTTTTTTTTTTTTTAATGCTGGTGAAAGTGTAGCTGAAAATTCAAATGGAAAAGAATTTCAACAGGTCAGCATCTTCTTTTCCACTGATTTTTATCTAAACAGAGTCTTGAGAATGCTTCTGTGCCAGATTATTATTCTGTGGCACAGCCAACCTTATCCCTGCAAGCCCCTTCATAATCAGTGTCGATGGCCACAGAGTTCATTCAACCCATAGTGATGAGAATCAAACGTGAAGATGGTTGAAATAATTGGGTCAAATCTGCAGCAGGCCACAGGAGAATGAGGGCACATTCAAAAATCATAATGAATCACATTCTCTGTGGGTAAAATAGGAATGATGATGATGTGGTATCAGCCAATTTCAGATGGACACTAGCAAGAAAAATGTAAATAATTAATATTTATATAGGTGCAGAATAAAAATAAATAATACTGTATCATATGAATGTAGGTAGATTTATGTCCCAAACATCTGATTTCCAGCTCATTCCCTTTCACAAAAAAAAAAAAAAGGAAAAAAATGTTATGCAGTAATGGAAGCATCAGGGAATTGGAATATTTTCTGTTACAGTATGTTTTAAATATTTTCTGTTACATTATGTCAGGTTGGAATTCTTCCATTTTTCACACCAAATCCATCCTCTCCCCTTCTCTGCTGTGCTCCATGCCCTGGGAGGCTGATCTGTTTGGACTACAACAGGCTTCCCTGTCCTCTGGCTTCCACCAGGTTTGGCCAAGAGCAGGCAGTAACCAGAGATCAGACAAGGGAGGAGAGTGAGGTTGAGCATTCATTGTTTCAGCTCCCCTCTAAGGGCTCATTCTTGCACAGAAGGTCACAGCTCTTTTCAGATGGCTCATTCACACAGCCTGTCTACCTCCCTTTAGAGGTCATTACTTCCTCCTTTTTGTCCCATTACTGCACCATCCCAAATGGTTTCCATACTCTTCGCCCACGCCTTTGTGAATAACCTGTTAAACTCTCTTCAAATCACTCAATTTAATTTACCATGTGTTTTCAGCTGGACTCTTGACTGAATCATATGATCACTAATCGTTTCTAAAAATTATTCCACAGTGTTCACCCAAAACAATTCTTTGACAACAACATAAAGTGTGTCTACTTCCCTTCAACCTGTACATGGTTTCCACTTTGACCATGGCCTGAGTCACTTGTCCTAAGTGACTCTATTTTGATATTTATGATCACAAACATCACTATATATCAGGCCCCTTCTTGGGGAGATAACGTTAGAGGGAGGGTGATTGGGTGGGCTACACATGAAAAATCTACTCTAGTATCTTTATTTCCAAAATCTTTACATTTCTCCCTCTATGTTATGCCAAGGAAATTTTAGCACCTTATCTTCTCTTTCATATGTAGGCTCATAGAAGCAGAGAGTAGAATTGTGGATATTAAAAGCTAGAAAAGGCAGGTGGGAGAGGAGGAGGGGAGAGGTTAGTTAATGAATACAAAATTACAGCTAGAGAGGAGGAATGAGTTCTGGTGTTCTGCAGACATTAGGGTGAAAATAGTTAACTATGATTTATTGTATATTTTCAAAAAGCTAGAAGACAGAATTTTGAATGTTCACAGCACAAAGAAATGATAAATGCTGGAGGTGATGAATATGCCGATTACACTGATTTGATCGTTACACATTGTATACATGTATCAAAATATCACATAAATATAGACAATTATTATGCATCAACTAAAAATAAAAGGAAAGATTTTTAAGTACTTTGACTTTATTTAGTGTTGACCAACACATTACACGTTTCAGTCATCTAGGATCACTCCAGCTGCTCCAGATAGCAAGATTTGCCGAAGTAAGAGAAGAGAGTGCAAGAGATTATTACACCAGCAATTAAATACTTCAGCCTGAAAGTGATATATGTGACTTCACCTCATAACCTATTGGCCAGGACCACATGGCCCCAACTGCGAGGAGGACAGCAAAGTGTAATCTTTCAGGTTTCTAAGAGGAGAAAAAAAACTAGATATGTGTGAGCATCACAACCATGTAACTTAGAGCTGTCAAAGGTGATGAAAAGTTACAATATTCATACAGTTTTCAACTTGGAGGATTGTAGTCACTGTATTTTGTGTTATTTAGTTGTTTCTCCCTCCCAACTTCCCACATCTTAAATGTAACTATACTAATATTTCAGGTTTCAGGTGACAGTATGTCTGAATTGATACCAACTCACAATAAGACATGAGTCTGAGCCTTGTGCTCATGCTCAGTTTACAAAATAGTTTATCGGTACCTTCTGGACCTGTTAGGGCTGCGTCTCGTAATTGCCATTTCCATTTTACAATGGAATACTACTGGGCATGCCCAGTTTTATGGTTGTGATCAGATGATAGTTAGTTTGTGGTAGGTGTTTTAGGTTGTCCAGTCACTAGACCACCAAGTGCTTTGTTCTGGGACTTGCCAGAGTCTCCAAACAGCATCTCTGCTGCCATGCTACAGTTCCAATGCCATTGAATCCATTAGGTCATAAGACTCAAGTGGCATGTCAACTTTCAACCCAGCCTGGACATGCTGCAGGTCTTATTCTTGTTCCAGGACTTCCTTAAGACTGGAAGCTTATAGGTTATTTCCTAAGTAGGTTAGTGCAGCATGCCCAAATGTGGTATATGTTGTCACCAAAATCCAGAGGCTTATCAAATACAGTGCCTTTTTCTTTGTGGTGGAGGGTGCAAAGTCCTGCCATTTGTGATTTCCTAACATGCTACAAACCACTGGCCTCTTTTCACACGTCACCAAAGTGGTGGCAGGGCCCTGAACTTTCAGAGGGTTTATCTCCCACCCTTAGCATATATATTTTCTACTTCCTTCTCACTAGGTCCAACAAACAACATGCTTATCAATGTAAAGAACTCGTGTGATGTTCCACAGAATACAATAAAGATATACCCTTGTCTCTGCTATATAAATGCAAACTGCTTCTGATTTTGCCTACTGGTTAGGATGGGAAAGAACGCATTTTCAGGACAACAGTTGTATGTCAGGTGCCTGGGGGGATCATTTGTTTCAGTAAATATCCTGTATCCAAAACCATAGCTGCAACTAACTTCACCACCTGATTAGGTTTGCAATAATCCACTGTCATTTTCAAGGCCCGTTAGGCTTTTGTTCCAGCCAAACAGAAAAGTTTTATGCAGATATAGTAGGAATTACTACCCCTGCTTCTCTCAAGGTCTTTATGGCAGCAGTAATTTCTACAATTCCCCTAGCAGGATCACTTACTGTTTAGTAGCTTGGTGAATTGTTTGGGAAGAGCTCCAGTGGCCCTAGATAGTCCTTCCTTTCATAGTAGCCTTCACTCAACAGGACAGGGAACCAGAATGGTATCCTGCTAGTTACCAACTATATGTGTATGCATATGCATGTACATGTGTATGTGTACATGCATGTGTATGTGTACCTGTATGCATATGTGTGTGTGTGTGTGTGTGTATGTATTCCCACCAGATATCCTGGGACTGGGATAATATACACTGGATGGGCCTGCAATCCCAGTAGGTCCACTGTTACATGAATTGGAGCCACAAATTCATCTAACACCTGACATCCATAAGCCCTACTTTGGCAGATGATTGTAATGTTTTTGGTCTGTGGCATAAGTGTAAAATCAGAGCCAGTATGTGATACTTCCCAGTAGGTTTTATATTCCCTTCTCCCCGTCCACAGACCCCTGGGTGAATAGCTCCAGGTCACCCTGTGGAAGACTTGGGAGGAAATCCACTGGATACACTATGGCTAAAGTACAGAGTTCTTCTTCAGAGGCAACTGGCCTCCATCTCTGTTGAGGGGCTTCATCCGTCCACTGGCTGAGTTCTGAGACTCTGGTAGGAAGCCATGAATCCTAACATGGTGTCTAGTTTGTTTCTGCCCAGTAGTCCTAGAGGTCTAGGTCTACTCAGTGGACCTCAGTAAGCTGCCCCTTGATTTCATGTCAAAACACTCCTATGACCATTCCTTCTCCATGATGCATTGTGCTAACTGCACATAAATTTGTCTTTGTCTATTAACAACTCCCACCTACCCTCTACCTCTCTGGAATCCCATTTTCTCGTTGTAATTGGGACATGCCATTTTTGCAGCATTTCCATTGTCTTCTCTGGAAGTCAGAGGACAGCTACCAAGGAAGGCCCCTTCCCCAGTGCTTGGTGAAGAGGTGTTCTCCAAACCTCCTGCTAGGTAGTAGCAGAGCTGGTTGCTAATAACAGGGCTTTAAAGAGACAAATTTAAAAGCCACTGCCACAAGTTTCTGAATGCTGAACCCTAGCATTCCACCGGAAGACCACAACTGTGCTGGATACCTCATTCTGCCTTCCAGCATACCAAGAGAGTGCATTACTAGGGGAACCTAGTCACTATTCAGACCATTAGTTGCAAGGAGTTTGGGAAATGTAGTTTCTAGCTGGATGGCCAGGTGCCTAACTAAAACTCTTTTACTATGACAGAAAGGAAGAACAGATTCAAGGAATAATTTCCAGTTCCCCACATTCAGCTCTCCTTCTCTACCAGTTCCTTCCCATCAGCATTTAAACATGTTCACAGATTGTTGTTATTTTCTTCCACTTTGGGAGGAAAAGTAAAACTCATTTCCATATCCCCCCTCACTATTTCTCTCCCTTTATTCTATATAATTAAATATTATAAAAGAATTGTCAGCTAGATGTGGTGGCTCACGCCTGTAATCCCAGCACTTCGGGAGGCCGAAGTGGGTGGATCACTTGAGGTCAAGAGTTCAAGGCCAGCCTGGTCAACATGGTGAAACCCCATTTCTACTAAAAAATTACAAAAATTACCCAGGTGTGGTGGTACATGCCTGTAGTCCCAGCTACTTGGGAGGCTGAGAGAGGAGAATGCTTGAACTCAGGAGGCAGAGGTTGCAATGAGCTGAGATCATGCCACTGCACTCCAACTTGGTCAACACAGCAAGACCCTGTCTCAAAAAAAAAAAAAAAAAAAGAATTGTCTTCGAATGCTTATCAGTGTATGTAGAAAAGTCTAAATTTAGCATAGGAAAAGGAGCTCTGGATATTAATACACAATATACAAAACTGAGACCTGTGGAATGATTGAAAATTGAAGACTTATTTTTTTTAACATCACCAGTGTGGTAAGCAGGATAATGACCATCCTCCCCCAAAAGATGTCCATGTCCCAATTCCAGAAACTGTGCATATGTTACCTCACAGAGCAGAAAGGGATTTTGTAGACATGGTTAAAGTTAAGAACCTTGAGATTAAGACATTGACCAGGCACAGTGGCTTACATCTGTAATCCCAGCACTTTGGGAGACTGAGGCAGGAGGATTGCTTGAGCCCAGGAGTTTGAGACCAGCCTGAGTAACATAGCAAGACCCATTTGTACAGTCAATCAACCAATAACAAAGAAGAATTGGGGAAAATATCTTGGATCATCTGAGTGCGCTCAATCTAATCACGTGGGTCCTTAGGAGTATAAGATGAAGAAGAAGGGATATTACATGAAAGGGACTCCACTCTCTGTTGCTGGCTTTGAAGGTGGAGGAAGGGGACTGACCATGAACCAAAGAGTGTGGACATTCTCTAGAAGCTATGAATGACCCTCAGCTGACAGCCAGGAAAGAAAGCGGGGCCTCAGTCCTACAACTGCAGGGAACTGAATTCTGCCACTGACTTCAATGAGCAAGGAAATAGGTTCTCCCCTACAACCTCCAGAAAGGAATGCAGCCTGCTGACCCCTTGGTTTTAGCCCTTTTAAATCCATGTTAGACTTCTGACCTCCAGCACTGTAAGATACTAAATATGCATTACTTAAGCCACTAAGTTTGTGTTCATTTGTTCTGGTGACAATGGAAAACAGATGTATCTTATACATCAGATAAGATACTTTTCCCCTTAAATCTTCTTCCCTGGGGACATTGATCACAAAGCGGTATTTCTGAGAATAGAGAGCATTTTAAAAGCTTGGTTCTAGGGCAATTGCCAGATTCTTATATCCTGACCTACACATGGTTCCAGGGAGAGGATGAAGCAAGAAGAGAAAAAACAAAGACCTTGCTCTTCTGTTTCCCTCTCATTTCCCAAACAAGAAAATTGGAAAATGCAAATCATAGAATTTATACTATTGGAGAAAAATATCTAGTTCTACCTCTACATAGTAAGGATACCTCATAAGTAGAGGCACCATTTATGGCCCAAGCCTGATGGACTCTATTCAGAGCTTTGCATGCACAGAACATTCCTTTTACAGTGTGGGAGGAGTTACACAGGCATGCGAACACACACATCCCACCCATAGAAAACCATCTAGAACAGGTGTTCATGAGTTTACACAAGGATGCTCAACAGCCTTAAATACACAAACAAAGTAAAGGTAAAACTCAAACTTCATAGAGACCACTCCTCATGTTCAAAGAAGAAAACTCCTCCACACTAGGACAAAATTCCCCATGAATTCTCTTTACCTTGTGTAAGTCAAAGCCTTCTTTCTATGGGGATCACCACAGGCTAGCATCTAATGGACAAATACAGTGCATAATAATTTTGATTTAAATCCTAAAAGAATTTGTCTCAGTATAAAAATATTTTTCCTTTCTCACATTTTTAATAATACACAGAATCTTCTTCCTAACCAGAAAGACCTTTGCTCCCAAATCTACTGAATTACCTAGTTTTAAATCTGTTAAAGTAATTTAAGTTTTTCTAGTTCCTTTTAACCTGAAACTTGATATTCTAGAAGTATCACTTAAATTGGTCTGAAAATAAAACATCAATGGAGATAAGAAAGAGAAAAAAAAAAGAAACTTCCCCACCAGATAGAGCTACTAGAAAGCTTACTTAGTGAGTAATAATTTATAGAAAAGGTAATTTATTATTTACTATGTTAAGTTGTTTGCACCGTTCAAAGTATCTTCTTCGCTCAGTGACAAAACACCACATATACTTCTAAGGCCTATTGGGTGCTCAAACTGCTTTATCACCTTTCTTGTGAGGAAACTAGACAGCACTATAGTGATTAATCCAGTAATTCTAGTAACACATCTTTAAAGATGAGGGCAAATGTTCTATTCATTTAAATATTTATTTCAGTAGTTTAAACAAAGAACCTTTATAAAGAAAACCCAATATAAAAGTTAATATACTGGGGGAATAAATGTGAATCAAGAATGTAAAATTTAAATCTATAAAGCAGAGGAAGCCATGAGAAACAATTGTTGGGCAAGCCTGAAAATGTGGGGAACAGTATCTGGAATAAAATAAGAAGCAAGGCCAAGGACAAAGGCTAGTCCAGGTCAGAAGCACAGATGGGACTGCAACTCCCAAATCGTGTGCTGAAGAGCGACAGCGTGCTGGAGTGAACTCACAGAAGCACCTTAGGATGTTTTATACTTTTAAAAGAAACACAAAAACATCTGTCAGATCGTATGCGAATGTCTGTAATTAGGTGTTTGGAACTAATTACTTAATAAGTGAAACTATTAGAATTTCTTTGGCTAAGGGACACCATGAAAAAACTAGTGAGATTCTAAGGGCACCATGAAACAAGAAAGTTTGGAAACTTCTGCCTTAGGGACATGCTAGGATTCAAAGGACATTGCCTACTCAGAGTAAAATTAGAGTAGCAGATGAAAAGTGGAAAGGACAGTGCCTCTAGCTTCTGCATACCTAATTATACACAGTGGGGCCTTTTCATAGCTCAATGCTAGCTCTAAAAACTCTTGTGCGCTCTCATTCTAAATTCACTGCAGGAGCCCCTTAAAATCACTGAATCTTGCTTTCAAACCAGCGAATTTCGTTCTTCCTTAATAACAAAAACAAAGCAGTAATTTTTCAGTGTTGGTCTTGGGACCAAACAGAGTTCCTCAAATATTTAGAGAAACTCTACTAAGACTTAAGTATCACCTTCCTCATGAAGAAATGAATGAACTTTATGGAAAGATTCACTCAGCAACTTCATAATAGCCCATTATCAAAATTTTAAAATTTACTCTAAATCAGGGGTTGGTAAACTTTTTCTATAAAAGTTCCATAGTAAATATTTTAAAATATTCTTTTACAACTCTTTAAAAATGTAGAAACCAACTGAAAGCAGGCACTTGAGCAGATATTTGTACACCCATGTTCACAGCAGCATTATTCACAATAGGCAAAGGGTGGAAACCTAGTGTCATATCAATAGATGAATGGATAAACAAAATGTGGCATATACACATAAAGGAATATCATTCAACCTTAAAAAGGAATGAAATTCTGATGTATGATACAACATGGATGAAATTAGAAAACATCAAGCTAAGTGAAATAAGCCAGACACAAAAGGGCAAATATTATATTATTCCATATATGAGTTACCAAGAATAGTCAAATTCATAAAGAGAGAAAGCAGAACAATGGTTACCAGGGCCAGAGGCAAGGGCTAATGGGGAGCTGTTTCATGAGTACACATTTTCTCTTTGGGTGATAAAAAAGTTCTGAGGATGATAGGGGTGATAGTTGCAAAATGTAAATGCAGTTAATGCCACTGAAATACAGTGGTAGGTAAAGTTGAAGCTTAGAAGTGGACAGAAACAGCTTAAAGGTTCAGATTTGAAAGTTTAATTTTACCACTTGTGCTACTTTTATTTTCTTCTGCACTCATTTGGTACACAGTAGACCATTTCCCCTCCCATGTGTTGGAAAGGAGAAAAAAGGAAACATTGGAAAATTAAGCATACTGTAAAGACTCAGATCTCTCCCCTGCATGCTTGCAACCTTTAAATCTAAAACTCACTTAACTCATGGATTAGTTAGCACAATCTCAGACTCTGGAGCCAACCTATCCCTAAAAAAAGAAAAACCTAACGGACTGTATGTAGGCTGCAGGCAAAAAAAAAGTCACTATAAGCAAGAAACTTCTTTCAGATTAGATAAATCGTACATAAATGTATAGACAAAAGACAACTGTTTCAGTTATCTATTCACTGGAAGAGATGTGTAACAAACAACCCTAAACTCACTGAAGTAAAACGACAATCATTACCCTCATGAATTCTTCAGGTCAGGACTTAGGACAAGGCAGAGCAGGCATTGTATGTCTCTGGCCATGATGAGGGCCTCGGCTGGGATGACCCAAATGGCTGAGCGGCGAGAATGGCTAGGAGCTGGAATCAGCTTCTCAGCTCACGTGACTGGCACCTAGGCTGGGCTGACTCAAAGCCTGGGCTCAGCTGTGACTGTTGATCAGTATTACCTTCAAAGGGTCTCTCTGTCTGTCTTGGGCTTTCTCACAAAATGCCAGCCTCAGGCAGTGGAACTTCTCACAGGAAGGCTGGGAGTTCCAAAAGGTAAATGTTCCAGCAGACAAGGTGGTACTGCATGGTCTTTTATGACCTAGCCTCAGAAGTCACATATGGTGACTGTGACCATTTTCACCAACTTCTATTGGTTAAAATCAATCACAAGCCCACATACATGTAAAGAGAGGGAACACAGACTCTATTTTGTTATCAGATGAGTATCAAAGAAGTTGCAGCCAGGTTTTAAAACTACCATGGACATATTTATAGAGAAATGGAGATACATGGCAAAGGGTTAACAGTGTCCATCCCCCAGGATCCCTCAAAGTGCATTTAATCTATTATCTTAATTCAGATTAATCCAAACTTATCCTTCAATAATAGCAAATTCCACCTATTTGCATGTGATGCAGCAGTAACAAACTTCAATTAACCTCTATAACTTGCATCAAAATTGACTAATAGCTTGTTTTTGACCCTAGCACCATCTGCCAATTTTAACCATTTCTTATTTTTCAAACACCATCAAGCTCAGATCCACCTTCAGGCTTAGGCTCTCATATCCAGAAAGAATGCAGAGAATGCCTATAGCAAGCAAAGCAAGTAGATTAGGATCACATCAGCATTATGGCCTATTCCCTATCCTTACTAGACTTTAGGATCTTACAGGTCAAGAGAAAAAAATGAAACAAATGGTAGGCAAATAAAGCTATCAACTTTTTATTCTCCAAAGTAAAAATATCTGAAGAACAACTACTATCTATTATCATATTAAAAAATAGGATAGACAATTTCAAAATAAAACATGGTCCTTAAGAGTGAAGAAATTTAACTAAATGAAAAATTCATATATCTCATCTGAAATGCTTTGGACCAGAAGTGTTCTGGATTTCAGATTTTTTCAGATTGGGGAACATTTGCATTATACATACCAGTTGAGCATCTCAAATCTGAAAATCCAAAATCTGAAGTGTTTCAAGGAGCATTTCCTTTGAGCATCATATAAGTACTCAAAAAGTTTTGGATTTGGGAGCATTCTGAATTTCAGATTTTCAGATTTGGCATACTCAATCTGTAATTTTGTTTTTAATTTCTCTGCTGAGCTGAAGAAATTTCACCATAGAAGAATTCCAGTTCGCAAACTGGTATGTGAAATCATTTGTGCATCTGTCTCATCTCTTCTCTCTTTTGCTTTTTTCTAATGGATTTAGATTTTTGCTTTAGGAATTCAAAATCTAAACAAGACAAATAAGTAAATGAGTATAATACCATATAAATGCTGTAAGAATACATGGGGAAACAAAAATAAAGGAAGGTCTCACAAATTAGGCAAAAAAAGTTTGCCCATGAGAAAGAATGGGAAAGATTATAGGCAGCAAAAACGCTGTAGCTGAAAGCACAGAGACAATCTACGCATACGGCATATCCAAGATAGCCTCTACTGTGTACCAAACAAGTAAAGAGTAGTTATACTTGGCCGTAGAGTAAAATTAACTTTCTCTTCATTATTCTTCTTTTTTATGAACTTTAACAACAGAGCAAGCATTAATTTAATGATCAGGAATTTTTTTTAATTAATTTTATTTATTTATTTATTTATTTATTTTTTGAGACAGAGTCTCGCTCTGTCGCCCAGGCTGGAGTGCAGTGGCTTGATCTCGGCTCACTGCAAGCTCCGCCTCCCGGGTTCACGCCATTCTCCTGCCTCAGCCTCCTGAGTACCTGGGACTACAGGCTCCCGCCACCACAACTGGCTAATTTTTTGTATTTTTGGTAGAGACGGAGTTTCACTGTGTTAGCCAGGATAGTCTCGATTTCCTGACCTCATGATCCGCCCACCTCCGCCTCCCAAACTGCTGGGATTACAGGCATGAGCCCCTGCACCCAGCCTTAATTTCCATTTTTAAAGTAAGCTTAGGAAGAACAAACATAAGGCCTATTTTTCCGGTAGAAAGTAGTTTGGGTCAGGTTGTAAAATACAAATGTTAACAACTGAGAAGTAGGCAGTGAAGTCAAGTCCAAACAGACGATACCAAAAAAGGGGCTCATAATATTCCTTAGGTGTCTCTGTGAGACTCCTGGGCTAGGTGTACTCAATGTTACAAGCCTCCTTATCCGTATGGTCATTAGGCGGAAATTCCCCAGGTGGCAGGTACTAGCAGGTCAAATGCTTAAATATAATGCCCTTTGGAGTCACAAAGACCAAGGTTGCTATCTCCACACTACCACTTAACTAGCTCAGTGAGCCTGGGCAAATTTATCAGCCACTTGACTTTTTTATCTGTAAAGTGGAAAAATGCCTACCTCTCAAAATTTTTGTGCAGAACAACTTACATAATGTAGGTAATGAACTTAGTACAGTGCCTGTCCCCCTGAAAATTACAATTACAATATAAAACGCATTTGTATATGTAATTGAGTAGTAGATATTTGTTTACTCTATTGGTTTAGCTAAAGGCTTTAAGCATATGAAACTCCTTTGTCAGATGGAATGTCAACTTTTTAAAACTTAAATGAGTGCAAATTTTTAACACAAGTTCCAAATGTAGAAGGGACATTCCCTATTTGCGGTTAATTCTAAAATGAAGCTACCTTTAGAATGATCCTTCTGTAGGATCCAGAAATAACCAAGCGGCCTAGCCCCTAGATTCTAGCAACTGACAGAAAACTAGGTGGAGGTTTCCCATTCTTCCTTGTCTTCTTACTCCAGCGGGCTTCTGTATCCACTCTAGATTGAATAGGGGATGTTTTGTGTAGAGATGGGCCTTCTCTCTTCCAGTCCAACTCTGAAGTAACCGCCCCTTACCCAAGCTTTCTTTAAACTGGAATAACGCCAGCAGAAGAATGTAGTAGGTGTGCTTCAAGTGTCCTCAAATAATTCCCGCAGCTTCCAGAATCCTTGCAATAGCCCGCTGGACCATCTGCGGCAATTCCACCCACTTCCACGCACCTGCTCTTCTTTCTAACCCCAGTACGCAATCCTGCAGCCCCGCCCCCACAGCTGACCAATCAGAGGGCGCAAAGTGAGTCGGATGGGGCGGGCCCAGTTTGGCGCTGACGACGAATCACCTGCCTCAGACAGCAGGGGCGGAAGCGGAAAAGAGCTGAAAGTCTTGGTTTGGCCTTGGGTTCCGCTGTAGGGGAGGTCCCGTGCGAAAGAATGAGGAGATCCTGGGGCCTTACCTACTAGCGGAATCGACTGAAGAGACGCCTGCCAGTGCGGGAGGTAGGAAGCTCGATCCCCAAAGAAAAGAGCGAGTGGGCAGGCAGCTGCGAGACAGAACCGGAGTGTGCAGGGTCCCTAGAGGCCGGTTCCTGGTCTGTGCTGCTCTCCTGGAAGCCATGGTACAGGCAGAGCTCAGGGCGATCCCCAGGTGAGGGCAGCGGCTCTGCCTGGGATTCCACCGCAGTACAACCGGGTAGATGCGGGGTGGAGAAGAAAGGATGTTGCCTGCACTGCTCGCCAATAGCACCCTGAGAGGCTACATTTGCAGAAGCAGCAGCAGCAGAAGACACAGCGCCGGTCCAGGAGGCGGCTCGAGCTGTTCGTAAAGTCGCCCGACAGCTTTTTCTCCGTAGTATGCGAGTTGACAAAACAGCCAGAGAACAGGGCTCCCCATTACAATCTTTTCGAGATCTTTTCCCTTGCTAACCGGATCTGATTTGTGCGAAAACATGCCTTGCACTTGTACCTGGAGGAACTGGAGACAGTGGATTCGACCTTTAGTAGCGGTCATCTACCTGGTGTCAATAGTGGTTGCGGTTCCCCTATGCGTGTGGGAATTACAGAAACTGGAGGTAAGAGGGTTCTGCACCATCAGCCTGTACACTTTCTTCTACCCATCTATGGTTGGGAAAGAGACACCCTTACCCCATTTCTGCCCTGACAGTCCTGAAAACCATCTAATGTAAACGAGCCTACTCTTAGGATATAAACCTGTCTAATTTCTTGTTCACGGTTCTTCAAGTCATGCTACAGGTGGAGGTGGGACCGGGTCGAGAAAATAGAATATATTAATATAGCTGCTTAGAAGGGCACTGTTTTGCAAGTATTCATCAGTTCCCTGAAAGTAAGGTAATTTTATTGCTGAAATCTGATCTGTTCAGACATTGGACGAAACTAGGTCAAATAAACTACCTTGAAAACCATGTATTGAATTTTATTAGCTTTTAACTAGCTTCTTGAATCAAAGCGTTCTAGTTGTTTTAACTTTGGTGTCTGTTTTTACTGTGGAAATTAGCTCTTACCCAACAAAGGTTTTGCAAAAAGTCCCTTATATATATTTTTTGATGTCATATGCTTATTGTGACATCAGTAATGTACTACAAGCTGGAAAACCCCAAGGTAAATAACTCAGATATAAATATTATATAATGAACTTTAAATTCGGAGTTAATAAAACCCACCAAGTACTTTTACAGAGGAACACCTATTACAAGAACTATAATAAGACCATGACTATTTTAGGCCCTTCTTTATTGTGGAAATGATTTTTACATAAACTGTATTTAATATACATTTGTGTTCTCTATTTACACTAAATTATTTTCTGATGACTTTCCCATACTAGCATAGTCCATATAGTTTTTTGTTTGTTTGTTTATGAGACGGAGTTTTGCTCCTGTTGCCCAGGCTGGAGTGCAATGGCGAGATCTCGGCTCACCGCAACCTCCGCCTCCTGGGTTCAAGCGATTCTCCTGCCTCAGCCTCCCGAGTAGCTGAGATTACAGGCATGCGCCATCACGCCCGGCTAATTTTGTATTTTTAGTAGCGACGGGGTTTCTCCATGTTGGTCGGGCTGGTCTCAAACTCCTGACCTCAGGTGATCTGTCCTCGGCCTCCCAGAGTGCTGGGATTACAGGTGTGAGCCACCGCACCCAGCCCCATATACTTACTTGTTGTTGTTGTTGTTTATTTTTATTTATTTATTTTTGAGAAAGAGTCTAGCTCTGTCGCCCTGGCTGGAGTGCAGTGGCGCGATCTTGGCTCACTGCAACCTCTGCCTCCCAGGTTCAAGCGATTCTCCTGCCTCAGCCTCCCAAGTAGCTGGGATTACAGGTGCCCACCACCACACCCAACTAATTTTTGTATTTTTAGTACAGACGGGGTTTCACGGTGTTGGCCAGGCTGGTCTCAACTCCTGACCTTGTGATCCACCCACCTCGGCTTCCCAAAGTGCTGGGATTACAAGCATGAGCCACCGCACCCGGCCCATATAGTTATTTTTAATGGCCATGTAATATTCTGCTACATTCAATATTTCCCATTTGTTAGATATTTAGGTTCTTTCCACAATTTGTCTACAAAAACTTAGGTATAAGCATCTTAATACAAATGGGATTTTCTTACTTTGAAATATTTCCGTGGAGTATAGTATAGGAACCACTTTAAAGGTTAATAATATGCATAATATCAGTCCAGTTTAAGACTTCTCTTAGTTGTTAGTTTCAAATGTAGTTTTTAGGTACCACTAGCTTTTAAGAAAAATTGGAATCTGTAGTCTGTACTTGTCCTAGCCAAGTTCCCAACATGTCTTGCTTGGACTCTTCTCAACACACCAGCCAGAGTAACCAGTTAAAACTTGGCACATTATGTGTGTCATCTTAAATCACTTCTAGTCCTAGAGTAAAGGCCAGTATTCCTCACTGTGGCCATCAAGGTCCAACATGATCTGACACCACTCCCACCTGATCCCCCTCTGACTTTTTCTCCTCAAGTCCTAGGCTTCCACTGCACGGCTTTGCTCAAAAATCCCAGGCATGCTCCCTCCTTGAAACTTTGCACGATGTTTCCCCTTCACAGAATTTCCTTTCCGTAGATATTATTCTCATTCCTTTATGTTCTTCAGGTCTTTACTCAAATGTCACCTGACTACTCTATTTAACATTGTCAACTTCCCCCCACCCCAACTCTTCATATTCCTTTCTCTGCTTTACTTTTTCCATAGGACTTACCACCATCTACCACGATACATATTTTACTTTGTTTTCTTTCCCCCTCTTTCTGCCCAAATGACTGAGTCCCAGTGATGAATCAGGCTTTGTATACTATATGAGAGAACATTACCTCCATAGAACTTGGTGGAGACAAAAGGGACCAACAAAAACAAATCAATAAAATTGTATAAAATGCTGTGGAGGAAACCAGAAAAGATCTGAGAAGTTACCATGCAGGGCAGTCTAATTGCATAACTTCAAAAGACCACTCTACCAGCTATGGAAAATAAAGCAGAAGTGAAGGGAAGTTAGAAAGCTCTTTATGGTAGTGAGAGGTGTTGGGTGCCTGGGCTATGATGGTTTATGGCCCCGGTAAGGATAGCAGGAGTGGAAATGGAAAACTGAATTGTAAGTATCCTTAGAAGTGAGCAAACAAGACGTAGCAGGAAGATTGGATTCCAGAGGAGAAGCAGTGAGAGAAAGGAACAAATCAAAGATGATTCTGAAGTTTTTTGTTTGAACAACTGTGTAAATGGTGGTGCTAGTTACTGAGATAGAAAATTGAGGGTTAGGAACAGGTTTGAGAGAAATTGAGTTCTGTTATGGACATTTAGTTTAATAAGAGACATTCAATAGGCATGTCAGATATGCTGTTGGATATGCACATCTAATGCTCAGAAAGATATGAGCTGCAGATACAAATGTGAGAGTTTATCTTGGTGTCCCCAGGCTGCCGTGAGAAAATACCATAGCCTGAGTGGCTTAAACTACAGAAATTTATTTTCTCACAGTTCTGGAAGCTCATCCCATGCCCATGGTGGGGCATATACCCATTTATTGGAATGGTAGGGTGACCATCTGCACTGTTTAAACTATTTTTCCCACTCACTTGGCTGACCATGTATACCTGAAGTGAATGTGCATGCTGCTCTAGTCTTTTTACCTCAGCACACTTTTTTTTTTAACCTCAGCACATTTACCTCATGCCCTTAGGTCAGTTCTACTCTCTCCCCTCAGGAAGACCTGGCCCAGAAAGCACTCTCTCCTATTCATCTCCACTCTCTGTTTTGAAGCATTTTGCTGAGGGAGAGTTAACTTATTCTTGGATGCTTGTCTTTAAGGGTTTTTTCTTTCCTCTCTTCTTTCCTAAAGTTACCCATGAAAAAAAATCTGTTTATCTCCTCCTCATTTCGTGAGCCCAAAAACTCAACTCATGGCTGATAAAGATTAAGAATAATATTACTGGTATCTACATCAATGTGTCTCAAATTTGAATAAATTATTTAGAGGTAAACATAAAATTAAAAAATTATATTGATAATTTCTGCAGATAGCTAGTGTTGAGTTATTCTATTACAATGTTACTTAAATATATACACACATAAAATAGGTTAAATTTCTTGTGCATGTAACTTTTATATAGCTCAAAAATCAAAACAACTGTAAAACCAATAATTAAAATTAATGACATTAATGTGGAGAGATGATGTTTTTCTGAAACTAAATTACCACTTGCACTGTAAAAATGATATTATGTGGTACAGGATTTTAAAATTTGGCCTGCAGTGACCAAGTCTCTAGTCACTTGTTTTATGATTGTTTAAAAAACAAAAACAACTTTCTTCTTTATAGCACACTGAGGACACTTGACCTTCATTAGTCACAAGCACATCATTTTTCTCTTAAGTGTACCACCAAGTTCTAGTTTTTGGAACTAAAGCAATCAAAATAAGCAATTACTTGGCAATACTTTTTTTTCTTTTTTTCTTTCTTTTTTTTTTTTTGAGCCAGGGTCTCGCTCTGTCACCCAGGCTGGAGTGCAGTGGCGCGGTCATGGCTCACTGCAGCTTTGACCTTCTGGGCTCAAGTGATCCTCTGGCACCCGGCTAATTTTTTGTATTTTTTGTAGAGATGGAGTTTTGCCATGTTGCCCACACTGGTCTCACACTATTGGACTCAAACCATCTGCCCTCCTCAGCCTCACAAAGTGTTGGGATTACAGGCATGAGCCACCGCGCCTGGCCGCAGTACCATCCTTTATAATAAAGGAGATCTAGAATATGCTTATCCTATTATTATTTTCTTAGATCATCACTGAAATTTCACTTCCCTTGGTTTCAGTAACCTGTTGTCCACCATGGTCTGAAAATATTAAATGAAAAATTTCAGAAATAAGTAATTTGTAAGTTTTAAATAACTTATTACAATATATAATTGTTCTATTTTCTTGTTAACCACTTACTGTGTGTCCAATTTATGAATTAAACTTTATCATAAGTATATATGTATAGGAAAAAACATAGTATATGCATATAGGATTTGGGACTATCTATAGTTTTAGGTATTCACTGGGGGTCTTGGAACCTAATCCCCACATATAAGTGGGGACTACTGTACTCAATTTTAAATGAAATGGATAAAAGCAAAAAGCCCTGTAATATGAGTGCTCAGACATTCCTTTTAGAGTCTTACGTCCATATATTTGCTTTTCATTTACTGTTTGATTAACGCCCCCACAATCAGTAAGACTTTGTATTAGCTTTTGGTTTGTTTTTGTTTTTGAGACAGGGTCTCACTCTGTTGCCCAGGGTGGAGTACGGTGGCACAAATCATGGCTCACTGTAGCCTTGAACTCCTGGGCTCAAGCAGATCTCCCACCTCAGTCTTCCTAGTAGGTAGGACTACAGGCACATGCTTCCACGCCTCGCTAATTTATTTTTTGTAGAGATGGCATCTCGCCATGTTGCTCAGGCTGGGCTGGATGGAACCCCTGGGCTCAAGCAATCATGAGCCACCTCACTCAGCCCTTTTCAAGCTTTCTATACATTTTAATGTGGAAATTTGTTGTTGTAAAAATGCATTTGTTCTCCATACTTTTGTTTTCTACCTCTTTTATCTTTGGCCCCTGGTAGAGGAAGAAAAAGTCCTGTTCAAACAGTGAAACTGGGCCGTGCACGGTGGCTCATGCCTGTAATCCCAGCACTTCAGGAGGCGGAGGCGGACGGATCACTTGAAGTCAGGAGTTCCAGACCAGGCTGGCCAACAGGGCGAAACCCCATCTCTACTAAAAATACAAAAAAATTAGCTGGGTGTGTAATCCCAGCTATTTGGGAGGCTGAGGCAGGAGAATCGCTTGAACCCCGGAGGCAGAGGTTGCAGTGAGCCAAGATCGCGCCGCTGTACTCCAGCCTGGGCAACAGAGCAAAACTGTCTCAAAAAAAAAAAAAGAAAAAGAAAAGAAACAGTGATACTTAAGGTTGTAGACCTTAGTTCTATTTTAATTGTAAACTGCTCAACCCTTCAAGCATCAAAAATAAATGCCCACCTTTTCCCCTTAAAAAAAAAAAAAGATTCATACTCTTCAAGGCAAGATTACAAGTTAATATAAAAGTCCCCCCTCCCCCACAAATTTTTTTCAATTTTTTAATTTTTTTTTTTTGTAGTGACGGGTTCTCACTTTGTAGGCCCAGGCTGGTTTCAAACTCCTGGCCTCAAGCGATCCTCCCACCTCGGCCTCCCCAAGTGCTAGGATTATAGGCACAAGGCACTGAGCCTGGCCAAGCTCTTTTGTTTTAATATCAGAATTTATATTAACATGTTATTTTGTTTCTTAAGGTTGGAATACACACCAAGGCTTGGTTTATTGCTGGAATCTTTTTGCTGTTGACTATTCCTATATCACTGTGGGTGATATTGCAACACTTAGTGCATTATACACAACCTGAACTACAAAAACCAATAATAAGGTATGTCTTAATAATTTTGATTCCACTACTGTTGTGTTGGCTTATTTCATAAATATGACATAAAATGTTTTAAATTTCTGTTTTCCTTTTCCAATAGGATTCTTTGGATGGTACCTATTTACAGTTTAGATAGTGTAAGTATGTTTCATTTTTATCTCATTAACTAAGGACTTGTTTGATGATACTATAATTACAGAATGCTTAAGATAATGAAAGTATGTTATTGACAAGGAGTCAGATTAATAAGTAAAAAGGTTCACTTGTTTCTAATGATAGAGAATATAAAGTATAATTAAAAATGTAAAATGTTATATTATAAATGTTTAAAAATCTATAGCTGTTTGCTTTCTTTTAAACTTTCAGATTGTTAAAGAATGTAATATTTTAAATTAATATACTACTCTTTTTATTTATTACGTCTTTTATTTGAATCAAAAATTTAAAAACCTTCCCCAGTGGATACACATGAAATTGTTGTAGATGACTGCTTCTAATATGAGTAAATATTAAAGGAAATATCTTTAGCAGCATTATCTATGATCATATTAAGAAAAACTTCAGATTTAAGAACACAAGTACTTACTTTAGCTTCTCTCTTTATTCATTATTTACCCCTCAAACACTTGTTTTTGTTTACCAATATCTAAGATGTTTATTGCTTTTAAGCATTCATTTCACAGATTGATAGCCCTCATAATGATAAATTTTAGAGAGTCCCATGTAAGTATATGACAAGACATCTCAAGCATAAAAATTAGCTTATTGTGAGTACCATGAATGGAGTGGTGATTCATTTTATCTTAGCTGCAACTATCTTTAACATCTGTGCTTTTTCATAGTGGATAGCTTTGAAATATCCCGGAATTGCAATATATGTGGATACCTGCAGAGAATGCTATGAAGCTTATGTAATTTACAACTTTATGGGATTCCTTACCAATTATCTAACTAACCGGTATCCAAATCTGGTATTAATCCTTGAAGCCAAAGATCAACAGAAACATTTCCCTCCTTTATGTTGCTGTCCACCATGGGCTATGGGAGAGTAAGTATGTTTGGTTTAATTCTTTTATGTTTTGGTTTTTCATTTAAGCAGAGTTTTTAAGTAGCAATCAGCTCTTTACAAGGCAGTGCATTAAGTATTAATAGCAGAACAATAAGTATAAGACAGCTCCTGATGCAGTTCATAGTTGTTTGAAGGCTAACAAAACAGTTTTGTAATCCCACATATATGTTAGTCTTTTTTACATTATTAATCCCAAATCCAAAAATTAAAGTATTGCAGGTAAAAACAGTAATCATTTAATCAATATGCTTTTGCAGTTGAGAACCAAGGTCTGCAGATCTTATGTAAGAACACACAGCTAGTTAAAAGACATAGACAAGATAATGTAGGTTGTAGAACCACATATGATATGAAGTAGGAGCAATAAGTAACAGTGTTTGGTAACATAATACATCAGCTTGCCTTATTATATGTTCATGTAGGACATTAAAACTTATGTCATTTCATTTTGAAAAATAAATTGAGTTTACAATTGCATTTATTATAGAAATGAACCACTTGGTATTTTTCAGCAAGCAAACATTTGGAAACAGTGTTTTAGAAAGATTAATTTTGCAATATCATAAAGGATGAATTGGAAGGAAGAAGATTCCAGAGATGGAGAAATAAATTAGGAGTTTATAATAATCTATTTGTGAAATAAAACTGAAAAGGGGGATGAGATTGGAATAGAAAAGAAAGGCAATAAGAGAATGCAACTGAAAAATCAATAGGACATGTCCACTAATGCAACCGCCCAAGGGGTTCACTTTGCCAGCCACCTAGACAGAACCGATTCATCAAGACGGGAATTGCAAAAGATAAAGAGTAATTCAGACAGAGCCAGCTGTGCGGGAGACAGGAGTTTTATTATTACTCAAATCAGTCTCCCTAGGCATTCGGGGAGCAGAGTTTTAAGGATAATTTGCTGGGTAGGGGGAAGCCAGTGAGCCATGAGTGCTGATTGGAGAGAGGTGAAATCATAGGGAGTCAAAGCTGTCCACTTATACTGAGTCAGTTCCTGGGTGGGGGCCACAAGGTGAGATGAGCCCGTTTATTGATCTGGGTGGTGCCAGCTGATTCAACAAATGCAGGGTCTGCAAAATATCACAAGCACTGATCTTAGGAGCAGTTTAGGGAGGGCCAGAATCTTGTAGCCTCCAGCTGCATGACTCCTAAACCATAATTTCTAATCTTATGGCTAATGTTAGTCCTACAAAGGCAATCTAGTCCCCAGGCAAGGAGGTTTGCTTTGGGGCAGGGCTATTTCTATAGCTTTGGGAGAAACTATAAACTAAGTTTCTCTCAAAGTTAGTTCAGCCTACGCCCAGGAATGAACAAGGACAGCTTGGAGGTTAGACACAAGATGGAGTCGGTTTAAGTTATCTCTTTCACTGTCTCAGTCATAATTTTGCAAAGGCAGTTTCACTAATAAATGAGGAATAAGGTGGAAGTTACAAGCCAAGGTAAATGGAGGTAGAGTGATCAGTGTAGACATACAACATAAGAATGGGTGCATTGCCTCCTATGCAGTACAGGACCATTTGTACAACGTCCTGACAAATTTTGTCTCTATTTACACCCTTGAAATGACAGGGAGCTACCTGGCTTTTTAAAAAAATAAGCTACTAATGTGTTCATTTGACAAATATATGTTGAGCACCAAGTACGTGCTAGTATAAAGAAATACCTTAGTGCACAGAACAGACATAGACCTCATGGAACTTAGTTTGGTTAGGAGAGTTAGGAATTAAGACACAAATATATAGTTAGTTATTTCAGGAAATGCAATGAAGGAAGAAGGACAGGAGGCCATGAGAGAATAGTAATGACAAATTAATATAGATTGGTTATCAAGGGAGACAGATTGTGCTCAACTCTGAAGGCAACAAGGACAAATGGGCATTTATAGCTAGAGCATGTTGAGGGGGTCAGCGAATGCAGAATTACGAAGAGGGGACATCAGGGCTAGGAGGATTCTCACTAAACTGAACAGAATTCTTGCTAAAGGCAGGCCAAGGCCTTAGTCATCCAAGGTGGGTGCTGAGGAATTTGATCGGATGTCAAAGGTGATCAGATATCAAAGGGGGCTGGGGAATGACTTAGCAAGATTCTTTTAGATTGACTGACACAGGACAAGGACAAGGCCCAAGGATGAAGCCAAGTTGAAAAGAGGCATCAGAGGCTTGTCTAAAGTTTGTCTAAATGAGAGTCTTTGTCAAATGAGAAACCATTTATAGGATATTATGCAGAGAACCGGTATCTAAATTTCATTTTCAAAGATTACTGTGTTTTTTTTTTGAGATGGTCTTGCTCTGTCACCCAGGCTAGAATACAGTGGCGTGATCTCAGCTCATTGCAACCTCCACCTCCCATATTCAAGCAATTCTCATGCCTCAGCCTCCCAAGTAGCTGGGATTACAGGCGTGCCCGGCTAAATTTTGTTATTTTTTTTGTAGAGACAGAGTTTTGCCATGTTGGCCAGGCTGCTCTCAAGTGATCCACCTGCCTCGGCCTCCCACAGTGCTGGGATTACAGGCGTGAGGATGGCTTGAGCCCAGGAGTTTGAGACTAGCCTGGGCAACACAGTGAAACCACATCTCTACAGAAAATTTAAAAATAGCTGGGTGTGGGGGCACACACCTACAGTCCCAGCTACTCAGGAGGATCACTTGAGCCCAGGAGGTCAAGAGTAGCCTGGGCAACATAGTGAGACTCCCATGTCTATAGAAAATAAATTAGCCAGGTGTGGTGGTATGCAGATATAGTTCCAGCTACTCAGGAGGCTGAGGTGGGAGGATCACTTGAGCCCAGGAGGTCAAGAGTAGCCTGGGCAACATAGTGAGACCCCATGTCTACAGAAAATAAATTAGCCAGGTGTGGTGGTATGCAGATACAGTTCCAGCTACTCAGGAGGCTGAGGTGGGAGGATTACTTGAGCCCAGGAGGTCAAGAGTAGCCTGGGCAACATAGTGAGACCCCATGTCTACAGAAAATAAATTAGCCAGGTGTGGTGGTATGCAGATATAGTTCCAGCTACTCAGGAGGCTGAGGTGGGAGGATCACTTGAGCACAGAAGGTCAAGGCTGCAGTAAGCCATGTTCACACCACTGCACTCCACCCTGGGCAACAGAATAAGATCCTATATCTCAAAAAATAAAAAAGGTATTTAGATAATTTGTTTCCTGCCATCCACATTCTTCTGCCACTGCTATTAAGGATGACTACATTGAAAGAATTAACTGTAAATATGGTATCATTCATCAAAGTGATTTTAATTTGGAGGCTTTGGGGAAAATCTGATGCTATTTAAATGAGTAGTTGAAATTCTAAGTTCTTTTTCTTTTGCAGAGTATTGCTGTTTAGGTGCAAACTAGGTGTATTACAGTACACAGTTGTCAGACCTTTCACCACCATCGTTGCTTTGTAAGTACTCGGATTTTATATGAACTTTTTTTTTCATCCTTGTGATCTTATGTGGGAACAACTAAGTAGAAAACATAGTGTTAATGTGCTTATTTATAATGCAGGTCTAGTCTGTTGTAAAAAAAAACACTGTATAGAAACTCACTCTATTAAAATAAATAACATGACCATTTATAGGCAAAGAGTCACCACAGGGGTCTCCTAAATATTCACATCCTCTCCAGAGCTAGCTGGCCGTAAAGCACTTTGAAAAAAAAATACCTTCTTTTTCAGATACATAGCTTGACAGAAACCCTATTGCATGAAGTTAAAGTATGCTACTTTAGGTTAATTACAGTTCTATTTTCTACATAGTTAATTTAGAATATATTAGAAGTACTCTAAGAAAGAAGTCATATTTTCTTTTAATATATTCTATCAAGGCTTAGAATTGAGGTAAAATGGGGTATCATTAAGCTACCTGGCAAAACTATTCCCTAAAAATTCAAGAACATCAAATACTTTAATGCCAATAGATTACATGTTTTATCTCCTAGTTGTTACTAACATTTTGCATGCTCACAGAGGAAAAGTGGAAAGAAAGACTTGTGAAAGAATTCTTTATTCTGCCTTTGAGCTAGCAATTATTTAGCCATTTAATTATGAAGGCATGCTTTATTTCCCTGCAGCTTAGAAATTGGGTAAGATTATAACAATACTGATGGTCATACTTACTTGAGGGGATCTGGGTCTTCATAAAATTTACCTCCAAGACAATTGAGGGGAAAAAATTAACAACTACAGTTATATACACCTGCATTATATTATGTTTAACAATCAAGCTTTCCCAAAATTAGACAGCATAGTTGTTTTTTTTTAAATTTAGTACTCTTTCTAGTTAAGTGTTATGTGTCTTATTTGGGATTTCCTTCAAGTTGAAGGAATATAGTAATATTTCTAGAAAAAAATGGGTTTTTCATTTTTGAACCACCTCTAGATCCAAAGTCAAGTGATTGTCAATGGATCTCTCAAATAAACTGACTTCTAAATTCTCTGTGTCCAAAGTCAAGTGATTGTCAGTGAGATCTCAAATAAACTGACTTCTAAATTTAAGTATTGCTATTGCTGTATTTTGAAGTACGATTTTGATTTAATCAGAGATATCTCATTTTTACTATTTTTAGAATCTGTGAGCTGCTTGGTATATATGACGAAGGGAACTTTAGCTTTTCAAATGCTTGGACTTATTTGGTTATAATAAACAACATGTCACAGTTGGTAAGTAAAATGTTCACTTTTCTTAAACTGTACTAAATTCGTATCTATAACTAAATTTCTTTAGACAAAGTTTCTTCTTAGGATAAGGCTTGCTTCTTTTTAATCTTCCTATAAATTAAATCTGAAATTTAATTTATAGAAAGACTTGAAAAAAATTTAATATATATCTTAATACATATATAAAGATATAATAACATCTTTGTTTATTATTTGGCAACTTATACCCTCACATGTTGACCATGTTTGTTCATTTATTTCTGTTGCTCATTGCATAGCTGTATGAGTATGTCATAAATAAAAGCACAGTGCTACATAAAAAAAAAAATACACACACACGCCCACATATACTGAACATATTCAGAAGAGAAAATATCAAATTGGTATTTGATGGTACAGGGTTTGAATAAAAATGTGAGAATAAAATTCTCTGTTATCATATATTTGAAGTTAAAGGAAAATTGAGAATGCCAAGTTTAAAAAAATGGATGATGTTCTAGAAACTGTATGTTCCAAAGACCTATGATGTAATGTCCTATTTGATCTTACAAGCTTAAAAAAATGTGCATTTTATTTAAATTCTTTGACTAATGCTGTCAGCAAAATAATTTAGATGCAGTGGTATGCATGGTTGGTATTAGAGCTTTATAATAAAAATTAAATGTCCATGTAGCTAAAGTTTTCCCACATGTTCATCCTCTTTGGAACCAGTAATTCTGTTTCTGGGAATGTATTCTAAAGAAGTGTTCAAAAGTATGTTTGCCTAAAGTATCTTTGTATATAAAGCCCATTACTTGTAAATAACAAAAGGCTGAAAGCAATCCAAAACCCAATGTTAGGGACTAGTTGAATGCACTGTGGTCTTTCCATTGGCCAAAATATTAGGCAGTTACTAAAAATAAGCCTGATGAAACATATAGAAGTTATGTATTTTAAGTGGAAAAAACATTAGGCAATAAAATTTTATAATTAGTTCATGACAGTTATTTAAAAACTGGCTTATGTGTAAAAAGGATGATTGGACACCATGAATCACTTTATTCTTTCTTTCTTTACTGGTTTCATATTCTAAAATACTTTGAATTTGCATTTTATATGATTTTAATAGGGAATAGTGAACTTTCAGGAAAATGTTTATTGTTATTCAGCACTACACTAGGTTATTACAGATTTCTAAAAAGTTAGTAAGTCTTGTTCATTTTAAAAAATAAATCTAGCTGAACTAATACACCGCTCTCAGGAAAAATTGTTTGATTCTTTACATTCAGATTTCATAGTCACAATTTTATTGAAATTGTACTTGTTTAATGGGTTACTTTAGTTACATAGGATAGACTAGGTAATAAGCTAAAGCCTCATAAAATGAGTGGTCAGAAATTTATGTTTAAAAGCCGTTACAGATGGATTTTTTTATTTTGGCTGAACAAGAGCCATTTCTTCCATTTATGTCAATCATTTGTTTATTGTTCCCTTTATGGAACCCAGGAAGTGAACACTTAAAAACATTTTTACGGAAGATGTTGTATGTAGTATATATTCATCTATAGTAAACTATGAAAGCTTGTTAATCTAAAAATAGAATAATAAAGCCTAGAAAAGTTTGCCTGAAACATTACTCTGTACCAGGTCTCTGGTATGTAACTTTAATATTTCTATTACCATATCTATTACTGAACAAGTTTAAATGTTAATCTTGTTTCTAGTTTGCCATGTATTGTCTCCTGCTCTTTTATAAAGTACTAAAAGAAGAACTGAGCCCAATCCAACCTGTTGGCAAATTTCTTTGTGTAAAGCTGGTGGTTTTTGTTTCTTTTTGGTAAGTGTTACTTTTTTTTAAATGTTCTCATTTTTTTAAGGGCAGTAAAAACCGTTGATTAAGGAGGATTTTTAAACAGTCTTAATGCGGAAGATAGATTAAAATGTCTCTACTTCTCTTTTTAAAAGTTCATCTTTTTAGCCCTTCTACAATTTTCAAAAGAAATAATTAGATGGTCGCTGTAACATTTATATGAAGAAAATAGTTTGAGACAACCTAAATATGTCAATACTAGAATAATTATTAAAATAAATCATGGCCCTGTCATATAATAGAATACTATGGAGTTTGGAAGAAAGCATGATGTAGAATATTTAATTATATGGGAAAATAATCAGTAAATCTTTTTAAAACAGAAGGTAAAACTATACATAGTTCAATATAGTAAAGAGGGCCGGGCACAGTGGCTCACGCCTGTAATCCCAGCACTTTGGGAGGCCAAGACAGGTGGATCACCTGAGGTTGGGAGTTCCAGACTAGCCTGGCCAACATGGCTAGTCTCTACTAAAAATACAAAAATCAGCCAGGCATGGTAGCAGGCACCTGTAATCCAAGCTACTTGGCAGGGAAGGCAGGAGAATTACCTGAACCCAGAAGGCAGAGGTTGCGGTGAGCCAAAATCATGCCACTGCACTCCAGCCTGGGCACCAGAGTGAAACTCTGTCTCAAAAAAAAAAAAAAAAAGAATTTAGTAAAGAGGTGGGTAATAGGGGTCCTAGAAACAAATACACCAAATTTAACAAGCTAGAAACAATACAAAAAGGGAAAAAGAAAAATCCCTGAAATCCCACCACCCAGAAAAGAATGATTAACATCTTGGTAAACCTGTGTCACATATAAAACTCCAGAGAAAGTTTCATACTATAAAAATTTTTGGAATTCGACAATGTTCAGTAGTATATTGTAGATACAGTTCTTTGTCAGTAAACAGAAATATTATTTTGTTTTGTGGAGGGGGTGATTTTTATTTTTATTTTTATTTTGCTTAGTATTCTGTTATGTGGATATAACTTTTTACTAATCTCCTTTTGATATTCAGGTTGTTCCTAATTTTTTTACCATTATAAGAAACACTGAAGTGAATATTCTTATGTATACAACTATGAAAGCATGTCCATGTCATTATTTGCTGTTTAAATTTTACCTGGGGCCATTATCTCTAGATTTGCTTGAAATGCTCAGCTTGACTCCCTATCTTGAGACAAAACTACTAGAAAAATGAATTTGTAAAGCAAATTAATATATTTAACATAGAGTTTCTTCAGCAATATGCTGTAAAGGCAGGGTGGTGGTGGTACACAGGTTGCACTGGATTTTTTTTTAATGGCACATTTTTAAAACTACTGCTCATTTTATGCTTGATATAGATTTGGCGTTTACCTTTTCCTAACATATAGGCAAGCAGTAGTTATTGCTTTGTTGGTAAAAGTTGGCGTTATTTCTGAAAAGCATACGTGGGAATGGCAAACTGTAGAAGCTGTGGCCACCGGACTCCAGGTAAGTAGTGCCATCTCTGAATTCAATAGAACTTTACTATTTGTTAAGCATTTTTACATATCTCCACTAAACCTGACAACACACAGGGTATGGGGCTATTATCCTCACTTTACAGGTGAGAAAACAGGGGAACCCTAGAGAAATTGGCCATAATTACTAATTTGTAGCAGATCCATGAATAAAACCTGGATTTCATTATTCCTAAGTCCAATTCTCTTTCCACATTTCTCCTTGTAGTCCTTGGGTGGTGGAATGCAATATACTTGATGTGATTGAGAATGAAATGTACTTTGCTAAGAAATACTTGAGGCTGGCCTGGTGCAGTGACTCACGCCTGTAATCCTAGCACTTTGTAAGGCCAACGTTGGGGGATCACTGGACCAGGCATTCGAGATCAGCCTGGGCAACAAAGAGAGACCTCATCTCTACAAAAAACTAAAAAATAAAATACTTAGCCAGGCATGACAGCACATGCCTATACTCCTAGTTACTTGGGAGGCTGAAGTGGGAGGATTGCTTGAATGCAGGAGTTCAAGGCTGCTACTTGAGGAAGTGCAAAATAGATTCACATTTTGGCATTTTGTCTTTTTTTGAAGGGGTCAAAAATAATTATTTTAGAAAATGGAAAAATGAATATAATCTGAGAAGAAAAAACACAGCTGTTTATCTTAGCACTTTTGAAAAGCAAGTAGAGAAAGATAGCACTCTACAAACCTAGATTTAAATCCAAAGGTGGCTGTTATCTTATTGTTGTTCTCATAGGATTTTATTATCTGTATTGAGATGTTCCTCGCTGCCATTGCTCATCATTACACATTCTCATATAAACCATATGTCCAAGAAGCAGAAGAGGGCTCATGCTTTGATTCCTTTCTTGCCATGTGGGATGTCTCAGATATTAGAGATGATATTTCTGAACAAGTAAGGCATGTTGGTAAGTACCAGCTATTTAATTCAACCAAATAGGTTGGGTAGGATATTGAATTTCTCCTACTAGGGCAATTTATTATCTATTTAGAGATGAAAAAAGACTTTAAAGCAGTACCACAGTGCAGGCTCATCAACTTTGGGGAGTGGGAGAGGGGGAAGTGGGGAGCTTATTTTTAGAATGGTAAGTTTATAATGGTAAAAATAACTTTTGACTAACAGAAAACTTTATATTAAAGGACGGACAGTCAGGGGACATCCCAGGAAAAAATTGTTTCCCGAGGATCAAGATCAAAATGAACATACAAGTTTATTATCATCATCATCACAAGATGCAATTTCCATTGCTTCTTCTATGCCACCTTCACCCATGGGTCACTACCAAGGGTTTGGACACACTGTGACTCCCCAGACTACACCTACCACAGCTAAGATATCTGATGAAATCCTTAGTGATACTATAGGAGAGAAAAAAGAACCTTCAGATAAATCCGTGGATTCCTGAACAGTATGGAAAAGCAAACTGTGCAACTACTACATTATATCATTACCTGGTATCCCATGGATTTTGTGCTTGGGACAGACCATAAATGATGGAAAATGTCAACACAAAAATAGCTGAAAGCCAGGTACAACTACTGCATTTATATATGTAAGTTTTGTATATCAAAAATAATTGGTCTAAATTTCCTAGACTTAGACTTGATTTCTTAACATTAGGGTATCGCATACTCAAATGGTAGACAATGACCCCAACTAAATCTTCCTGATGTTACACTGCTTTATCAAGAGGATGGACTTTTTTTTTTTTGAGACAGACAGAGTCTTGCTCTGTCACCCAGGCTGGAGTGCAGTGGCGCAATCTCGGGTCACTGCAAGCTCTGCCTCCCAAGTTCATGCCATTCTCCTGCCTCAGCCTCCCAAGTAGCTGGGACTACAGGCACCTGCCACCATGCCCAGCTAATTTTTTTTTTTTCAGTAGAGACAGGGTCTCACCATGTTAGCCAGGATGGTCTTGATCTGACCTCGTGATCCGCCGACCTCGGCCTCCCAAAGTGCTGGAATTACAGGCGTGAGCCACTGCGCCTGGCCAAGAATGGACATTTTTTAAAAAAACATCAGTACTTCCTACCACTGCTGCATGAGTATAATGCTCCGGAATTATCAGAAAGCATAATGCAGAAATACGAATTAGTGGAACTTAATCATGTGCCATATAAGCTTACCTAACAAACAGTTATATCCCTATTCCTCAACTGAATGTCTTTCAATAAATAAGAATTTATCATTTATTTTCTGCAACTTTTTTATGTCTCATTCTTTAAACATTAAAAACCCTTAATATTTTAACAAAAATTTCTTGATTAGAGGCACAGTGAAAAAGAAGTCAAAAAAAAAAGTTCTACTTTTCATCAGTGCTATTAAAGGTGGCAGCAAATGTAAATCTTGGCTGAATGGTCTTAATTACTCATTAAACCACAGTCAGAAAGACATATAGGTGCTATTTGGGAAAACTTTTTATTACCTAGGATGGGGTTTCTCTAATTGCTAATCACAACCCCACTGGGTCATGTTTGACATTTTATAATGAAAATAAAACAGAAAGTGCCATAGTATGTTACAGAAAGCAAAGATGAGTATTGTTTCTCAAAGCCTTTGCTTTATGTATTTATACACATACTCATTCATATCTATCTATATATATAGAGAGAGATAGTGGTTCACAGTAATCATACAAAGTCTTTATTCCATCCACTATTATAAACATTTCTATTAAAACTAAAACTGGGCTCTATGTAAAAACCCCAAAGATACACACACAAAAAAAATCTGTTTGTTAGAACTCAAGTGAATTCAGTAAAGTTGCAGAATACAAAATCAACATACAAAAAGCATTAGCATTTTTATACATAAATAATGAAAATAATGACCTAACTGAAAAATTAAGATGCCATTTATGATAGCATAAAAAAAATACTTACTTAGGAATAAATTTAACACCAAGGCAGTAAAAGATCTGTATGTACACTGAAAACTATGAAACACTGATGAAAGAAAGACACAAATAAATGGAAAGGTATCCCGTGCTCATGGATCAGAATAATACTGTTAAAATGGTCACACTACCCAAAGCAATTCAGAATCAATGCAATCCTATCAAAATTCCAATGGCATTATTTACACAAACAGAAAAAAATCCTAAAATTCATATGTAACGATAAAAGACCCTGAATAGGCAAAAGAATACTGAGGAAAAAATGTTGGAGACATCACATTTCCTAATTATAAATTATACTACAAAACTATAGTAATCAAGACAGTATGGTACTGGTATAAAAACACATACACAGGCCAGTGGGACAGAAGAAAGAGTCCAGATATAAATCCAAACATACACAGTCAACTAATTTTTGACAAAGACACCAAGAAGACACATCGGGGAAAGAACAGTCTTCATTAAGTGTTCTTAATGAAGATGCTGGGAAAACTGCACTTCCACATGCAAAACAATGAAATCAGACCCTTATCTTAGACCTACACAACAATCAATTCAAAATGGATAAAAGACCTAAATGTAAGACCAGAAACTATAGAAGAGAACATAGGAGAAAAGTTCCTGGACACTGACCCTTGGCAATGATTTTTTGGATATCACACCAAAAGCTCAGTCAACAAAAACAAAAACAAATGTGACTACATCAAACCAAAAAGCTTCTGACAGTAAAAGAAACAGTCAACAAAATGAAACAGTAGCCTACAGATTGAGTAAAAAATATTTGTAAGGCATATATATGGAAAAGGGTTAGTATCCAAAATTTATAAAGAATTCATACAACTCAATTTTAAAAATGGGCAAGACCTGAAAAGACATTTCTCCGAAGACGACACACAGATGGCCAACAGGTATATAAAAGGGTGCTCAACATAATTAATCATCAAGGAAATGCATATAAAAACCACTCGAAGTACTACCTCTCACCAGTTAGGCTAGCTGTTATCAAAAAAAACAAAAGACAACAAATGTTGTGATGGTGTGGAATAAAAGGAACTCTGTGCACTGTTGGTGGGAATGTAGATTGGTACAGCCATTATGGAAAACAGAATGGAAGTTTCTAAAGAAAAATAAAACTACCATACGATCCAGCAATCCCTCTTCTGGGCATATACTCAAAGTAAATGAAATCACCACCTTGTAAATATATCTGCAGTCCGTGTTCATTGCAGCATTATTCATAGTAGCCAACATGGAGACAACTGAAGTGTCCGTTGACAGATGAATAAAGAAACTGTGTATATATATGCCTACACACAATGGAATATTATTCATCCCTAAAAAAAAAAAACCAACGATATCTTGCCATTTGCTACAACATGGATGGGCCTGAAGGACACTGTGCTAAATGAAATAAGCCAGACAGAAAAAAAGATACTGCATAATTTCACATATATGTGGAATCTAAAAAAAAAATTTAAATATATAAAGAGCAAAACTGGTTATAGGGGGATAGGGAGAAATGGGGAATGTAGGTCAAAGGATTCAAGGTAGCAGATATGTAGGATGAATAAGTCTAGAGATCTATTGTACAACATGAGGATTTTAGGTAACAAATTTGTACTGTATTTGGGATTCATGGTAAATGAGTAGATGTCAGCTGCTGTTGTCAAAAAACAAAAAATATGTGGGTAACTGAGATGATGGATATGTTAATTTGCTTCACATTGTATACCTTAAATGTATGCAATAAAATTTATTTTAAAAATAAAGCTGGGTAGTATAATAATAGAGGTAACAAGAACGGGTAGTCTGGAGCAAAGATCCGTCTTATTTGTGACTTACAAAGAGCACGCAGTGTATAGGAGGCATAATAATGATCTTCCTTTATTTCAAAAGTTTGTAAAAATTGGATCAATTAATGTACTTATTGTACATCCAAATCAAAACTTTGAAAAATAGTATAGGATTAAGTCTTCCTTCAATTTAACTTTGTTTTGTTACCAGCTTTTAAATGTTCTTTTGCCAAAGTAGACCAAGAAAAATGCTGCCTCCTGAAGATGTATTCCCTAACTCCTTTACTGTTTTAATTACATTTAGCTTATAGCTTAAATTCTTTTTCAAGCTTGCATTCTCAAAACAAAACCTGAGATGTTTCAGATGTACACTGAGTATTTAAAGGAAGCAAGATTGGAATTTACAGGTAACCATAACCCTCAGTCTTCAGTGGAAGCCTTTCAGTGTTTCCCAATTACAAGTTTGGATTTAAGAAAAAAGGCCAAGATGCCTACAAAAGTAAAGTTTTGCTTTACTTACACATGTCAATAACGATAAGACTTTTAAAATCCCTATTCTGTAAAATCGAGCAAAAGAAGTTTCCTAATTTAAAAAACTAGTGATGTATCCTTTTCCAGAAAGCAAATCTGCAGCAGTATTTCTATAATAATGCTACCCTTTTATTTAGAATCTTTTAAAATATGCTTTATTAATGTCAATTTTAAAAAATATTTGACCATTACAAGGAATTTTTATATACCCCCACTAATTAAGACAAGAATTTTGTACTTGTTGATGCTCTATTTACACAGTTTTCATTGGAAAACTGCTCTTCATTGCTTTACTGTGATGCTGACATTGCTTTTGTGATGCTGAATGCTGAGTACAAGTTCCTCTCCCATTTCAACCTGGATGGGATTATCTAAAACAACTGCAGCTTGTTTCCAGTGGGAGGCTTCACTTGAAGTATCCAACCTAATCTCTTCATCAAGGTACATATGATACCAAAATGGAATAGCAGTCAGTCTTCCAGATTTACAAACGTATACCTATGAAAATAAAGAAATTAGGAAAATATCAGAGTGCATAGAGTAGACTTAGATAAGTCTCTTTTTAGTTACTTTTAAATACAAAAATTTAAAATACATTTCACTAGATTTAAATCTTTAAAGTAGCTAAAAGTATGTATAAAAGTATTACCTAATTTAAGATAATTATTCTAAACAATAACAAACGAAATCATTTTGCATGTTGTCCTTACCTTTACTTCTCTGTTAGAGGTGTTCAAATACGGAGTCATTAAATCTAGTCTTAAGAGTTCCACTGGCTTGCTTAAAGGTATACAGGGCAATGAGGATAGGTCCAAAAATACACGTATAGGTACCTAGAGAAAGTATAAATTTTTCACTTTCACTTTTTCTTTTTGTGGTCAGGGCTCAAGTTTTTCACTTTTACACATTCCTTTTGTGGTCAGGGATTGCTTTGTACTTGACTCAATAGTACTTGACAGAATGCTTTTTACATTACCTCCTTTATATTCCCACATCAAGCTAAGGCTGGCTTTCATTAGAACTTTCATTGTTCCAGTACAAAAAGAATGAACAAACCAAGGTTTAGGCAGGTTAGATAATTTGCTCTGGTTTCCATTACCTGTAGATCTTTCATTTGGATGAGAGCAGATTAAATTTTTTCTTAAGCCAAACAGCTCTAAAATTTTTAACCCAAGGATTTGCTTATGAAATAATGGTACAACACTAATTGAATTGTCTCAGAAATGATGCCAGATTCAATCAAACAATAGTTGATTTCATTTGGAAAATAAGTTTATTTCCAGAAGGCAGTGGCTCTCAATCTTGGCTGCAAATTAAAATCACCTGGGGAGGTTTTTAAAAGCCCAGCTGTTCAGGCCACACCCCAAACCATCTGGCATTAGGATCCCCAGATGTTTCCAATGTACAAAGTTGTGAATCACTATTAAGTGTTCTATCAAGTTTAGTAGCAACTGAATGCTACTATTAATACTAATGATTTTTAGCCTCATCCTCATTTGAAACAAAGGAAACTGTCATTTAAAAACCACTTTTCCTTGTATAAGGCGAAACAGGACACAGATACATTCACCTCTCCCTGGGCATCCTTGAAAGCATCCAGCCTTTATTCCCCATAAAAACTCAACAGTAACCCCACACCATTTCTAAGACTCCTTGTTATGCCTTTTGTTCCTATTTTTACATCAAACCAGAAGAAGCCTTAGATTCTCATGTCACCTCTTATCACCTGCCTCCTAATCCCCACACTGCTGAACCCATACCTCATAGTCGGCCCCCACTTTTATTTCTCACACTAACTGGTCCACTCCTGTCTTTTTTTTTTTTTTTTTTTTTTTTTTTTTAATATAGGGTCTCACTCTGTTCCCCAGGCTGGAGTGCAGTAGTACAATCACAGCTCACTGCAACCTCCGCTTCCTGGGCTCAAGTGATCCTCCCACCTCAGCCTCCCAAGTAGCTAGGACTACAGGTGCCCACCACCACACTTGGCTAATATTTGTATTTTTTGTAGAGATGGGTTTTTGCCATGTTGTCCAGGTTGGTCTCGAACTCCTGGACTCAAACAATCTGCCCTCCTTGGCCTCCCAAAGGGCTAGGATTATAGGCATGAGCCACCATGCCCGGCCCTCCTGTCATCTTTGCCAGTTCCTTCTATATAACCAACCAAACCAAGCTCATAACTTTATGAGTTCTCTAGAGTTCAGTTCCCAGCCCTCTCTATCTACATGCCCCCAAGCTATTTCATCCAGTCTTATGGCCTTAAATACCAGCTACATGCTGCTAACTGCCAAATTTAAATCTTCAGCCCAGAGCTTTCTCTGAATTCTTACCCAATTGCTCAGTGACCACAGCTACACACAAAGCCTGATCCTATTTTCCCCATTATCAGTATGGAAACTATTCTTCCAGCTGCTTTCACCTAAAAAAAAAAGGAGTCCTCTTTCATAGCCCACATCCAACTTATCAAAAATTCTACCTTTATTTATTTTTAGAGACAGGGTCAGTCTTGCTGTTGCCCAGACTGCAGTGCAGTGGCACAACCTTGGCTCACAGCAGCCTCAGCCTCTTGAGCTCAAGCCGTCCTCCCACCGCAGCCTCCCGAGTAGCTGGGACTAGAGGGGCACACCACCATGCCTAGCTAATTTTTGTAGAGAGACAGTCTCACTTTGTTGCCCAGGCTGGTCTTGAACTCCTGGGCCCAAGCAATCCTCCCACTTTGGCCTCCCAAAGTGCTGGGAATTCAGGCATGAGCCACCACACCAGCCCTACCTTTAAAATATATTGAGGATCTCACCATTTTTGCACCACTTTCACTGCTACCACTCCAGTCAAAGCCACTGACACCTCTCACCTGGATTACTACAATAATTTCATGCCTTTGCCTGGTCTCACCAGTGTTTTATTCCTAACACAGCAACCACAGCAAGCCCTTCAAAACATAAGTCACATCATGTCAAGCCTCTGTTCAATACCCTCCAGTTGTTTCCTACCCCTTTCAGAGCAAAAGCCACAGTCCTTACAAATGGCCAGAAGGTCAACATCTGGCCCCTAATACTCTGACTGCATCTCTCATCACTCTCCCTCTTGGTTGCTTCTTGCTGTTTTTGATACTCCAATCGTGATCTTGCCTCTAGCTATTTACACTTGCTGATCCTTTGATTTGTGTGATTTGCTCCCTTATTTCTTTCAGGCCTCTGTTTATCACTTACCCATGAGTCCTTTCCTTAGGTGTAACCTTTATAAAATAGTATATCCCATACGCCACACTCCCTTAACCTGCTTTATGTCCACAGCACTTCTCACCATCACAGCAGTCTTTTTACTTGTTCATTGTCTCTTCCAATGTAAATGCTAAATCCACGAGAGAGTAAACTTCTCTCTTTATTTCATAGCCCTATTCCCCAAATCTAAATGTACATGTAGTAGACATTCAGTAAAAATTTGTTACTCTATCACCCAGGCTGGAGTGCAGTGTCGTGATTTCAGCTTACCGCAACCTCCACCTCCCAGGCTCAAGCAATTCTCCTACCTCAGCCTCCCAAGTAGCTGGGACTACAGGCATGCACCACCACACCCAGATAATTTTTGTATTTTTTGTAGAGACAGGGTTTCCCCATGTTGCCCAGGCTAGTCTTGAACTTATGAGCTCGAGCAATCCGCCCCACCTTTGCCTCTCAAAGTGCCAGGACTACAGGTGTGAGCCACCATGCCCAGCCCATTTCTAAGTCTTGACTCCTTATTTCCTAAACAGAGGCTAACCCCCTTTTCCTTGAGCTCTGTTTTCCTAGGCTCCTGCATTCCTGCTCTCTGCAGTCTGATTTCTTAGAATCTGAGCATTAGCTGCTGATACTTATCAGCTGCCAGCCTGAGGTCTCAATGTAAGGGTTCAAGTTTAGAACATAGATCTTTTTTGGACAAAGACCACTCTTTTTCATAAGATTAAAACCTAGGACCCTTCTTCCATTTATGACAGTGATTCGAAGGCGTATCTAAAAACTTTTTTTTTTTTTGAGATGCAGTCTCGCTCTGTCATCCAGACTGGAGTGCAGTGGCACGATCTCGGCTCACTGCAACTCCTGCCTCCTGAGTTCAAGCGATTCTCCCACCTCAGTTTCCAGAGGAGCTGGGATTGCAGGCACGCACCACCACACCTGGCTAATTTTTTTGTATTTTTAGTAGAGGTGGGATTTCACCATGTTGGCCAGGCTGGTCTTGAACGCCTGACCTCAAGTGATCCACCCGCCTGGGCCTCCCAAAGTGCTGGGATTACAGGCATGAGCCACACACCTGGCCAAATATCTATAAACTTTTATCAGCAGTCATGACAAAATTCCTTGGTTATTGTAACCTCTAGGTTGATTTTTACCTATAATAAGTTCCTTTGTTCTAGGAACTTATTATAGGTAAAAATCTAAGTCACTGTGATTAATCCAGCTAAACTTTAGTCACTGTGTTTAGCTAGATTAAACAGTGACTAAAGAGAGAGCGATGGTAGACTGTTCAACAGCATCCTGGTTGAACTTCTCCTCTAGACACTTACCTGAAACTGGTTAATAAAAGGTGCTATATTTAATCCAAGAGTACGTTCTGTTCCTTGAACAGCATTCTCCTCTAGGAGTGTCTGTGATTCCACAAGCAACCCAAACATCAGCACATACTGAGGAAAGATCTTGCCTCCAGATTGTAGTAAACACCTAAGAAAAAAAGTACATATTTTAAAAAGCTCTTGGGGCAGGGCGACAGTGGCTCACGCCTGTAATCCTAGCACTTTGGGAGGCCAAGGTGGGTGGATCACTTAAGCCCAAGAGTTCAAGACCAGCCTGGGCAACATGGCGAAACCTCATCTCTACAAAAAATACAAAAACTAGCCAACTAGATCCACAGGTGGCATGCACCTGTAGTTCCACCTACTTGGGAGGCTGAGGCAGGAGGACTGCTTGAATCCAAGAGGTAGCAGTTGCAGTGAACCAACATCCCGCCACTGCACTATAGCCTGGGTGACAGAGTGAGACTCTGTCTCAAAAAATCATAAAATAAAACAAAAAAAAACCCTTTGTAATCCCCTACATTGTATAAACATCAGTAACTAAGAATCATGATAAATTAGTAAAGAGCTACAGATTACATAGAGTCTAATGGACTTTCTGTTATTCATGGCTGGTATTTCAGAATAGTAAACCACTAGAAATAATTTCCCAAGTCAAAGTAACTACTGATCAGTGAAAGAGAAAAATGACAGGTTAGCTATTTAAATGGACACACGTCTTTAGATTCAGGAAAGAGTCATCAATGGATGCTAAAACTAGTAGGTCAAAGTTTGATTAGGAAAATATCCTTTTACAGTCTCCAAGTATCACCCCCAAAAATGACTTATCACAAAGGGGGAAACAGTAACTTACTGAATGGAGAAATGTGTAGATACAACTTAAACCATGTGATTGTATTAACATCAAAAACAATGGGACAGGCTGGGCATGGTGGCTGATGCCTATAATCCCAATACTTTGGGAGGCCAAGGTGAGAGGATTGCTTGAGCCCAGGACTTCAACCCCTGCCTGGGCAACATAGCAAGACCCCATCTCTACAAATAAATAAACTAGCCAGGTGTGGTGGTGCACACCTGTAGTCCCAGCTACTCAACAGGCTGAGATGGGAGGATCGCTTGAGCCCAGGAGGTCCACATTGCAGTGACAGTGACTGCACCACTAAAGAGACATGAAAACTAAATGGAATATATGATCCTGGATTGGATTCCAGACCAGAAACAAAAAAGCTACAAAGGACATTATTGTGACAACTGGTGAAATCTGGATAAGATTTGTAGCTTAGATAACAGTATTGTGTCCCTGTAAATTTCCTGATTTTAATAATTGTACAGTGATTATATCAGTGAATGTCCTATGCATTCCAAGGTATTAGGAGTAAAGACACATTGTATCTATGGTTCAGGGAAAGAGCCTGAAATGTTTTTTCCTGAACAATTTAGCAGATGTGGCAAAATAGTAATAGTGTATTACTATTACTGAGTGTAAGGTATATGGTAAGTTCTTTGTATTATTCTTTAACTTCTCCAAAGGCTTAAAAATTATTTCAAAATAAAAGGTTACACACTCCAAATGCAAAATTTAAAAAAAAAAAAAAAGTCCAAATACTCTAATACTGGAGGAGAGAGAGTCAAGGGTTAACAAAATCCTTTCTCTTCCTACGTTGACCTTGGGTTTACCTTCTCTTTCCCTGAAAATCTTATAAGAATAGAATGTCAGCTGTGTTTATCAGGAACACTGCTTATGGTTAAAAAAAAAAAAAAAAAAAAAGAATGCCTCTTAATAGGTAGACTATATCTGGATGGAGAGAACTACGAACAAAGGATAAATGCCTGACGGGAACCCATACCACATGTGGGCTTCCCTGAGAGTGTAACCAGGTGTTCATATTGCTAGGCCGTGGAAGCTGTGCCCATGGGAGAAGAGTTGCTATATGAAGCTAAGGGCTGTTAAGTCAAGGCAGCTTCCACACCTACCTATGTAATCTTGTTTCCTCACACCTGAGCTATGTGCTATGTGTGAAGGGAGAGAAGGGTGGGTGGGCCACCTACTGACATCCAGTGAAATGGAGGTGGAGGATACTTTAAACCAAATAATTATTTTCATTTGCCACATTTACAATCAAATGTCAAATCTACATTTTTACTGAATATTCCAAGCTTGTTCCTACTTGAATTTCTAGAACAGGATACTAGGCAGGTGAACTTTATATTATCATATGTACATTTCACAGTATGTTTTTACTCCTAAGTTAAATAGAGTAAGAATCCACTTATAAAAATACAGAACTAAACATTTCACCAACACATTTTTTCATATCTTAAAAAGTAATTCATATACATTTCCAAAATTATATACTATGTAGTCTCCCTAAATAGATCATTAAAACCTAAACAAGCTAAGCTATAAAACACCCCATTCCTCAAAACTACTTTGGCACTACTGCTCTTGAATTAGATTTAAATTAATTCTCTGGTCTCTTACTAAACTGATTATCTCAATTTTATAACCACTTAAAAGATATCTAAAGCAAGGACAATTAAATTATAATGACAAGACATGGCAACTAAATGCAATGTAAGACTCTTGATTAGAACTAGACTGGGAAGAAAAGCAATGAAGAATATTACTGGGGTAATGGAAAATTTTAATATGCACTATATATTATATAATAGTGTTTTATCAATGTGAAATATCCTGAGTGATAATTTTATTGTGATATGTAGGGGAAAACATTTGTTCTTAGGAAACACATGCTAAATACTAAAGAAAATATGAAGTTTATGATGCCAGCAATCAACTATCAAATGGTTCAGTAAACTAAACAATAATCTAGTGTTCTCTGTTATTATTCTTGCAATTTTTCCTAAGTTTGAAAATTTTCAAAATAATACATTTGAGGAAAAGTTAACAAGGAAACAGTCTGCTCTTGTAACAGCTCACTCTCTCCTAAAGACAAGCTAACCGGAAGCCATATCCCCAGCCGTGATGTGAGGAGCACAGATTCAGCAAGGAAAGTTAGAGATGACTCCTAAGTGTAATGGCACCAGACTGATAAAGATAAGTCATGTTCCTGAACCAGGATAATCTCTCTTTACCCACTAAATGTAACGACATGATCCTTCTGAGTTGTAATAAATCCTATATTCATAAATTAGCCTAAAAATGGACTCCACCCTGACCCCAGTGCTTTACTCATTGTTGCTATTCCTTTCCTATCAACTTTTTGTCATAATAGGTAGTCTGGTAGAAATTCAGTCTCCACAGTTAGTGAAATTTCACACATCTTAATAAGATTGCACAGCTCTTAACCAAATTGCAATCTATGCCTTTACCAAACTGGCTAAAATTTTATGTCTTCCCAAATCACTGGAAAAATCTTTTTTCCTCAAAAGGATCAAGTTTAATCCTGAAAACTCATGTTATTATCTGAACAACTGAAGTTATCTGCTAACTGTGATCCATTTAAGTGAAGATCAGATCTAATTTTCTTCAAGATCACAAAGGTCTCTGAAAGGAGAGACTAGCCACAGAACTTTATGTTGCTTGACTAACAACCCTCCACTCCCCAAATAGCCAAAGAGGTATCATTCTATGAAATTAGCAAGCTAAAAAAGCACACAGGTTAATAAAAGCTAACCTTGTAGCTATGTAATCTATGGGAGAAAGAGAGTTGGAGAACGATACCATGTGAGTCACTTAGGTAGTCTTAGGAACCATTTCTATTTATAAAACATAGGTTGAGCCCAGGAAGTCAAGGCTGCAGTGAGCCATGATCATGCCACTGCACTCCAGCCTGGGTGACAGAGTAAGAGCCTGCCTAAAAAAAATAAAAATAAAACTTCTGACACAAAGTGGTGGTGGGCTGGGGAGGGGGGGGAGGGGGGTGCAGGGAGGAGGTTCCCACCCCAAAAAAATTCTCAGACACCTTTTGAGTGTACTACAATTCAAATCAATTCTGACACTACCTGGAGTTAGCATCAGGTGCTATAAAAGCTCAGTCCCACATGAATGCCCCCAGTTCTGATGCCAATTGTAGGTCCTAGTACTTTTGGCCATCTATAAATCTGAAACCACCTTTGCAAAAATTATGGCAGTGCAAGAAATCTAACATAGCTCACTCCATCTTGCTTCTAACCTCACAAACTGACGGACCCAGGCATAGGGTAAGCTAACTGTGGGAGAAATTTTAGTTTATAGTTTAACTTTAAAGCACGGATGGTAATAGTCCCTTCCTGAAATGAACCCCCTCCTTGTTCAGGGACCAAAACAGCCACTGTAAAACTAAGGAAAGGCCACAAGGTTAGGATTATGGGAGGAGCCTGAATTCTGCTAAAATGTAGGCACAGTTAAATGATACCCAGTCATTGTACCCTAGCTTGTTTTTCTATAATGCCCTACTGCTCAGGAATCATGGTGCCAGAGGTCACAAGATGTATAACTGCCCCAATTGCTCCTATAGATAACATCAGTATTGTAAAACCTAAGATTGGTCTTTGAGACATTTTTCAGACTCAAATACTTCTATGACTCCCACCCAGAAAGTTGACTCAGCACAGGAAGATCGTTTTTGACATCCCTATGATTTCATCCCCAACCAATCAGCAGTATCCATTCCCTAGCCACCAGTCCACCAAATTATCTTTTAAAACTAGCCTCTGAGTTCTCAGGGAGGTGGATTCGAAAAACATGTCCCATTCTTCCACTTGCCTGCCTTGTGATAATTACACTTTTCTTTTTTTTTTTTTTTGAGACGGAGTCTCACTCTGTTGCCCAGGCTGGAGTGCAGTGGTACAATCTCAGCTCACTGCAACCTCTGCCTCCCAAGTTCAGGCGATTCTTCTGCCTCAGCCTCCTGAGCAGCTGGGATTACAGGCACACATCACCATTCCCAGCTAATTTTTGTATTTTTAGTAGAGACGGGGTTTCACCATGTTGGCCAGGCTAGTCTCAAACTCCTGACCTCAAGTGATCCACCCACCTCGGCCTCCCAAAGTGCTGGGATTACAGGCATGAACCCACCTAAACTTTCCCTACTGCAACTCCTGCTGTTCTCACTGTATTGGCTTTTCTGGGCAGTGGGTAAGAAGAACCCATCAGGCTGTAACAAATCAAGGGTTCCCACAATGTCCTCTTTGAGTTCAATAATTTGCCAGAATGGCTCACAGAACTCAGAAAAACACTTTACTTATATTTACGGATTTATTACAAAGGATACAACTCAGGAATAGCCGAATATAAAGTATACATAGGGCAAATATGATATTGTGATTATAATAAGATACATATATATCTGGTCTTCATCTTGTTTCCTGCCCCAGAACTCCTAACACCCTTGGAACCTACAGAATGGTAAGAGTATCTTCTGTATGCTAATGAGATAAATGATGACTAAGGGCCCCTACCTAGCCCTAGGTTGGGGGCTAAAAGACCATGGCAAGATTAGAGGATTGGGACTTTCCATCCAACCCACTAGCCTCCAGAGAGAGGAGACACACTGAAGGTTGAGTTGATCACTAATAGCCAATGATGTAATCAGTCATGCCTACATAACAAAGCTTCCATAAAAACCCAGAAAGACAAGGTTCAGAGAGCTTCCAGGTAGCTGAACACATGGAGGTTCCTAGAGGGTGCCCAGAGAGGGCATGGAAGCCCCATGCCACTTCCCACATGCTTACTCTATGCATCTCTTCATCTGGCTCTTCATCTGTATCCTTTGTAATATCCTTCATAATAAATGAAATGGGCAAACATAAGTAAAGTGTTTCCCTGAGTTCTGTGAACCACTCTAGCAAAGTAATGGAACTCGAAGAGGTGGTCTCAGGAACTTCCGATTTACAGCCTGTAAGAAGTACAAGTGACATACTTGTAACTGGCATCTGAAGTAGGGGGCAGTCTGTGGAACTGAGCCCTCAACCTGTGGGACCTGACACTATCAACTAAGTGATAATCAGTTTAGTTGTCTGTTATGTATGCTTGCAATTTTTTTTTTCTCTGTTATTATCCTTGCAACTCAACTTATGTATGTGAATGAGATGAATGGTGACTAAGGCCCCCTCCCTACCCTTAGGTTGGGGGCTAAAAGATAGTGTCAGATCTTAGCTATGTTCAGATAAAATGACCATTGCCTTGAAACTCTGCTTATCTTTACTAACATTAAGTGTTTTGTTGTTACTTACATTACTGCAACTGCTAGGCTCCTCAGAAATCTTTTGCAAAGCTAAATGATACTTCAGAACCATCCATGCCTTCAGCAATGAAAAAAATAACGTTGTAACTCAAAAGTCTAACAAACTACAACAGACTGGGTAATTTATAAAGAACAGAAACTTATTTGGCTGACTGTTCATGGCAGAGGGCAGAGAGAGAGAGAGAGAAGAGGGGGAGAGAGAGAAGAGGGAGAGAGAGAGAGAAGAGGGAGAGAGAGAGAAAGGGAAAGAGGGCTGACCTCATCCTGTAAAAAAAACCCACTCCCATGATAATGGCCTTAATTCACTAATGAGGGCAGAGCCCTCCTGACCTCATCCCCCCTTAAATATCACACCTCTTAACACTGTTGCACTGAGGATTAACTTTCCAACCCATGAGCTTTGGAGGAGACACTCAAACCATAGCCATGGTTTTTTAAAAAAACAAAAAACGAAAGAGCTTACCAAACCTTCAAGCTTTCATCTGTATTTTAAACTAGCATGAGTGAATAGAACTTAAGAATGAACTTTTTTTTTTTTGAGATGGAGTTTCACTCTTGTTGCCCAGAGCTGGAGTGCAATGGCGCGATCTCAGCTAACAGCAACCTCTGCCTCCAGGGTTCAAGCGATTCTCCTGCCTCAGCCTCCCAAGTAGCTGGGATTACAGGCATGCGCCACCACGCTTGGCTACGTTTTTTTTATTTTTAGTAGAAACGGGGTTTCTCCATGTTGGTCAGGCTGGTCTCAAACTCCAGACCTCAGGTGATCCGCCCGCCTTGGCCTCCCAAAGTGCTGGCATTACAGGCATGAGCCACCGCATCCAGCAAGAATGAACATTTAAAAACAACTGCAGGCCAGGCACAGTGGCTCACACCTGTAATCCCAACACTCTGGGAAGCCAAGGCAGGAGCCCAGTTACTACAATACATCACATTAACAGAATGAAGACCACATGATCATCTCAATGGACGCAGAAAAAGCATTTGACAAAAATCACACTTTCATTATAAAAGCATTCAACAAACTAGGAATAGAAGGAAACTACCTCAACATAATAAAAGCCATATATGAAAAGCCCACAACTATCATGTTAACATCACCACACTTAAAGACTGACAGCTTTTCTCCTAAGATCAGATACAAGGGAAAGATGCCCACTCTTTCCACTTCTGTTCAACACAGTACTGGAAGTCCTCACCAGAGAAATTACACAAGAAAAAATAACATATCCAAATTGGAAAGGAAGAAGTATAATTATCTCTATTCATAGATGATATGTCATATATAGAAAACTCTAAAGAAAAACAACAACAAAAACCTGTTACAACTCATAAATGACTTCAGCAAAATTATGGGATACAAAATAAACATGCAAAAATCAGCTGCATTTGCATGTACTAGCAAAGGCTAAGCTAAATAGAAAATTAAGAAAAGAATCCATTTATAATAGCATCTAAAAAATAAAATACTTAGGAATAAACCTACCTAGGAATACTTAGGCAAAAGACTTGTTTGTACACTGAAAACTATAAAACATAGCTTAAAAAAAAATTTAAAGACACAGATGAATGGAAAGGCACACTGTGTTCATGGATGGGAACACCTGCAATCCATATCAAAACCCCAAGAGTGTTTTTTGTAGAAACAGAAAAATTTACCCTAAAATTTATATGGAATCTCAAAGAACTGTAAACCGCCAAGACAGTCTTGAAAAAGAACAAAGTTGGAGGCCTCACACTTCCTGACCTTAAACAAACTACAAAGCAACAGCAATCAAGACTGTGGTATGGTACTGGTATAAAGACAGACATACAGACCAACGGAACTAGAAACAAGAGCCCAAGGCGGGCACGGTGGCTCATGCCTGTAATCCCAGCACTTTGGGAGGCCAAGGCGGGCAGATCACAAGGTCAGGAGATCGAGACCATCCTGGCTAACACGGTGAAACCCCGTCTCTATTAAAAATACAAAAAATTAGCCAGCTGTGGTGGCATGCGCCTGTAGTCCCAGCTACTCGGGAGGCTGAGGCAGGAGAATCCCCTTGAACCCAGGAGGTGGAGCTTGCAGTGAGGTGAGATAGCGCCACTGCAGTCTGGCCTGGACAAAAGAGTGAGACTCCATCTCAAAAAAAAAAGAAACAAGAGACCATATAAATAAACCCACAAATTATGTTCAGAAAACATATCCGAAATATGTTTTCCAAAATATACAAAAACATGTATATTTTTATATACACCATATACAAAAATTAACTCAAAATGGATTAAACAACTGAATATAAGACCTTAAACTATAGAACTTCTGAAAGACAATACAGGAGAAAAGCTTGAGGACACTGGATTCAGCAATGATTTCTTGGATATGATATCAAAAGCTGTTTTGCAACCAAAGCAAAAGTAGACAAATAGGACTAAATCAAATTTTAAAACTTTTGCACATCAAAGGAAATGATCAAAAGAGTGAAAAGGCAACCTATGAAGTGGGAAAAAAATATTTACAAATCATACATGAAATAAGGGGTTAGTATCCAGAATACAGAAATAACTCCTACAACTCAATAACAAAATAACCCGGTTAAAAAATGGGCAAGACTTGAATAGATATTTCTCCAAACTATGTACAAATGGTCAAAAAGTGTATGAAAAGATGCTCAACATCACTAATCATTAGTAAATCCTGACACATACTACAACATGGATGAACCTTGAAGACATTATGCTAAGTGAAACAACCCAGTCAGAAAAGGAAAAATAAATACTGTATGATTTCACTTGTTTGAGGTCTCAAGAGTTAGTTAAACTCATAGAAACAGAAAGTAGATTGCTGGATGCCAGGACCCAGGGTGGGAGGGGAGTATGGGAAATTGTCATTTATTCAGTATAGAGTGTTTTACAATATGAAAGAGCTCTGGAGATAATTTATGTAACGAGGTGAATATACTTCACACTAATGAAGTGAAAAATGACTGACTAAATTTTAGGAATATTTTATCATAATTTCAAAACAATTTTTAATAAAATAAAATGTGGCTATAAAGTGATTATACTGAATTTTTTCGCACACATAGAAGAATTTGCAAATTCATGTGTCACCATTCTCAACAGTCACACTGCAACTACAAAAACAAAAACAAAAGAAGATCCCCAAAATGGTCCATTATTCAAAACATGTCTGAAATACATCTTTGGTACTAATTTAACCAATTTCTTTACTTTCTAATTTAATTAATTTAAAAAAAACTGAACTTACCAAATTTGAATAATGACATTATAAAAAGGCCTCCACAAAATTTCTGGCTATTTACCAAAAAATAAAAAATAATAAATAAAACCACCTTTGCCACTGCTGTTTCTCCTAATCAATGTATTGTTATGAAGGCAATTTCAAAAACAAACTTTTTGATAAAAATCACTCAATTAGCTGAGATCACGCCGCTGCACTCCAGCCTGGCGACAGGGCGAGACTCCATCTCAAACAAAAAAAAAAAATCACTTAATTATCAAAACTTACCTAATTGTACACATAGGATTTCATCAGTATGTATACTTTAAAACCTATGAACCTATAAGCAGTGGCACATGCCTGTAACCCTAGCTACTCAGGAGGCTGAAGTGGAAAAATCACTTGAGCCCAGGAGTTCAAGACCAGCCTGGGCAGCACAGTGAGAACCACCACAACCCCACCCTATCCCCACCCCATCCCACCAGACCCCATTCTACCCTACCCCGTGTCTAAAAAAAAAAAACGAAAAAACAAAAAAAAAAAATCTATAAACTAATACTGAACTCTCGTTGGTAGTTTTGCTTTCCACAGTAGTATGTGTTACCAAGTTTGAAACAATGTTATGTGGATTCTCCCTATGAGCAAATGAGTAAGTATATTCATGTTAGTGAGAGCCAGGCTGTTATTGCTGGAGAAAGAATATAAATATGAAAAAAGGGAACACTATAATGTACCATGTGATAGTGGATTAGAACTGAAGGTATCAGTATTCACTCATGATTTTATATAAATAGATAAATTAAAAATACCTGTATGTGTGATTGTGCACACATATATGGATTCATGCGTGTGTACATGCACACAAAAACACACACATCCTCTTCCTAGCCTTTTCAACTCAGAGAGCCTAAAAGCAATGACCAGTAGCAATAAGCATACAGACCTATCATTAAGATCTTGGTTTCAGCCGGGCATGGTGGCTCATGCCTATAATCCCAGCACTTTGGGAGGTCAAGGGGGTGTGGATCACTTGAGGTCAGGCGTTCAAAACCAGCCTGACCAACATGGTGAAACCCCGTCTCTACTAAAAATACAAAATTAGCTGGTGGGGTGTGCCTGTAATCCTAGCTACTTGGGAAGCTGAGGCAGGAGAATCGTTTGAACCCAGGAGGCGGAGGTTGCAGTGAGCCGAGATTGAGCCATTACACTCCAGCCTGGGCAGCAAGAGCGAAACTCCGTCTTAAAAAAAAAAAATATATATATATATATCTTGGTTTCAAAATATGGTTCTCCACTAAAAGGAACCAAAAGGAACCAGAGTCCCTTGGAGAAAGACTAATCCTAAGGCTGGGGTTGAGAAAAATTCAAGATGAAAGTAAAACATCTGGTTGCACCAAAGTAAGAACATGCTTAAAGAATTATGGGAACGTGTCAAAAAGACACAGGAACTAGTTTAGAGGACCTCCCACTGGCCAAACCAGCGATGATTTTAGCAGCAAATGAAGTCACACGTCCTGAAAAGTAATGCTTGAGGAGCATACAGTGATCTTGACTTATTTTTACAGTTAAGCGATTAAAGAACTTAAGGAATTTACATAAAATCTGACCTCAAAAAAAAAACAAAGCCAAAAGTTATTATTTTGTGTTTTACCTGGATATTGCAGCTTTTTCCATTATTTCCTGCTGAATGAGCCCAGATGGCTCAATGACATCCAATATAATTATGCTCCATAACTTGTCTGATTTTGGCCTTTGTAACATAGCAGATTCATCCTCCACATGTCTCAGCCAAAACTCAAGTGTTTCTTTAGGAAAGTGATTGGCTTCAGATATGAGGTCCAGAGCAATACGATGCTGGTCTTTCTCCACAGAACTGTATGGTTTAACCTGCCCAAGTGTGCCAGCAATAACAGGCAGAACAGAGAAGCCTTCGGACACATCTAACACGTAGAAAGGTTCAAGGATGTTCTGTACAGTATTACTCTGTCCAGTTCCAGAGCTCATCTCATTCTGACAGTGAGTATCCATGGTCTGATACAGTTTCTCTGGAGTCAGTGAAGACAAAACTTTGCTCATTGCCATTTTAAAGCCTTCATGATATGGGATGTTGTTAAGCAAAGCAATTTCTGTAGATTCCAATATACATGTCTGCTCTACAGCATCTGGTTTACTGGTCTGAAGGTTAGCGAGGGCACTACAAAGTTCAGCCTCATTTCCTAACGATAACAAGTCTTTATTCTGGGTAAAACTTTTTGCAACATCCATTTCACATTCCAAACCCAAGACACTAATACTCTGGATTCTTAAGTAACAGTCTTGACAAGATACTTCCATCATCACATGGTCTCCAGGCTTTATCCAGTAGTCTTCATTAAATAGTAAGGAAGAAAAAAAATATGGAGTACTTATAAGCCAGAGGATCACATAAACATCTCCATCCTCCATCTAGCCCCCCATTCTTTAGATCACTATAGAAAGGATTACAAATACTCATTTAATATACAAAAAACTAGGAAAACTCTACCAGATTTACTTAGGGAAAAACTGAAATTTGAATACTCAATTAACCAGTAGCATAATGGAGACATTTGAGAGCTCCATTATTGACTCTGAGACTATCAGTATGATAATGTTTTTAATGCCATCACTAGGTCTCTCCATATCCCCAAATTGGGGTGTTGGTGGAGTACTGCAGGGGACTCTATCATCTTTGGTAATAAAGGCTAACAACAACAAAGATAAAATTCAGGGATAAATATCAAACCTCACTTTAGCTTAAAGGGACATTCTTTAAGAGAAATGTCCAAAAGAACAAGGTAACATTCAACAGAATCGTATCAGTTATATTTGTTAACTGTAAGTATTTTAGACATTCTTGCATGTCTAGGAACTTCAAAGTATAAGGAAGAACCAAGTCCTACAATAAAGACCATATGATACTCCCTTCATATATGGGAAAACTTTTGTTTGTTTTGTCTTTTGAGACAAGATCTCACTCTGTCACCCAGGCTGGGATGCAGTGGTGTAACATGGTCCCCTGCAGCCTCCAACTCCTGGGCTCAAGTGATCCTCCTGCCTCAGTCTCCCAAGTAGCTGAGACTACGGATACATGCCACCAGGCCCAGCTATTTTTTTTTTTTTAAATAGAGATGAGGTCTTGCTATTTTACCCAGGCTGGTCTTGAACTCCTGGGCTCAAGTGTTCCTCTTGCCTCAGCCTTCCAATGTGTTGGGATTACAGGCGTGAGCCACTGTGCCTGGCCTACATGTGGTAAAATTTTAAAATGTAAATGTATAATCGCAATTCCTTCTCATTAACCCTGGAACCAGTTGAAAATACAAATTGTTATACTTTTTTGGGTTTTTTGGAGACAGTGTCTTGCTTTGTTGCCTAGGCGGGAGTGCAGTGGTATGATCACTGTGGCCTCAATCTCAGGGCTCAAGCTATCCTCCCCACCTCAGCCTCCAGAATAGCTGGGACTACAGGCGCTCACCATCATGCCTGAATTTTTAAATATTTTTAGTAGAGACCAGGCTGGTCTCAAACTCCTGAACTCCAGCAATCCTCCTACCTCAGCAGGAGGATACCAAAGTGCTAGGATTACAGGCATAAGCCACTAAGCCCAGCCATAAATTGCTATTCTTATGCTTAAACATGTAAATGTCCTTTCTCTAAGAAGGTTTAAAAAACAAAAGATCATCTGTCTAAGTTACTACAGGTATAAGAGAGTTAGAATAAACACAAGTAAAAAATGTCATTCACTGAGTGCCAGTCACTGTGGTCGGCATTTTATACCCACTATCTCTAAGAATCCCTATAACAGTGCTGCAAGATAAATGGTATCATCCCGTTTTTATATATGATACAACAAAAGCTCTGAGAAACAAGTGGCAAGGATGGCCAGGAAGGAATGAGTAAGTAGCAGAGACAAGAACTGAATCCAAATCTACCTAACTCCAAAAACAACATACTGGCTACAACAATATACTGATTCCAGGCCTTTATGACCTTGCCAAATTAGATCCTTGATTAAGAAACTAAACAGAAATAGATGTATTAACTTCCAGTTTAAGAAGGGTAGAGTTTTTCTGTGTGTGTGCGTGTGTGTGTGTGTCAGGATGTCCCTCTGTTGCCCAGGCTGGAGTGCAGTGTTATAATCTTGGCTCACTGCAGGCTCAGCCTCCTGGACTCAAGCGATCCTTCTTCCTCAGTGCCCCAAGTAGCTGGGACTACAAGCACTTGCCACCATCCCCAGCTAAATTTTTTCATTTTGTAGAAATGAGGTCTTGCAGCCGGGCACGGTGGCTCACACCTGTAATGCCAGCACTTTGGGAGGCTGAAGTGGATGGATCAAGAGGTCAGGAGATCGAGACCATCCTGGCTAACACAGTGAAACCATGTCTCTACTAAAAATACAAAAAATTAGCTGGGCGTGGTGGCATGCACCTGTAGTCCCATATACTCAAGAGACTGAGGCAGGAGAATCACTTGAACCCAAGAGGCGGAGGTTGCAGTGAGCTGAGATTGCGCCACTGCACTCCAGCCTGGGCAACAGAGCGAGACTCTGTCTCAAAAAAAAAAAAAAAAAAAAAAAAGAAAGAAAGAAAAAAAGAAATGAGGTCTTGCTATGTTGCCCAGGCTGGTTTAAACTCCTGGCCTCAAGCAATCCTCCCACCTGGGCCTCCCAAAGTACTAGGGTTACAGGTGTCAGCCACCATACCCAGCCTAAAAAGGGTAGTTTTTCTATATAATTCAACTACTTTAAACTTACTGAAACCCATCGAATCACTGTAAAAAAAATTTCCATACAAAAAAAAAATCTTTATACAGAACTTCCCTAGGGAAGTTCAGATTCATGAACTCTCTAAAACTGAAAAATTTTGTGCTTATATGAGTGTGTACATTTTTATGATGCAGGGCTCCACAGACGTTATCGGCTTCTCTAAGGAGTAAGAACTCCTGCACTAAAAGCAATACTTTTCCAGTACTTTCCATGAAATAATGGAGCAGGATTTCTTTCATCTACTGATAACTAGAAAAATCGGCCGGGCGCAGTGGCTCACGCCCGTAATCCCAGCACTTTGGGAGGCCGAGGTGGGTGGATCACGAGGTCAGAAGATCGAGACCATCCTGGCTAACACGGTGAAACTCGGTCTATACTAAAAATACAAAAAAGTAGCCAGGCGCAGCAGCGGGCGCCTGTAGTCTCAGCTACTCGGAAGGCTGAGGCAGGAGAATGGCGTGAACCCGGGAGGCGGAGCTTGCAGTGAGCCGAGATCAAGCCACTGCAATCGGCCTGGGCAAAAGAGCGAGACTCTGTCGTTAAAAAAAAAAAAAGAAAAAAGAAAAATCAGAGCTGAAGAAATAATGATAGGTTTTTCAAATGCTATGCAACAGAGTTGTGTTTGTCTCTCTTAACCACAAATATTACCTATTTCAAATTTCTTTTGAAAAAAAATGAAGTTCTGAAAGATTTAACCAACCTCCTTTGACTGAAACCTTCATATCCAAAGTAATTTTTTTTTTGCCACTGACTTGAATACTTAGAAGATTAAAGCAAGAGGTTAAAAAAAAAAATGGACAAGACCTACCTGCAAGGTCCTGTACGGGGTAGACAGCCTGTTCCCAACATGTTTCCTCACTAGGACTTGTGGATAAACTATGTTCATCATCAAGCTGGAGCACAAACCAAACCATAATAGCATCTAGTATGCCTTCTTTAATAACAGGAATACCAATCTTATCAGGCTTTTTAGTTGCAAGACTTTTTAATTCCTGAGAAAAATGTAGAAGGAATGAAACGGTTTTATATATTTCATATATACTTGCCTCAGTATCTTACCATTTTCCATCTCTGGAGTTCTTAGTCCTGCCCAGCTCCCTTAGGGATTCAGTATCTTGGCACACCTATAACCATGTAAGGCCCACTGGTTGGGAAGCTCTGACCTATTTTATTGGAATACCATGCAGCTATTATTAAAAAGAATGAAGCAGATATATATTGCTGATATGGAAAGAAGTCCATAATATATTGTTGAATTGAAAAGGTTAAGTGACAAAGCAGTGGAGATTGTTTTGTTTAGAAAATAGAGGGGGATGGAGGGGGGTAGAGAGAGAGAGGGAGTAGTGAGAGAGAGCATGTGTTTAAGAGAGAGAGTGAGAAAGAGAGAGAGTGAGTGTGTATGTGTGTGTGTGTACAGAAAAGAAAGTCTGGAAAGATGTACTTCAAACTAGTGACCTGGGGAAAGGGTTGAGATTTTAAAAAGGAAGAAAAATACTAGGACTTTTTCCTTTCTATCCTGTATTGCTTGAAAGTCTTAAACAGGCAGGCATGACTTTTGAAATTAAAACCTTAGTAAGATTTGTGTGTGGCTAAGAAAAATTAAAATTTTAAAAAGCCTTAAAATAATAAAAGGATAGTTCGGGGGTAAATGGCAGCTACAAACGTGTTACTTGCTATTGAAAGTCGTAACAGGTAAGGAATGCTCTTGAAGCTCAGAAAGCTCAGCCTCAGTAAGCAAGGCCAAATTGTTAAATTAGTTCCAGATCTCCTCAAGAACAATGTGGTAACAAATAATAAAGGAAAGCTTCTATTAAATTATAAAAATCTTAGGCTAGCTGGGCATGGTGGCTCACGCCTGTAATCCCAGCACTTTAGGAGGCCAAGGTGGGTGGATCATTGAGGTCAAGAGTTTGGGGCCGGGCACGGTTGCTCACACCTGTAATCCCAGCACTTTGGGAGGCCAAGGCGGACGGATCACGAGGCCAGGAGATTGAGACCATCCTGGCTAACACGGTGAAACCCCGTCTCTACTAAAAATACAAAAAAGTAGTCGGGCATGGTGGCGGGCACCTGTAGTCCCAGCTACTCGGGAGGCTGAGGCAGGAGAATGGCGTGAACCCGGAAGGTGGAGCTTGCAGTGAGCCGAGATCACGCCACTGCACTCCAGCCTGGGCGACAGAGTGAGAGTCCACCTCAAAAAAAAAAAAAAGAGTTCGAGACCAGCCTGGCCAACATGGTGAAACACCATCTCTACTAAAAATACAAAAATTAGCCGCTCATGGTGGTGGGTGCCTGTAATCCCAGCTACTCGGGAGGCTGAAGCAGGAGAATCACTTGAACCCGAAAAGTGGAGGCTGCAGTGAGCCAAGATCGCACCACTGCACTCCAGCCTAGGCAACAAGAGGGAAACTCTGTCTCAAAAAAAAAAGAAAAAAAAGAAAAAAAAATCTTAGGCTAAAATTACCCTCACAGAGTCTTCTATCTCCAAACAGGTTTCACTTACAACATTTATGTACTTGAACATTTAACCTTACCTATTAAAGATCTTTAGAGAATTCTATGTAACCTTTCCAATTTCTTTGGGCACTTTCTTTTCTTTTTTTTTTTTTTCTGAGACGGAGTTTCGCTCTTGTTGCTCAGGCTGGGGTGCAATGGCGCAATTTTGGCTCATGCAAACTCCGCCTCCTGGGTTCAAGCAATTCTCCTATCTCAGCCTCCCAAGTAGCTGGGATTAGAGGCACCCGCCACCACACCCAGCTAATTTTTTGTATTTTTTTAGTAGAGACAGGGTTTCACCATGTTGGCTAGGCTGGTCCTGAACTCCTGACCTCAGGTAATCCACCTGCCTCGGCCTCCCAAAGTGCTGGGAGGACAGGCATGAGCCACCTCGCCTGGCTGGGCACTTTCTTTATACAGAACATCCTCACGCCATTCACTAACACACACACTAGAGTGATAAGCTTCTCTTGCTTTTCCTAGGAATGTCTTAGTTTCAAAATAGAAAGTCTCAAGTCTTGGAACCCCCTTCAGTCCTGGACAAACCATGAAGGCTGGTCACCATAATGCACATACAACCTAGAGATTTGGATTATTGTTCATTTTGTTAATTTGAAATGGCAGCATGATATAGAGATAAGTCAGAAAGACCTAGGTTAGAATTCCTGCCCCTGTATTCACATATTGAATAACTTGGGGGGAAATTATTTAATGTGAGCAACAATTTCCTCATCTGTGTAACACAAGGATAATTATAATTGTATGGCAGTATGTCATAAGAGCTGCCTAAGAACACAAGTGAAAGCACCTGGCACCCTATATATTCCCAACAATCTTAGGAGGGGTTTTCTCTGTATTTAAATAAGCAGGCTGGCACAGTGGCTCCTATGCCTGTAATCCTAACACTTGGGGAGGCCAAGGTCAGCAGATCGCTTGAGCTCAGAGTCTGAGACCAGCGTGGGCAACATGGCAAAACCGCATCTCTACTAAAAATATAAAAATTAGCCGGGCACAGTGGTACATGCCTGTAGTCCCAGCTACTTGGGGGACTGAGGCAGGAGGATTGCTTGAACCTGGGAGGTCGAGGCTGCAGTGAGCCGAGATGGTGCCACTGCACTCCAGCCTGGGTGACAGAGCAAGACACTGTCAAAGAAAGAAAAGAAAGAAAGGAAAGAAAAGCAAGGAAACCAAGGAAGAAAGCAAATAATTTCAGGAAGAAATTCTAATTACCCTTTAATCATTTTCTTTACATACAATAAGTGGAATCTTCATGCAAACTCATAAAATAAAGACTGTCTGTCCTATATATTATTTTAAACAATGCATGAAATTTAATGCTTGAAAATAGTAACTGAATTTTTTTCACCTGAAGGTTGTTGAAATCTACTGTCATAATTTCAAAGCACTCTGTCAAAGCCAAATATCCTCCAGGAACTCGACTCATCTTTTCAGTTGTATAAGGTTCAATTGTTTCTTCAGTATCTACAGAAGAATAAGCCGGACTCTGAAATTTCACATTTGTTGGCAAATGGATACCAGCAATGTCCTTAATACCCACTCTGGAGAGAGAGAAAATAGGGGAGGGGTAGGAAGATGGATTTTTTTAGAATCAAGTAACATATCTAATACTGAGTCCAGAAAAAAATACAAAAATGAAATAAAACCTCATGAGCAAAGATTTCTTAAACATAACTACATAATACACACACATATAAAACCACTAACTATAAAGGAAAACAACTATAAATAGGTCTATAATAAAATTAAGAATGTCTGCTCACTAAAAAAAAAAAAAAACACCCTGTAATAAAGTAAAAAGCAAGCAACTAAGATATTTGTAATAACTATATTCAATAAAGGGCTCATGTCCAAAATATATTTTAAAATTCCTACATATCAATAAAAAACAAAAATGGGCAAAAGACTTAGACACTTCACCAAAGAACATATCCAAATGGCCAATAAGCACATGAGAAAAGGTGCTCAGCTTCAACAGCCACCCAGGAAATGGAGTTAAAATCACAATGCAGGCCAGGCGCGGTGGCTCATGCCTGTAATCCCAGCACTTTGGGAGGCCAAGGCGGGTGGATCACGAGGTCAGGAGATCGAGACCATCCTGGCTAACACAGTGAAACCCTGTCTCTACTAAAAATACAAAAGATTAGCCGGGCGTGTTGGCGGGCGCCTGTAGTTCCAGCTACTTGGAAGGCTGAGGCAGGAGAATGCAGTGAACCCGGAAGGCTGAGCTTGCTGTGAGCCGAGATCACGCCACTGCACTCCAGCCTGGGCAACAGAGCGAGACTCCATCTCAAAAAAAAAAAAAAAAAAAAAAAATTCACAATGCATACTACGCATCTGACAGAATGGAAAAAAACAAGTAGTCAATAGCAAGTATGGTAAGGATACAGTCTCATACACCATTGGAGTATAAAATCAGTAAGATCACTTTGGAAGACTACTTTGTAGTACCAATTCGAGCTGAGCATACCTATTCAGATTCATTCTTAATGTAGGAACCTCACAGTGTTTGGCATTTCCACTTCTGAGAATATAGTCAACAGAAATTAATACATATTATCACCAAAAGAATGTTCAAGAATGTTTATAGCTACACTGCTTCTGATAGCGAAAAAAAACTGATATAACCTAAACATCTATCAGTAATATAACAGACAAATCTAGTATAGTCATATAATGGAGTATGATTCCGCAATGAGAATAAACAAACTAAACACAAAAGAAGCTAGGCACGCAAAAACAAGTCACACTGTATGGTTCTATTTGTATAAAATTCAAAACAAGCAACACTAATCTACGGTGTTAGAAGTCAGATAGTAGGTGCTCTAGGGAGAGTGGGGCACTGGTAAAGAGATGGGGTTTCTTCCTGCACACTTTATATTATATAGCGGTAATATTCTGGTCCTTGATGTCAGCACTGATTACCCAGGTCTATCAACTTCATGAAAATTCATCAAATCATAAACTTATGGCTTACACACTTGCTATAACAATGTTTGATGTCAACAAAAATTTACATTGGGCCAGGCATGGTGGTTTACACCTGTAATCCCAGTACTTTGGGAGGCCAAGGTGGGAGGATCACTTGAGTCCAGGAGTTAAAGACCAGCATGGACAACATAGCAAGATTCTTCTAAGTAAAATAAAATAAAATAGCCAGGTATGGTGGTGTGTGCCTAGAGTTCTAGTTACTTGGGAGGCTGAAGCAGGAGGATCACCTGAGCCTAGGAGTTCAAGGCTGCAATGAGCTATGATCACATCACTGCACTCCAGCCTAGGCAACAGAGCGAGACCCTGTCTCAAAAAAACAAAAAAAACAAAAAAGAAAATTTACAATGAAAATTTAAACATTTTGTAAAAGGAAACTACTCCAACCTCATCTCACCTTACCTCATCTCAGTGGCACTTTTTTAAGAGAATTTGCCTTTATAAAATTTCAAAAGTTCAAATAATCTACTTTTACAGATTATTACACTCTCAAAAGATGAATCAGCAAATGGAACTACTAATAATTTTTTTTTTTTTTTTTGAGACAGAGTCTTGCTCTGTCGCCCAGGCTGGAGTGCAGTGGCACAATCTCGGCTCACTGCAAGCTCAGCCTCCCCAGTTCACGCCATTCTCCTGCCTCAGCCTCCCGAGTGGCTGGGACTACAGGCGCCTGCCACCACGCCTGGCTACTTTTTTGTATTTTTAGTAGAGACGGGGTTTCACCATGTTAGCCAGGATGGTCTCGATCTCCTGGCCTCATGATCCGCCCGCCTCAGCCTCCCAAAGTGCTGAGATTACAGGCATGAACCACCGCGCCCAGCCTACTATGATTTCAATAACTCAAAATTAAAAGTCACAAGTTGAAACAAAAAAGATGTGACAATTTTTTGTGTGTGAGACAAGGTCTCATGCTGTCGCCCAGGCTGGAGTACAAAGGTGTGATCTTGGCTCACTGCAACAACCTCCATCTACCAGGCTCAAGCAATTCTCCTATCTCCACTTCCTGAGTAGCTGGGACTACAGGTGCATGCCACCACGCCCAGCTAATTTTTGTATTTTTTATAGAGACAGGGTTTCGCTGTGTTGCCCAGGCTGCTCTCAAACTCCTGAGCTCAGGCCATCTGCCCACCTTTGCCTCCCAAAGTCATGGTATTAAAGGCGTGAGTCACTGCGCCCAGCCAGACAATTTCTTGCTAATGTATTATAAACTACGTGAATATATATTGTCAAAACTTCAAGCCATATGGTAAAAAGTCCACCTTCACAGTACTCGTCCTCTCATTTCTTCACTGTTAAAAGTTTAATGTGTATCCTTCCATACCTTTTTTTAATATTTGTATATAACACTCTATTTGTACATTACTGAAACATTCTGTATCATTTGTGAGTAGGTTATATTCATCATGCCTATTTATCTCTCAAAAGATACTTGTGTATCTTTATTAAAAATGAGAATATTCTCTTAATCACAGCAATCAAATTCAGTATTATCTAACCTACAGTTCATATTCTGTATTTGTCAACTGAATCAAAAATCAATAATGCAGGCAGGGCACAGTGGCTCATGCCTGTAATCCAAGCACTTTAGGAGGCTAAGGCAGAAGGATCCCTTGAGTCCAGGAGTTCAACACAGCAAGACAGCAAGACCCTGTCTCTATAAAACTTTAAAAAATTAAGCAGACATAGTGGTGCACACCTGTGGTTGGCAGCTCCTCAGGAGGCTGAAGTAGGAGGATCACTTGAGCTTGGGAGGTCAAGACTGCAGTGAGCCATGATTGAGCCACTGTGCTCCAACCAGGGCAACACAGCAAGATCAAAATATACATATATAGTTTTTTTCCCCAATACAGGTCATAGTTTCAATTTAGCTGTCCTGTCTCTTTAATCTCCTTTCATCTTAAACAGTTCTTCATCTTTGCTTTGTCTCTCATGTCACTGACATTTTTTAAGAAGGTAGGCCAATTGTTTTACAGAATGGTCCCAACTAGGGTTTGTCCAAGGTTTTCTCACAATTAGATTGCAGGCTGTACATTTTGGATGTGGTACTATATAAGCAATGCATCCTCAAAGCATCAAATCTGGAGCAATCTTACTGTTGATGTTAGCTTTAATCACTTGGTTAAGATGTTGTGTGGTCACCAGGGCCTGTTGGGGGATAGGGGCAAGGGGAGGGAGAGCATTAGGACAAATAACTAATGCATGCGGGGCTTAAAACCTAGATGATGGGTTGATAGGTGCGGCAAACCACCATGGCACATGTATACCTATGTAACAAACCTGCATGTTCTGCACATGTATCCCAGAACTTAAAGTAAAATTAAATTAAATTAAATTTTTTAAAAAAACAGGCCGGGCACAGTGGCTCACACCTGTAATCCCAGCACTTGGGGAGGCCGAGGCAAGCAGATCACCTGAGGTCGGGAGTTCGAGACCAACCTGGCCAACATGATGAAACCCCTCTCTACTAAAAAAAAATACAAAAAATCAGCCGGGCATGGTGGCAGGCATGCCTGTAATCCCAGCTACTTGGGAGGCTGAGGCAGGAGAATCACTTGAACATGGGAGGTGGAGGTTGCAGTGAGCCAAGATCGCGCCACTGCATTCCAGCCTGGGAAACAAGAGCGAAACTCTGTCTAAACAAAAAAAAAAAAAAAAAAAGATGTTGTCTGGCTTCTTCCCTATATACTTACAATCTTTCCTTTTGTCGTAATTTGAAAGATACTTTGAAACTATATAAATGCCCTGATCCTCATCAGATTTCCCTCCATTGATTTAGGATCTATTGATGATTCTTGCCTTCCAAAAACTAATTCTGCCTCATTTTTTCTATACTATTAGTTGGCATTTACTGTAAGGACGAGCTGTACTTTTATCCCCATTTATGTATTTATTAATCTGCTTAAGATACATAGAAATTCAGGGATTCTTATTCAGTGGGTTTCAATCCATTAGGGCCCTTATTTATTTTGGTGATTAAATTGTCCCAGATTTGGCCAGTGGGAGAGTCTTCAAGCATGCTGCTGTGTCCTTTTGCTCCCCTTTCCCCCACCAAATCCCTTTTTGAGCACTTCCTCACTTTCTAATACAGGATGCCCCAGAATCATATTGAATCTATTCCACCCCAGTACTGGAATCAGCCATTGCTCCAAGAAGCTATAGTTCCTTTTGGTGAGAAATGGTATTTAAAAACCAAGATCTGGGTTCTAGGTATGCTCACTGCTCCTAAGATTATGCCTTGTCTTTCTCACTTAATAGTATGCCATAAACTTCCTTCCTTGTCTATACATGTACCTTAACCATTTTTTTGCATAATACTACATTAGGTGACTGTTACATCATAATTTATTGAAATACTTTCTTACTAATATAAACATTCAGATAATTTGTTTGCTTTGATTTTTCCAATTACAGTATTATAGTGAACATCCTTGTACACACATCACTGCACACATGTATGAGTATTTATCAGGATAGATTCCCAGACACGGAAATGCTAGATCAAGGACACAAACATCTTTAGTGTTGCTAGAAAAGGCCAAATCAAGCTACTAAAATGTTGCACTAACAGTGTATAAATTTTCCATAAACCTATGAGAAAATAAGATATCAAACAACTTTAATGTGCTAACATAAGCAGTTAGAAATTGTTATCCCATTGGTTTTAATTTCCATTTCTCTGATTAATAGACAATTATATTCATGCTTTGTTATAAAAGTTGCAAATATTTATCTCAGTCTGTCACTTGTTTTTTAACTTTATAGTATCCTTCACCAGATAGATTTTTTTCAATTGTTTTAAAATGTGGTCACATTTGTCAATGTTCTGTGGCTTCTGGGCCCTACTCTGTGTTTTGCTTTGGAAGGTCTCCATCAAATAGATTTTTTGGCCCTCAGATGTTTAACTCACCCAGAATTAAAAGTAGGGATCTAACTTTTTTCCCCAAATGAAGCACACCATTTCCATTTCCTGAATAGTTTATCCCTTCCCCCAATGATCTGAAATATCACACCTGTATCATATACTAAATCCATATAAATTCAAAGGTCTGTATCTAGATTCTTTATTGTGTTCCACTGATGTATTTGTCTTTCTGCATCAATACATTGCTGTTTTTTACTTCTAGGTTTTTATATCTAATAAGGCAAGTTTAGTTTCCTTGGATATTCTTAAACATTTGCTTATTGAGAAGAGCATTAAATTCAGCTGATTAGGTGCCAAATGGCAATTTTTATAATAATGATTTATAAATGTTTCTACCAGGTAAAACAGTAGCACTCACATTTATTTTGTCAACACCTTTCTTCATAGTCCTCAACCCATAATGCTGAACTTTGTTTAAAAAAAAAAAAAAAAAAAAAAGATATTGGCCTCATTCATCCAGACCTACACCTATTCAATCAAACTGTAAACCCTTTTTATTTTTACAAAAGCTCCTATGGTGCTTCTACTGTAATCAGGCACTCATTTGCTAAATAAGTGAGTCAATAATAAAGTTATTCTTTTTCAAAATGTAGATACCAGCCATTTAATTTCTCCTTTGCTTAGACAAACAATATTAGTGGTCTCCTAAAGAGGAACTATTGAGGGAAGGGGTCCAGCCATGTTACAGCAAGAAATCTCAGCAAGACACAACCTAGCTTTTCTGGTGGGCAATGCAGTAAGGCATCCCTACAGCCTGAAAACTGTACATATTCTTTAACCCAGTAATTCCTTATTAAGGAATTTATCCTAAGAAAATAATAGAAACAAGTCCACAAGACATAAGTGCAAAGATGTTTATCCTACTTCTTAAAAGCAGAAAAGTGGAAGCAATCCAAAAATTCTAAACTCCAGTAACTACAACACCAAGAAGTTGATTTTTTAAAGTCATGAACCAAATCTATTACATGAAAAGGCTCACAAAGGAAAAGCAAATATATTTACTGAGTTTTTAAACAAAATTAAATTTACACACACCTACATTTACTTAAATGGAACTAATATTCAACCAGTACATTCTAATTCAGCCAATCTGCTAATTAAGTCCACTGTCTGGTTAGTGCCCTGTGTCCTACCAATCTCTAAACATTTTTACTATCTCCCTGTAACATACAAAGAAAAAGAGTAAAGGAATATATAACAAAGATGAAAAGTAGTTACTTACTGGTGAGGGGTTCACAGTGGTTTTCATTTTTTTCAAACCACTTATCAGTATGTCCTAAAATATTTATATGCTACATTTACGATTAAGTTATTGGAAGAAGCTTAGAAAGATCCTAAAATTCCATCCAGCCCAACTACAAATCATTACAGTATTAGTGAAATTATTAAGAAAAGGGAAATTGAAGTAATTAGACCAAAATTTATTTTCACAGTGGAATCTTTCATTCCAACTTCACCTAAAATCAGTCAGAACTTAATATTTTTCTACATGAATATATCACAACTAGAGTCCTAAGTTGTATCAAAATTAATTTTCCATTAAAAAAAAACTGGCTTTAACCATGAAGTTTCATTTAAAATAGGCAAAAAAAAAAATAAGACCAGTGTAAGCAGCATGAATTTAAAGGTCACAAAACTACAAATCCTCACCCAAATACATATTCACTAACTAACCTCTGTAATATTCTCTTTATAATTACTATTTTTCAATATTTACTATTTAAATAGTCACTTACTGATATGGTTTGACTCTGTGTCCCCACCCAAATCTCATCTCAAATTGTAATCCCCACAAGTTGAGGGAGGGAAGTGACTGGATTATGAGAACGGTTTCTTCCACACTGTTCTCATGATAGGGAGTGAATTCTCACAAGATCTGATGGTTTTACAAATGGTAGTTTTTCCTACACTCACCCACGTGGTCTCGTGCTGTCTCTCTCTCTCTCTCTGCCCCCCATAACCTGCCTGCTGCCATATAAGACGTGCCTGCTTCCCCTTCTGCCATGTTTGTAAGTTTCCTGAGGCCTCCTCAGCATTCAGAACTGTGAGTCATTTAAACCTCTTTCCTTTATAAATTACCCAATCTTGGGAGGTGCTTTATAGCAGTGTGAAAATGGACTAATACACTTACCTATGATGTCTTCTTATCTCTGCACATTCTACTGCCATCCCAAATATAACAGCACTTGCTGGTATAACTTTCCCATACTTTTCACAATTAGCACTTTCACCTTTGGTCTAAAAAAAATAACAATAAGAATTATGTTATCACATGTATGTAAAAATGTGTGTGCATAATGATAAGCTATGAAAATATAATTTAAAAAACCTAAAAAGACAATAAGTAAGGATAAAGTAAGTTAAAGGTTTTTTTTTCTTCCTTAAAAAATATTTTTGGGCTGGGCACTGTAGCTCACGCCTGTAATCCCAGCACTTTAGGAGGCCAAGGCAGGCGGATCACGAGGTCAGGAGATCAAGACCATCCTGGCTAACACGGTGAAACCCCATCTCTACTAAAAACATAAAAAATTAGCTGGGCGTGGTGGCACGCGCCTGTAGTCCCAGCTACTTGGGAGGCTGAGGCAGGAGAATCGCTTGAACCCAGGAGGCAGAGGCTGCAGTGAGCCGAGATCACGCCACTGCACTCCAGCCTGGGCTACAGAGCAAGACTCCATCTTTAAAAAAAAAAAAGTATTTTTGGCCAGGCCTGGCAGCTCACACCTGCAATTCCAGCACTTTGGAAAGCCAAGGAGAGAGGACCACTTGAGGCCAGGAGTTTGAGACCAGCCTAGGCAACATAGCAAGACCCTGTCTCTACAGAAAAAAAATGTTTTTTTTAATTAGCCAAGTGTGGTGACATTGCGAGGCTGAGGTGGGAGGGCCACTTGAGCCCGGGAGTTTGAGGCTGCAGTAAGCTAAAAAACGTGCCACTGTGCTCCTACCTGGGCAAGAGAGTGAGACCCCATCTCAAAAAAACAGAATAAGTATTTTCATTGCTATATATGTATGAATATATATATTTTTTTCTCACAATACAAATGCAAAGGATACAAGAAAAGAGGGAGGATGGGGGGGAAAGGACTGTAAGTCTGCATAGAAAAAAAGACTTGGGTATGACTTTGATCAAGAAATCAGTATCAATACCTACTTAAAAAATAAATTGCTTGGCCAGGAGCGTTCGCTCACACCTGCAATCCCAGCACTTTGGGAGACCAAGGCAGGTGGATCACTTAAGGCCAGGAGTTCAAGACCAGCCAGGCCAACATGGTGAAACCCTGTTGCTACTTCAAAAAAAAAAAACTGCTCTTTTCAACCTTTAACTAGCAATTTTAAATCCAAATAATTTTCTGTTAATATTGAATTTTTATTACATATTAAAATCCTTTCATTGATAACACATATCATATAAACCAAATCAATGATTTGTGGGCTACAATAGAGGATTTCAATGCAAAATATAATTTGGCAATTATAATAGTCCTGTCCAAGCCATAGCCTGGGTTCAACAGGTACCTGAAAACAGAACCAAACCAGCTATTACTATACTCCCTTCTGATAATTTGCCAAAATTCTAGGCAGTGAGGTCTGTAAGACTGAAAGTACCTCCGTTTTTCAACCCTACTCAAGAATTCCATAGTCAGTCCGTCCATAAAGTAATCTCAATTCCTATGAATTCTTCCCTGGAGTATTTTTGCCTGTATATCTCATTCAGGCACATAATTATACATTGAATCATGTTGTTAGTAAATGTTTTTATGTTGTTTTGTTTTGTTTTGTTTTGTTTTGTTTGAGACGGAGTTTCGCTCTTGTTGCCCAGGCTGGAGTGCAATGGCGTGACCTCAACTCACTGCAACCTCCACCTCCCGGGTTCAAGCGATTCTCCTGCCTCACCCTCCCAAGTAGCTGGGATTACAGGCATGCGCCACCACACCCGGCTAATTTTGTATTTTTAGTAGAGATGGGGTTTCTCCATGTTGGTAAGGCTGGTCTCGAACTCCCGACCTCAGGTGATCCACCCACCTTGGCCTCCCAAAGTGCTGGGATTACAGGCATGAGCCACTGCACCCGGCCAGTAAAAGTTTTTTGCATAGATTTCTTTCCAACCACACAGTATGTACACCTTGGCAATGGAAAATATATTTCATATTGTTTTGTAAATATACTAAGGATTCAATAAATCTCTGATGAAATAACGAATTCTTAATCAGTTGTAAGTATTTTCATACTGCTTACCTTTGGCTGTAAAAGTAAATGCTCCCATGCATGAATCAAACTCTCCACAATTCCTTCTCCAAATAAACCTGCATCGACAGTTTCTGTTACAACTAGGGACACTCTATAGAATGATTTTTTAAAGATATATGTAAGTAAAATATCATGCTATTATATAAAGATGTCAAAGCTGAGAGGAGAAAGGAAGAGTATATTATAGAAACAGTCCATATGTAATATATCCTAATACATTTCATTTTTAAGATCTACTACTGAATCTTGAGGAACTTTACTCGAATGTTCCTTAAGCTCCTTTGTTCTCCACTGGCTCCTTCTCCTTGGTTTGGAAGATGGAGGGTGGGGGGAGGTGGGGAATGACAAACTTCACTTGGCCTTGTTCTCTCTCCAGGCTATTTTTTCATTGCCTACATCTTTAAGAGTGGTTCACACCCATTACCTTTATCAGTCTCTTCCTTAATGCCAAGCAAGAAGACTTCCAACTCCAACAGTCTATAAAAATATTCTCTACCATCAATAACTCCCTACTTATCAAAATGAATCCTCTTTCTCAGTTATCATTTTTTTATCTCCAAATAACACTGATTGCAGGAGAGAGCCCTCCTTCTCAAAATCTATCTCTACCTTCTATGATACTGCATCATCCATGTTTGCCTCCTATATGTTGACTGTGCCTCTCTTATCACTTCTCTTGCTTTACCCACTGCCTGAGTCTTAGAAAAAGCCTCGTCCACAGAACTCTGC